>NC_000007.14:39615242-40240242 GCF_000001405.40 Homo sapiens
CATTCCCTTTTTAAATTTGAAGGGATATTTTTCTCATCATCCCTTAGCTAGACTGAGCTGGTTTTATGTCATCTGCAAGCAAAAGAGTCTCAACTAAGAGGGTATGATATCATTGGGTTACATACAAATGTTTATGTTTCCCTTTCCTTTCAGATATATGGTTTGATTATCCACTTTGAATAGGCATGACATGTGGCTTGCTTTGTCAATGAATTATGAGTGCAAGTATGTCACTTTAACAGCCAGTGCAAGATTTGCCATGTTCTATGCACCTGGCAGTCACCTGCAGTGACTGTGAAAACACATGTCACTTGGTGCCTCCAACAGGTAGGTTCTTAGGTAACAGTGAAAAGGAGAGAATCCTAGCAAACTGTACATGTAGCATGAGCAAGCAATAAGCTTTTGTGATGGTAAGCCACTGAGATTTTGAAGTTTTCTGCTACTGCAATATAACCTAGCTTATCTTGATTAACACACAGGGCACTTTCCTTCATAATATTTTCCCATGATTCATCTTAAAAGAATCAATATTGAGCCAATCAATATGGGGGTGATAACAGTACATGAAACAGAGTTCTTGCCCTCCTAGTAAGAAAGACAAACAAGCCATTCCAGATCATCCTAAGATTAATGGAAGTATTAAAGTAGTTTAGGCAGAGAAGTTGTATTTGCCTCCCAGATCATGATGGCTGCACAGTGAAGACTGCGTTTAGAGCAGGAAAAGTCTGAACCCATTGAATCTATACTACAATAATAGTAAGGAGGTAATAATGGCTTGGATTAGGGACGTGGTGATAGAAGCAGAGTGAAATGAATGATTTTGAGATATAATGAGGAGGAAGATTTAGCATATCCTGGTAAATGAGTGGATGTGTAAGAAGTAGAGAGAAAATTCAAAGCAAATATTTAGATTTCTGGCTTTGATCATTTGGCTATCATCAGTCAGTTTGGACATGCCTAGTTCGAGCTGGGTACCTACAAAACACTCAAAGAGATATCAGATAGGGAATTAAATATATAGGTTTCAAGCTTAGGAGTGAGCTCACAGCTAGAAGTCACCAATATACAGAAAGTAAAGCCATGGGTGTATAAAACCATGGGTGTAGATGAGATCATCCAAAAAGAATGTGGAGACTAGACTACATTGATAAGAGCCTTACAATTCCTTGGAGTGGCAATATTTAAGCAAAGACAGAGCATGCAAAGGACAATGAAACAGTTAGGCATGGTATCACAGAAGCCAAGAGAAAAGATTGTTTCAGAAAGGAAAAAATGGTCAATAGCTTCAAATACTATTGAAACATTAACAACTAAGATATATCTCATAATAGGAATGATGTTGGTAAGTTTATCAAGAGTAGTTTCACAGCAGTATTGGGGGTAAAAGTCTAATATATGGTTGAGGGTAACTTGGAGGTGAGGAATTGGTGATAAGCAAGCATAGACAATTTTCTCAAAAATTCTCCTTAGGGGAAAGGATAATTTGAGCAGAAGCTAGAAGGAGGATATGCATGAAGAAGACACTTTAACAAATGAGAATGCTAATGGCAAGAAACCAGTAAAGAGTGAGAGGCTGAAGACACAACAGAAAGAGAATAATTGATGGACCAAGGTCCCAACTAGACAGGAGTAGCCAAGACCTAGAATACGCATTGAATGATGGCCTCTATTGTAAAAAGAATGGAGGAAGGAATGAGTATAGTTCAAAACTTGTTAATTTGATTATAAGTAGTAACTAACACACACTCATGTTATTATTAATTGAATTCTTATAATAAAGTATATAAGTGTAGAAATATAGAGTAATATAAATATCCTGTTTACTATTACTATTTTCTCTGACTCTCAAGACTCAAACTACCTAGATTCATGGGACCTAGCCAGCCATTTCTTGTTTTGGTAAGTGCCTTATACAATGTCTGAAATACTGCAAATATTTCACAAGTGGTAATTTAACCCCATTTCCTTGGCTGACTCTGGATTCAAATAGTTAGGAGCTTCATCACTGATGATATCTGATTCTTTTTCTAGCTTCTCCATTAGTCTGATCTACTCTACCTGCCATATACCTCCTGAGGTTATAAATATCTTCTGTTCTGGTCTATCACTACTTCTACCTTTTTCCAGGATAAATCAATTCATTTATAATACAATAATTGGTTTTTTTTTTTTTTTTTTTTTTTTTTTTTTTTTTTTTTTTTTTTTTTGAGATGGAGTCTCGCTTTGTTGCCCAGGCTGGAGAGCAGTGGCGCGATCACGGCTCACTGCGAGCTCCGCCTCCCGGGTTCACGCCATTCTCCTGCCTCAGCCTCCCAAAGTGCTGGGATTACAGGAGCCACTAGAAATTGATGCTGGGTATAGGGTAATCCCTCAAAAATAATATAACTTATAAAACTGAATAAAAACAAAAATGGATGTCAATTTTCATAGTGACAGGGACTGACCAAAGGCATATTTTCACAGACTTTGTCCAAATGTATCAAAGAGCATTTTAAAGTATTAAATTGGGTTCTTCCCTTACTAGTAATGAAAATGCATAATTTTATTTATAATTAACAAGTGTAAAAAGTTGTTCAAGATTGAAAAACTGAAAAACTTGCAGAGAAATAAGGGAATAAAATAGAGCCACGTATATCTATTACCTCGTTAAGGGGAAATATTTCATCTGGAAGATCAATCCAAACAATAACTTCTAAAAACTAAATGCTTAATTACATACCAATAAGAATCAATTTTGGAGCTAGTTCAGTGATAGGAAGACAATGTAAAATACCTTATCTTATATGCTAAATTAGATAATATAAAAATACTACACAGCTATACATCCACAATTTTATTTAATAAGTATATCATTAACATTTTCTTAATATATCAGAAAAGATGAAAAGAAACAATATAGAAATATTTTCAGCTATACAAATTCAGGGCTTCCATGACAAATAAAGGCTAAAGATTCCACCTTTATTTACATACATTTTTTTCTTCATAGAAAAAGTCGATATCCAATAAAATGTTACCTAATGTAACCCCAGGCAAAGTGAATGCCATGACTGGACAATGGAGACTTATTCGTTGAACCGTTACACCTAATTACCATGTGCCAGATACTGTTCTAAGCACTCTATGGATGTTAGCTCATTTAATCTTAAAACCATGTCATAGAATATGGTAAAAAATAAAAATGAAAAAACTAAAATTGCTACTTTTCTCCCCACCTCTTCATCCTACCCCATCATATATTGTCAGTAAATGGACAGCAGGAGTCCAATGAAAATATATTTAACTTGGACTCAAAAGATTTGAGTTAGTTTCTGGCTCTATTTAGGGTTCTGTGTGACCTTGAACAAGTTATTGAAACCAGAACTTCCCAAACCTGACTGATCATTGGAATTCAAGGGAGAGTGTTATTACAGTTACAGATGCCTTGGACTTCACCCAGTATTTTCTAATCCTAAATCTAAATATTTTCTGTTTAGAGTGGGACTTGAGAATCTGAATTGCCTTTGAAACTACACAGGTGATTGTGATAAGCAGTCACATTTGGGAACCACTGATAGAGTAGTCTTATCCTCTAATCCCTTGACAGAAAAGTATAGAAATATGTGGTCCACAAGGGTCGTCGGCATGAAGGGGAGAATTATGAAGACCCAAACTCTCATAACCCCACTCTTTACACATTCTCATTAAAGCTGTGTTTAGATATTCTAGATGACCCTTTTGTTGTGGGTCATCCGGACTATCTAAGCCCAACAAACATATCCAGAGGCATATCATACAGGTGACTGTCATCTGCATCACCTACTTAAGCCTATCTCTCCAAGGCATGACGTCATTAAAAATGAAGTGGGAAATTGAGGCAATGGTTCCACCAATTTAAAGTACAAACCCAAATAAACTATCTTCACATGAATGTGCTGAAAATGTGTACGACCTCCTAAAAAAGTTTCTGAGGTGATTGTATCAGCTTTTTTCCCGCTAATTCAACTAAACATCACAATATACATTTTACTCATCCCCAAAATATTTTCTGAGTACTTATTTTGGGCACCATGAAGGATACAAAAATGAATAAAACAATGTACCTGTCTTCAAGCTGGTAAAGATACAGCCATAAACATAAGAATTGTAGTTTTCAGTTTTAAAAACGTTAAGTTTGGCTGAATTTTGGAGATGCTGCAGGCAATCAATAATAAGCCAGAAATGTCCATATTATAAATACATTCTGGACTGTCATATCAAGCTGGTGACCCTGGTATAAAGTACTAAAAGAAACAATATATTTTGAGAATCTCAAAATGTGTGTTTGGGTATGTTACTTGACAACTGTAGTGAATTTTTAAGTCTTTAAAAACTAGTCTCAGAGCGCTAGTCTTTCAGCACTCTGAGCCTATTTCTTTCAACAATTTGTATCTCACAAAATTGTGAAAACAAAATGAAATAGTACAAATGTCAAGGTGTCACGGAATTTTTTTTCTTTTTTGAGACAGGGTTTCATTTTGTTGCCCAGGCTGCAGTACAGTGTAATGATCACAGGCACTGTAGCCTCGACCTCCTGGGTTCAAGGGATCCACCTCAGCCTACTGAGTAACTGGGACCACAGGTGAATGCCACTATGCCTGCCTAGTGTTGTTTTTTTTTAATTTTTTTTTTTAATAGAGATGAGGGCTCCCTATGCTGTCCAAGCTAGTCTTTAACTCCTGTATTCAAGCGATCCACATGCCTCGGCCTCCCAAAATGCTGGGATTACAGGTGTGAGCCACCACACCAAGTCATGGTGTCATGAATCTTATAGATAATGCTCATAACTCTAATAAATAATAAAACATGATTTTGAGTTGATTTTTCACCAGTGGTGACAAATGGCTATTAACCAATTACTTTCTTATCTGGCCCTAAAACACAAAGAAGCCTTGTTTGTCATTGCTGTTCCCAGATGTATAGTTAATATACATTATATGATAATTTTATAAATTGGTATATAAGCAAGTGTATAAAAATAAACATGCACATTATGTAGTCATGAATACATTTAAATGTTTACATTATGCATACACCTCTCTAAAGGAAATACTGAAGTCACCAATTTAATGGAAAAAATTCTCATCTACTTTAGGGATAGACATTGGACAAAACTTCACAAGTCTATATATTTCATTACATGTTTGTGATTAAACAGTGATGAGAATGACAGAGTTTCACAGGAATGTTCAACTTAATTGTGTCAAACATGTAACTGTCTATAAATTCTATAGGGACTGCATTATTCTATGGGGACATGAATAATGTTTTTAATACAAAATTCCAGTTAACTGACTGGAGTAGACTAATCATTAATTCTAAAACATGCTTCTGGCAAATCCCTATCTACCCTGTATTTTCCCCCAAAGCATATATTAGCTATGAGTAGCATGAATATAAAAGTTGTGGTTACCAAAACTTCTTTTTACTTCCCTCTTTCATTAACTATATTTGTTAATACACAAGGTTTGATCATAAATAGTAAAGTCAATTCACAAGTTAAGAAAAAAGATCTAAGTGTATTTCAAAACAGGATCCTTCATGTTCTTTGAGTAATCCAGGCAGCAAAGTCAGGAATGCTCATGGGTGCTACTGGATATTAGTGCTAATTACTAATAATATGTACTTACAATTATGCCCTTTCATCCAAGTACCTCAAAGAGCTTTCATAGCATTAATTTGTTATTTCCTATAATATCTTTGAGAGGCGGCTGATAGAAAGTTATTATTATCTCTATTTTACAGTCAGAGAAACTAGGGCATAGAGAGGTTAAGTAACATTGCTAGGGTCATACGGTGAACAACTGACAAAAAAGGGACTCAAGCTAATTATTCTCATTTCCTGTTCAGTATATTATCCATTATATGGTTGTTCAATACACCTAAATGCTTTTTTATCCTAGACAAATTGAGAATACTGTATTTAAATAATCTAAGACGTAAGTGAACGCGTTTCTCTTTTTTTGTGTGTTCAAAAATGCTGCTCTACAGGGATATAGAGTTAAAAACTAATAATTAGTCTTTGGTTTGCAGCTGTAGCTATTATTTATAGGGCTTTTACTATTTGTGGTTTTCTGAAGCTCTGCTCAAAATGAAGTATTCTATTTCTCACTGCTTTATGCTAGGTTAGCATAGCTGTGAGCCACCAAAAAGCAGCTGAGACAGGCTGACTAATGAATTTGAGGTTGTCTTTCATTGCGTTCCTATTGCTGACTCTTCTTGAAGTCATCCTCCTTCTAGCTCTCCATTCAGCAGATATTTGTGCAACCCACCATCCTCAATCCTCAGCCTATGGCCAGCTTAACTGTTGTCAATGATTAAATTTAAAATATTTTTATTGGAATGGAGCAATTCCTACAGAATAAAAAAGAAAAAAATTAAAATATTAAAATATAAACATAGATAATATTTCATTTTATGAGTTAATGATGCTATACTATTAATAGTTACCACTGTTACATCCAGTTTCTGCTAAACCTGACCTTTAGGGTCCTTAGAAGACCATTAAACATTAGAATATTGGTCTATGGATGGACACATATCACCATATTGGGTTTTTTAATGCAGTATTTCAGTAATTTTCCCAAGTAAAGGCAGGGAGAAAGGAGAAGTGGTTTTGAAACTGTGCTCAATGACGTAAGACTGCAGTCAGCTTGGTTATGGTCATCTAAACCTGTGGTGTTTCCAACTTCAGCCCAGCTCCTCCCTAGAGCTCTAGACCCATATAGCAACCACCATTAGACAGCACCACTCTTACTTCACTCATCAACTCCAAAACTGAACTCATTTTTTTTCTGCAAAAATGTCCCCTCCCAGGACTCATCCTAACTCTTCCTTATCTTATTTAGTAAAATACACCCTTATCCTGCCCCTCCCTCAAAGCAAAACAAGGCATCATCATTGCCTCTTCCATTCTCCTATCTGGCAGCTGCCCCTAGCAACCAATTACCAGTTGATATGGCCTCTTGAATATTTTAGGAATCCATCTCCTTTGGATGCTCACTACCATTCACACAGGGTCCTTAAGTTTTCTCTTACTGGCTTCTGCAATGGCCCCCTTGTGGGCTCTCTGCTTATCCTTCTCTGCCCCCCCACCTCCACCCCCCCAAGTTATCTGTTCTCTACCAACAGAAGAATAGCTTAAATTGTAATCTGTCCACTCATTGCCTCACCAAGGCATAGACGATTCGTGATTTGGCTCCTGTTTTCTTCTCCAGCCTCATCTTCTTCAGCAACCTAAGTTTGAACTTCAAGACCTGTAATTATTACTCATTCTTCTCAACAAATTATTTGTCCCCGTGCTGCATCTCCTTTCTGTTCGGATCCGGATTTGCCATCCCACCCCTATTTTTGTAGTAGAAAATGCCTATTTATCTTTAAAACTCTAACCTACGTTAGTAAAGCTATCCATTCTTCACGCTGTACATCTTGATAAACCATACTTCCAATAGCAATGATTTGCTTTCATGTATGTCTGCCCACTAGACTGGACATTCCTTGAATGGCTCATACCAGGAATATAGTTGGTACTCAATTTGTGGGGAGCAAAGAGAGATAAGCGAATAAATGTCAAGACATAAGAATCTGTAGCTGCTAACTTAAATTTACGGATTTAGTGAAACTACTTCTCACAAGCTACCAAATCACAGTGCCATGGGGCCGCAAGATGATCTCAGTGCCACACCGACACCTGCAGAGTCGCAGGGGGGTCCGACACCCCTCAGAAAGAACTCGCAGACCGTCCGAGAAAGCGAATTCTCCAGGGGATCAGCAGTTAGATGAGGCCCAGGGCAGCCACGAGACCCTCCAGCCAGGGTAGGCGGCTGACCCGCCTCCTGGGATTTGGCCCGTGACAAGCCACGTCGCCAGCTCCGCTCTGAATACCCCCGGCCACGCCACACGAGCGGCCTCAACCCTGAGACGCCCAGGGAACATGAGCTGACCCTCTAGAAGCAAGATGGCGGCCTCCGCTCTCCCCTCCTTCCCCCAAGAACCCCCTCCTGGTCCCCAAAAGAAAGACAAGGACACCGCGGCAACGACGCCGAGATCCGGGAACCTCCGCGAGGCCCGCGGCCACTCCCGAGCCCCCGGGAGATGACTTCACCTCGCGGAGCTCAGAGAGCCGGGGGTGGGGCCGTCGGAAAGACAGCGCGGACAGCCCTCAGCTTGCAGGGGGCGGAGGCCGGGCAGCCTGCGCCCTCCGAGCCACTGTTCTGCGGCCCAGGCCCATGATCACCCTCCTCTCAGCCCACGGACAGGAAGTCGCTCCCCAGCTGCCCCGCCCCGCTCCCCAGCGCCCCGGAAGTGATCTGTGGCGGCTGCTGCAGAGCCGCCAGGAGGAGGGTGGATCTCCCCAGAGCAAAGCGTCGGAGTCCTCCTCCTCCTTCTCCTCCTCCTCCTCCTCCTCCTCCAGCCGCCCAGGCTCCCCCGCCACCCGTCAGACTCCTCCTTCGACCGCTCCCGGCGCGGGGCCTTCCAGGCGACAAGGACCGAGTACCCTCCGGCCGGAGCCACGCAGCCGCGGCTTCCGGAGCCCTCGGGGCGGCGGACTGGCTCGCGGTGCAGGTGAGCGATGCCCGCTCGGGCCGCCCGGGGAGGGACTGGGGCCACCCGGGCGGCGGCGGGGGTGTGTCCGGGCGGCGGCGGGCCGAGGCCCTGACGCGGGTTCGGGCTGCCGAGATTGCACATCCCACGTTCTGCCCGGGGACGAGCTGCGAGATGAGCCCGGCTGGAATCCGGGGCACCGCGTTCGCCGCTGTGGGGCGAGTGAGCCCCCGAGAGTGAGCGGCTGCGGAGAGGTCCCCTGCGCCCGGCAGCCGGTCTCAGTTGGCCTCGTCCGAAGGTCACCCCGCACCTTTCGTCCACGGCGCCCAAGTTCCCGCCCGGGCGGTGCCCGCGACCTGGGGCAACCCGCTGCCGCCGCAGTCCCCGCGCCTCACTCCACCCCTCTCCCCTCCTTCCCTTTCTTTCCACTCCTTGCCTGTGCTAGAGCCGCTGCTTTTTAAGCATCTCCGCCAGGGTTTTTTGTTTGTTTGTTTTGTTTGTTTGTGTTTTTTTTTTTTTTTGCCAGTTAAAGGAATGGTTTTTCAGACTTAAAGTCATTAGACTCTCCGCACTGAACTGAATACCTGGCCTTGGGCGCTTGCACAGCTTTAGCCCATTTTCAGGTAATCTAGCTTCTAATATGAGGAAGAGAATACATTTTGGGAGAGAGGTGTTTCCTCTGTGGTTCGTTTCTGAAAGATTTCCAGAAGTGGAAGATGTGATTGGCATGCTTTAGCCTGGATATATGTGTTTAAGTAGACGGGGGTGACGGCACACAGGGGTGGCAGTGTTGTTTCAGGATTTAGGGAGAATTAGGGAGTTAACTGGCCTGTGCTCGGAAACCTGAATGTCCAGACTTGTAAGAGCTCATCCAAGTGTGGCTGAGGTAGTGTGAGAAGTCCCGTGCCACGCCCTACGTGTCAAGCTGAAAAGCACCTAATTTACAAATTGTGTGGTGTGGGGGGGGAACAACCTTTATAAAACATGTATCATAAGTTAATTCTTTTCCAGAAAGTAAATTGCAACTTTAATCATATTCCAGAAATTGGATAACAGATTTCATTGGTAAACTCTTACAGTATGTTTATTAATGTATTTCAGTGTGTCTTATTAGCTCATGTTTTTCTGTCTCTGGTAATACAATATTATTCTAAACCGACTCCTGTATTAAAATAATACACTATTATTGTGAAGTATTATCTGACAACACCGTTTTTTGACCTTGGATTTCTTTAGGGCAGGAGCCATGTCCTACTTATGACTGTTTCTATGCAGTATGCCTTGAACATAGAAGCTGTTCACACATTTCTGCACTGAATGAATGAGTGTATAGGTTATCTCACAGTCACCATCCAGGAGTTGCTTATTTTTGTTGGGCTAGGCTGTTTGTTTTGTTTTAGGTTCTTGCCACTTACAGACTTTACTTCGTGTTTCATTCTTCAGCAGTCAGAGTTCTTTGCCTTCCAAAACTATCCTCCTCTGAAAGGTTAAAATTATATTAAAATTGTGCTGGGCATTATAACTTGTATTCTAGTGTTAAATGCTTACTACTTGAGCATATTCAGAGTTAGTAGGAAGAGACTGCCTGGTGATACACATCAAGTTTATGTTTGGGGTTGATAACTGTACCCTATCTTAATGAAAAAGAGGAAATTAGGAGTTACCATTGTTTGGATAACGTGGTGCTTCCCAGAATGCTTATAGTGGTTCATTCTTCCCATGAATACACGCAATCCTCTGAAATCCTGATGTGACCTTGGCATGATTTACCAATAGCCTCTTTTACATTTATTTTCCAAGATCCAGATGCTGTTCTCTAGTGTGTTTGCTGAGTGTGCAATAATATGGATCATTTATTTTGAAGCAGTACTTCATTACAACACTTTCTTCACAGGGCTTTCCAAAGGAAGAAAGGGCTAATTATAGAAAAGAATCTTGTCTACCATTTGTGAGGGAATATTTTTGTCTGTAGATGGTTGGATTATTTTCACATTAGGGAGGTTCAAATAAGAAGAAAGTGCTGACGTTTTCTCTCCTCTCCAAGTATGTGGTGGTGGTCCTGCACTGTTTTTCCAAGCTTAGCTTCTACAGAACATAAATACATGTACCAGTGTCAATTCTTGTAGATATGCATATCAGTGTAATATGCATTTGTATTCTTTAGTAGATGAGTGGCAAGGACAATTACTTTTAAAATACTGGAATAAGAGGCTGTGAATGTTAATGAGGAAAAAGACTATGATTTTGAAGGAGACAGTTTATGATTTTCATTGTTTTATAAAATATTTTAACTCTTAGACACTAAGGAGAGGGAAGCCAGCAATTTCTTACCTCAGTGACATTACCACTATACAGAGGTTAGATTTTCCTTCTTTAATTCAGCAACCCTCTTGGTAATAAGAGTTCTCATGTGTTGATTGCCTGCCGAGCACTGTGATAAGAGCTTTACTTAAATTATTTCTAATCTCCACAACACTTCTGCAAGACAGGTAGTTTTCCCATACTTTATTAAGGTAAATTGAAGTTATTTGCCAGAGGCTAGGCACCTAGCTTGTGTTTAGTAGAGCCTAGATTTGAAAGTAACAATTGCTGAGAGCACTGAGTATTATTGCAGTTAATCCTAAATGGCTGTGGAAAAGGCAGTTCTGACTGAGCTGGAACTGGAGCTTCAGGAAGGTGAAGATACTGATTCCTCTCTCTTGGACATCAAGTGTGGCCTGGGGTTGCCAGCAGTCCTGGCCAGGTGGCCTCAAGCAGCAGCCATTCTTCTCTTTTATCTTCAGCGTGCCTACAAATACAGTGTTATCACCGTCCATGTGTGCCATGATGGAAAAATGGTTGGGCATTTTTCCCGTGGGTGTCCCGGTAAAGTATTTGGACTCAATTCTGGTGTTTGATTAGTGCTTTTTAAAGTAACAGAATCGTCCCTATTTGAGAGGAATACCATAAATCTATTTGTAGTGACCTTTCCTTGAAATCACATTTTTTTTAGTTCGTTCTTTCACTAATGGAAATGGGGGAGAAGCTATGGGGGACAGTAGAAAGAATGGTAAAAGAAGCAGAGATGTGCTTGGTCTGTTTTTAACCGTTTGAGACCATTAATCATTTTCTCTGGGTTTAAGATGGAGGCTTAAAAGTGGCAGAAGTCTTGTAAGGGTTTAGCTGCTATTCAGTGCTGGTAGAATTCTCTTCCCTCCTAAGCCTGTGCACTTTTTAAAATGCACTTTTAAATAGGCTTAATTTGAAGAATGTGTCCATCTCTCTCTCTCTCTCTTTTTTTTTTTTAAAAGATGTACCCTTAAGTAAAAAACAGCTGATTGTCTGGCCCCCATAAGTAACAGTTATTCTGTTTTTTCTTTAAGACATCTTTCTTATTACCTTATCGCATTCATAAGGATTTGGGTTGCCGTATAGAAAAAAAGAAATTAAAGTTCTATGGGTTTCTAAAATATGTATGAGTAAATTTTAGGTGAGAATTTGCATCTTTGATTTAATTATACGTGAAGGTGATGACTTAGTTTCTGAAAGTCAAGAGGGTAGTCTTTACAAGCCAAAAAAGGCATGCTTCCATAAAATTATACTATTCTTAAAGGCCTTCACAGCTAGGGTCCTATATTAGATGCAATAGATGTAACACTGACATACATAGTCTCCTTAAAGTCTGGGATCCAATTTTATTGCTGAATTTACTTTTGAAACTAAATGTCAGGGTTTGGTAATGTTATTTTGGACAATAAGACATAGTTAGATTATAAAATGGCGTATACTCCCAGATTTATTGGGAAGGTGGGCAAAGATCCCCCAGTTTCCAAAAGTTATGATTATGGTCATCTAAGCCACAGGATCTGTTTTCTTATGTAGTTGAGAAGCTAACATAGTACTCCATTAAAAGTGGAGGTTGCCACACTGCGTGACCAAACACTGAGTTCAGCTGCCCTGTCTAGATATTCTGGATTACTACAGCAGCCTTCTAGCCTATGGTTGGAACCCATCTGATACTTTTCCCATTCTTGCTTAGAACAATGGTGATATTTCTCTGCTTAAAATCCTCTTGTGGCTCTTTTTTGCCCATTAATAAAATTCAAACTCCATTTATCCTTAATCTCATATACAAAACCTTCAAGATGTGCTCCTTACCTAACTCTCTTTTTTCCCCTTTATCTTTCATATTTTTCATTTTTTTTCTTACCTAACCCTTTAGCCTTATCTCTCTTCTTGGATGATCTTTTGTTCTACCAATACCCAGCTTCTGGAATGCTAGTGTTTGTTTACTCAGTCCTCCATTTCCTCTTCCTGGAATTCTAGCCTCTCTTCCTTCCCCTAATCTAGTATACTCCTACTGGTCCTTCAGAACTCAGTTTAGGTTATAATTCTCCAAAAAATTACAATTAGGTTCTCTCTCTGGATCCCATCCCTCAAAAAACAAAAAACAAAAAACCTTTAAGACTGGGCTGATTGCTTCTCTTATGTGCTGTCATAATATCTGTTACAGCTCTTAACTACACTGGAGAGAGTACTTTCATTAGCCTATTGTAAATTTTGTTGACAGCAGTCCACAGTAACCTCATAACTACACACACACACACACACACACACACACACACACACATTCTTTCTCTCTCTTAAAGGCCTTCTTCGTAGGCCTTTATCAGTCAAGTGCCCAAACTTTCTCAATTCATGGCACCCTTATTATCGCAGTAATTTTTTTCACAGCATCCCTAGGTCAAAAGAAACACCTAACAGTTTAATTTTTTTGTTTTTTGTTTTTTGAGACGGAGTCTCGCTCTTTCACCCGTGCTGGAGTGCAGTGGCGCGATTTCGGCTCACTGCCGCCTCCACCTCCCAGGTTCAAGCAATTCTCCTGCCTCAGCCTCCCGAGTAGCTGGGATTACAGGCACGCGGCACCATGCCTGGCTAATTTTTTGTATTTTTAGTAGAGACGGGGTTTCACCATGCTGGCCAGGCTGGTCTCGAACTCCTGACCTCGTGAGCCATGTGCCTCAGCCTCCCAAAGTGCTGGGATTACAGGCGTCAGCAACCATGCCTGGCCAGTTTAATTTATTAAGTAATTAGGTCTGAACAACTTAATAAGTATGTATCTCCTAACAAGTCAGTAGCTGTGTGAAAAGATAAAATACATAAACTAAAATCAGTAACTTTCATTCTTAACTGCTATCGTGTATGTACCATAGTTTTCTCGACTAATGTCCTGTTTGAACATTTAAGTAATATCTAATATTTTGCAATTACAAATGATGTTACAGTGAAAAACTTTGTGTACATGTATCTTTGTATTGTTGGAGAGATACATCTTCAGGATAAATGCATATGTAGAGTTGTTAGGTACTGTCAAACTCCTCATCCTGTGGGGTTATACTATTTTGCATTCCTACCAGCAGTGTATGAGAGTAGAGTGCTTATTTCCTCACAGCCTCACCAGCAGTGTTTTGTCAGCTTTTGAATTTGTGCTGATCTAATAGGTAAGAAATTGTATCTCAGTGTATTTTCCATTTGTACTTCTATTACAAGTGAATTGAACATGTTTTCATATGTTTAAGGGTCATTTTAATATTTATTTTTATTGTTCATATTATTTGCTCACTTTCTTTTCTTTTCTTTTTCCTTTTTGAGATGGAGTTTCGCTCTGTCGCCCAGGCTGGAGTGCAGTGGCACGATCTCTGCTCACTGCAACCTCTGCCTCCCAGGTTCAAGCGATTCTCCTGCCTCAGCCTCCTGAGTAGCTGGGATTACAGGTGCACGCCACCACGCCTAGCACGTTTTTGTATGTGTGTATGTATTTATTTATTTATTTTGAGATGG
This sequence comes from Homo sapiens, assembly GCF_000001405.40. Lineage (NCBI taxonomy): Eukaryota > Metazoa > Chordata > Mammalia > Primates > Hominidae > Homo > Homo sapiens. The sequence goes on from NC_000007.14 coordinate 39,629,625, forward strand.
GGTCTCACTCTGCCAGGCTGGAGTACAGTGGCGCCATCTCAGCTCACTGCAACCTCTGCCTCCTAGGTTCAAGCGATTTTCCTGCCTCAGCCTCCCGAGTAGCTGGGACTACAGGCGCGTGCCACCACGCCTGGCTAATTTTTTGTACTTTTAGTAGAGATGGGGTTTCACCGTGTTAGCCAGGATGGTCTCGATCTCCTGACCTCGTGATCCACCTGCCTCGGCCTCCAAAAGTGTTGGGATTACAGGCATGAGCCACCGTGCCTGACCCTAATTTTGTATTTTTAGTAGAGATGGGGTTTCACCATGTTGGTCAGGCTGGTCTCAAACTCCTGACCTCGTGATCCGTCCACCTCAGCCTCCCCAAGTGCTAGGATTACAGGCGTGAGCCACCATGCCGAGCTTTCTTTTACTTTTTTTCTTTTTTTTGAGACAGAGTCTTGCTGGACCCTCCAGGCTGGAGTGCAGCGGTGCAATGGTGCGATCACAGCTCACTGCAGCCTCAGCCTCCAAGACTCAAGTGATCTTCCCACCTCAGCCTCCTGAGTAGCTGGAATTATAGGTGCATGCCACCATGCCTTGCTAATTTTTTTTTTTTTTTTTTTTTTGTCAAGATGGGGTTTTAACATGTTGCCCAGACTGGTCTTAAACTCCTGGGCTCAAGCAGTCTGCCCACTTCAGCTTCCCACAGTGCTGGAATTACAGGCATGAGCTATCGTGCCCGACCAATTTGCCCATTTTCTATACGACTTTCAGTCTTTTTTCCTCTCAGCTTTGAAAAGTTCTCTCTATTTAAGAATATTAACCGTTTAATTTTGACATATGTTGCAGATATTTTTGCTAGTCGTCTTTTGGCATTGCTTGTGGTGATTTTTTGCCATGCAAAAGATTGTTTTTATATAGTCAAATATATAAATTTTAAATTTACTGCATCTGAAGTTTTAGTCATATTCAGGAAACTTCTTACCTTCAGGTTATAGAGAAATTCACACATGCTTTCTTCTGGTACTCATATAGTTTCATTTCTCACATTTAGTTCCATTCAGAGTTTATTTCTATGTATGATATAAGGAATGCATCTAATTTTATCCTTTTCCAAGTGGCTATCCAGTTGCCCCAATGACATTTATTTAAAAAAGAAAAAAAAATTCTTGTTCCTTCTATATGCAGTTGGGTATATTTTTTTTCTATTGGATTATCTCACCATTCATGCACCAGTACCACATCATTTTAATCATAGAGGCTTTGTAGTATGTTTTAATGTTTGGTAGGGCTAGTCACCCATTATAGCGCTTCCTCTTCATTGTTTTTCTTGCCTTCTTGTATGAATTTTAGCATCAATTTGTCTAAGTCTATGAAACAATTCATTGCTGGTTTTTTGTTTTTGTTTTTTTTTTTTTTGAGACAGAGTTTCACTGTGTCACCCAGGCTGGAGTGCAGTGGTGCGATCTCAGCTCACTGTACCCTCTGCCTCCCAGGTTCAAGCGATTCTCCTGCCTCAGCCTCCCATGTAGCTGGAACCACAGGCGTGTGCCACCATGCCCAGCTTATTTTTTTATTTTTAGTAGAGACAGGGTTTCGCCATATTGGCCAGGCTGGTCTCAAACTCCTGGCCTCAAGTGATCCACCTGCCTCGGCCTTCCAAAGCACTGGGATTACAGGCGTGAGCCATGGTGCCCGGCCTCATTGCTGTTTTTATTGGGATCACATTGAACTTATACTAACTTATGAAGAACTGACATCTTTTTTTTGGAGAAAGGGTCTCCCTCTGTTGCCCAGGCTGGAGTGCAGTGGTGCCATCATAGCTCACTGCAGCCTTGAACTCCTGGGCTCAAGTGATCCTCCTGCCTCAGCCACCCAAGTAGATGATAGTACAGGTGTGTGCCACCATGCCCTGCTAGAGAATTGACATCTTGATGGTATTGAGACATCTTAACCTAAAACAAACAATGTCTTTTTATTTTTTGCATTCTACTTTTGTGTCTTTGAGGAATGGTTTATAGTTTTCTTCATACAAGTTTTCAACATTTCTTGCTTATTCCTAAGCTATTTTATCTTTTTTGTTGCTATTATAGTTTTCTTATCATTTATGTATTTTAACTGGTTATTGTCCATTTATACGAATATTGTTGATTTCTGCATATTTTCCTGCCACCTTGCCAAATTGTTACTAAGTTGACTATGTTAGCCTCTTTTGCATTGCTATGAAAGTATACCTGTGACTGGGTAATTCATAAAGGAAAGAGATTTGTTTGGCTTACGGTTCTGCAGGCTGTACTGGCATGACACCAACATCTGCTTGGCGAGTTGAGGCCTCAGGAAGTTTTTACTCATGGAAGAAGGCGAAGGGTGAGCAGGTGTGACACATGGCAAAAGAAGAGTGAGAGAGAGGAGGAGGTTCTGGGCTCTTTTAAACAACCAGCTCTCATGTGAACTAATAGAGTAAGAACTTGCTCATTACTGTGAGGACAGCACCAAGCCATTCGTGAGGAATCTGCCCTATGACGGAAACATCCCCCGACTAGGCCCGCCTCCAACCTTGGGAATTACATTTCAACATGAAACTTGGAAGAGACACACATCCAAATCATATCAATTACTTCCATCATTGCTTCTCTCAGACTTTCCAGATATACTATTGTGTCATCTGTAAATAGTTTTTTTTCCTTCTTTTCCAGTGTTTATGCCTTTAACTATTTATCTAATTGCACTGACTAATATCTCCAGAACAAGATTAAATAGCAGTGTAACAATGTCTTTAATAGAGGTACTGATTGCTTCATTGTATTATCTTCACCATGGATATACAAATGTGTACATTTCAATGTAGATAATAGTTTGGCTATGTATATACCTTACAAGGGTTGCACACAGTCCTTCGCTGTGTCTTTAAGAGATGCTTATGGAGATTGGCTGGGCGTGGTGGCTAAGGCCTGTAATCCCAGTACTTTGGGAGGCTGAGGCTAGCAGGTAGCTTGAGCTCATGAGTTTGAGACCAGGTCGAGTAAGATGGTGAAACCCTGTCTCTACAAAAAGTACAAAAATTAGCTAAGTATGGTGGCATGTGCTTGTGGTCCCAGCTACTAGGGAGCTGAGGTGGGAGGATCACTTGAGCCCAGGAGGGGAGGCTTCAATGAGCTGAGATCATGCCACTGCACTCCAGGCTGGGTGACAGAGTGAGACCCCATCTCAATTTTTAAAAAATTAAATTTTAACAAAAGATACTTAAGGAGATGGATGTGGTAAGAAGCAGGAAAGGTCAACTTTCCTAGTGCATGGTAGGAAAATACGGTGTTTAGCATGGTAACTGCTCCATGGTTTCTCAGTTTATACAAGCAGCCCTGAGTTTTCTTGCTTCTCTACACAGTTTTCTGGATTTCATTTTGTTTTTTACCCAGCTAGTTATAGATGCCACAGGGTGACCTCCTTTTCCCTTCTAGGCTAAAGCTGTCATAGGTCTATGAAAATCTAGGGATTCCCTTCTAGGCTTCACAGTCTTAAGTGGTGTGTGTGCTTTGCAGATGAGCAAGGCTTGTTTTGTATTGATATGTTGCTGCCTTGACTTCTTGGATTTCTAGATCATATAGCAAGGTAAATGTTAGTCTGTTCTCGCACTGCTATAAAGACATACCCGAGAATGGGTAATTTATAAAGAAAAGAGGTTTAATTAACTCACAGTTCCACATGGCTGGGGAGGCCTCAGGAAACTTAAAATCATGGCAGAAGATGAAGCAGACGTGTCTTACATGTCAGCAGAAAAGAGAGAGAAGGGGAGAGAGAGAATGAGAATTCATGAGAGTGAGCAGGAGCGAGCATGTGCATGCAAGAGCAGGAAAAACTGCCTTATAAAACCATCAGATCTCGTGAGAACTCACTGTCACGAGAACAGCATGGAGGAAACTGCTTCCATGATCCAGTCACCTCCCACCTAGTCCCTCCCTCAACAAGTGGGGTTATGGCGATTATAATTCAAGATGAGATTTTGGTGGGGACACAGCCACACCCTATCAGCAGGTTTGTAATTAGATGAGTTTATCCACTGGGGGGTAATCCTAGAGTACATATCTGTGGGTGGTTCTTGACAAGTGTGTAAGGCCTGGGACATCTGGCTTTGAGGCAGTTCTTTCTCCAGGTTTTATTTATGCGAATCCACTCATCTGGCAGGAATGATTTGTTGGTGTGAAATCAGGTGTTGGCCCAGCATCCTGCACATGTTCCATCCACATGGCAGTGATGGTCATTGCACACCAGTGCTTGGTCTCCCAAGTTCTGGAGAGTGTTTTTATTTCACTGCCATCTAATTTATCCAGAAAGTTCAAGTAGCGTATTTTCTGTAGATTCTTATAATTTCAAGATTACCAGGTCCCTGTGTGAACTCTCAGACCACATCCTGTTGCCTTTCTCTGTCATTCTATTGTTTTCTCTCCCAGGAGGGCTGGGTGGTAGGGTATTTATTAATTTATTGCCCCATATACTAATGAGTTCCTTCCTAGAACTCCTTACAACTCTCAGTCCATGGCCTGTTGTCCATCTTTGCTGTCCCAGGAGTGCTGGTAGGTAGAGTATTTAATGATCTCTTCTTGTCCCTAGGTTGAGGAGCCCTCACTCACCTTGGTCCATTCCTTGGTCCATTCCAGCTGTCTGTTTTCACTTTTCCTGTGACCCATGTCACCTTTTTCTCTCTGGGTCTTGCTGCCTCACTGGTATGAAATTCAGACTTGGGTGGGGCAGACTTGGGGGTTTCCTGCCTTGAAGATCCTCAGATCTTGTCCTGTGGTACATGCAGCTACCCTGATGGCACACTTCAGCAGGAGGGTGATCTTTTCTGTTCTTTTTTGTTGTTGTCTTATTTCCTCTGCCTGCCCCCACCATTTTTAGTCTGAGGGAAATCTGTCTTCCATCATCTTTCTGCCTAAAATATTTAGTCCATCCCCAGAAGTCTTAGGTTTCTGGGACACCAGCCCTAGTCATTTAATGTTTGAATAATTGGTAACCTTCCCACTACCCTATTAATCTCCAAGGTCTTCCTATTTCTTATGTCTACATAATACAGCTAAGACAATTCTCGGTGCCTGCTACTTCATTCTTATTTGCTGCTTGTGATTTTCAGTAGCTTTCTTAGTCCCTAAGAATAAAATAAAACTTGATCATTTTGTTGCTATTTGTTGCCATTTGTTGCTATGCTTATTTATTTTTATGTTTTGTTTTGATCCAGTTCATAAAATCCATTTCTTTGTTTTGTTAAAGTTTCTACTTATCTGGTTACAACTGCTTGTCTTTTTTGCACATTCATTGGTCATTTATATTTCTTAGCCTGTGAATTGTCTTTATTTCCTTTGCTTATTATTTTTCTGTAGTGAGGACTTGAATCTTCTTTATAATAACAGATTTATTGGGATATAATTCACATACCATAAAATTTGCCCTTTTAAATGTGCAGTTTTGCCAGGTGTGGTGGCTCACGCCTGTAATTCCAGCACTTTGGGCAGCCAAGGCAGGCAGATTGCTTGAGTCCAGGAGTTCAACATGGCAAAACCCCATCTCTGCAAAAAATAGAAAAAAATTAGCCAAGCATCTCTACAAAAAATACAGAAAAATCAGCCGAGCATGGTGGCGCGTGCCTGTCTGTAGTCCTAGCTACTCGGGATGCTGAGGTGGGAGGATCGCTTGAGCCCAGGAGGTGGAGGTTGCAGTGAGCCGAGATCGTGCCACTACACTCCAGCCTGGGCAACAGAGCCAGACCTGTCTCGAAAAAGAAAAAGTACAATTTAGTGGTTTTTAATATAGTCAGAGTTGTGCAATTATCACCAATATCTAATTCCAGAACATTTTCATTACTTTCAAAAAGAAAGCCATACTCATTAGTCATCAGTCCTGATTTCTTCTGCCCCTCAGCCCCTGGCAACTACTAATCTATTTTCTCTCTCTACAGCAGTGGTCCCCAACCTTATTGGCACCAGGGACTGGTTTTGTGGAAGACAGTTTTTCCACGGACCAGGGGAAATGGGGAGGAGGATGGCGTTGGGATGAAACTGTTCCACTTCAAATCATCAGGCATTAGTTAGATTCTCATAAGGAGCATACAAACTAGATTGCTCAGGTGCACAGTTCACAATAAGGTTTGTACTCCTATGAGAATCTAATGCCACCACTGATCTGACAGGAGGTGGAGCTCAGGCAGTAATGCTTGCTCACCCTCCGCTCACCTCCTGCTGTGCGGCCCAGTTCCTAACAGGCCACAGACTGGTACCAGTTTGTGGCCCAGGGGTTGGGGAGCCTGCTCTACAGACTTGCCTATTCCAGATAATTTTTGGATTCCATAAATGGAGTCATACAATAGGTGGTCTTTTGTGTCTGGCTACTTTCACCTAACATAATGTTTTCAAGATCATCCATGTTGTAGCATGCGGCAATACTTCATTTGTTCTAATGGCTGAATAATGTTCCATTGTGTGGGTATGCCATAATTTATCCATTCATCAGTTGATGGACATGTGGGTGTTTCTACTTTGGGGCTTATATTGAATAATGTTGACATGAACATTGATGTATGTGTTTTTGCATAGATGTATGTTTTCATTTCTCTTGGGTGTATATACCTAGGAGTGGAAGTGCTGGGTCGTATAATAACTCCCATGTTTAACATTTTGAAGACCAGCCAAACTTCTAAAGCAGCTGCACCATTTTACATCCCCACTGGAAGCGTATGAGAGTTCCCAGTTTTTCCGCAACTTCACTAACAGTTGTTATTGTCTTATCTTTTTTATTATAGCCATTCTAGTGAATATAATTTCTGTCTTCCTTCATCTGCTGGGATACTTTGAGCTCACCTATGTTTATTAAGTTATCTATATTTTAGCATATCGTGTATGCCTTTTCTTCTTAGATCTCTAAGTTTGAGGTCCAGTCCCAAGAACACTTTCTTCGTTGTAAAAACTATAAACATGACTTTTTGTTTGAACTTCCAGGTGGACTTTCTTTTTGATTCATCAACAAAATTTCTGTTTTACGTTTGTGTGTTTGATGTTATACTAGTTTGTTCTCTCACTGCTATAAAGAACTACCTGAGACTGGGTAATTTATGAAGAGAAGAGGTTTAATTGACTCAGAGTTCTGCAAACTTAACAAGAATCATGACCGGGAGCCCTCAGGAGACTTACAATCATGGCGGAAAGCAAAGGGGAAGCAAGCACATTCTCATTATGGTGGAGCAGGAGAGAGACACGGGGGCAAGGAAGTGCTACACTTTTAAACCATCAGATCTCATGAGAACTCACTATCACTAGAACAGCATGGGGGAAACCACCCCCATGATCCAGTCACCTCCTACCAGGTCCATCCCCTGATGTGGGGATTACAAATTGACATGAGATTTTGGTGAGGGCACAGAGTCAAACCCTATCAGATGAGTTTCAAGCTATTAAAAACATTAAATTGTTAAAAGCACACTGTTAAAATTTGTGGTATAGCAAATAGAATGTTTAAGAGTAATGAAGGGGAATTATTCATAGTGAATACTGACATTGTCTAAGTGAATTTTTAGTGCAGTGTTGACTACATAATTGAGGAGTCCCAGTTATAGCCAAAGTAACCCAAAATGATGCTAGGTTTAATCCTATATTTCTGTCCCTATTAACAGGAAGGTACAAAGTGTGACTAATTTTTTTTAATGGAACCTGCACTTTTGTATACATTATCCTTGTTTGATCTTTATTATCAGCCAAGAGATATAGAGAGGACGGCTATTCTTCCACATTTATTAACCTTCATTCAACAATTCTTTTGAACACACCTGTAACTTAAAGATTTTAGCACCAATTCATTATGTTACTTTGACTTAAGTAATACTTCAAAAAGTATTCCTTAACAATAGCATTTTTTGTAAAGCTTTAAGTGGTTCAGTCTCTGAATAATTATTTTATACTTTTAGTTTCATTTGTTCCCTCTGTTAGTTTCAGTATGTTAACACAGGTAGACCAAAAAGATGACAGTATTTATACACCAACTATGTGCTTCTTTCTAAATGCACAGATAACTGTATTGGTGATTCCATTTACATTTGGTTAGGTTTCAAATGAGAGTGCTATTTCCTCCCAGCTTTTTGTTTTGAAACATTTCAAACCTATAGAAAAGAGTAACATAGTGTATTGAATGCCTACATACCCTACACCTATATTCACCAATCACCAATTATCATTTTGGCCACATTTGCTTTTTCTGAGTATAGATGCTTTTATTTATTGATTGATTTTTGAGCTATTTGAAAGTAAGTTGGAGAAACTTCACCTTTGTGTACTTCAGCTTGCATTTTCTGAGAATAAAGGCATTCTCCTGCATAATACTGTTGTAATACTATTGTAACACCTAAGAAAATTAGTAACAATTCCATAACATCCTCTAATATCTAACCCAGATTCAGGTTTCCCAGTTGTCTCCTAATGTCTCTCTCTTTTTTTAAAATTTTATTTTAAAAGACAGGGTCTTATTCTGTCACTTAGGCTGAATGCTCTGTCACCTAGGCTGGAGTGCAATGGTGTGATCACAGCTCACTCTAACCTCTAACTCCTGGCCTCAAGTGATCCTGCTGCTTAAGCCTCCTGAGTAGCTGGGATTACAGGAGTGTGCCAGTTGTTCATAGATTTAGAACAATATTTAGTGTCAAGTCAGTGATTTTTCTAAGGTTATAATAGGGATCTTCATAAATTTGCCCTTTCCGGATGGTAGAAATGAAATCATACAATATGTGGTTTTTGTGTCTGGCTTCTTTTACTTAGCATAGTGTCTTTCTGGTTCATTAATGTTAAGGCATGTGTCAGTAGTTCTTTTTTGTTGCTTAGTAGTATTCTATTCTATGGATATGGATATACCACATTTTGTTTATCATCATGTCTCCCTGCAGTCTTGACCTCCTGGGCTCAAGCATTCCTCCCACCTCAGCCTCCCAAGTAGCTGGGACCAGAAGGCACATGCCACCAGGCCTGGCTAATTTTTTAAATTTTTTTGTAGATATAGGGTTCTCCCCGTGTTGTCCAGGATGGTCTGAAACTCCTGGGCTCAAGCAGTCCTCCCCTTTGGCCTCCCAGAATGCTGGGATAATAGGCATGAGCCACTGTGCCCAGGCCATCTTGTTTATCTGTTTATCAGTTGGTGGACATTTGGAGTTTTTCCACTTTTTGGTTGTTGTGAATAATCCTGCTGTGAACATTCATGTACAAGTCTTTGTGTGGACATAGTTTTCATTTCTCATGTATATATACTTGGGAGAGTAATTATTGGGTTGTATGGTACATTTATGTTTAACCTCTTAAGAAATTGCCACACTGTTTTCCAGAGTGGCTGCACATTACTTTGCATCCTCACCAGCAGTGTTTGAGGGCTTCTCTTTCTCTGCATGTTTATGGACAGTTGTTACACAGTAAGTCCTCACTTAATGTCATAGGTAGGTTCTTGGAAAATGTGACTTTAAGTGAAATGGTGTATAACAAAAACAATTTTACCATAGGTTAATTGATACAAGAGTTAAGTTTCTGTAGCATATTTCTGGTCACAAAAACATCACAAACTTCTAAATCAAGACCCAAAACACTTCTAAACATTGAAAGAATTGTGAGCTTTACATACCTTTCAGAAAGATTGATACAAACAAGTAAGACTATTACTTAACCCAATTTTACTCACCCAATCAGTGAGTGACAGCAGTTGCATTGGTGGTTGGTCAAATCAAAGAAGAAATCTTTACAAAGTGAAAATTGTAAGGAGAACTTTCTGCCACCACAGTTAAAAAAGAAATGGCGGTGATGTGCGCACGTAGTCCCAGCTCCATGAGAGGCTGAAATAGGAGGATCTCTTGAGCCCAAGAGTTTGAGGCTGTAGTGCATTATGGTTAAGACTGCATAGCCATTGCACTCTTAACCATGGCAACATAGTGAGACCCTGTTCCTTTAAAAAGTAGAGGGAGAGAAATAATAACAAATATGGCAGGCTTTCTGAGCACTTTTATATCATATCCTGTGTTTTCATGCATTTGTCCTATGATCATAGACTTTACAGATTTTTATTTTCTGATAATTTGTATTCATCCATTCATTTTCCAACCTGCTTTTTCCAGTTCAGGCTCTTGGATGGTGAGAGCCTATTCCAGCAACTCAGGGAACCAGGCTGGAACCAGCCTTGAACAGGACACCGTCCTGTTGCAGGATGCCCTCATGCACACACGCACACTCACTCAGACATGGACAATTTAGACATGCCTGTGAACCTCTTATGCACATCTTTGCAATATGGGTTTTTTTTCCCTTATTTCATTAAAACCGAATCATGATGAACCAAACAACATTATTTGAGAACCTGCTGTAGTCTTTTTTGACGTTAGTGTTTTTTCTATATTATAACCATTCTAGTGTGTATGAAATGGTATCTGGTTTTTGTTTTGTTTTGTTTTGAGACAGGGCCTTGCTCTGTTGTTCAGGCTGGAGTGCAGTAGTGAGATCTTGGCACACTGCAGCTCAGCCTCACAGGTCAAGCAATCCTACCACCTCAGCCTCCCCAACAGCTGGGACTATAGGTGCATGGCATCACTCCTGGCTAATTTTTGTAGAAACGGGATTTTGCCGTGTTGCCCAGGCTTGTCTCAAACTCCTGAGCTCAAGGGATCCACCCGCCTTGGCCTCCCAAAGTGCTGGGATTACAGGCATGAGCCACTGTACCCAGCGTGAAATGGTATCTTACTGTGGTTTTCATTTGCATTTCCTTAATAACTGATGGTGTTCAGCATCTTTTCATGTGCTTCTTAGCCATTCACATATCTTCTTTGGTGAGATGTTTAGTCAAATCTTTTTCCTGTTTCTTTTTAAATTGGGTTATTTATTTTCTTGTTACTGAGTTGTAAGAGTTTGTTTATTACAGATACAAATCTTACATCAGATATATATGAATGGCAGATATTTTCTCTCAGAGAGTGCTATGTTTTTTTGTAATGATGTTGACCATGAGCCTTTCTTAATGTTTTCTAATTTCCCATGAGACTTTCTTGGAGGCTTGGAAGAAAAGCTAAATCTTCTGGTCTTAATTCTTCCATGTATCTATTAATAGTATTGAAGCAGAATCAATTAAAGAAAGAATAGTCACCTTCATCTTCATTCAACAGTTAAGCAGTGAGAAACTCTTCCCCTTTGGACCATGTGAAGCAAATAGTCATACTGTGGGTATTAGGACTCTTTCAGTTGTAAGAGCCAGAAATCCAGTTCAGCAAAACAGAATTTTGCCATTTTTTTCCTCTCTTCTTCTACTTCCTTCTCCATTTTACTGGCAGATTCTCTTCATGTGGTCAGGAATATAGTCACCTTTATCTCCAGATTCAGTTCTTCCCAGCTCAGCAGAGACAGTCTTCCTCACTAGCCCTATCAGAAGAGCCCAAGAAATGGAGTGCTTTGGCCAGCTTGAGTCTCATGCCTTGCTTTTGTGGGAAGTAGCACATCCTAATTTAGTCCTGTTGTGATGGGGTAAGGAGGGGAAGGGGTGCTGGAGGGGTGCTGGGCAGACAAATCATATGTCTACTTCTTTGTGGGTGTTATATCATTTTTGCCCATTTTTATGAGGTTAAACCAAAAGTAATGAATAGAAGGTTAATACCTGGACTATTTTTGAAAACTCATATTTATTTTCTGATTAATTTTAACATTAAATCAGACTTTACTAATAGCACCATTTTCATATTGAAACAAACATATATGATACTTGGTTTATGCTAAAACATTCCACATACATCTTCCCACCTCCCAAGGAAGGGAGGGGACCTGTATCAACAATGATAACAACTTGATAATTGTGGCTGACCTCCCCACTTCTCATGGACGTTCTTTTATGTAGTTTTCTTTAGCTCTCTGAGTGGGGTTATGACCATCTTGGAGTTCCTATATTCCTACAGATTACTGAAATCAATTTTTTGTTATTGGTTTGCTTCCCCTCTGTTCATATATTTGGATTCCCAAGCTCTGTCAGTGTCCATATGTTATATGATTCATATTTGAAGTGATTTTTGTTTTAAGTAAGGATAATTTTTTTTAAGTAAGGATAATTCCCAGTTCATTTTCATGATGTTGGGTATATGATGTGGATGGTGATGGTGATGGTGTTATTGATGTAGTTTTTGTGATTTTCTTGCTCAAAAAAGGAAATCATTTTTATCACTTGAAGTGCTTCTTATCTAAACCCTTAGTAGATAGATATAACTGGAATTTGTTCATGTAGTTGAACAGATATCTTTGGATACTGTGTGGAACTTACATTTCTTCCATATAGTACTTTTTGGGATTTATTTTAATATGAAAATTAATTGCAGAATTGAAAAATTCTGGCTTGAGATTATCTGCATAAAATGTATTATCTGTCAGAGTTGGAACAGCCCTTAAGGGGTCATCTTGTATATTTTTCTACCCAAGAGAGAGACTAAAGATCACCTCTACCCATCTTAGTTCCTCAGTTGGGACAACCGCTGTAACAAAAGGCAATTTAACAATAGAAAAACAAGCATGTGCAGCATACAACAAGTGGGAGAAACCTCAGTGAAAACGAACTCAGAGCACAGTGGCTTAGAGCTCTGGTTTATATAGCATCTTCAACAAAGAACAGTAAATGTGTGGGTAAATGACAGGACAAAGGAAAGGGTTTTAGGCTTCCAGGGGTGGGAAACGGTGGAAAGGTAAAGATATAGGGGGAAAGTAAAGGAGTAAGATTTGTTTGCAGATTCCTCTGGTGCTGTCTCTGGGCTGATGAGTCTAGAGTTGTCTCTAGTAACAGAATTTATATCCTATATCCTGCCTTTAGGTAGAAAAGAGAGAGGGTAGAGATAGATTTTCCTTGGTTTGCTATCTCTCAGTTGTCTTCATCTAAAAAGTAATGTTTGCATCAAAGAGGCATATTTTGGGGTTATATATTCTGATTTCCTTCACACTCTTTACAAAAATCCCCTCAAAACTATCCAGCTATTAGCCATTCGTAAACCCCTGTAGTGATATTGTGGAAATCTGCTTCATTTTTGGATGTTTATATTTAAAAATATGTCCTCTTTGAACTGAAGACTGTTGTGACTTCTCTTTATTCCTTGGTTTGCTGTTGGGAGCAGCATTTAGTAGACGTATTTTTGAGCACTTGTTAAATAGCGCATCTGTTGACAGAATTGAGAGTATTCATTTTACATATACCTTTAATCAAATAATGGAAGCTGGCTGTCGTAAAACTTTCCCACTGGTTTCCCAAGCAGTCTGCCTGTTCAGGCCACACATCATTCATTTCTTTAGTTAGTTTCTAACCATCCTGATGGCAAACTTCTGAAAATAACACTGTAACATTCACTTACTTGGAGCTCAAGTTTTACAGCTTAGGTATGAAACACATAAGGCAGGAGGAAGTTACTGGAATCTGTAGATTTCCTTCTGTTCCCATGCCCTGACCTAAGCAATTTTATATTCATTGTTTACATCTAATCATCCAGTAAAACCCTGTGAGGTAGAAGATAAGGAAACTTAAGACTATACCATTAAGAATTAGGAAGTAAAGTTCAAACAAAGAACACCTTTGAGCATCCATATAAATGCCAAAGTCCTAGCACTAAAGACTATTATGTATCTGATGCATAAGAGAATAATTAGGTTATCACCCAGAACCTACTTGTTGTTACTTTATACCTAGTAGTAAACTTGATAGTTTATTTCCAAACAATTTTTAGGGGTAAAAGGATGCTGCTGCAGGCAGGCACATAGGCAGTAGTGATCAGCGGGGGACAACTATGCAGGGGAAGAAAGAGGCAGAAAAACGGCCAGGCGCAGTGGCTCATACCTCTAACCCCAGCACTTTGAGAGGCTGAGGCAGGCGGATCACTTGAGGTCAGGAGTTCGAGACTAGCCTGGCCGACATGGCAAAATCCCCTCTCTACTAAAAATACAAAAATTAGCCAGGCGTGGTGGCTTACGCCTGTAATCCCAGCACTTTGGGAGGCAGATGCAGGCGGATCACTTGAGGTCAGGAGTTCGAGACCAGCCCGGCCTACATATCAAAACCCCGTCTCTACTAAAAATTCAAAAATTAGCCAGGTGTCGTGGCGCACGCCTGTAATCCCAGCCATCTCAGGAGGCTGAGGCAGGAGAACGGCTTGAACCTGGAAGGCAGAGGTTGCAGTGAGCCAAGATCCACGCCACCTGCACTCCAGCCTGGGTGACAAAGTTGAGACTTCATCTCAAAAGAAATAAAGAGAGAAAGAAAAGAAAAGAAAGAATATGCAGTGCTGATAGAAGAATTCAGAGTTCCACATTACAGGGCTATTGAATTCAAGGAATACTCCCCTGAATTCATAATAGCCTCTGAGAGCAGGTTAATACATATAATGACTCCAGGTCCTCAGAAATCTTTTAAAAAATTATTCAGTTAAATTGAGGAATTTGTGAGAGAGACAAAATTCTGGACTCAAAATCTTTACTGAATATAACTCAGAAATCAAAATACTATTCTACCTGAGTACTACTTCTGGTGGCTAAATTGATTGTTTCTTATTCATTATGGTCTTGCTGGGAAATTCCTATGTTTTTTTTTTTTTTAATTTGTATGTGTTAAGAGTTAAGTGTAATAAGATACTCAGTAGGTATTCACCCATTGGTGCTTATTTTGGGAGCTAATTCATACAGTTAGAATGTATCATTTCTTGCAACCTTGGTTGAATCATCAAGGTTTTCCCATCTTGACTGTGTTGAGGTTTATCCCAGCTTGACTTCCCTTCGTGTCTTAGCACATCCTGGTCCACTTTCCCTGCTATCAGTTGTTAAGTATTTAGAGAATGCTGTTATTATTAGCCTGAGTGAAACATAGTTTAATTTTTCATATAAATATGTATGTGAATACTTTTAAAATTATCTAGATAATAGTTGCTTTCTTGTAGAGACTTGGAAATAAAAGAATAAGATTGCATTACTACTGAAATACTTTGTTTCATCCTTCATCTCTTTTTCCTTCAACCCCAGCTGTTCATTTGGTTACTATTTTGCCATAAACAGAGTACTGCCCTTTATTCTTAGTGGATTTAAACTATCTAATTTCATTAGATCTTTAAATCTTTGATGCAAATATTGACAATTTGTTCTTCAACCAAAAAAGATTAGGTAAATATATAGTCCAGAATATTTATGCTGCTATTTCTTGATTGTTTAAAACCCAGAAGTAATGTTTGTCAGAGGATCACTACCATTGAGACTAAAAAGTAGTAAACTTTTCTATGCCTTTAGTGAAATTTTAGGTACTTCATTTTAAAAAGTTTTGTTGTGCAGTATACAATACATTTAATCACGTGACAGATTTGTGCAAATTTGTAGGAAACCCAAGTTCTGCTTATAAATTACTTTTTCCTCTTTCTTTACAGTGATGGATTAAGCCGGTTTGATGCAATCAGACTTTTTGATGACTTTCCTAGACGTTAAAAGTGTGAAGTGTCCTTTGGCTTAAAATATTGAGACTATAATTGTAACATCATCCAGGTTCAGAACTGAGTACTCATTTTTTTTTCCAATTTAATGTCAGTATAAAGTATTATCACTTACATTAAAATTCTTGGGACAAGGGTAAACAACAGCAGGGTTTTGTAGCTTACTTTTGTTATATTAGTCAATAAACCTATTTTGTAAATCCTGTGTGACAGTGTGGGAGGTGGGGGCAGAAGGGTTCAGAAAGAACATTTCGTTTTTAAGGCAGTAATATGAAAATATTTTGAGATGAATGTTGTTACTAATGTGTGTTTTCTTAATTCTTAAACTGGGACACATTGACAATTATGGCCTCATAAATGAAATGAGAGAGGGAATGATGATAGTAATTGAGGGTTTTTTCTTCAGAAATTATAGTTTGTTTTTCCTTTAATATTTGAAACTGATAAAAGTCCATTTATCGTCAGTAAAGTGTAAAGGAAGCATATAACCTTTTAGGGGAGACAGTGTGGTATAGTGACATGAGCACAAATCTTGTTTAATAAAATGTTTCTTGAATGAATAAACACCTACTATGTGCCAGGCACTGTACTAGGCAAATAATAGGCACTGGCACTTAATCTAGGCTTAAGGAACAAGGAAAGCTTTCCATAAGTGACCACAGGAGGACGAATAGGAATTTGATAACGGAGATGCATCAGGTTGAGTTTGACATTGAATGTTCAAAACTGGGAAATAAAATTCATGCCATGAATTTAGAGCAAGAGTATATTCCTAAGGGGTGAAGAGGGGAGGGAAAAGAGGCTGATTAGAGGTGTCAGGAGGTTGTAGGCAGATCATAAACACCTTATTTCAGGTCAGTGGGGAGTCATCAAAACAATTTAAGAAGCATTATAAGATTTGCCTTTAGACAGACTTGGACCATTCTCAACTTCAGAGCTCTCAAAATTATCTCTGGTGAAAGGCTATTTTAAAAATTTTTAATAAGTGGCCAACTGATAACTTTGGAAAATACAACCACAATGAATTACTAGAAGAATGAAATGTTTGAAAGATAAAACTATGCTGGCTCATGCATATAGTCCTAACTACTTGGCAGGCTGAGGTGGGAGGATCACTTGAGCCTGGGAGGTCAAGGCCGCAATGAGCCATGATCATGCCACTGCACTCCAGTCTGGATGACAGAGCAAGACCCTGTCCCTACAACCCCCCGCCAAAAATAAAAAATAAAAACAAGCCCACTTTTAAATTAGATTGAACAGACTGGGCACAGTGGCTCACACCTGTAATCTTAGCACTTTGGGAGTCTAAGGTGGGAGGATTGCTTGAGATCAGTCGGGGCAACACAGTGAGACCCCCATTTATACAAAAAATTTTTTTAAATGAGCCAGATGTGGCAGCACACATCTGTGGTCCCAGCTACTCAGGAGGCTGAGGCAGGAGGATCACTTCACTTGAGCCCAGAGGTCAAGGCTCTAGTGAGCCATGTTCTTGCTGTGCACTCCAGCCTGAGTAACAGAGCAAGACCCTGTCTCAAAAAAAGATTGAACATTGAATAGACATAAAATTGCTCTAGTTTCTCTATAAAAGTTTCTAAGTGTGTACTCTCAAATTTATTCTGTTCTAGTCATTAACTACTTCACTTTGAGTACCTCTGTTACAGAGGAGTAATGTTTTTTTGGTCCTGCATGCTCTCAGTACAGAACTCTAGAGCCTCCCATGTATATATTTACTTTTCAGCCTTACCCATGTACTGCTGTTCAGTTATATGGTTTCCATTATAAACCATAAAATAATAAGTTAGAAAAAGTAAGAAAATAATGAGAGGTTGGATAAGCTATTATAAAATGTAAAATTTTATTTTTAATAGTATATAAATGTTGTGTTGGCACTAAACCATTGTTTAGTGAGATCAGTATAACTGAGTATTCCTGTTAGCTTATGAACAGATTCTTATTTATTTATTTTGGGGACAGGGTCTCACTGTGTCACCCAGGCTGGAGTGCAGTGGCACAGTCATGGCTCTTTGCAGCCTCGACCTCCCGGGCTCGAGCAATCCTCCCACCTCAGCCTCCCAAGTAGCTAGGACTACAGGCATGTGCCAGCATGCCCAGCTGATTTTTGTATTTTTTGTAGACACAGAGTTTTGCCATGTTGCCCAGGCTGGTCTCGAACTCCTGCGCTCAAGTGGTACACCCCCCTTGATCTCCCAAAGTGCTAGGATTACAGGCGTGAGCCACCACGCCTGGCTGCAGATTGTTTCTAGTGGAAATCCACATAGCTTCTCCGCTCATGAGGCTTACTCTGTGATTGTTTCTGATCAAAAGGTTCTGTGTCTATCCTAGGTGTATTGTGTATCCTGTAACTAAAACTTGAGGTATTGTTGGAAACATTTGAAACAATGTAGGTCTGGAGTTTCATAGTCCTGCATTTGAATTCCAGCTTATTGTTGTGTGATCCCGGACATGTTTGCACTGGACTGAATGTTTATGTTCCCCCCAAATTTGTATGTTGAAATCCTAGACCGCAAGGTGATGGTATTAGGAGTTGGGGCCTTTAGGAGGTAATTAGGTCATGAGGGAAGAGACCTCATGAATGGAATTGGTGTCCTTATTGAAAAAGACCCCAAAGAGATCCCTTGCTCCTTCCACCATGTGAGGTTACAGTGAGAACACAGCCATCTAGGAGGAAATGGGTCCTCACCAGACACCGAATGTGCTGGCACCTTGATCTTGGACTTCCCAGACTCCAGAACTGTAAGAAATAAATTTTTGTTGTTTAAAGAAAGAATGAAAATTTCTTCCTGCTTTTCAGTGTTATTATTGAAAACAGAGATAACTTTTCAAGTATCTGTCATAAAGTCTTAGATCTATTTTAAGCCCTTAAGTAAGTGTCTGTTTCATTTTGTTTCAACAACTGCATCAGCTGGTATGCCACTTCTATATGGTATAACATTTTTCTCAGGAAGTCAGATTTATACTTCCCTATTAACACACCTTTATAGAGGCTGTCATCATGTAAGCTTCTAAAGTCATATACAAAATTTTGGAATTTTGTAGGTTTTACAGGGGCCCAGTGGCCTGGGTTCAGTCCTCTCATTTTACATATCTGAAAACCATGGTCTTCAGAGGTTTGTAGTGGCAGAAAACCGAAATCTTTAGAGCCTATTAGGTGGTAGAACCTAGGCCCATTGACTTATACTCTAGTCCTCTTTCTGCTATCATGTGTAATCCAGAGCTTTATGTTTAAAAACAGTGTGAAAATGAAAAAGGAGTTAATATATACAGTTTGTTTTGCCAGTAAGTTTTCCATCAACTTAATAGCTTTTTTTTTTTTGTCTCTTTTCACAGTTAACTCTTTCGTCCAGCAGATATTAAGGGCCTCATGTGTCAGGCACTATCTAAGGTAGTGGAGATACAACAGTAAATACAATGGGCAAAATTCTGCCCTCATGGATCTTATGTTCTGCAGAGAGGAGTCCTAAAGGATGTGAGGGAGTGAGCCATGTGCTAATCTTCCAGTAGAAGGAATGGCAAAGTAATTTAGGATCTCTTAGACCTCATAAGGCTTTTATTCCCAGTGATATGAGAAGTCTTAGGAATGGCTGTATTTTGAGAGTAGAGGTGACAGATTTGCCAGCCAATCAGTTGTGGGCTGTGAAAGAAGAGTTAAGAATGACTCCAAGGGGCCAGGTGCAATGGCTCACCCCTGTAATCCCAGCACTTTGGGAGGTCGAGGCAAGCGGATCACTTGAGCCCAAGAGTTTGAGACAGTAGAGGCAATAAGTCAAAATCCAGTATCTACAAAAAATACAAAAATTAGCTGGGCATGGTGGCATGCGCCTGTAATCCCAGCTACTCAGGAGGCTTGAGGTGGGAGGATCGCTTGAGCCCAGGAGATCAAGGCTGTGCTGAGCTGTGATCATGCCGTTGCACTCCAGCCTGTGCGACAGAGCGAGACCCTGTCTCAATAAAAATAAAAGAATGACTCCAGGAGTTTCAGTGTGAGCAACCTAAAGAATGAGGTTGCCATTTACTGATAGAGGGAAAGCTAAGAGAGAAGCAGGTTGGAGTAGGTTAAACCAGGCATGGAGTTTTGGACAGTTTGGAATTTGGACAGTTAAGTTGCCTATTAGACAACTAGTTTTATGTGTTAAGTAGGCAGTTACATGTGAATCTGATGTTCAGGGGAGAGATGAAATCCAGAGATATAAATTTGGATGTCATCCCCATATAGATGCTATACTGAGTATTATGGTTTGAATGTTTGTGTTGCCTCCAAAATTCATGTTGAAACTTAATCCTTAATTCAACAATATTAAGAGATGGTGCCAATAGGAGGTGATTAGTTCACGAGCGCAGAGTCCTCATGAATGAGATCAGCAACTTTATAAAAAGGCTAAAGGAACTAGCTAGGCCCTTTTTTGCTCTTCTGCTCCTTTTCCTAGTGAGGACACAGCATTCGTCCCCGCTGGAGGATGCAGCAACAGGGTGCCATCTTGGAGCAGATGATGGTCCTCACCAGACACCGAACCTGCTTCAATTTGGACTTCTAGGCCACAGAACTATGAGAAATAAATTTCTGTTCTTTATAAATTACCCAGGCTTACATGTTTTGTTACAGCAACTCAAACAGCCTAAGTGAACTCATGAAAGGAATGAATGTAGATAGAAAAAAGAGGCCCAAAAAGAGATGGATGGAAAAAGAGAAGCCATAATGACTTTGGAAAACCAGGTGATTGTGGTATCCTGGAAACCAAATAAAGAAAATGTTTTAAGAAAGAGGGAGTGATGATCTGGGTCAGCTGCTACTGATAAGTGAGGTATAACGAAGATTGAAAATTGACTGTTGGATTTAGCAGTGTGGAGGTGACCTTAACAAAAGCTTTATATGAGTAGGCTTGGGAGAGAATAAAAGGAACAGAATTGGAGACAGTGAGTTTGAGAAATGAAGTAGGGTTGAGAGTTTTTGTTTTATTTTTAAGATAGAAAAAAATACATTTGAATCCAGTAGAGAGGAACAAATTCATGGATGAAAGGGGGAGAATTTCTGGAGCAGTCTCTGTTGAGTTGGCTAGAGGGAATGAGATCGGCATGAGTGGAAGCATCGGGCTTACTAGGATCTTGATCAGTTTCATTTATAGCAGGGGTTGGCAAACCCCAGCTCTGGAGCCAAATTCAGCCTGCTGCCTGTTTTTAAAATAAAGTTTTGTTGGAACATAACCTTGTGCATTTATTTAGGTATTGTCTGTGACTGCTTTCAAACTATGGCAGCAGAGTTGAGTAGTGCTGCAGAGAAGCCTAAAATATTTACTAGAAAGAGTTTGCCAACCCTTAGATTTACAGTAACTGAAGAAAAGATAGGATGAAATATGAGTGGGAGAGGGGAAGAAATAGGTATCAAATCTAGGGAATTGAACATTTTGAAGAAGGTAGTAAGACCCCTTTTCTGGTTTTGGTCAAACCACATAGAAAATCAGAACTTTGAATTTAGACTTGCAGTCTCGGTGCTTTTTCCTAAGGCGGGTTCTTGGAAGGGGCCCTAGTCTCAAACTGTAAGCTAACTATATAGTTATCTATTGGGGCTGTGTTATAAATTACCAATATCTTAGCTGCTTAAAACAACAAACATTTATTACCACAGTTCCTGTGGGTCAGCAATGTGAAAGCAGCTTAGCTGGATGGTTCTGACTTAGAATCTCCCATGAGGCTGCAATCAAAGTGTCAGCCAGGGCTGCAGACTTCTGAGACTTGGCTGGGTCTAGAGAGTCGGCTTCGTATCTTATTCATGGCTATTGGCAGGAGGCTTCAGTTCCTTGCCACATCAGCCTCTCCTTTGGACTAGTCATAATGTGGCTTCCCCTGTAGAAAGTAATGAGACAGAGTGCCCAGGACAGAAGCCTCAGCCTTTTATATCCTAATCTTTGGAAGTGACATGCCTTTACTTCTGTATCGTAGACAGTCCCCGACTTAGGATTTTTCAGCTTTACAATGGTGTACCATCATTATGTTTTTCACTTTCAACCCAGTATTCAATAAATTATATGAGATAGTCAACAAACACTTTATTATAAAATAGGCTTTGTGTTAGTTGATTTTGCCCAACTGTAAGCTAATATAAGTCTTCTGAGCATGTTCAGGGTAGGCTAGGTGTATTAAATGCATTTTCGACTTATGATGTTTTCAACCTAACAATGGTTTTGTTGGGATGTAACTCTATTGTATGTTAAGGAACATCTGTATATTTGTCACACAGACCGACCCTGGTACAACATAGAAGCCCACATAAGGGCGTGAATACTAGGATGTGTGGGGATTGTTGGAAGCCATCTTGGAGGCTCCTCACCACACTGATCCACTTGAGTGTCTGCAAAACTCCGTGTCATGTGACCAGTGTTTCTACAATTGCTGAAGCAGCTATTTGTGACAGTTTGATTATATTGGAGCCTAACCACAAATATTTTAAATATTTTTCCTTTTTCACTAAGCTTTTTTTTTTTCCTGATTACAAAAGTAACATTTGTGGTAGAAAACTGGAATACAGTTAGGCAGAAAGCCCTGGAAGTTAAACATTTTTCATATTCCCTTGTTCAGATTACTCTTAGTGAAATTTTATTTTGCTATCTAATTTTTTCATGTTTGTAGTAATACATATCTGTTCAAAATAAAGTTAATATATAAATGCTGTTTGTAAGCAGCTTTTATTTTCTGAACGTTTTTCAGTGTTATTCAGTACTCAGTGTCATTTTTAAACGACTGTTTTATGGTTCATGGCTATCCATAATTTTTTACTATGATGAATAATGTTACAATAAATATTCTTATCGCTAATTTTCTATGGATAATCATGACACTGATAGCCATTGTCTCAGTCCATTTCCTGCTGCTAGAGCAAAGTACCACAGACTGGGTAATTAGTAAAGAATAGAAATTTCCTTCTCATATTCTGGAGGCTGGGAGGTTTAAGATCAAAGTATCAGCAGATTCAGTCTCTGGTTCCAAGATGGTCCCTTATTGCTGCATCCTCTAGGGAGGAGGAATGTGGTGTCCTCCTATGGCAGCAGAGCAAGAGAGGGTGAAAGGGCAAGGTGAAAAGTGATGAACCTGTCCTTTTATAAGGGCACCAATCCCACCCATGAGGGTGGCCTCTTATGGTTTACTCACTTCTTCAAGGTCCCACATCTTAATACTGTGGCAATGGCAGTTAAATTTCAACATGAGTTGGGACAAACATTCAAACTGTAATAGCCATTCCCCACCCCATATCAATTCTTACTAATAATTCACATACAAATTCACCAAAAGTAATAATTGTAGGTATAAGTTTTATGATATTTGCATTAGTTTTTAAACAGGACCATAGTAGGGCTTCTAGGGATGAAGGTCCGTTGGTTTTATTGGGTTCTCAAGGATGACTAGGATATTCAAATCCTCAGTTAATTTGCAAAAATTGTTCAGTTGCTGTAATCATAGGAGTAACATAAACCTGTTGGAGTGGATATAAGAATAAAGCAATTCTAATATTCCTCAGACTCCTAAACTTCATAATACCTGTATAAGGTAAGAAGCAAGAAAAGTTTTACAGAGGTTTGCTACTTTCTAGAGTGATTTTAGTAAATGCCTATCAGAGGATTTGAATTTCTTTGTAGTCAAATCTTGATGTAGTTGAATTAATTAATTTTATTATTATTATTATTATTTGAGATGGTCTGTTGCCCAGGCTGGAGTGCAGTGGTGTGATCTTGACTCACTGCCACGTCTGCCTCCCAGGTGCGAGCAATTCTCCCACCTCAGCTTCTCAAGTAGCTGGGATTACAGGCATGCACCACCATACATGGCTAATTTTTGTATTTTTAGTAGAGATGTGGTTTTGCCATGTTAGCCAGGCTTGTCTCAAACTATTATTATTGTTAGCCAGGCTGGTCTCAAACTATTATTATTATTATTATTATTTTTTGAGACGGAGTCTCACTCTGTTGCCCAGGCTGGAGTGCAGTGGTGCGATCTCGGCTCACTGCAACCTCCACCTCCCAGGTTAAAGCGATTCTCCTGCCTCAGCCTCCTGAGTAGCTGGGATTACAGGCATGCGCCACCATGCCTGGCTAATTTTTGTATTTTTAGTAGAGATGGGGTTTCACCATGTTGGTCAGGCTGGTCTCAAACTCCTGACCTTATCATCCGCCTGCATCAGCCTCCCAAAGTGCTGAGATTACAGGCATGAGCCACCACGCCCGGCCTATTATTATTGTTTTTTGAGATAGGGTCTTGCTCTGTCACCCAGGCTGAAGTACAGTGGCACAGTCATGTCTCACTGCAGCTTTGACTACCTGGCTTAAGCCATTCTCCTACCTCAGCCTTCTGAGAACTGAGACCACAGATGTGTTCCACCATGCCTGGCCAATTTTTAAAACATTTTTAGTAGAGATGAGACCTTGCTATGTTGCCCAGGCTGGTCTCAAACTCCTGAGCTCCTATAATCCTCCTACCTAGTTGTAATAATTTATTTAGAATAATTTATTTAGAATTTATTTATTTAGAATAATTATATGAAGTGTCACCTCAGCTCAGCAGAATTCTCCCTCACAATTCCATTTTATTTTTTAGGACCTTTTTGAACATTAGTCTTGTAGTAGCTTATAGCTTCTGAGACCAGCATTTAATTTGTTTGTAGTACATTGTACTTCCAGGTGATAAAACAGCATTAAGCAGAGTACCTATTCCTCCTGGGTGGATGTCTCAGAATTTTGCCAATACTGATGAACTGTTCTCCAAAATCATTTTCTAGAGTTTAGGGTTTTTTTCCATCTGAATATGTACTAGTTATTTTCATGTACTGTGCTAGATGCTGAGATTACAGAACTGAGAAAGATAGCTCTCAGCTCCCAATAATTAATTTGATGAGTAGCACTGATAGAAGTTATATCCAGAATACTAGGGAACAATGAAACAAGCCCATTGAAGGCTGGAGAGCAATTGGAAGGCAGAGGACACTGCACAGGGGGTTCTATTTGAACAACTTTCTTTACCTTTATGTACACAGTCACATCACCCTATCAGTAAAAATGTTTTAATTGAAAACATTTTTATTGAATTGTATGAATCAAGAACATAATTGCTTCTTTCACCATTGAATAATATGTTATCAAATATGCATTAAATTGGTCGTCTTAGAAATGGCTAAAATATGTATTTATAGAATAAGAAGGTATTTGAATTTAATCAGCTCAGTCTCCAATCCTCTTTCTTTATCTGTTTGAATTCTTTGATGGGGCTTACAGACAGTTTATTCCAGTTTTTACAGTAATAAGTAATTGGAAAGATCTTGCTAGTGAGCCAAATCTGCCTCTTTTTGTCTTCTCCTCAGTAATTTTAGTTTTAAATTGTAAAAATTATCTCCCAGTCTGTGACTTATCCTTTCATTTTCTTAACCTTCAAAGACTGGAAGTTTTTTATTTTGATGCAGTCCAACTTATCAATTTCATAGATTTTGCATTTGACATTGTATCTAGGAAATCATCGAATGCCTAACCCAAGGTCACATGCCTAACTCTATGCTTTCTTCTAGAACTTTTGTGGCTTTAGGTTTTACATTTAGAAACAATCCATTTTGAGTTAATTTTTTTGTATATGGTGTATATGTGAATCTAAATTTTTGTTTGTTTGTTTGTTTGTTTGTTTGAGAGAGGATCTTGCTCTGTCACCAAGGCTGGAGTGCAGTGGTGTGATCATGGCTCACTGCAGACTCGCTTTCCCAGGCCCAAGCAGTTCTCCCACCTCAACCTCCCAAGCAGCTGGGGCTATAGGCGTGTGCCACACTATACCCAGCTAATTTAGTTTTTGTAGAGACTGTATCTCACTATGTTGCCCAGGCTGGTCTTGAACTCCTGAGCTCAAGCAATCCTCCTGCTTTGGCCTCCCAAAATGCTGGGATTATAGTCATGAGCCACCACGCCCAGCCTCTAAATTCTTTTTTTGCAATTGTATTTTTGCATCTAATTGTTCTAGCATCATTGTTTAAAAAGTGATTCTTTCTTTACTGAATTGCCTTTTGCACCTTTGTCAGCAGATGCTGAAAACTACAAACCACTCAAATGTCCATCAACAGGTGAATGAATAAACAAATTGTAAGATATCCATACCATGGAATACTACTCAGCAATAAAAGGGAATGAGCTATAGATACAAGCAACAGGGATAAATGTCAAAATTATGCTTACTGAAAGAAGCCAGATAAAAGAGTACATGTTGCATAATTCCTTTTATGTGAAACTGAAGAAAGTACTAACTAATCTATATTTACAGAAAGCAGATCAGTGTATGGAGGGGAGATGGAGGGAAAGGAAAGGGAGGGATTACAGTTGAACAGGCTTAAATATGTGCAGTTTGTCGTATGTTGTACCTCAATAAAGCTGCTCCAAATATAATTCTAAAATTTATATAGAATAACATAGTGGCTAGATAAGCTTTTGATAACCAAGGTTTTTCTTTTCCCATTTCTTAATTTTTTTTCATACTGTAACTCCAGTTTATTGTTCTTCTTAAAAAGGTATGTAGATCTGAATATAGCATTTGGAAAATAATTGATTGTTGTAAACTCACTTCAAGTATATCTTCTGTTTCTTTGAGTTATGTCATGCCAGTCCCTACAGAGTCTGTTAACCTTACTTGGTATCATTGTTTCACTTTGCTTATTATAATTTAACCCAAACTTCCCCAAATTTTCCACAATTATATTATTAATAGAAATTACAGAATACATCAGGATCAAGGCATATAAGGATTAAGGGGAGAGGAGTAAAAAAAGAAATGCGCAGGGGCAGAATTAAGGAATTTAGATTTTCACCTATGAGCAATGTGGAGTCTCTGAAGAATTTTAAGTAAGCTGAGTTAAACTAATTTCACTTTTTATTGTGATCAGCTGAACTTACATAAAAAGGCAGGCAGTATTTATCTAAGGGGATTTGCATCAGTCCCTTTGGTGTTTTAGTGAGTATATAGTTTTTTTGTAGTGGCAGAGTCAAAACCCCTATTCAGATATCTTAAATTTATTCCCAAGCCTTGTACATTATAGTTGCATCCTGTCAAGTGAACTGTAACTAGCAATTCAAAATTCAGAGTTACTTGAATGTTCTTGTTTCTGAGTATTTCTTGGGTTTATGAGATTGACAACTCTATTTAGGCCAGAGTATTTAGTCTACTGGAATTAAGCAAATACAGGTCCCATCTATTCATGTTTGCTATTTCTCAATTTAAAATCCTATAGCATGTAAGAGCATTAGCATTTTATTTGTCTTTCTTTCAATCCTTTAGAGTTAAGACTCACTAATTTGGGATTAGTTATGACTCTATGAGGCTACTACTGATTTTTGATAGGAACAAGAACCCAGGAAAGGAAAAAAAGGTAATTTATGAGCTGCAGCCAATTATCTGGCAACCAGAATGCCTTGTTGTTAAGAGTCTATTGTAACAAGTTTCTTTGTCTTCATACAGCACCTGTTACTGTGCAACAAGACCGTGTTTTTGAACACCTGGCATAACATGAAACTGTTAGGTTATATTGTGGCTAATCCTGAAGGAAGTTAGTTGAACTCTGGCTCATTTATTTAAACTCAGTCCTCCAGCATGACAGATTGGTGAATGTGGAAGTGGGTACCAGTTACTAAGTAAAACAAACATGCTCAGCCCATCTCTTGATCTGGACCCTGGATTTTGGGATAAAGTGAAGGGATGAGGGTAAGGGATGTTCACTTCAGAAGTCATTGGGGAGTTTCCAGTGATGTCACATCTGACTACCCTGGCATGGATATATAGAATCTCTTGGATCATACCATCCTGGCTCTGTTCCAGTTTTGTTTGTTTGTTTGTTTTTGTGTTTTTTTGTTTTGTTTTGTTTTTGAGACGGAGTCTTGCTCGGTCACCCAGGCTGGAGTGCAGTGGTGTGATCTCGGCTCACTACAACCTCCACCTCCCGGGTTTAAGCGATTCTCCCGTTCAGTCTCCCGGGTAGCTGGGATTACAGGCACCTGCCATCATGCTCAGGTAGTTTTTGTATTTTTGTAGTGACGGGGTTTCACCACGTTGGCCAGGCTGGTCTTGAACTGCTGACCTCAGGTGATCTGCCCACCTCGGCCTCCCAAGGTGCTGGGATTACAGGTATGAGCCACCACGCCCAGCCCAGTTCATTTTAACTCCACCACAACTCTCTGGAACTTCATGCCAGTGATGTAACTCTTATCGAACCCTTATTTCCTCATATAAAAAATGAAGGGTTTGGATTATTTTAAGGCTTCCTTCTGTGATTCTTCAATTTCATTATGTTTACTTTTAAAAATTGTTCAATGAAACTTCTAGGTAAACATAAAAGCAACTTGTTAAAAATTGTAAAATGGAAAGAAATAGACTAGTATACTGAAGGATATTGTATTGGAGACGGTCCCAGGAAAGCCCTACTTTCTGTGGGGTCTGGACCTTCTAAACATTATCTTTTTGGTCATTAACCTGTCCTCTATATTAATTGAGGCCTGTAAGCCTTAAGTGATAATGAAATGCAGCCAGACATGGTGGCTGACACCTGTAATCCCAGCACTTTGAAAGGCTGGGGCAGGAGGATTGCTTGAGCCCCGGAGTTAAAGATCAGCCTGGGCAACACAGCAAGAGCCTGTCTCCACAAAAAAAGAAAAAAAATGTTAATGAAATGCTACAATTCTGCTTCCAACCACTAGTTTGAATGTAGGTGCATGTGTTTAGTATTTCAATTTTAAATATGATTGTCTTTTAATGATAGTTTTAAAAGACTGGAGGTTTACTTGTGCATGGGCCTGATGCCCAGCCTGTGTGATACTAGTTCATTCCTGATGAGCCATGACTGTACCCACTAAGCCCCTTAAAGAGAGGGTACTCTTCCTCCTACTTCTCTTTCTTTGAGTTAAGAGTATTAATAGCACATGCATTCTAGTCCGTATTCTTGATGTTAAGACATGTTGGAAATGACTGAGGAGCGTTGTCCCTTTCTTGAGCACACAGACAGTTGCTAAATGCAGGGCTTGTCTTAAATTAATGTTCTCTGGTGTCTTCTATTACCATCTCACTCCATCATTAACCCCAGTGGTCTTCATCCTAGACATAACAGTGGTTTGCACTGTGGCATCCATGACTTTGCTCCTTTTTCTCCTTCAGCTGCCTCTCCAACCCTCTCACCTCCCCCTACAAAGTCTGGGTATATTTTTGCCCATTTCTTGCCTAGTGTTATCAATACTTCGAACAACTAGTATAAAGAACTTAGTGAAGAGCACTGGTGCAAAGTAGTATGTTCAGTCTGTTGGATATTTTTATCCCCTAGCCACTTTCTATTAGATAAACCATATGAAACTGCTGTTTTTGTATGTATATATATATATAATGTTTGCAGTTTTATATGGTTTCACTTTATAAATATACACAGTGATGATTTTTAACCAGAGATATGAACTACAGTTACCTAGGCAGTTTTTTACAAAATATATATATACACACACACTGTCTGCATCCTTGACCAGTGAATTAGGATCTTCATGGATGGTTCCAGAGTAAATGCATTTTTTAAAAACCTGATTCTGAGTCATACTCCTGGTTAAAAACACCTGTAAGCGAATCTTCCCTCTAGGCTATTTTTAGTTTTTTTATTTTAATTTTTTTTAGGGATGGAGTCTTACCACGTTGCCCAGGCTGGCCTCAAAATCCTGGGATCAAGCAATCCTCCCACCCTAGCCTCCTGAGTAGCTGGAACTACAGGCGTGCGCCACCGAGCCTGCCTCAAGCAGACTGCATACAGATGCATATGTTTTTGGTGTAATCAGTTGTCTGATATGAACTGAAACTTTTAAGTCTATGACTTCATAAATTGCTATTATTTAAAATTTTAAGATATGGACCGGGTGTGATGTCTCATACCTGTAATTCCTGCGCTTTGGGAGGCCGAGGCAGGCAGATCACTTGAGCCCAGGAGTTCCAGACCAGCCTGGGGCAAAATGGCAGAACCCCTCTAGAAAAAAACACAGCGAAAAAATTAGTCAGGTATGGTGGTGCTGCTGTGGTGGGGATGAAATGGTCTGAGGCAGGAGGATTGCTTGACCCCAGGAGGTCAAGGCTGCAGTGAGCTGAGATTGCATTGCACCACTACCCCTCAGCCTGGGCAAGTGAGAGAGACTCTGTCTCAAAAATAAAAAATAAATATGATCAAATCTTAAATTTAGATTTTTCAGTACTCTTAGGAAGAAAAATATAAGTGCTACAAGATGTTTTATGATTTTCAGGGAATTGTCAAGTCTTTTTTTTTTCCCCTAGTTTGTAACTTCACGTTATGTTTTGTATAACTTCAACTTAAGATTTTTTACTTTTCAGATACACTTTTATCTTTCATGAAAAGGAGTTAACAGTAGTGAGCAGGCTGTAGTTCGTTATTAACTTAATTATGACTCACAATGCAGCTTACCCTACATGATTCGTAATTTTATCGTAGCCAAGAGAAAATGGAGTTTCTTTGAACAGCATCTGTCTCCCTTCACTGCTGGTAATTTGTGTGTTATTATTAATCACTGTTTTTGGAATCTCTGGGTAAATAGGCACTAAATAAGCCCAAAAATATGAGCAAAAGTTGTCTGTTAATTCATTGGCCACTGCAGAAAGGAGTACTAAAGCCCAGAAAAGAGTTCTGAGCTTCCTTCTATCTCTCACTAGCGTGTTCTCTCTAATTTGCATTCCTTAAAAATGAGTTGCACTTGCTTTAGTGGCATGTATATTTTTTAAAAATACAGATAAGTTTAGTGTGGCTCCTGTATAAAAATGACTCTCAAAAAATAGTAATAAAAGGAACATGCTCTCCAAGGGAGCTATGTGCAGCTCTTGGCCCTTGGATGCCTGTGGCTGGGAGTCTGAATCTGTCTGCCCATGGCCCCCTCTTTAAAAAAATTTTTTTTTTAATTAAAAACAATTTAAGGCCAGGCACAGTGGCTCACGACTGTAATCCCAGCACTTTGGGAGGCCCAGGCAGGCAGATCACAAGGTCAGGAGTTCAAGACCAGCCTGGCCAATATGGTGAAACCCCACCTCTACTTAAAAAGTACAAAAATTAGCCGGGTGTGGTGGTGTGCACCTGTAGTCCCAGCTAGTTGGGAGGCTGAGGCAAGAGAATTGCTTGAACCCAGGAGGCAGAGGTTGCAGTGAGCCAAGATCACACCACTGAACTCCAGCTGGGGCAACAGAGACTCCATCTCAAAAAAAAAAAAAAATTGTAAAATGACTCCCACTTGTGATCCATTTCTTTAGAAATACATAACACTTATAAGAGGCAGTCTCTAGTGCTTAACTCAGAAGAATTCTTATCAAGAAGGAATATTGAATTTTATCCAATGCTTATTTCTTTTCTGTCTCTCTTTTTTTAATGAATTTGCCTTCTCTGCATAACTTTTTCTTTTCACTTGCATTGATTATATTGATTTTCTTATTGGGCCCATTCATGTGATTGTATTTTTATGCTTACTATTAATCTAATATTGCATTTTTGGAATACAGTTGACCCTTGAACAACACAGGTTTGAACCACAATAGTTTACTTACGCAGATTTTTTCAATAAATATATTGGAAATTTTTTTACAGATTTACAACAATTTGAAAAAACTTGCAGGTGAGCTGTATAACCTAGAAATATTGAAAACAAGATAGGTATATCATGAATGCATTAAATATATGCAGATACTAGTTTATTATTTACTATCAGGTACACAAATCTTATAAAAAGTTAAAATTTATCAAAATACATGCATACTATATTAGTCTGTTTTCATGCTGCTGACATGAAAGACATACCCAAGAGTGAGTAATTTATAAAGAAAAAGAGGTTTAATGGACTCAAACTTTTCCTGTGGCTGGAGAGACCTCACAATCATGGCAGAAGGTGAAAGGCATGTCTTACATGGTGGCAGACAAGAGAATGAGAGAGCCGAGCTAAAAGGGAAACTCCTTATAAAACAATCAGATCTCATGAGACTTATTCACTACCAAAAGAATAGTATGGGGGAAACTGCCCCCATGATTCAGTTATCTCCCAGCGGGTCCCTACCACAATACCTGGGAATCATGGGAGCTACAATTCAAGTTGAGATTTGGGTGGGTACACAACCAAACCATGTCATTCTGCCCCTGGCCCCTCCCAAATCTCATGTCCTCACATTTCAAAACCAATCATGCCTTCCCAACAGTCCCTCAAAGTCTTAACTCATTTCAGCATTAACTCAAAAGTCCACAGTTCAGTCACATCTAGACAAGGCAAGTCCCTTCAGCCTGTGAGTCTGTAAAATCAAAAGCAAGTTAGTTACTTCCTGGATACAATGAGGGTGCAGGCATTGGGTAAATGCACCCATTCCAAATGGGAGAAATTGGCCAAAACAAAGGGGCCAAAGGCCCTATGCAAGTCCAAAATCCAGCAGGGTGGTCAAATCCAAAATGATCTCCTTTGACTCCATGTCTCACATCCAGGTCACTCTGATGCAAAAGGTGGGTTCCCATGGTCTTGGGCAGCTCTGCTTCTGTGGCTTTGCCAGGTACAGCCTCCCTTCTGGCTGCTTTCATGAACTGATGTTGAGTGTCTGTGGCTTTTCCAGACTCATGGTGCAAGCTGTCAGTGGATTTACCATTCTAGGGTCTGGAGGACAGTGGCCCTCTTCTCACAGCTCCACTAGACAGTGTCCCAGTGGGGACTTTGTTGGGGGGCTTCAACCCCACATTTCCCTTCTGCACTGCCTTAGCAGAAGTTCTCCATGAGGGCCCTGCCCCTGCCTGGACATCCAGGCGTTTCTATACATCCTCTGAAATTTAGGCAGAGGTTCCCAAACCTCAGTTCTTGACTTCTGTGCACTCACAGGCTCAACAACACGTGGAAGCAGCTGCCAAGGCTTGGGGCTTGCACCTTCTGAAACCACAACCCGACCTGTACCCTGGCCCCTTTTAGTCATAGCTGGAGTGGCTGGGAGGTAGGGCACCAAGTCCCTAGGCTACACACAGCATGGGTTGGGGGGCCCTTAGCCCAGCTTTTGAAACCATTTTTTCCTCCTATGCCTCAGGCCTGTGATGGGAGAGGCTGCCACAAAGGTCTCTGACATACCCTGGAGACATTTTCCCCATTGTCTTGGTGATTAACATTGGGCTCCGGAGACATTTTCCCCCGTTGTCTTGGTGATTAACATTTGGCTCCGCAGATTTCTGCAGACGGCTTGAATTACTCCTCAGAAAATTGGCTTTTTTTTCCTATTGCATTGTCAGGCTGCAAATTTGTCAAAGTTCTATGCTGTTTCCCTTTTAAAACTGAATGCTTTTAACAGCACCAAAGTCACCTTTTCAGTGCTTTGCTGCTTAGAAATTTCTTCCACCAGATGCCCTAAATCATCGCCCTCAAGTTTAGAGTTCCACAGATCTCTAGTTCAGGGGCAAAATTCTCAGTCTCTTTGCTAAAACATAGCAAGAGTCACCTTTACTCCAATTCCCAACAAGTTCCTCATCTCCCATCTGAGACCACCTCAGCCTGGATTTCATTGTCTATATATCATTATCAGCATTTGAGTCCAAGCCATTCAACAAGTCTGTAGGAAGTTCCAGACTTTCCCACATTTTCCTGTCTTCTTTGGAGCCCTCCAGACTGTTCCAATCTCTGCCCATTACCCAGTTCCAAAGTCGCTTCCACATTTTTGGGTATCTTTACGACAGCACCCCACTCTACCAGTACCAGTTTCCTGTATTGGTCTGTTTTCATGCTGCTGATAAAGACACATCCAAGACTGGGTAATTTATAAAGAAAAAGAGGTCTAACAGACTCACAGTTTCCTGTGGCTGGAAAGGCCTCACAATCATGGCAGAAGGTGAAAGGCACATCTTACATGGTGGCAGATGAGAGAGTGAGAGAGCCAAGCTAAGTGAGACTTATTCACTACCATAAGAATAGTGTGGGGGAAACTGCCCCCATGATTCAGTTGTCTCCCACTGAGTCCCTCCCACAACATGTAGGAATCATGGGAGCTACAATTCAAGATGAGATTGGGTGGGGACACAACCAAATCATATCACATACAAACACAACTATATGTGGTGCCATTTGCAGTCAAGAGAAATGTAAACCAATGTAAAGATTCAGTATTAAATTATAACTGCATAAAATTAAGTGTAGTGCATATGATACTACTGTAATAATTTTATAACTACCTCCTGTTGCTATTGTTGAGCTCAAATGTTGCAAATACCTACTTCAAATGCCATGTGACACTAATTATCTCTGTGTGAGCAGTTCATCTCTCCAGTAAATGTAGTGTTTGTACAACACTGTAAACTTTAAATAACACTGTGGGACCCATAAGAAATGTTACTAGTGATGCTGGAAGTGCTCCCAAGAAGCAGAGAAAAGTCAACATTACAAGAAACAAGTTTAATTGCCTGATATGTACCATAGATTGAGGTCTTCAGCTGTGATTGCCCATCATTTCAAGATGAATGAATCCAGAGTAAGGGACATTGTAAAAAAAAAAAAAAGAAAAAATATATGAAGCCTTCACTGCAGCTACAGCAGCAGGCACAAAAGCTTTGCATTTGTTGCAAAATACATTTTTATCAAATTGAAAATTCAGCTTTTATGAGGGTGCAGGGTTGCTGTAAGAAAGGCATACCTTTCCAATCTGTCCCTGGGTCTAACGAAAAAAAGCCATAGCTGTAGACTCCAATGTGATTCCAGAAAAAGCAGTGTCATTATATGACAACTTAAAGCAAAAGGAAGGTGAAGGATCTAAAGCTGGAGAATTTAATGCCAGCAAGGGATGGTTTGATAATTTTAGAAAGAGGTTTGGCTTTTTAAATGTCAAGATAACATGAGAAGCAGCTTCTGCCAACCAAGAGGCAGCAGGTGAATTCCCAGAAGCCATTAAGAAAAACATTGAGGAGAAAGGATATCTGCTTGAACAGATTTTTAATGCAGACAAAATTGCCCTTCTGGAAAAAATTTTAAAAGCCACAAGGAACTTCTGTTGGTAGGGAAGAAAAGCAAGCACCAGGATTTAAGGCAGGAAGGAATAGGCTAACTACTATTTTGTGCAAGTGCAGTCGGGTTTATGATCAGGGCTGCCCTTATCTGTAAAGCTGCTAATCCCCAAGTCTTGAAAGGAAGAGATAAACACCAGCTGCCAGTCTTTAGGTTGTTGTACAACAAGAAGGCATGGACAACAAGAACCCTTTTTCTGGATTGCTTTCATCAATGCTTTGTCCCTGAAGTCAGAAAGTACCTTGCCAGTAAAGGATTGGTTTTTAAAGTTCTTTTGATATTGGATAATGCCCCTGGCCACCCCAAACCCTATGAGGTCGAAACTGAAGGCACTGAAGTAGTCTACTTGCCACCAAACACTACGTCTCTGAATTCAGCTTCTAGATTGGGGGTTGTAAGGACCTGGAAGGCTCATTACACACAGCACTCTGTGGAAAGGATGTCAGTACTATGGAGGACCCCAATAGAGGAACATCATGAAAGCCTAGAAGGCTCACACCATTGAAGATACCATCATTGTTATAGAAAAAGCTGTGAAAGCCATTAAGCCCCAAACAATAAATTCCTGCTGGAGAAAACTGTGTCCGAATGTTGTGTATGACTTCACAAGATTTATGACATAGCCAGTCAAGGAAATCTTGAAAGAGTTGGTGGACGTGCCAAAAAAAAAAAATAGTGGGAGGGGGAACAAAAGTCTGCTTGATAGAGATCAATGCTTCTGAACTGGTGCCAGGTGATGAGAAAGGAGTCCTAGAAGAAGCAAACCCATAAAACAAAGTGATGTTAGATAATCTAGCAGAAGGGTTCTTATTATTCAAGACTGCTTTTGACTTCGTTTACAACATAGACTCTTCCGTGATACAAGCACTAAAACTAAAGCAAATGGTGGAAGAAGGATTGGTACCACATAGAAACATTTTTAGAAAAATGAAAAAGCAAAAAAGTCTAATTACAATGCATTTCTTTAGCTACAATGAGTGTGCCTGCTTTTTCTGCCTCCTTTCCACCTCCTCCACCTCTTTTTCCTCTGCTACCCCTGAGACAGCAGGACCAATCCTTCCTCTTCCTCCTCCTCTTCAGCCTACTCAACATGAAAATGATGAGAATGAAGACCTTTATGATGATCCACTTTCACTTAATGACTAGTAAGTGTATTTTTCCTTCCTTAAAATTTTCTTAACATTATCTTTTCTCTAGCTTACTTTATTGTCAGAATACAGTATATAATACATATAACATATGTGTTAATCAACTATTATGTTATTGGTAAGGCTTCCAGTCAAATAAGCATTTGTAGTTAAGTTTTGGGGGAGTCAAAAGTTGGATTTTCGACTGCACACAGTGGGGTTGGGGGAGTTGGTTCAGTACCCCAATCCCTGTGTTATCCAAGAGTCGACTGTATAACACACTATACAGTAATGGATTATTTGTGTGCTGAGAGGTAAATTTCAGGTGTTGGTATTTTATGGAATTTCTCTGTTCATAAATGAGACTGCAATGTAGTTTTTTTTTTTTTTGGTGTGATTATCGCTATTTTATACCACTGACCTTATAAAATGATTTGGGTAGCTTTTCTGTGCCACCCGTGAGAATTATCTTTTTATGTTTAAGAGAAATTGCCTCTAACCTTTGTGTAAGGTCATTCTTACTAGTTTCTTCCATAGTGGTGATAAAGTTTAGTTGGCAAACACTTAGGATGTGAATTTTTTTTTTTTAATCCTGGCTTCACATCAATAGTGTGTCCTAGGGCACATTTTTAAAGCTTGATATGGCTCAATTTTCTCACCTATAAAATGTGAATGATAGGTCTAAAGTTGTTTTGAGGGTTTCATGAGATAATTAAGTACGCAGTTGAAAAAGTGTCTGACACAGAATAAGCACTCAATAAATAGGAAGATATTTATTTTTCCCCAAGGTTTTTGTCCTATCCAGTTATTTGGATTTTTTAATCTCCCTTTTTTTTCTTTCTTTTTCCTGCTTTCCTTGGAATTTTTCTCTTAGCTTGCTGAACTTTGTGACTGGTTGACTACTTTGTTTAAGATAGTCCTAGAAGAGAGTAAAAATTCAAAAAAAATGTATACTGGGTGTCAGGGCCACAAAGGTGACATTTTCTGACTTTACTCTCTAAGTTATATATAATGAATATATGTTACTTTTATAGTCATGAAAAAACACTGAGGATAGGAGGAGCTCAAGTTCCACCTGTGCCTGTGTGTGTTGGAAGGTGATGAACTCAAATGGTAGGATTAGGCGTATTCAACAGCATTCAAGATCACCTGTGGAAGTGAGTCTGTGCTAAACAGATTTGTGATGGAGAATGTAACTGATAATAGTTGTCATTAAACATAGTTTCAGGTAATATATTTTATATTCAGTGCCAAAGGGATTCTTTAAATTTAAAAAGTGACATTCGCAATGCCTTACTTATACAGGAAGGATCTTAACAGTACATACTAAGAGGTTAACCTGACTGGATGGATGTGGGGTGCCACATATACAAGTCAGAATTTAAGAGATTACTACTTTATATTTTCTTTCTTTCTTCTTAGCTGCTCGCTGTTACTCCTTAAAAAGAATTGGCTATTCACCCGCAGTTCCACAAAGTAAGAATTCAGCAGGTGGTCTGTAAAAGAGCTGTAGTAAAGGTTAATTGGCACAAAGGGAATCTTTGTTGCTATAGAGTCAGTCTTTAGCTTTACATTCCTGGTTTGTAAAAATAATGTCAATGCTTAATTTTCAAGGCTTTGATCAATACATCTTCTTATAAATTTTGAGTTTTAGCCAGCTTGTCCCAATGCTGAAGAAAAAAAACATTTTTGGGGAAAAAAATCACTTCAATCCTTCTCTGTAGCAGTTCAGACCATTAGCTTTCCTTTCTCTTCTCTCCTATTTCTGCCTCACTCCCACTCTTTTTGATGCCAGGTCTTGCCCCATCTTAAACTTTTGTGTTTATTTATGATTCTTTGGTCATCCATATCAGAAAACTGATTTACTCTTGAAGTTGGTATTGAAAAATAGTATTCTTTAAAACTCAGGCTAATTTTAATTGAATGTCTTGGAATTTTTTTTATACTTTCTAAATTTGAAATATTTTGGGGTTCCAAATCAAGTCAACTCAGGATTTTAACTCAAGTTCATGGTAATGAAAGCCAGTAGACTAAATATATGTGTCTACCTCCTCTTATCCCCAACTCCCTGTGAAAAGACAGGAAAAAGAATTTACAGACAGAAATTTGTAATTCTGTAATAGCACTGAGAATGAGAACAGATGGAGTGACCATCAGCAAAGCAGAGACTTTCTAGGTTGTAGAAGACAGAAGACAGATGGTGCTGATTGATGAAGCAGGGCGAAGGAAGGGCTACCCAGCATTCCCGTGAGGGAGGCCTGTAGGGGGAATCTCTTCTTCCCCACTGAGTCCTGAAGAGACTTTAAGCAATGAGTCAATAGGAACAGAGGGCAGAAGAGATGATAGGACTTGCTATTAATTAAAGGAATATAAGTGAAAAGCTAGCTTGATATCCTGCCCACACAACCAGCCCATACAAAGATTGCAGCAACATCTGTTCCATGCTAATTTTGGAAATCTATTTCGAAAAACATTTCTTTTTGAACTCACAGCCTGGGAGGACTAGGAGTTCTAATGAACATGTTAACAACCCAGGGTAAACTCTATTCTTTTGATATTTGGAGAAGGAGCCAATCTGTCAACCTGTTTCTTGCCCATGAACCTAAAGTGAAACTTTAAATACCCAGTGAATTTAAAGTGTCTTCCTGATCTGTTGTGAGAAGCAGATCTACCCAACAACGGAGGAAACTTACTATAGTGGACTGGGAGAGCAAGATAAAAGAAAGTCTAGCCAATGGTGACATGAAATTACACAAAATGTGATACAAGATATTATTGCCAGATGAGTAAAGGATAAGAACTAGCAATTCACAAAATAAATACTACATAGAAAAAGTATCCACCCTCTTTAAGAAATCAGAGATATAATTAGAAATAACAATGAGATATTTTTCACAGTATACAAGTAGCAGGTTTTTTAAAAGAATACACAATGCCAGTAGGGATACTAGCAATACTAGCATAGTTACTGTGCTAAAGTACAGCACTTTAAGAAAGCATTTGGACAATGTGCATGATAAACCTTAAACAGTCAATTTATTAATTTTCCATTTCTTAGAGTCTATCTCATGGAAAGTACTTTAAATGTAGAAATAGGTGGTCATCCATTATAATTTTGAAGAATTCAAAACAGCTCTAATGTCTTATATTATGGTTTATGGTAAGTTAATTGCTTTGTGTCTACAGGATGATATATTACATAGCCATTAAAAATTACAGCTATGAAGTCAGTAAAACAACATAAGGCTGGGCGCAGTGACTCATGCCTGTAATCCCAGCACTTTGGGAGGCTGAGGTGGGTGGATCACCTGAGATCGGGAGTTGAGACCAGCTTGACCAACGTGGAGAAACCCCATCTCTACTAAAAATACAAAAATCAGCTGGGCATGGTGGCGCATGCCTGTAATCCCAGCTACTCGGGAAGCTGAGGCAGGAGATCACTTGAACCCAGGAGGTAGAGATTGTGGTGAGCCGAGATCGCACCATTGCACTCCAGCCTGAGCAACAAGAGCGAAATTCCATCTCAAAAAAAAAAAAAAAAGAAAAGAAAAGATAAAGTAAGGCCAGGCGCAGTGGCTCACGCCTGTAATTCTAGCACTTTAGGAGGCCAAGGCGGGCGGATCATGAGGTCAAGAGATCGAGACCATCCAGGCCGACATGGTGAAACCCCATCTCTACTAAAAATACAAAAATTAGCTGGGCATGGTGGCGGTTGCCTGTAGTCCCAGCTACTCAGGAGGCTGAGGCAGGAGAATCGCTTGAACCTGGGAGGCAGAGGTTGCAGTGAACCGAGATCGCACCACTGCACTCCGGCCTAGCGACAGAGCAAGATTCTGTCTGAATAAATAAATAAATAAAATAAAAATACAAGTGGGACGTAAGTAGTAAGGAATGCAAAAGGCAAAATGATGTATAAGAATTTAATACATCCTTTCCCTCCCCCTCTTGCTCCATCTCTGTACTTGATTTTAAGATCTTTGAAGTCAAGGATCTTGACTTGCTCACCTATGAACCTATCCCCCACCCTCTCCCAATGCCTAGCATAGTACCTGACTCAATAAATACATGTTGGTGCAGAATATAGTCATAGGAAAAAGAAAAAGGAAATCCAGAAGCATACCAAAAGATCAGAGAAGCAGCTATACAAAGAGAGCCAACTTACAGATGAAACATGTGTTAAAGAGTGGGATTTAACAGATGTCTTCATGTAAACCAGAGGCTATGCTTAGATTTTTCTTTTAAAATATTTCATTTGTGGGCCAGGCACGGTGGCTTATGCCTATAATATCAGCACTTTGGGAAGCCAAGGTGAGAAGTTCACTTGAGGCCAGGAGTTCAAGACCAGCCTGAGCAACATAGTGAGACCCTGTCTGTACAAAAAAAATAGAAAAAAATTAACCAGGCGTGCCTGTAGTCCCAACTACTCAGGAGGCTGAGGCAGGAGGATTGCTTGAGCCCAGGAGTTTAGGGCTGTAGTGAGGTATAATAGCACCACTGCACTCCAGCCTGGGTGATAGACCGAGACTCTGTCTCTTTAAAAAAAAAAAAAAAAAAGCCTGCTAGTAAACTTTCTGTCACTATTCTAATACATGGTTTGATGTAAGTCTTAATCAGTTAAGCAAGTGCCCTACTCATTTTTAAACTGGATCATTCAGGCATGGTTAATTCAGTTATTTTTTCTGGCTGCATTTTTTAAAATTAACAAAGCTCTCATGGACAATATCAAGTTCATAAATATATCAATAACAGAAACTCAAACTACCAGGCTATATATATGCTTAATTTGTAGTAGCTCATACATAGAACCTAAAGCAGATATAAATTACTTAAATTATACTTTTAAAGATTAGATCTATTAAACATCTAAGCCTGCATTATTATTATTTTTGTAGAGACAGGGTCTTGCTGTATTGCCTAGGCCAAAGTACAGTTGTGCAATCTTAGCTCATTGCAGCCTCAAATTCCTGAGCTTAAGTGATCTTCTCACCTGAGCCTCCTGAGTAGCTAGGACTACGGGCGTGTGCCACCACATCCAGGTAATTTTTATTATTTTTTGTAGAGACAAAGTCTCACTGTGTTGCCCAGGCTGGTCTCAAACACCTGGTCTCAAGTGATCCTCCCACCTCAGCCTCCCAAAATGCTGGGATTATAGGTGTTAGCCACCATGCTCAGCTGAACATTATTTCTTTATTCAATTTTGTAAGCTGTTAAATTCAGTAAATAAAAACATCTATGTATTTAATTTCCAAATATGTAATACATTCACATGGATCAAAATTCAAAAGGTGATGTATCCTTCCAGAATTAGCATAGGAATATGGAAGCACACATATATCTTTGCAATTAATTATTAATGCTTTTCTAAACTATATCTTATTTTGAAAACACAGGGGTTTAAAAACAAATATTAAAATATAAATAGCAGTTTATGAGTCTTTTATTTCCTTTTCCACCTTTCAGGTTCTACCCTGTTACTTATTTCTCAATATTGCTGAAAACATTCAGGTCATAGTCTAGTAGCAAAACCACTGGG
This sequence comes from Homo sapiens, assembly GCF_000001405.40. Taxonomy (NCBI): domain Eukaryota; kingdom Metazoa; phylum Chordata; class Mammalia; order Primates; family Hominidae; genus Homo; species Homo sapiens. The sequence continues at coordinate 39,670,806 of NC_000007.14, forward strand.
GCTGGGGTAAGAAAACTGCTTATTCTTAAGCTACTCTCAGATTTTTCTTATTAAATATTTTGATCTTTTAATAGATCAATATTGATTTCCATCATTTCCTTACAGTAACTCTTCTCTCCCCTCCTACTCCCAACTGGTCCCACAGAAGCTGCTTGTTTCCTTTCCTTTCCTTACCATAGTCACTTAAGCTAGGAAGTTTGTTGTTTTGGCTTAAATTCTCGCTTTCCTTTACCCCTCACAACTAATCTAGTTCATTTGACTCTTTTTTTTTCTTAATATCTTTTAGATCCATCTGTCCCACCTCCCTAGTCCTAACTCAAGTCATCATTGACCTGTAGCCTTCCACCTGTTCTTCCTGCCTTCTGAGTCCCAGTCTCTTTTTTTAAAACTCCTGGTGCTTCTCCATTGCTCTAAGGATAAAAATCTAAAGACTTGGTTTATAAAGTTCTGTCTTTGGCCCTTTTACTTTTTATAGCTTTCTTTCTTACTGTCACCCCAAGGTTCACTTAATTTGCTAATGCTTTGTCTTTCAAGTCTCAGCCATCACTTTCTCATGTGTTTTAGAAATTTTTTATAAGTTTTAACTGTGGTAAGGGCTTTACCTTTGTGCTACTGGTAATGATTTTGCACTGACTGTGGACTGAGTATATGTGGCATATAAAGTTAGGGTCTTCTAAAAAGACGCCTGAATATTTGTTACGCTTTATTGAATAATTATTTAGGCATATTAGATATCTTACATATGCTGTTTTATTAATGTTAACCTTAGTGTTACAAACAAGCTGAAACCCAGGGAGATAAAACTCGACCCTTCATTATGTTAAGATTCTGTGCTTTGATGTCTGACAACATGTCTGGCAAGTCTTATAAATAAATTTTATTTTGCAGACAAGGCAAAACGTTAAACCATCTTTAAGCCATCAACTACTGTACCCTTAAAACAGAATATTACTTTTCTTAGTTCAGTCTTTGTTATTATTTTGTGTTCTTCTTATTCAGTACAATTAGAGTAACGTGAAAATACTAAGTTGTTATGTTTCAAAAGTAGAAAAATGCCGCAGGGATTTTCTTTGAATGTTGTTCCTACCGAGCTTGATGGCGTATTTAAAATGGAGGGTTTAACTATTTAGGATGTCAGTTATAACTAATGTCATTTTTTTGACTTCCTTCCATCTCTTTATAATAAATTATTAACTAAATAATAAGGCTTTATTTGTAAATATTCAAAACATAGTAGTTAATTTGCCACTTAAAATGTCAAACATTTTTGAGACACCAAAAGCATAAAGAAAAATACTCATCAAAAAATATGTCAAGAAAATGAAAAGATAAGCCACAAACTGGAAGAAAATATTTTCAAAACACATCTCTGGAAAGGATTTGATTCAGAATATATAAAGAACTCTTAAAACTCACTTAAAAGACAAAACAAAAGTTTTTTAATGGACAAAAGATTTGAACACCAGAGTCATATGGATGGCAAGTAACTACATGAAAAGAGCTCAACATGATTAGTTATTAGGAAAATGCAAATTAAAAGGAAATACCACTACACATTCACTAGACTGCCTAAAATTAGAAGCCTGGGACAGTGCCAGGATGTGAAAGCAACTGGAAATCTCATACATTGTTAGTGGAAATGCAAAAAGGTACAGCCACTTTGAAAAACATTTAATCACACACCATACAACCTACCAGTTCTGCATCTGTTGTTTACCCAAGAAAAATGAAAACATGTGTAGACCTGTACACAAAAGTTTATGACAGCTTTACTTATAAAATTTTAAAAAATGGAAATAACATAAATCATGATACATCCAGACAATGGAATACTATTCAGTCGTAAAAAAAAAAAAAAAGATGCATGCACTGATACATGCAACAATATTTGTGTGTCTCAAAAGCCTTGTCTAACAGAAAGAAGCCAGGCATAAAAAGCTACATACATTATGATCCAAAAGGCAGAACAGTAAGGCCTGAAATCCTATCAGTGGCTGCCAGGGTGATGGAGAAGATTATCTGCAAAGGGACAAGAGGAAACTTTTTGGGGTAATGGAAATGTTCTGTACCTTGATTGTGATGGTAGTTACATGACTGTATACATTTATCAAAACTCATTAAACTATACACTTAAAAGGGTGAATTTTATTGTATGTAAATCAACCTTCCCTCAAAAAGTTCGAGTCAGTTTTCAACATATGGCAAAACACTTTCTCTACTAAAAATACAAAAATTAGCTGATCATGGTGGTGCACGCCTGTAATCCCAGCTACTCAGGAGGCTGAGGTGGGAGGATTGCTTGAGCTTGAGAGACGGAGGTTGCAGTGAGCCGAGATCGTGCCCCTGCTCTCCAGCCTGGGCGACAGAGCGAGACTCTGTCTCAAAAAAAAGAGAGAAATTATCTTCACAAATTTTATGGTGAAGAAAACTTTAGGAGACAGATCAGAAGACTTCTGAGTCAGGTGCTTTGTGTTTTGACTTACTAGGTTTTTTTTAATCATGAAGATATTTTTAATTTTCATAATTAATAGTCTTTTTTTACTGTCAGAGTTTTGTACCTTTACCAAAATACACTCTTTATGTCTCAAGAACAGGTTGTCTTCATTTATTCAAGTCATGCTTTATGTTACTTAAGTGTTATTATTAAACTGTCTTCATGTATATCTTACACAGATAGTGGTAATTTTATTCTTAGTTATATACTCTTTGTGAGTGAGGTTGTAAATTGGGTCTTTCATTATATATTCTGTCATTTGAGAAGAAATTTAATTGTATATGTTATATTCCTTATATAACCATTTACCCTTTGAAATCTCTTATTTGTAGTAATTTTGCAGTTGATTCCTTTGGTCTTTCTAGGTATGAAATCATATTATCAGTTAATAATGATCATTTGCCTCTTTCTTTCCTTTTCTAATATGGTACCACTTCCAGAACAGTGCCAAGTAAGAGTGATGCTAGCAGCCACCCTTATCTTACTCCTGATGTTAATGGAAGTGCTTTTATTTTGTCATTAAAAATGATTTTTAAGAGACAGGGTCTCCCTTAAGAGGGTTGGCCAGACCTAGTGGCTCAAACTTATAATCCCAGCACTTTGGAAGGCCGAGGCAGGTGGATTGCTTGAGCTCAGCAGTTCAAGACCAGCCCAGGCAACATAGTGAGACCTCGTCTCTACTAAAAATTCAACAAAGAAAATTAGCCTGGAAGTAATTACCTGGGACTACAGGCATGCACTGTAAATAAATAAATAAATAAATAAATAAATAAATAAATAAATAAATAAAAGGTTGAGGGGGGGTGGTCTTACTCTGTAGCCCAGGCTGTAATGCAGTGGCAAAATCATATCTCACTGTAACCTCAAACTCCTGGGCTCAAACCATCCTCCTACCTTAGCCTTCTAAAGCACTGGGATTACAGATTAGAGCCGCTGTACTGGGCCTGATTTGGGTTTTAAGACAGTTTCCATGTGATTAAGTGAACAATAATCTATTTCTACTTGTTTTATGAACAATTTTATCAAATATTATTCTAGAACCTGTAGAGATACTCATATGATTTTTTTCATCTATTAATATCAGAAATTATGACTTACTAAGCCATTCTCGTATCTGGTTTGAATCACACCTGGTCACTTGGGTTTATTCTTTTAATGTGCTAGATTCTATCTGTTAACATTTTTCACTTAGAATTCTTTGCCCCATATTCATGTGATAGTCCAATCATTCTATTTTGTCTTTATTCTATTTTTGTCAGTACTCTGCATCACTGTTAGCCTAGCTTGCTAAAAAGAATTTGGAAGCTTTCCCTGTGCTCTGAGACATTAAATAGTACAGATTGAGTATCCTTTATCCTAAGTGCTTGGGACCAGAAGTGTTTCAAGATTTTTTTGGATTTTGGAATATTTGCAAATGCATATTGAGATATCTTGGGGGATGGGACCCAAGTCTAAACATGAAATGCATTTATGTTTTATATACACTTTATACATATAGCAGCCTGAAGGTAATTTTATGCTTTTTTTTTTTTTTTTTTTTTTGAGTCAGAGTCTTCCTCTGTTGCCCAGGCTGGAGTACAGTGGCATGATCTCAGCTCACTGCAACCTCCACCTCCTGGGTTCAAGCAATTCTCCTGCTTCAGCCTCCTGCATAGCTGGGATTACAGGCACACGCTACCACACCCCGCTAATTTTGTTGTATTTTCAGTGGAGACGGGGTTTCACCATTTTGGCCAGGCTGCTCTCAAACTCCTTACCTCAGGTGCTCTGGCTGCCTTGGCCTCCCAAAGTGCTGGGATTACAGGCGTGAGCCAGTTTTTAATAATTATGTGTGTGAAACAAAGTTTGTATATGTGGAACCATTTTGCTGCTCTGTGGGAATGCTTGCATGAGAGAATCTGGGCATGTGCAGAAAAGATACATTGCAGCTGAAGAGAGCTAGCAGGGTCCTGGGGATGCTGAATAAACTGTATTGGGCACTTGCGTTTTGACCACATGAGGTCACATGAGGTCAGGTGTAGAATTTTCTACTTGTGGCATCATGTCAATGCTCAAAAAGTTTCAGATTTTGGAGCATGTCCGATCTTCAGGTTAGAGATGCTCAACCTGTATTGATGATACTTGTTCTTCTGTCAGTTAGGAAAATATACTTGTGGGCCTGGCACAGTGGCTCAGCCCGTAATCCTAACATGGAGGCCTAGGCGGGAGGATCGCTCGAGCCCAGGCGTTCAAGACCAGCCTGGGCAACACAGACCCTGTCTCTACAAAATACTTTAAAAATTAGCTGAGGGTGGTGCGTGCCTGTAGTCCTAGTTACTCAGGTGGCTGAGGTGGGAGGATCACTTAAGCCCAGCAGGTCAAGTCTGCAGTGAGCTGTGATGGTACCATTACATTCTACACTCTAGCCTGGGCAACAGAGTGAGACCATGTCTGGGAAATTAAAAAAAAAAAAAAAAAAAAAACTGTATATCTCCTTTTCTTGGTCATGTATATTCTACCTCTTCTGAAATTGTTCATTTTATATTACCTGTGTTTTTTTAATTGAGCAAATATTCTTAATGCAGATAGGGAGTATCATGTGTGAGTTGTTTATATGAAATACTTTCCATTCACTAAGACGGCCTTTACCTACTTGAAATTTATAATGATTTGATAGGGGCAGAACTTTAATGATCATAAGTCTTTTTATTTTTTTTGAGGCAGTCTCACTCTGTCACCCAAGTTGGAATGCACTGGCCTGATCTAGGCTCACTGGAAGCTCCGCCTCCTGGGTTCACGCCATTCTCCTGCCTCAGCCTCCCGAGTAGCTGGGACTACAGGCGCCCACCACCACGCTGGGCTAATTTTTTGTATTTTTAGTAGATACGGGGTTCCACTGTGTTAGCCAGGATGGTCTCGATCTCCTGACCTGGTGATCTGCCTGCCTCGGCCTCCCAAAGTGCTGGGATTACAGGCATGAGCCACCGCACCCAGCCGATCATAAGCCTTTAATGCACCGTTCAGATCAGAGGCAAGGGAAATGCTTCCTTGAATCAGTTTATTAAAAAGGACTCTCACAACTTTTACCAGCCAATATTTTTATTAGACTGAAGCCTAAAACAGGTTATGTATCCTTTATCTGAAATGCCTGGGATCAGAAGTGTTTGGGATTTTGGATTTTCTTCAGCTTTTAGAATATTTGCATTATACTTACCGGTTCAGCATCCCTAATCCAAAAATCCCAAATGCTCCTATGAGCATTTCCTTAGAGGGTCATATCATCACTAAAAAATGCTGGATTTGGGAGCATTTCACATTTTGGATTTTTGGATTAGCTGTGCTTATCCTGTAATGAGCTTCTCTATCGAAAATCTAAAGAAGATAATAATGAATTCTGGACATACAAAGATCATTGGGGTTTTTGTTTTGGCAGGCATGGGGTATTTGACACCTTACTTGGTAGAGTATTCCTTAGTAAGTATTGAAAAAACGGGTTGATTGTTTTTTAGAATAATTTTTAAAGTTTAAGATAGAGAGTTTAGAGTCTGGATTGGAGATCTGTGGTCCGAAGCTCCTTGACCCACTTTCCTGTGTATGGTAAGCAGTAGGCTGAGTAATGGCCCCACAAAATATCCATGTCCTAACTCCTAGAATCTGTGAATGTTGCTCTGTGTGGCAAAAAGGAATTCTGCCAGCATAATTAAGGATTTTGAAGTGAGGAGATTATTCTGGATCATCTGGTTGGGCCAAATGAATCACCAGTGTCATAAAAGGGAAGTAGAGGGAGGTTTGAGTTTGGCTAAAGTAGAGGAGAAGGTAGTATGGCCACAGAAGCAGAGTGGTGCTTCTGTGATGCGGCCAGGGGCCAAGGGATGCCCCAGGCTCTAGAAGCGAAAGAGGCAAGGAGCACATTCTCCCCTGAAGCCCCCTCAAGGAACCAACCCTGTTGGCATCTTCTTTTTAGCCCTTTAAGATTCATTTTGATCTCATTGTTCAATTCCCACCTATGAGTGAGAATATGCGGTGTTTGGTTTTTTGTTCTTGCGATAGTTTACTGAGAATGATGGTTTCCAATTTCATCCATGTCCCTACAAAGGACATGAACTCATCATTTTTTATGGCTGCATAGTATTCCATGGTGTATATGTGCCACATTTTCTTAATCCAGTCTATCATTGTTGGACATTTGGGTTGGTTCCAAGTCTTTGCTATTGTGAATAATGCCGCAATAAACATACGTGTGCATGTGTCTTTATAGCAGCATGATTTATAGTCATTTGGGTATATACCCAGTAATGGGATGGCTGGGTCAAATGGTATTTCTAGTTCTAGATCCCTGAGGAATCGCCACACTGACTTCCACAATGGTTGAACTAGTTTACAGTCCCACCAACAGTGTAAAAGTGTTCCTATTTCTCCACATCCTCTCCAGCACCTGTTGTTTCCTGACTTTTTAATGATTGCCATTCTAACTGGTGTGAGATGATATCTCATAGTGGTTTTGATTTGCATTTCTCTGATGGCCAGTGATGAGCATTTTTTCATGTGTTTTTTGGCTGCATAAATGTCTTCTTTTGAGAAGTGTCTGTTCATGTCCTTCGCCCACTTTTTGATGGGGTTGTTTGTTTTTTTCTTGTAAATTTGTTTGAGTTCATTGTAGATTCTGGATATTAGCCCTTTGTCAGATGAGTAGGTTGCGAAAATTTTCTCCCAATGAGATCACATGGACACAGGAAGGGGAATATCACACTCTGGGGACTGTGGTGGGGTCGGGGGAGGGGGGAGGGATAGCATTGGGAGATATACCTAATGCTAGATGACGCGTTAGTGGGTGCAGCGCACCAGCATGGCACATGTATACATATGTAACTAACCTGCACAATGTGCACATGTACCCTAAAACTTAAAGTATAATTAAAAAAAAAAAAAAAGATTCATTTTGGGCTTCTGGCATCCAGTACTGTAACAGAATAAATGTGTGTTGTTTTAAGCCACTAATTTTGTGGTAATTTGCTGCAGCAGAAACGGGAAACTAATACATTGTGGAACCTGTTAACTAAACATACAAGGGCAGGATTCCATAGCCTCAGCACCTAGCACAGTGCCTTACGTAGTAAGGTAGGCCCTTGGTGTATTTTTGGAGAGAAGGAAAAATGGAGGAAAGAAGAAAGGAAATAAGTAGCTCGTATGAGCATGGTGTAGTTGTCTAGTTTCTGGATGAAGCAAAGCTTGAAGTGAGCTTGAAAACTTGAAGCCCACCCATCACCCCAAATAGGTTCTATAGTATTATTCTAGGATATCACTTTAAAAAGTTGAACGGTAAGAGACAGAAAATAATTGAGGAGCCAAATAAGTCACACAATTTGGAATTCAAGGACCCCTGTTCCTTTGAAGGGGAAAAATACAAAGGCATGTACATGTGGATAAGTTGTATTTTAATTAAAATTCAAGCTCATACCTCCAATTTCTAGTTTATATAAGGTACCAAGAACATAGTTAATTGCAGTTTTGCCAAGTAGAATAAATAAGTGGGCTTTGTTGATTTATTTTATGACTAGTTTTAATTATATTTTTTAAATAAAGTATACATTTACATGATACAAAAATCAAATGTACAAAATGGTATACTCTCTCACCTCTGTAGTGACTTAGTTTCCATTTTCACAGACAACCTTGTGTTACCATTTTAAAAAAAAATCCTTCCAAATATATGAACAGGCAAATCCTGAATGTTCCTTTTTTGTTTTAATGTTTTTAGGCAATGCATAGCATATGGGATATGTTGTTCTGTATCTTTTTTTTTTTTTCCACTTTAGCTCTGTGTTGGAGTTCCTTCTATTTCAGTGCGTAAAGAGCTTCCTCATTTTTTGTGGTTACATATTATTCCATGTATCAGATTTACAGTTCCACCAGCAATCATTGAATATGCCTATTTCTCTACACCACGGATAGACAAAAATTTTCTGTAAAGGGCCGACAGAAAATATTTTAGGCTTGCAAGCCACATTCTCTGTTACGTATTCTTCTTGGTTTGGTTTGATTTTAATTACAACCCTTCAAAAACAAAAACCATTCTTAACTTACAGGCCATACGAAAACAAGTCAAGGGGGCTCTGGTTTGCTGGCCCTTGCAAACATACAGTTATCAGTTTGGTGGATAAAACGTTATCCCAGTATAGCTTTATTTGTATTTATCTTATCAGTGAGGTCAAGTATACTGAGTCATTTGTATATCCTTTTCTGTGACTATTCATATTTTTTGCCCAATTTCCTGCAGTTTTTTATTTATAGTAACTATTTTAAAGACTAGTCAAGTGCAGTAGTGAGAAGTGCAGTATAGCTTTTTATATAGAGAAATCATCTCTTATCTGTAAAATGAATTGCAAATGTTTTCCACAGTTTTATCTTTTTACTTTGCTTCTAGAAGATTTTGCCATGCAGAATTTTTTTTTTTGAGACAGACTCTCTGTTGCCCAGGCTGGAGTGCAATGGCGCAGTCTTGGCTCACTGCAACCTCTGCCTCCCGGTTTCAAGTGAGTTTCCTGCCTCAGCCTCCTGAGTAGCTGGGACTACAGCCGTGCGCCACCATGCCTGGCTAATTTTTATATTTTTAGTAGATATGTGGCTTCACTATGTTGGCCAGACTGGTCTCAAACTCCTGACCTCATGATCACCCTCCCAAAGTGCTGGAATTACAGGCGTGAGCCACCGCGCCTGGCCAGAAATTTTTTTCAGTAGTACAATTTTTCAAACTTATGACGGGTTTTATGTAATACTTTAGACCTTCCCCACTCTAAGGTTATGAAACAGGCTGGGCGCCGTGGCTCACTCCTGTAGTCCCAACACTTTGGGAGGCCAAGGCAGGCAGATCACCTGAGGTCGGGAGTTTGAGACCAGCCTGACCAACATGGAGAAACCCCGTCTTTACTAAAAATACAAAATTAGCCAGGTGTGGTGGCATGCACCTGTAGTCCCAGCTACTCGGGAGGCTGAGGCAAGAGAATTGCTTGAACCTGGGGTTGGTGAGGCGGAGGTTGCAGTGAGCTGAGATCGCACCATTGCACTCCAGCCTGGGCAACAAGAGTGAGACTCTGTCTCAAAAAAAAACAAAAACAAAAAAAACACAAATATATATATATATATATAAACTAGCTGAGCATGGTGGTTCATGCCTGTAATCCCAGCTGCTCGGAAGGCTGAGGCAGGAGAATCACATGAACCCAGGAGGCAGAGTTTGCAGTGAGCCGAGAGTGCGCTACTGCACTGTAGCCTGGGTGACAGAGCGAGACTGTCTCAAAAAAAAAAAAAAGATTAAAAAAGATGATCAGTTCTTTCATATTTTTTTCCTTGTGCCTTTGTGATTTCATTTTGTCACTTAAATCTTTGATCTACTTAGGCTTTATATTGGTATGAGGAGAATAGATCCAACTTTTATTTTTTTCCAGTTGGCTTGACAATTGTCCAAACACTACCTGTTGAATTATTCTCCGTCTTCCCCCACCCCCATTTGAAGTGCCACCGTTTATTACACACTACACTACAGTATGTATTTGAATCTGGTTTTGTATATTCTGTTCTATTGATCTATCTAGACAGGCTTGCTTTTGAATTCCGGCTCCCTCGCAAAATTATCTGTGGTTATATTTCATTGAAGAAATTTAGATACAGTCAAAGAAATAAATCTACCTGCAGCCGGCATCTATACCCCTATTCTTTGCATTGTCTTACCTCCCATTACAAAGGAAGAGATGTCCCTGCTCCTGTTATGTTCCAGGTCCTAATTCTTCTGGTTCACTCCAGAACTTTGCTCCTAGAGTTCACTCTGTCTTCTAGATCATTAATTTATGCCTCTTTTGGATGATTGTTATGCAGACATCCCCTAATAACATTTAAAAAGCAGCCAAACAAAAAGCCCTTTTCCTAACAACACCTTCCCATTATGATTGCATTTCTCCATTCATCTTGAGAGTAAAAATCCAATTCTGTACCTTCTGTTTCTCCTCAACCCAAACCCACCCTATTCCTTTTTTTTTTTTTTTTTTTTTTTTTTTTTTTTTGAGACAGAGTCTTACTCTCTAGCCCAGGCTGGAGTGCAATGGTGCAATCTTGGATCTTGGCTCACTGGAGCCTCCCGGGTTCAGGCGATTCTCATGCCTCAGCCCTGCAAGTAGCTGGGATTACTGGCATGCACTACCCACCCCATTCTTACCTCAATTGGTGAAATGACTCTTCCCAAGATTAACAACAACCTCCATCTTGCACAGAATTAGCTCTTTTTTGTCTCTCCTCATATCTCACCTCAGTCGGTCGGCAGGATTTAAGTCAGCCAGCCTCAGTGACTGTGCGATTACTAGATCTCCTGCTGAACTAGCCTGTTGAGTTGTTTCAGGGCTCTTTCCTTTGCCACTTTCTCGTATCTATCTTCATCTTCTCCCTAAGAAAGCTCATGCCATTTTGTGACTTCAAATATCATCTGTAAACTGACGTGCAATTTTTTTTCCATCTCTACCCTCATCCCTGAACTCTAGACTAAAACATTCAGTTTTTCTTGTTCAACTCTAGTTGAAATGTCTAATGTGCAAGCAGAGCTTGGGATTTCTTTCCCAGACCTATTCCTTCTTGGTCCTTCTCCATCTTAGGTATAGATGCCTAACATTCAGATATTTGGGACAAAAACTTAAAGGTTAGTCTTGTTTTCTCCCATCCAGTCAATCAGGAAGTCCTATCAACTGTTTCTTCAAAATGTATTCCAAATAACATAGTGGTTAGGAGAGCAGGCTCCCTCAGTTTGAATTCTGGCTCGGTCTTGAGCAAGTTGACATCTGTGACCCAGATTCCTCATCTGTTAAATGAAGTTAAAATAGTACATATCGCCTAGGATTGTAAATATCTGAAATGTAGTACTCAGCTGAATTAGTATGTGCAGAGTGCTCAGAACAGTGCCTTGCACTTAGTGAGTGGTCAGTAAATGTTGGTTGTCCTCAGTATAGGTGGTATTAGTAGTTATACGGGAACTGGTAATACCATTGCTGCTGCTGCTGCTGCTGCTGTACCCCAAGCCTCTGTCCTCTCTTGCATGGATTACTGGGATAGCCTCCTATACTTTCAACTCTTGATACTTCCACTGTCCATTCTCTACACACCAACCAGGGTAATCTTTTTAAAAACACAAATTTTACCACTATCCTTCTTAAAAACTCCAGAGGCTTCCCATTGCAGTTCTAGTAAAATCCAAACACTTCCGGGGCCTTCAAGGCTTTTTGTGATTTGGCCTCTGCCTACCTGTCAATTTTACCTCCTCTTACTCTCCAGTCATTCACTAAGTGCTGTGGTTTAAATGTGTCCTGCAAATTTCATGTGTTGGCACTTTTTTTTTCTTTCTAAGACGGAGTCTCACTCTGTTGCCCAGGCTGGAGTGCAGTGGCACGATCTTGGCTCACTGCAACCTCCGCCTCCTGAGTTCAAACGATTCTCCTGCCTCAGCCTCCCTTGTAGCTGGGATTACAGGCACCTGCCACCACACCCCACTAATTTTTTTTGTATTTTTAGTAGATGTGGGGTTTCACCATGTTGGCCAGGCTGGTCTCCTGACCTCAAGTGATCCGCCCACCTCGGCCTCCCAAAGTGCTGGGATTACAGGCATGAGCCACTGCACCTGGCCATGTGTTGGAAATTTAATCCCCAAATTCATATGTTGATTGGCAGTGGGGCTTTGGGAAGTAATTAGGATTAGATAAGATCATCAGGGTAGGGCCCCCATGATGAGACTGGTGGCTTTGTAAGAGGCAGCAAACTTGCCCACTTGCCATGTGATGCCTTCCACCAGAAGCCATGTAGATGCTGCCACCATGCTCTTGGGATTCCCAGCCTTCAGAAGTGTAAGAGATAAATTTCTTTTTAAAAAATAAATTACCCAGTCTCAGATACTCTGTTATAGCAACAGGAAACAGACTGACACTAGGCTTCATGTACTCTGGCCTTCTTCTGCTTCCTAGAACATGCTCCCCACTCCCACCCTCTTCTAAGTTCTTTGTACTTGTTATTCCCTGTGTCTGGAGCGCTCTTCCCTCAGAGCTGACTGGTTTCTTCAAAACATTCAGGTCTCAGCTCAAATGCCACCTCTTCAGAGTCATCCTTGACCATCTGGTTAAAGTAGCTCCTCCCCCCATTGCTGTCTTATTTTTTTTCATTGCACTTAGCACTAATGGTATTTGCTTATTTGTGTATGTGTTTGTCTTAAGTTCCACATAGGCAGGGGCTATGGCTTGTTTATCATTCAAAACAATATCTAGACCAGGGCTTGGGAATTAAGTGGTGGAGTGCCAAGTCTTTTAAAATGGGGGTCGAGTAGTTTTTCCTTGGCAGAAGCTTCTTTTCCTGGATAGCCTCTTAATAGTCTGGAATGTGCAGCTCATAGTTATTAGGAAATGTTTGCACTTTGGAAAAACATCCTTGGAAATCTCTGTCTTTTCTGCTTCTGAGTCACAGATTGTGTTTTAAATTATTCTAGAAGGAAAAGTGTTTTAACCCAGTTGTAGTGACTGCTAAGTGTTTTCTTTTGAACACACACACACACACACACACACACACACACAACTCTTAGAGTATTAATTGATATGGTAATGCCCTGAGCTCATGTGATATGTACTGTTTTAAAAATAAAACAGTAGATATATTAGCTGTGACATGATTATAACTGCCAGCAAGTAATGATCATAATAAAGAAGTCACTTCCTGATGTATTTAGGAACACCAGCAACAGCATGCTTCATAAACTGGCTTAGACTTGGTATCTTTCAGACTTTTAGTTACCTGCAGTGTACTGTAATTTTCACTGTTTTTGAGCAGTGATAAGCACTCACAATCTAATGGTCATGTTCTCAATACCCAGGTAAAAGAGTGGCTGAATTTGTGTTTGTTGAGTTAAATTGAACTCTTAGCCTGTAAGTGTAAATTTTTTGCCATACGCTTAACAGTTCAAACTGCTTCTGCTAAAATGCTTTTGATAGAATGATAAGAACAGGATGAAAAAATGCATTTATGTATATGTGATCTCAGTTATGTTAAATGTAGATTGAAAGCAGTCTCCAAGGAGGTATGTTAGCCTGTTCATATTGCTAAATGGACAGTAGGATTATGGGGGATTTTTCTTAATACTTTTATATATTGGGCAAGCAGGCATATGGGAATGATTTATGGGTGAGACCTGAAGCCGCACCCAGTTCTTGGGTGCCCTGTACAGCCCGTATGTGAGGCACAGACCCATGGCAGATTGTCCTGGCCCATTTGTGATTGAACCTCTAGTAGCAAGAGCTGCTTTACACCGGTACAACCTAAAAGCAGGGGTGTCCAATCTTCTGGCTTCCCCGGGCCACATTGGAAGAAGAATTGTCTTGGGCCAGACATAAAATACACTAACGATAGCTGATGAGCTAAAAAAAAAAAAAAAAGAAAAAAAAAAGTTGCATAATGTTTTAAGAAAGTTTACAAATTTGTGTTGGGCATTCAAAGGGCCGCATGTGGCCCACGGGCCACAGGTTGGACAAGCTTGGCTTAAAGCATTTCTCAGGGTTAAGTCAGACTGCAAACATTTGTGTATTCATTCATTCATTCAATGCTTTTGCACTAAATGGCGGATTTTGCCAGCCATGTTAGTTACATTAAGCAGACTATTAACCCAAGTGAACATGGTCCTGAACTCACTGTTTCTGGTATACTAGAGGAATACTTATACTATTAAGTTGGTGCAAAAGTAATTGCGGTTTTGCCATTGAAAGTAATGGCCAAAACCGCAATTACTTTGGCGCCAACCTAATACATATTCAGGCAATTTCAACTTGTGATAAGGATTATGAAGGAAAAGTATCAGATGCTATCTGAGAGCACAGAGCAGAGGAGAACCTAATTTAGGTTGAGAGTTTCAGGTAAGGCTGAGACCCAAAAACCAAGAGGAGTTAGCCAGATGGAATAAGAATATGCCAGACAGAGGAAGCTGCATGGCAAAGGCCAAGAGGCTTAGAAAAGTGAAAAACAGAAGGAGACCGTTGTGGGTCTGATGCAGCTGAGCTAGGAAAGATTGGCCCAAGATAGAGAGGTAAACAGGAGGGGGCGTGGTTCTGGGAGCTGCAACTTAGAAAGCTGTTTGTGTCCGAAACAAGTCAAAGAGTTGCTGAGGACAAGGGGTGCAACCCCCTCAACCCCCAATAACAAAAAGTCTCTTTGCTTGGATCTCCACACACGTTCAGAGTGTTTGTTGTGGCCTCACAGGATTTTTTCTAAGGCCAAGTCAGCATGGCCGAAGGTCACTACAACTTCTGTAAGAACCTGGCCTCTCCACACTGAGTGTAAAAATGTATTAAACAGTGGATGCTCTGAGAAAAGTGAAGGCATGCTAGATCCAAGCATTTAAGTTAGATTGGCCAGCCATCCCAAGAAACAGATGTTCCAGTAATCTGTTAGTTGGGGTATACAGTGTTGAATTCTGTTTATAATTCTACCACCAAGTTGTTGGGATGGGATGTCTTCTTCTATAAAATAGCAGTAAGTAAGCATTTCAATGAGGTCCTTAATGTGAGGCATGATGTAGTAAACACATTAGCAGTCTTTTTTTGGTCACTTGTTTCTTACTCAAGAGAAACATCTTGGTCGGGGGTGCGGTGGCTCACGCCTGTAATCCCAGCACTTTGGGAGGCCAAGGCAGGCGGATCATTAGAGGCCAGGAGTTTGAGACCAGCCTGGCCAACATGGCGAAACCCTGTCTCTACTAAAAATGCAAAAGCTAGCCAAGCATGGTGGTGCGCGCTTGTAGTCCCAGCTACTCAGGAGGCTGAGGCACAAGAATCGCTTGAACCTGGGAGGTGGAGGCTACAGTAAGCCGAGATCACGCCACTGCACTCCAGCCTGGGCGACAGAGCGAGACTCCGTCTCAAAAAAAAAAAAAAAAAAGGAAGAAACATCTCTTTAATTATTGCCAATATAAATTAGTGTGAAAACAAAGAGATCCTTTAGCCTGCTTTCGTATCTGTGTGGACATATTGCAGTGCAGCTGATACCCCATTATTGTCAGCATGCAGTTGTACTGGGAAATTTTCACTTTTGATCATAGCTCATTACTGAAACCCAACTATTTTAAGAGAAATGCCCTTGAGTCATAGGCTTGTTTTATTGCCATGGTATTCTCTGATAAATGGTTCATGGTTTTTCCCCTAAGTGAGCATACTTCATTTGCCATCTGTTTAAAATCACTACAGATTGAAAACTAGTATATTGAACTCTAAGGACATATCTCTTTCTTACACTGGAATTCTAAAGAAGAATGTACTGAGCATTACTTATTCTTTCATTCTTCTTAGATTCTTCTTAATCCTTTGGTGAAAACTGAGACACAAAATGGCTGCAAATAAGCCCAAGGGTCAGAATTCTTTGGCTTTACACAAAGTCATCATGGTGGGCAGTGGTGGCGTGGGCAAGTCAGCTCTGACTCTACAGTTCATGTACGATGAGGTAAGTGCTAATTTTATAATGGATCAAAGTTTAGGCTTTCAGAGAGTATTTCCCTAGCTTAGTTTTGGTGCTATTTTGTATGGATTGTTTGAATCCTTGAAATTACTAATAATTTTTTTTTCATTTTTGTGTTTAGAGCCATCTGTACATAACTTGATTTTACAAATCAGGAACTTATGGTCCTTAAAAACCTCAGGCTTTAAAAACAAAGCTAAACTAAAAACAGTACGCCTTTTTTTAGTAATCTAACTTTAGCTTTTTTGTTTTTAGGTTTTATTGGCGATTCCTACCTTTAATTAATAGAAGTGGTGTGTATAATACTTAAGAGAGACTTGAGGTTAACATATATAAAATATCTTTTAGGCTGGGCACGCACGGTGGCTCACGCCTAATCCCAGCACTTTGGGAGGCCAAGACAGGCAGATCACAAGGTTAGGAGATCGAGACCATCCTGGCTAACACGGTGAAACCCCGTCTATACTAAAAATACAAAAAATTAACTGGGCATGGTGGCGGGTGCCTGTAGTCCCAGCTACTCGGGAGGCTGAGGCAGGAGAATGGTGTGAACCTGGGAGGCGGAGCTTGCAGTGAGCCGAGATCGCGCCACTGCACTCCAGCCTGGGCGACAGAGCAAGACTCCATCCCAAAAAAAAAAAAAAATTCTTTTAATAAACTTGATGAAAAAGTCGTTTATTGTGTGTTTGGCATGGCACTACATTCATCATTAAGCAGGCCAAGTCACTAAAATTTATAATTACCACACAGGTTACAGATTTGTATGCATGTATTCATATCAGACTTCATCATCCCTGAGTTAAGGTGTAGCCTATATATAGCAATATAGTCTTTCCCTGCAGGAATGTTATCAAGTCTTAATGATTTAAGAGTTGGTAATCCAATGTAAGCATTTATCCTCACTTCTGTTTTCTCCCAACAAAAGCCAGGTTTTATGGTTGCAGACAACTTAGTCCTCGTAACAATCTTGTGTGGGAGATGGTGATATCCCCATTTTACAGATGTGAAAACAGAACCTCAGAGAGTTACCCAGCTTACCCAAGAAAAGTGATCTGTGATGAGCAACAAAGTGTTAAACCTAGTCTTTTGACTAAAAATATCCCTACAGATTTTTCCCACCCCATGTCTTTATCTCTTTTTTTACCTTTTATTTTTTTTAAATAGAGACCAGGTTCTCACTCTGTTGCCCAGGGCGATCCTCCCACCTTGGGCTCCCAAAGCTGGGATTACAGGTATGAGCCAGTGCACCCAACCCCCCATGTCTTTTTCTGTTGCCTGTGTCTCACCATTCTTTTTACACACATACATAAAACCCTTAAATCTGTCAGTTGCCATGCTTGTTAGTGAGCGAATTAAAAAGTTTAGGGAAGGCGTAGGCTGGAGAATCACTTGAGGCTAGGAGCTTGAACCAGCTGGCAACAAAGTGAGACCCTGTCTCTATGAAAAAATTAAAAAATTAGCTGGGCGTGGTGCTGCATGCCTGTTTTCCTAGTTACTTAGGAGGCTGAGGCAGGAGGATCATTTGCATTGGAGGTCACAGTGAGCAATGACTGTGCCACTGCATTCCAGCCTACACAACAGAGCAAGACCCCTGTCTCTTAAAAAAAAAAAAAGTTTGTGGAGAGTGGATTGAAATGGTACTTTAAATGAAATTACTGATTTATTCATTGAATTCTTTGTTTCATACTGTTTATTTAAGAGCTAATCTTCTCTCAGACTAATCCTTAAATCAGTCTCCTCTTGACAATAAGGAAGCCAAAAGTAAGAATATTCACATGCCTAATTTTTTTTTTTTTTTTTTTAAAGATAACGTCTTGCTCTGTTGCCCTGGCAGTGATGCAGTCTCAGCTCACTGCAACCTCCACCTCCCAGGCTCAAGCGATCCTCCCATTTCAGCCTTCCAAGTAGCTGAGACTATAGGCATGTGCCACTATGCCCAGCTAATTGTTGTATATTTTTGTAGCGACGGGGTGTATCCGTCTGTTCTCACACTGCTATAAAGAAGTACCTGACACTGGGGTAATTTATGAATAAAAGAGATTTAATTGACTCACAGTTCCACAGGCTTAACAGGAAGCATGACTAGGAGGCTTCAGGAGACCTGCAATTGTGGCAGAGGGTGAAGGGAAAGCAAGTGCATCCTCACATGTTGGGACAGGGGAGGGAGAGAGAGAGAGTGTGAGCGAGCACACGCGAGCAAGGGAGGAAGTGCCACACACTTTAAAAACCATCAGATCTCGTGAGAACTCACAATCTTGAGAACAGCATGAGGGAAATCTGCCCCCATGATCCAGTCACCTCCCACCTGATCCCTCCCCCAGCATTGGGAATTACAGTTCAACATGAGATTTGGGTGGGGACACAGAGCCAAACCATATCACGGGGTTTTGCCATGTGTCCCAGTCTGATCTTGAACTAACTCCTGGGCTCAAGTGATCCACTCACCTCAGCCTCCCTAACTGCTGGCATTACAGGCATGAGCCACCACACCCAGCCCACATGCCTAACTTGTAATGAATGACTAAGCACATTAATAGCATGTAAATGTGGTGGAATGTTATTTAACTTTTACAGTTACAAATACACTGTGTCCATTTTTAAAATAATTATTTATTGAGTATCTCCCATGTAACAGGCACTGTTATAGGCTTTAGAGATATAATGATGAATAGCATATGCAAGGTCCCTGCTCTGAGGGGTTAAATTCTAATGACAAGATACAGTCATAGCAAATAAATAAGAATGTATCAGATAATGAAAATATTTACAAGAGCTAATAAAAAACCCACAAATGTCTGTGTGTAAATGAATACATGCTAACAATGATATCAAAAGATAGGCCGGGCCTGGTGGCTCACACCTGTGATCCCAACACTTTGGGAGACCAAGGCAGTAGGATTATTTGAGCCCAGGAGTTCAAGACCAGCCTGGGCAACATAGTAAGGCCTTGTCTGCGTACATATACACATACTTATCATCTGCCTGCCTACGGTTTATCAAGGTATATTAAAGTGAGATTTATGGGGCTGACGATAGGAGTGGGAATGTAAAGTTGTTGAATTGTACTATTTAAAAAATCAAAAGTTTGGGAAGAAGTCTCATAAAGTTTAAGATTTGACTTTCTGTTGAGTAGTGTAAATCACTTTATTGACTTAGTTCATTTTAGAAAAAGAAAGGATTTAATGATACTTTCAGTGCTTACCAAAATATTGACCTTTAAGTTATTTCCACAGTTCTAGCATGAAAATTTATATTCAGAGTTACATAGAAAAAAGACTATTATAAATTTGGTAAAATATATGTGTAATAGTTTTTGCAGGTATTGTGTTTTAAGGAAGAAAAGCTGTTTTCAAGCTGTAAACAGCCTAGAGGTAATAACTCAGCCCTCTCTGTTTGCAAATGAGGAAACCAAGAAATTGTCTAAAATTAAAATTAGTGTAGTTTTTACCATTGGAGGAATCTGGGCAAAGGGTATACAGAACTCTTCTTGTACTATTTTGGCAGCTTCACATGAATTTATAATTATTTCAAAATAAGTTTTGAAACGTAATAATTAAAAAATTGGTGTGTTTTTATCTTTTCTAGTTTGTGGAGGACTATGAGCCTACCAAAGCAGACAGCTATCGGAAGAAGGTAGTGCTAGATGGGGAGGAAGTCCAGATCGATATCTTAGATACAGCTGGGCAGGAGGACTACGCTGCAATTAGAGACAACTACTTCCGAAGTGGGGAGGGGTTCCTCTGTGTTTTCTCTATTACAGAAATGGAATCCTTTGCAGCTACAGCTGACTTCAGGTATGTCCTAGAGTAATGTTGTTGCTTGTGACATACTATACAACAATTTCTTCCCCAGAAACAAGTAGACAACTAGAGGTTCTAACTTGTTAGTCTTTTACTCTGTCTCTAATTGTGTTTATTCCCTTTTTGATATCAGTATATGACTCTCTCTACTGTGTTATGTACACACAGTTAGGATACTTTGCATAGTCTTACAGCTCTCCCGGTGTCACCTGTATTGGAGTTTGATTTTGTGACAGCTTCAGTTACCCAGAGTCTCTATGAGTTACTGAAGTATTTCTCTTTAGTGTAAACTACTACTGCCATAACAGTTCATACTTAGAGCACATAATGGAGCTTACTCAGGTTTTACATCTTTCTCTGTTAGTCATGGTTTCTTAGCACCTATGTAATGCTCAGTAGGCACGTTGCCATCCTCCTCAAAATATAGATGCCCTGATAGCACAGACTGAATTTTTTGTTTCTTTTTCTTATTACATGGGAACCTTCAGAATGAATGAATTTTTAATAGAAATAATATCTCTGTAGATGGGCACATTAGATTGTTATATAATATTTTTTATTATTTATTGTTTAATTAAAATCTGGAATCCATTTGGTTTTAGAGGAGGTGGTTTTGGTGAAGGGGAAAGAGGTGCTCCTCTATATTTAAGAGGTATTTGGCATAGAGTTCTTGCGTGGTCTTGCAAATACTACATGCATAAATCAAGTGTTCTTTAATTAAATGATACATATTTTTATTTCTGTGTGAAGTGTCTTACTTGATTATGGAGGACAGAAAAGAAGCATGCAATGTATCCTCTATTTTCAAGATTCACACAGCCTAGATGAATATATAAGGCATTTAACCAAGAGCAAGTTAGTGACAAAGTAGGAACATGGGCAGTGGTTAGTGCAGAGGATCCGGGAGGGGAAAGAAGCTGGGAAACCTTCATGAAATAGATGAGCTTGAAGAAAAGAAGGATTTTCACACATAAGGAAAGAGGGCATTTCAGGTGGGTGAGCAAAAAACTAAACCAAGGCTTTTACAGAGCATTCCTTTTTATGCACACTTGAAAATCTCAAGAACTTATTCTAAGAGAGCATTCTTTGCAAAAAGCAGGTAATTGAGAAACTCTGAAGTATAGATTTATTCATAAAGTTTGTTGGTTTCTATGAGGAAGAAATTTCATATATGATGACATGCAAGGGATGGCAGACTCTGGTAGCTTGTAATTGTGGGAGACATGTTGAAAGTTATATAAATGCCAATGCTTATTCATTCAGCAGATATTTGAGTGCTTATAATGTAGCAAGTCTTGTTCTAAGTAATGGAATAAATGTTATCACCATAGTCACCAAAGTCAAAGTGATATTTCAAGAGAATAAGGTATTTTCATGCAAGAATCTTGGGCTATTACTATTATAGAAAATAAGGATGATTCATTACTCTTAGGGCGTACCTCCAATGCCTCTGCCATAAATAAAAATGACCCTAGTGACTCACCAACAATATTGTTGGTGAAAGGCTTTTTTGAAAAGGTCTGAATGGTTACAGTGGGCACTCCACGTGGTCTAAACTGCAAGAGTAGCAAAAATAAATAAAACAGTAGCATAAATATCAGCTCCTCCCTTTAGCCTTCCTGGTCATCTCTGTGATCCACAAAATCCATTGCTTCCTCGTCTATATATGCAATGTCCTTGCTGCAGCTCCAGTATCACACTTAACACCTATTCCTTTCCTGTCTCAGTATCCCCAGTACCTATATATGCCATAGTTCATAGCATATAATCTATAGTAAGTACATGTTTAGTAAACATTTGTCTTGATTCAAAAACCTTTACCTTTTGGTTTTTACTTTCCTATGTCAAAAATGAAGTTGGACCAGATTGTACTTCCCTATTCTGAAATTCTGTAATAGCCTCTAAAACTGTATTTAAAGGGAGTATTATATTAAGCAAAATGTATATGAAGTTTATACCGTAGAATTACTTTTCTCTGACATCCAGCAAAGTTGCTAGTAAAACCAATCTATTAACTCTAAAAAAATAACATCTTCTCACCTCGGAACCCAGTAGGTCCAGGTTTTCTACAGCCGTGTTTCTGCCAGCATCAATCACACTATGCTTTTTCAGTATTGGTTTCCCTGCAGCACCTGACTCAGAGTAGCTTAGTAGGTATTTATTAAGAAATAAATTAATGACTATATATACACACATATGACCAGAGGTGCTAGAGTTACAAACACCTGAGTCAGTCTCACCTTCCAAGTGGTGAGACTGAGTGGCAGGTTAGTTGTTGTTAACAGCTTCATTCAGTGGCGATCATTAGAAAGTCAGGAAACAACAGATGCTGGAGAGGATGTGGAGAAATAGGAATGCTTTTACACTGTTGGTGAGAGTGTAAATTAGTTTAACCATTGTGGAAGACAGTGTGGCGATTCCTCAAGGATCTAGAATAGAAATACCATTTGACCCAGCGATCCCATTACTGGGTATGTACCCAAAGGATTATAAATCATGCTGCTATGAAGACACATGCACATGTATGTTTACTGCGGCACTACTCACAATAGTAAAGACTTGGAATCAACTCAAATGTCCATCAATGATAGACTGAATTAAGAAAATATGGCACATATACACCATGGAATACTATGCAGCCATAAAAAAGGATGAGTTCATGTCCTTCGCAGGGACATGGATGAAGCTGGAAACCATCATTCTGAGCAAACTGTCACAAGGACAGAAAACCAGACACTGCATATTTTCACTCATAGGTGGGAATTGAACAATGAGAACACTTGGACACAGGGCAGGGAACATCACACACTGGGGCCTATCGTGGGGTGGGGGACTGGGGGAGGGATAGCATTAGGAGAAATACCTAATGTAAATGACGAGTTGATGGGTGCAGCAAACCAACATGGCACATGTATACCTCGGTAACAAACCTGCACGTTGTGCACATGTACCCTACAACTTAAAGTATAATTAAAAAAAGAAAAAAGAACAGCATTCAGGCCGTCATTCACAAAGGAAACTGGTTAAGAAAGTCACAGCACGCCCTAGAAAAAGATTGTGATTGGCCAAAATGCCCTTCACAAGTACTGCATATATTTAATAGTAATCATGGTGAAAGTTGACATGGTTTTTGCAAGAAATCATGTGAGTGGTAGGAAGCATCATAGCACTGTGTAGTGCTGTACGTCTTAGCCTGCATCACCCAGATACCGTGCTTGTTTGACTTCTAAAAGGATGTTTAAGACAAATACAAATCAGTGAAGAATGGAGTTTACTTTCTCTGTGGCCCATAGTCTGTGCGGCCTATAGTCTATTCACATTAGAAAAACTGAGAGTTCAGGTCCAAAGAACTTCCTATGAGTGTTGAATGTGTTAGAATGTTTGCTACATCGTGAGTAATCAAGTGAATGAAGTAATAATAATAGTAACACTACCTCATACTCATGCAGCACTTACCAGGACCAGACTGTTCTAAGCATTCACATATATAAATTAGTTTCTCAAACAACACTGTGAGATAGATACTACTGGATTTCATAGATTATAAGATGTACATTTTAACATCTCTGAGGGCTATGTCTTATGATATGGCACCATACAGTTATAATTGCCAGCAGTTTTTCTTAGAGTCCATAAAATAAGATTGAGAACTAGTGATGTCTTAAATTTGACTTTTTTTAAAAAAGTGACATCCAAATTTATAAATGAAGAAACAGAAATGCAGGGAGGTTAAGTGGCTTGCCCCAGGTTGTGCAGTCAGGAATAGCATAGAGTTAAAATGCAGGAGGTCTGCCTTTGTATTCTCTTGGTATCTACTGTACAAGTTCATTGTGTGCTCTGGAGTTGGATTTCTCAGTCCTGGTTCTACTTAAGTGTGTCTCTGAGCAAGTTAACATAATTTCTGTGTGCATCAGTTTCCTCATCTGTAGGACAAGAATAATAATGATACTAACTTCATAGGTTTAGGTAAGGATTAAATGAGAAAATGTATGTAAGTCCTGAAAGCAGTGTTTGGCACATTGTGAGCGCTGAGTACAATGTTAGTGGTAGTAGTGTGGTGGTGGTATTTAGGAAACATTGTCTAAGAAGCACAGAATAGAATAATCTGAAAATAAGGCAAGAAGATTTTTCCCAGTTTTTCAAGCATCACTATAAAATGCCTGCAGCCAGGTACAGTGGCTCACAGCAGTAATCCCAGCAATTTGGGAGGCTGAAGCAGGCAGATCACTTGAGTTCAGGAGTTCAAGACCAGTCTGGACAACATGGTGAAACCCCATCTCTACAAAAAAAAGAAAAAAAGAAAAAAAAATTAGCTGGGTGTGGTGGCGCGTGCCTATAGTATAGGTGTGCTACTCGGGAAGTTGAGGTAAGAGAATTGCTTGAGCCCAGGAGGTTGAGGCTGCAGTGAGCCGTGATCATGCCACTGCACTACAGCCTGGGTGACAGAGTAAGACCCTGTCTCAAAAAAAAGAAAAAAAAAAAAAGTCTGCAAAACCAAGTGTACTTTGCTGATTTGCCATTCTAATATCCCTTTAATTTTCTCATTTTCTCTTATTCTAAAATATAGTCGTCCCTCAGTATCAGGGCAGGGCAGGGATTGGTTCCAGGACTCCTTATGGATACCGACATTCATGGATAGTCAAGTCTCTTCTATAAAATGGTGTGGTATTTGCAGATAGCCTATGCACATCCTCCCATGTACCTTAAGTCATCTCTAGATTACTTTTAATAGCTAATACAGTGTAATTGCTATGTAAATAGTTGTTATTCTGCATTTTAAATTTTGTTTTACTTTTTATTGTGGCATTTTTTTGGTTTTTGGTTTTTTTTTTTGAGACAGGATCTTACTCTGTCATCCAGGCTAGAGTACAGTGATGTAATCATGGCTCACTGCAGCCTTGAACTCCTGGGCTCAAGCGATCTTCCTGAGTAGCTAGGACTACAGGTGCACACTACTACACCCAGCCAAATTTTTTTTCTATTTTTTATAGATATGGGGGTCTCACTGTGTTGCCTGGGCTGGTATTGAACTCCTAGCCTCAAGCAATCCTCCTGCCTCAGCCTCCCAAAGTGCTGGGTTTACAGGTATGAGCCACTGCACCTGGCTGTTTTTGGGGTTTTAAAAGATATTTTTTATTTGCAGTTAGTTGAGTCTGTGGATACAGAGGGCTGACTTTACTTACGTTCCTATAGCTTCAACAGCTCTTAATAATTTCAAAGGAGAGGCATTTTTAAGGTAGCAAATTATTGAACCTAAGTCTTACAGATTTCCTTTTGTTTTTTGATTTTACAAAAAAACATTTCTTCCAGTAGATTAATAATGAGCTAACATTTTTTGAATATTTACTCTGTCGATGCAGTTATAAGCACTTCACATTTAACCCTCATAGCAACTTTATAAGGAAGGTATAATTGTTGGCTCCATTTTATAGATGAGGAAACTGAGGTAAGAAGTACTTTGCACTTTGCTCAGACTTACATGACTAGGAAGAGCAGAACCATGGTACTTTAAAATTGATGACACTTTCACAGTGGATAACTTACCTCTCAATGCAAAATCTATGCTCAAGGTCTGACTTCCAGTAATTTCTGGCACATTTGGGTTTTGAAAAACAATTGGTGGGACCCTTGATATGATGCAATAAGAATAGCACTTTCTAAATCTTCCTCCCAAGAACCAATAACCCTACTTTAATCATGAGGAAAACATCTGACAAATCCCAATTGAGAGACATTGTACAAACTGCCAGCCAGCAGTCCTCAAAACTATTAAGGTCATCAAAAACAAGGAAAGTCTGAGAATTACCATGGCCAACTCAAGGCTAAAGAGACATGACGAAACTAAATGTCATGTGGCAACCTGGATGGGATCCTGGAACAGAAAAAGGATGTCAGGCAAAAAGCAAGCACATTTGAATAAAGTTTGGACCTTAGTTGCTAATACTGTATCGATATTGGTTCATTAATTGTGATTTGTGTACCACAGTAGTAGATGTTAACAATAGGGAAAAATAGGTATGGGGCAAACAAGAACTTTCTGTGCTATCCTTATAATGTTAATATTTCTTTTTCATTTTCTCTTATCCAGGGAGCAGATTTTAAGAGTAAAAGAAGATGAGAATGTTCCATTTCTACTGGTTGGTAACAAATCAGATTTAGAAGATAAAAGACAGGTTTCTGTAGAAGAGGCAAAAAACAGAGCTGAGCAGTGGAATGTTAACTACGTGGAAACATCTGCTAAAACACGAGCTAATGTTGACAAGGTAACACGTGACTCTTTACTACTGCATCATGTTAAAATAGGTTGGTTTGCTTTAACTTGGCTCCATTTTGTCTGGAGAGTCTATGAAACTTTCAAATAGAGGTTTAATCCTTGTTGATTTTTATCATCCCTGAATACTCAGATACATGTTAGGAATTTTAGTTCACCTTGTCCTTAGCTTCCCAAGAGACATTAAAACATGAGACACTACAGCTAAATGTACTTTTTTTCTTTTTAAAGCACTGATGGCATTCCTGACTTTTTTCCCCCCTTATCCTATTGAGTCTTTGGATAATTTAGAAGGAATCGTGTGAGTCCCAAGATTCCAGCACTAAACCGTTCTTACCTCTGACCTGACATCTACCCAACCCCACTTAAGTTCTTAAAAATAAGGGTACCTCCCAAGATGAAGAAGCCCCCAGATAAGAGCGTTTTAAAATCTCTCCTGCCACTCTCCACTCCCCACCCTCAACCTTTGTTTTCTCCTGAAAGAGAAAGAAAGGAAAGTAAACACTCTGCCCTCCTTTCTTGTCTTCTCGCTTTGTTCAGAGTGGCCCTTCCTGAAGACCAGATGTGGAACACCTGCAAGTACATTTCATCCCACTGCCCTAGACCAGCTCCAGTATCTAGAAAGACTGCTCACTGGGCTGAGGTAGCACAGAATCTTAAAGGCCTCCAAGTGGGGTCTTTCTTCAGCCTGCAAGTATCTAGGCTCTATAGTGTGCCTCTCAAGCTCCAATAGGCAAAAGAACTGCCTGTAAATCTTGATAAACACACATTCTTGGGTCTTACCCCTAGAGATTTGGATTCATTTGGTCTGGAATGGGGCCTAAGAATTTATGATTCTAGCAAGTGCTGCATGTGCTTGTAGATTTATAACCCTGATCCAGAAAGTACTAGGTTAAAAAAAAAGTTTGAGATTTGTTCTGTTATTTTGCTGTAGGTCTTAAGACAGTGTCGTTGCTGTCTTAAGCTTCTTAACTTTTTAAGACATTGTCAGATTCCTTTAGGTCTAAGATATCTGTACAAAGTGAGTACTACAGGATTCTATTCAGGATACGAATTTTTTCTAAGGTTAGGACTAGGGCAAGTGTGTGTGTGTGTGTGTGTGTGTGTATGTGTGTGTATGTGTGTTTTGCTTAAATAACAAAGTTATTTCTCACAGTTCTGGAGGCTGGCGAGTCCAAGATCAAGGTCTTAGACAAAATGATTCTGGAGAGGGCTTTCTTCCTGATTTGCTGGATTTCCTTATACCTTCCTGCTGCATCCTCACATGACAGAGAGAGAGAGATAGCTCTCCTGATTCTTCTTAGGATACTAATTCCATTATGACAACCCTACCCTAGTGACGTAATTACGACCCAAAGGCCCCATCTCTTATTGCCATCACATAAGGAATTCGGGTTTCAGTATATGAATTTTGGGGTGACACAAGCATTCAGTCCATAGCATGCCCTATCATAGTTTCCTGGGAACCATGGTTTCTGAACACAGTAACTAGGGCTTGGGTATTTCAGTTAGCTTCCATTTGGAAATGGGAACAAGAATACCTGCTTCATAGGATTATTGTAAAGATGAAATGAAATCACATATGTAAAATGCCCAGCCTGTGCCTGCCATTTCTAAGTCATTAGAAAATTATAGATTTGAAGAGACAATTTGTATGGCAAATATTTTTAAAATACTAATGAAAATATATGTTAAGATTGAGGGTGTTTGAGGTTTTAAAAGGCAACGTTGAACATTCTCATAGCATATATATACTTTTCTAATCGATGTTTCGAGTAGGTTGTAGAACACACTATAAAAACTATTTGAACCTAAGGGGAGTGGGGAAGAGATGCAGACACTGGCAATCCAAGATAGAAAGCTATATTGTAACAGTCCTTGTGGTGATCATCTGTTGGCATCAGAGGCCCTGGGAAGTATGGTGTCTGTATTAGCACAGCTCTTACAGGACAAAAGCCTAGGGAAAATGGCCCAAAAACAGCAACTGGCATGTCGTAGAAAGGAAACACAAATGGCCTTTAAACTGGAAGAGAGGCTCGGTCTCACTTATAAAAAGGGAAGTACAACTTTAAAATATAGTGGAATGTCCTTTTTTTACCCGTCACTTTGGGAGAAAAAAAGCAAAGAGGTTGAGAATAGAATATACTGTTAGCAAGAGTATAGAAAAACAGGAACCTCTCATATGTTGGTGGAAGGGCAGTTTTGTGATACCCATCAGAATTATGACCCAGCAATTTAAGTGCTAAAAATGTTATTTTTTTTTTTTTTTTTTTTTTTTTTTTTTGAGACGGAGTCTCGCTCTGTCGCCCAGGCCGGACTGCGGACTGCAGTGGCGCAATCTCGGCTCACTGCAAGCTCTGCTTCCCGGGTTCACGCCATTCTCCTGCCTCAGCCTCCCGAGTAGCTGGGACTACAGGCGCCCGCCACCGCGCCCGGCTAATTTTTTGTATTTTTAGTAGAGACGGGGTTTCACCTTGTTAGCCAGGATGGTCTTGATCTCCTGACCTCATGATCCACCCGCCTCGGCCTCCCAAAGTGCTGGGATTACAGGCGTGAGCCACCACGCCCGGCCTAAAAATGTTATTATACAGAACAAATTATGCACTCACGTATACGTGTATGTTCAGTGGTAGTCAGTGAAGCATTATTTTTAGAAGCAAAAGACTGGAAATATCCAAGTGTTCAGTAATGGACTGGTTTAAATAATGGAGTTTTGCCCAACCATTAAAAAGAAATGAGGATAGAACTAAATGTGCTGATATCAGATGATCTTCAATTATAAAGTAAGTGAAACAAAGTACAGAGTGGTGTCTGTAGCTTGCTGCCATGTGTTTTAAACACACATACATACACATTATCTATGTACACATCATAAGGATATGTAAGACTCTGGTACCTGTGGTTGCCTCCAGAGAATTAAGCCACAGTTTATGCTTTTTTCACTGTAAATACCCTTGTGAACTTTTTGCCATATTCATGGACACTTGGCCCTCAAACAACACAGATTTGAGCTGTGCAGATTTTTTTTTCACAGATGCAGTCTGCCTCCATGTCGGTGGGCTCTGCATCCACAACCAAATGCAGACAGAGAATACAGCAGGATGTGAAACCTGCATATGCGGAGGGCTGGCTTTTTGCATCCATGTGTTCTGCAGGGCCAGCTGCGGGACTTGAGTAGGTAGAGATTTTGGGATCCACGGGCATTCTGGAACCAATCCCCCATAGATACTGAGGTACGACTATGTTACTTTTTCAAAAAATAAAAAATAAAATAAAGGTATAAGGCCGTTTTAGTTACTATGGCTGTATAACAAAGTACACCCCAGAACCTTTATGGGTAAAACAGTCATTTATTCTGCTTATACATTCTGTGGCCAAGAATTTGAACAGGGCACAGTGGAAATGGCTTGGCTCTGCTCTACAGTGTCTGCTGCCTCAGCTGAAAGCTTCAAGTCTAGGCACTGGAAATACCTAAACTTAGGTTCTGAAGGCTTGTTCGCACATGTCTGGCTCAGCCAGATGATGCTGGCCATTATCCAAGGATGCCTCAGTTCCTCTCCAGGTGGGCTCCTCCATGTGGCCTTTTCCATGTGTGCTAGTTTAGGCTTCCTCACAGCACAGTGGGCAGAGTCTCCAAGGGCAAGTGTCACAAGAGAAAAAGAACCAGGCAGAAACCATACGGCCTTTTATGACATAGTCTCTGAAGTTATGCAGCATTATTTCTACCTCATTCTACAGGTTGGAGATAGTCACAAAGTCTCACCTAGGTTGAGAAGGAAGGGGAATAGACTTCAGCTCTTGATGAAAAGTGGCAGGATTCTGGAAAAGCACATAGGAAACATTGCTGTGGCCAGTTTCAGTTAATACAGTCTGCAGTCGGTGGTCACCTGTCCAAAACAGAATTACATTAAACGAGGCTGCTTGTAAAGTGAGGTGCAAATCCATACTGAAGACTATAATTTCATGTACTGCTACATCCTGCGGAGTGATTACCAGATAAAGTACCTCAGTGGCTACATAAAAGTCATTTGCAGCAACTATTCAATTTCCAGAATTAGGTTATACTTGTGTTTGTGGTTGTTTTCCTGAGGAAATAATCTAATAATCAGAAAAGCTAATATTTATTTGTGTTTATAAGAGCCAGGCACTGTGGTAAGTACCAACCATTTAATCCTTAATTGTGTGAGGCGTAGATACTCTTCTGATGCTCACTTTTTAGACAAGGAAGCTGCGGTGTGGGGAGATTACGTAACTGGCTCAAGGTCACGGGGTTCGTGGTGGCATCTGCAGCTTCTGGGTCTGGCCAACTCTGGCGCTCACATGCTCACATTCTTTCTTCAATATTTTACTCAAAACAATGGTTGGGGCCAGGTGCCACCACACCTATAATCCCTGCACTCTGGTAGGCCGAGGCAGGCAGATTACTTGAGCCCAGGAGTTTGAGACCAGCCCGGGCAACATGGCAAAAGCCTATCTCTACAAAAAATACAAAAACTAGCCAGGTGTGGTGGCGAATGTCTGTAGTCACAGTTACTTGGGAGGCTGAGACAGGAGGATTGCTTGAGCCTGGGAGGTGGAGGCTGCAGTGAGCCGAGATCATAACCACTACCCTCCAGCCTGGGTAATGGGAGTGAGACCCTATCTCAAAAACAAAACAAAACAATGGTTGGAATAGCTAGTGTATCTCCCATTTCTTATGTCATCCACTACTAGAAGCCTGATCACAAATTTTCAGGAATAGCAAGTGTTATTTCCTTTTATTAAATTGTGAAGTGTCATGCTTTGTCACAGAACAAATGCTAGCTCTCCATAAGATCATTGGCTCATGCGTTATCCTCATCTGGAGTCCAAATAGACCATTAGGTGGAAGTTTCAAAGATGCAGATTTTAAATCTAGTCATGAAAAAGTGTCATAGCCACCAGAGCTGGGGCATGGCATGTCTCAGGAAGCCATGCTTGTCACAGAGGAATCACTCCGAGGCTAAAGGAACATCTGGGCAATCCTACTTGTGTACTCATTGGATTCATTCAGTGACCTTGTTATTATCCTTCTAGCTAAATGCTCTGGGTCTTAATTCACGACTCCAAGGTTGCTCTTGATTTTAAGGAACATTTTGGCAGAATAGAGAGAAGTTGAGCAAATATTAACAGATGTCCAAAGGGGCAGTGTGATTTATTATGTCAAGAGAATCAGTTTTATGTCGAGGGAAGAATTTTGGTAGAAATACACTGTATTTTTTGGAAAATATCATATTTGGGTTTTTTCATTGTATAAGTAATACATGGATACATGCTTATATAAAGAAAAATTCATAATATAGAAACATAAGGAGGAAAAATGAGTCATTTTTCTCCCATAGTTCACTCCTTTCCCCTCCCTTTCAGTAACCAGTGCTAACACGGGTGTGTCTTTCCAGACGTTAAAAGCAGTCATACATATCTCTAAGGGAAAGTTTGCATTTGCTTGTTTTTTCTTCCTGTATTAATAGGATTTGTGTATATATATACACACACGTAATATATTTTGTATCTGTATATATAGAGCATATTTCTGTGGTGCGCTTTTTAAATTTTATGACAAATCCTACAGCTCTTCCATGTCACTGCATATAGATGTATCCACATTCTTTTTAAAACCACAAAGTATTCCATGGTTAGACTTTTCCATAATTCAGCCATTTTCCTATTAATGACATTTATTTGTTACAGCAGTGTTCACAATAGCCAAGATACAGAACCAACCCAAGTGCCAACAACAGATGAATGGATAAAGAAAATGTGATAGATATACACTATAGAGTACTATTCAATCATTGAAAAGGATGAAATCCTGTCATTCATGGCAATATGGATAGAACTGGAGACAATTAAGTGAAATAAGCCAGGAACAGGCAGTTAAACACTGCATGTTCTCATTCATATGTAAAAGCTTAGAAAAAGTTGATCTCATAGAAGTAAAAAATAGAACAGAGAATACTAGAGGCTGGAATGGGAGGGATAGGTAGAGATTTGTTAAATTATACAGAATTACAGCTAGATATGAGGAATGAGCTCTGGTGTACTATACTATTGTAGATGACTATACTTAACAATAATGTATAGTTTCAAATACCTGAAAGGAGGATATTGAATGTTCCCAACACAAATAATAAATGATTGAGATGATGGATGTGCTAATTACCCTGGTCTTAGTCACTGTACGTTATATGTTTCAAAACATCACTGTGTACTCTGTGAATATGTGTCAATTAAACAGACAAAATTCAATTGAAAATAAAATCAGAAATTAAACCTTCATCTAGTTTCCTTTTCATAGTGATTTATCTGCATTAGAAAGCAATACTGGGAGTATTCCAATAATTACATTTAGTCAGAATCGAGACCTCCTGTCCTAGCTAGTTAGCCAGAGACTTGAAACAGAGGTCTTCTGAAATTCCTAGTCTCTGGGGAAATAGAATCACAACCACTAGGGGCAAAAACCCATGGCTTTTATGTCATCATTGTGTTCCGTTCTGTTGCATACTTTGTGTGTGGGTGTGTGTTTTATACTTTTTTCCCTTTAACCGTTTATGCTCCTTCATGTTGGTCCTATGTCCGTTTGACTCAGCCCATTCATCTTTGATAGTTTCGTTGCTTTCTGACTTAAATTTTATGCTTCTTGCTGCAGATCAGGAATCAGCCATTCATCTAAGGAACTCAGGTTCTGTTTAGGAGGAATGATATTTAGCAGCCACAGCATAGTTACATAATTTGCTTGTTGCTATTGTGTTGTCATTTTTCAGTGAATAGTTCTAGGAAATAGGTATTATTAAAAGAAAAAAATGTGATCATGTTGTTATTTCCAATTCAAATTTAACATTACAAATGTTTACATCTTTGATTTTGTACTTGTATCTTTTCTCTTACACTGAAGATCTTGGTTCCTAAATTACATTAACATAATTCCTCCCTTGCATTAATAAAATAGTTCCAAAAGAGCAACATTGCTGTCACAAACAAACTACAAAATGAAGTTTGGCTGGGTGTTGTGGCTCACATCTGTAATTCCAGCACATTTAGAGGCTGAGACAGGTAGATCACCTGAGGTCAGGAGTTCGAGACCAGCCTGGCCAACATGGCAAAACCCCGTCTCTACTAAAAATACAAAAATTAGCCAGACATGGTGGTGCCTGTCTGTAATCCCAGCTACTTGGAAGGCTGAGGCAGGAGAATCTCTTGAACCCGGGAGGCAGAGGTTGCAGTGAGCTGAGATCACGCCATCCCACTCCAGCCTGGGCAACAGAGACTCTCTCAAAAAAAAAAAAAAAAAAAGAAGTTTAAGATTTGTCTTTGTTTTGTTTTGTTGGAATTTTGTTTCTATTTTTATCCTTAGCATCTATTCTAAAATAGATACTTTCTATGCTGTCTTATAGACCTTTGAAATAATTCCTCTAGTCAGTCTTACTTGTTTGTGTCTTGTTTGTTTGTTTTTTGAAATGGAGTCTCACTCTGTTGCCCAGGCTGGAGTTCAGTGGCACGATCTCAGCTCACCGCAACCTCCGCCTCCTGAATTCAAGTGATCTGCCTCAGCCTCTCGAGTAGCTGGGATTACAGGCATACGCCACCACACCTGGCTAATTTTTGTATTTTTAGTAGAGATGGGATTTCTCTATGTTGGCCAGGCTGGTCTTGAACTCCTGACCTCAGGTGATCCGCCCACCTCAGCCTCCCAAAGTACTGGGACTACAGGCATGAACCACCACGCCTGGCCAGTCTTAATTTATTTTAATTTGATTTTCAATTTTTAGGATTTGCTATTTTGTTTTATTTTTTATTTTTATTTTTTTGAGACTGAGTCTTGCTCTGTCGCCCAGGCTGGAGTGCAGTGGCACAATCTCGGCTCAGTGCAACCTCCACCTCCTGGGTTCAAGCAATTCTTGTGCCTCAGCCTTCCCAGTAGCTGGGATTACAAGTGCCCGCCACCACACCCAGCTAATTTTTGTATTTTTTGTAGAGACGAGGTTTCACCATGTTGGCCAGGGTAGTCTAGAACTCCTGACCTCAGGTGATCTGCCCGCCTCGGCCTCCCAGAGTGCTGAGATTACAGGTGTGAGTCACCATGCCTGGCCTAATTTTATTTTTGAATACGTAAAACACCTATGTCTCTAAAGTAGAAATTCTATAACAAGATACACTCAGAGATGCCTCACTCTTCCTTGTACCCTCCTCCCTTCTTCAAAATGAAATTGATTATTAGGGTTTGGTTTATTATTTCATTGTTCTTTGTGCAAGGGCGAACAAATCCATGTATACTCCTGCCCTACACACACACACAGGTAGCGCTCCATCTGCTATTCTGTGCCTTGCTTTTTTCAGACGCGTTAGGAAAGGCCACATCAGTCATGACATACACAGGCTTCTTTACTCACAGCACTCATTGTCGCTTTCATATTTCTTGCTTTAGTCTGAGTTTTTTAATTCTATAAGTAAAAACATTTTTTAAATCCAGAATTCAAAAGTGATCATAAAAGTTATTCCTCCTTTTATCATATACTCTCAGCCGTTTATGTGGAGTAGGAGTGTGAGTGTGTAGCCTTCCAGACCCTTCTGTGTTACAGAACAGAGGAATTTCTTATTGAAATTTAACTTTGAATTGTTATACTCGTAATTTTCTTAGTTACTATGCTAATATCTCATTATTTACCGGTTCCTAGACATCAGACAAAAACTGATAAATTCTCAAATACAGAGTAACAGACAAAGTTGTTTCATAGTGTCTGGTATCAAGATGATAAAGCATACACCCATCTTCCTCAGCTTCATTTCTAAAAATGGAACTGAGGAAACCAAGTTATGAAATATAATCAAATTATTAAATATAAATTTAAGCATATATTATTAAATATAAATTAATAAAATACATTTATTGATTATAAACTACTTAAATATAATCCATTGAGTTCTATCTTTGGGTCTGTCATCACCTTATAGAACTTTTTAGACTTTTGTCTCGAAAACTGGAACAGAAAGATCAGGTTTTATTACATATGAACATTTTTACCATAAAGTGTAATTCAGAAAACTTCCTAGTTTCCTCCTTTTTTCAAGATACTAGGAAAATCAGGCTTTAGTTTTATGCTTTCCGCTCTGTACTCCCAAACAAGAGCTCTTAAATATTTATACTTCTGTTACCCCCAAAGTTTACTGCTGTGATTTGGAGAAGTACCAAGTTCATGTATCTGTTTGCTTTATTTATCCTATTTTTTTTCTTTCTAGGTATTTTTTGATTTAATGAGAGAAATTCGAGCGAGAAAGATGGAAGACAGCAAAGAAAAGAATGGAAAAAAGAAGAGGAAAAGTTTAGCCAAGAGAATCAGAGAAAGATGCTGCATTTTATAATCAAAGCCCAAACTCCTTTCTTATCTTGACCATACTAATAAATATAATTTATAAGCATTGCCATTGAAGGCTTAATTGACTGAAATTACTTTAACATTTTGGAAATTGTTGTATATCACTAAAAGCATGAATTGGAACTGCAATGAAAGTCAAATTTACTTTAAAAAGAAATTAATATGGCTTCACCAAGAAGCAAAGTTCAACTTATTTCATAATTGCCTACATTTATCATGGTCCTGAATGTAGCGTGTAAGCTTGTGTTTCTTGGGCAGTCTTTCTTGAAATTGAAGAGGTGAAATGGGGGTGGGGAGTGGGAGGAAAGGTGACTTCCTCTGGTGTTTATTATAAAGCTTAAATTTTATATCATTTTAAAATGTCTTGGTCTTCTACTGCCTTGAAAAATGACAATTGTGAACATGATAGTTAAACTACCACTTTTTTTAACCATTATTATGCAAAATTTAGAAGAAAAGTTATTGGCATGGTTGTTGCATATAGTTAAACTGAGAGTAATTCATCTGTGAATCTGCTTTAATTACCTGGTGAGTAACTTAGAAAAGTGGTGTAAACTTGTACATGGAATTTTTTGAATATGCCTTAATTTAGAAACTGAAAAATATCTGGTTATATCATTCTGGGTGTGTTCTTACTGACACCAGGGGTCCGCTGCCCCATGTGTCCTGGTGAGAAAATATATGCCTGGCACAGCTTTTGTATAGAAAATTCTTGAGAAGTAACTGTCCGCTAGAAGTCTGTCCAAATTTAAAATGTGTGCCATATTCTGGTTCTTGAAAATAAGATTCCAGAGCTCTTTGATCGCTTTTAATAAACTGCAAGTTCATTTTAAATGAAGGGCCAGCATATATACTTGCAAGATAATTTTCAGCTGCAAGGATTCAGCACCAGTTATGTTTGAATGAACCCTCCTTTTCTCTGAGATTCTGGTCCCTGGAAATCCCTTTCTGCTAGTGGTGAGCATGTAAGTGTTAAGTTTTTAATCTGGGAGCAGGGCATAGGAAGAAAATGTCAGTAGTGCTAATGCATTTTGCACTAGAACGCTTCGGGAAAATATTCATGCTTGCCATCTGTTCATTTCTAAATTTATATTCATAAAGTTACAGTTTGATACAGGAATTATTAGGAGTAATTCTTTTCTGTTTCTGTTTATAATGAAGAACACTGTAGCTACATTTTCAGAAGTTAACATCAAGCCATCAAACCTGGGTATAGTGCAGAAAACGTGGCACACACTGACCACACATTAGGCTGTGTCACCATTGTGTGGTGTACCTGCTGGAAGAATTCTAGCATGCTACTTGGGGACATAATTTCAGTGGGAAATATGCCACTGACCGATTTTTTTTTTTTCCTCTTTGCAGTGGGGCTAGGACAGTTGATTCAACAAAGTATTTTTTTCTTTTTTCTCAGTCCTAATTTGAACAGGTCAAAGATGTGTTCAGGCATTCCAGGTAACAGGTGTGTATGTAAAGTTAAAAATAGGCTTTTTAGGAACTCACTCTTTAGATATTTACATCCAGCTTCTCATGTTAAATATTTGTCCTTAAAGGGTTTGAGATGTACATCTTTCATTTCGTATTTCTCATAGGCTATGCCATGTGCGGAATTCAAGTTACCAATGTAACACTGGCCAGCGGGCCCAGCAATCTCCATGTGTACTTATTACAGTCTTATTTAACCAGGGGTCCTAACCACTAACATTGTGACTTTGCTTTGAGACCTTTCCTCTCCTGGGTACTGAGGTGCTATGAAGCCAACTGACAAAGATGCATCACGTGTCTTAGGCTGATGCCACTACCCGATTTGTTTATTTGCAATTTGAGCCATTTAAAGACCAATAAACTTCCTTTTTTAAAATGTTTGTGGTGTTACTTGATGTTTACAATGTAACATGTAACATTCAAATGTATCAAATGAGGCATCTTTACCAAACAACTAAATCTTTTGAGCTCTCAGTTTGGAGACTTCTTTTGTGTAATGCCAGATTTCCTAAATAACAGTGTCAGCATTGCTCAGATTTAATCAAGGCTCAGAAATGGAAGGACTCGTGTACAACTACATTGAAGATATTCTATGCCGTCATGAAATGACAAATGTGTACATTACTTTTAGAATGCTCCAAACTCTAGAATGAATAGGTGACAGCTTTATATTCATTTTCTAATCAGAATGACCCCCAGAGACAATTTCCAAATTGTGGGAAGAATGACACCCTGTACCATTTCACCAAGCTTCAGGCCAACGTTTGATGTCTGGAGGGAAGCGTGGCCTATTAACTATCGAATAGCCTGCAAGTTAGAAACAATCCAGCCCAATATTGAGCACAACCTTTCAAAATCTGGTTCATTTTAATTTCGTAACTCATAAGCAGTGCTAGAATGAGCACATTTAAGTAATAATTGGCATAATTTTAAATCTCATTGTGTGTACAGATCCTTAACACCAATATGGAATATGATGTTAAATACTATGCGTCATAATCCCAGCATTTTGAGAGGCCAAGGCAGGAGGTTTGCTTGAGCCCAAGAGTTCGAGACCAGCCTGGACAACATAGCCCCATTTACAAAAAAATTAAAAAATCAGCTGGGCATGGTCTTGCTCACCTGAAGGAGTTAGAAAGTCATGTCCCAAAATTTTGTGAGAAGAACGTAAAAATTTGGCAACTTTATGTTACTACCTTAAGCTATCAAATCATTTACTAAAATTTCTGTAGAGGTTTCAGAGTAATCCAGTATCAGAAGTCTCCTTTAGGCGAAGTCTGTAATCCCAGCACTTTGGGAGGCCATAGTGGGCAGATTGCTTGAGCCCAAGAGTGAAGACTAGCCTGGGCAACATGGTGAGACCTCATGTCTACAAAAAAATCAAAAAATTAAGCAGGCACAGTGACGCGCGCCTGTAATCCCAGCTACCAGGGAGGCTGAGGGAGGAGGATCCACTGAGCCCAGGATTTCAAGGCAGCATTGAGCTATGAATAAGCCACTTCAGCCACTGGGGACAAAGTGAGACCCTATCTGTATTTAAAAAAAAAAAAAAAAAGCCTCCTTTGGTGTCTGAAGTCAAGAATGGCAAGTCAGTAGAGGTCTTTGTGCCTTTAGTATTCAATAGATTTTGATGGACTGCCTGCTCTGGGTTCGGCTGGGAATACGCAGGTGAAGGACAAACAGGCGTAAGGGACAATTGCAGAGATTCATACTGAAGAAAGTACCCCATGTATAAGGAGAGGAAGTGAAGTTTCAAAAAGATTAGAGGTTGTCTCATTCTCCTTATGCCGAACTAGGCCCCCTATTTCTTAATGATCGTCAATCCATATAATATTAGCAAACAGTACATCTGACATGCAAGATACTGTATTTTTATATATCTAAATTTAATACTTAACCCAATGAGGTAGATAGTGCCATTAATCCTTACTTTGCAGTTGTTGGAACTGAGGCATGGAGAATTTGAATAACTTCCCCAAGGCCACAGAACTGGTCATTATTAAGTGAGATTGGAAGCAAAGTAGTCTGGCTCTGAGTCCGTGCTCTTATTAATCACTGCACAGTGGAGAAGCAACAGAATGGAGCTCAGATTACAGTTAGTTATTGCCTATACTAAAGTGGGAAACACCCGAGATTTCCCCAGGGCTGCAGCCTCTTGAATGACTGAAAGCTTGCAGATGTTGCTGTGTGAATGGGAAAGAGGCTTCTT
This sequence comes from Homo sapiens, assembly GCF_000001405.40. NCBI lineage: Eukaryota > Metazoa > Chordata > Mammalia > Primates > Hominidae > Homo > Homo sapiens. The sequence continues at coordinate 39,709,954 of NC_000007.14, forward strand.
GTGCTTGCAGCCTGGTTGCTAAGAGGATCAAGAGCCAAGAGGCAAAACCTTGTGCAGAGCTCAGCTGTGGAGCCAGGGCTGACTCTGCTTTTTCCATAACATCAGTAAAGAGGCAGCATTCCTTTGGCAGCCCAGAGCTTTCCTCCCATATTTTTTTAACTGCAAAATCATTTCAGTCCTCTACTGTAGCAGTTCTGCATGCAGCTACTGTAGACAATACCTTGTGGGTGCACGGCAAATGGGCAGGAAGTGAGGTTTGGTCATCTATTCTCAATCAGGACCCAGGCACCATTGATGGGGCTGGGGACAGGGTGGAGGAACAGTTAACATCTGTTTAAGAGAGGATATGAGACACATGAAAACTTGCAAGGCTAATCTGATAGAAAAACTGTCAGATATCTGATAAAAGATTGCTTTCATCAAAAGCCCCAAGGAAAATAAACAGAAAAGCATTTAGGTGCTTGCAAGCATATAGTACTTAGAAAATACTCCTAAAGACAATTTTGGGGCTTGTTGAATTGGAAGCAGGTATTAGAGCTAACTTCTGAGCCTCTGCTGACAGGTAACTGGTCTATGAAGGAAGTGAAGTGGATTTCAGGTTATAGCCCTGAGAGCTGCATCATCACATGCCAGCTCTTTTATTTGTTTATGGACTGGTCTTTGTAAAGAATGCCAGATTCGGCTGGGTGCGGTGGCTCCCACCTGTAATCCCAGCACTTTGGGAGGCCAAAGCGAGTGGATCACCAAAAGTCAGGAGTTTGAGACCAGCCTAGCCACCATGGTGAAACCCTGTCTCTACTAAAATTACAAAAATTAGTCGGGCGCGGTGGTGCACACCTGTAATCCCAGCTACTTGGGAGCCTGAGGCAAGAGAATTGTTTGAACCTGGGAGGTGGAGGTTGGCTGTGAGCAGAGATTGCACCACTGCACTCCAGCCTGGGTGACAGAGTAAGACTGCATCTCAAACAACAACAACAAAAAAGAATGCCAGATTCAACGGATTCAATGGGTAGATATTTAGATGGTTTTCCTAGAATCCTAGAAGTTGGCCTAAAAGGCACCTTAGGAGCCATTCCCTCAGTTTATAGATCGGAAGAAAGATAATTTGCACAGGATCACCGAAGTAACATAAGAAGCAAAATTAGAATGCAGAGCTTCAATTAAAAAAGGAAAAAGAAAAAGTCATGGTGGTTCATGCCTATGGAGGGTGAGATGGGAGGATCACTTGAGCCCAGGAGTTTGAGACTAGCCTGGGCAACAAAGTGAGACCCCCATCAAAAAAAAAAAAAAAAGCATCTGTCATCTTTGTCTTTTTTTTTAGAGACAGGGTCTCATTCTGTTGCCCAGGCTGGAGTACAGTGGCATGATCATAGCTCACTGCAGCCTCGACCTCCTGGACTCTAGTGATCCTCCTACTTCAGCCTCCTGAGTAGCTGAGACTAGAGGCATAAGCCACCACATCCAGCCGAGTCATCAGTCTGCTAATTTCAAGCTCTTCCTATTTACCTTTCCAAGTTCTGGGTGGGGGCTGAGGGTGCTTTAAATGGAGACAGCACAATAGTCTGAGGGTTCTCAGAGTGTGATGAACTGAAATTCAAATTTGGCCTCCATCCTTTCTCATTTGCCTTGAGGAACTTCCTTGAACCCCAGGTTCTTCACTGTGAAACTCCTAGTCAGTGCTTAATTCCTAGGGTTATTGTGAGGATTTTACAAAAAAATAAGCTATTTTTAGTACAGGGTATATATATTTTAAATGCAGAGAAAAGTTCTCTCTGTGGCTGGCCCCCTATTCTCTGTAAAAGCAGTTTCTGTGTGACATTCTGCTTGGCACCAATTAAACCATTGACAATACCCCTGAAGTCCATGTTTTATGTTGGAAAGAAGAAACTGGGAGACTCTAGTTTAAGGAACCAGAGATTCAGGTTGCCACACCTTTGTATTCACTGAGTCTTAGCACTGAAAGTACCCTCAGATGGCAAGTCATGGGAACAAAGAAGTGAAGTCTGCAGAGACCAGGTGGCCTGTGCAAGGTCACAGCTAGAAAGACTTAATCTTGCACTGCTGGCTGAGTCTCTCGTGTTCTTTCTATCCCACTCTAGTATCTTTCATCAATATCTGGAGTTCCTGCCAGGAAGATGGGGATATGGAGCATAAGGACCCTAGAAGGAAGGACAGGTCAGAGATACCTGACTAGTTACAGAGAAGGCTCCTCTCTCAGCTTCACTGAAGGCCTGGAGCACCGGGGGAGTGGCAAACTCGAGAGACCATTAATGTGGGGATGAATATTCTCTTTGGCCCCTGATACGAAAGTTCTGACTTAGAAGAGGCCTTCAATACACTTTTACTCATTGACTGAGAGACTGGAGAGATTGAATCATTCAACGTTTTGACCCTAGATATATAGAGAGCACATGGTTAAGCACTGACGAAGAATTTCATTCTTGAAGAATTTTTTAGAGCAACCTGAGATACCGGCTCCAAGAGTTTGTGGGGTTTGATTTTCAGGCCCCATTGCATTGGATGTGAGCGAGGCTGCATTTTGGGAATTATGAGGTGGTTCACTGATTCAAACCACTAAACTAAAGCGGCCTGCCTTCACCTTGATTCTCTATTTTGGGGGTCAGCTTGCATCACCAAAGGCAAATCTTCTTGAGAGGGCCAATAGCATAAGTGGAGCATGGAGGTGAAGGTGCACAGACACCTGCATATCACATCACATCTTGTGTCTCTCTTATCCTGCCCCCAGCACATCACACTCCCACAGTCCCAGAGAGAAAATACTGTCTCAGGAAAGTGATAGTAAATGAGAATGATAATACATGATGAAATCAGCAAAACACATTGTGAAGCCTATGTGACAGTTGTATTTATTCTGAGACATATTAACATCAAGAGCTTGTATCAACACAGAATTTTTAAACAATAGAAAAAGGAAAACAGGAAAATGCTGAGCAGCAGCTGCAGCCTCTGGTGAAAAGGCTGGCCAGTAGCATATCTAGGTAATCCCCCTGTCCCACTACATATCTGCCAAAGAGAGAAGGAAACATTAGATTCCGGGAAATTGGCAACTGCTTTGTAAGTTTGCTCCACTGCTGGGAGGAGGCTTCAGATGAAGCACTGTCCTTATTCAAAGGTCAATAACCATTTCCAAGAGAGAAGCCACAAACCTTCTGACAAGTTATCATGACAAATGAGCCTTAAAAGGACAGCTAGTGATTGTCAGGGTATGCAGGGCTCAGCAGGTGATATATTTTGGATATCTGTCCCCACTCAAATCTCATGTTGAATTGAAATCCCCAATGCTGGAGGTGGGCCCTGGTGGGAGGTGTTTGGGTCATGGCAGGAGGTGGATCCCTCATGGCTTGGTGCTGTCTTCATGATGGTGAGTTCTCATGAAATCTGGTCATTAAAAAGTGTGTGGTACCTCCCCCTCCATCTCACTTGCTCCTGCTTTCACCATGTGACATGTCCGCCCCCTTTTCTGCCATGATTGTAAGCTTCCTGAGGCCTCCCAAGAAGCTGAGCTGATGTTGGCGCCATGCTTCCTGTATAGCCTGCAGAACCATGAGCCAATTAAACCTCTTTTCTTTATAGATTACTTAGTTTCAGGTATTTCTTTATAGCAATGCAAGAACAGACTAATACAGAAAATTGGTACCAGGAGGGGGTATTGCTATAAGGAGACCTGAAAATGTGGGAGCAACTTTAGAATTGGGTAACGGGCCAAGGTTGGAAGAGTTTGGAGGGCTCAGAAAACAGGAAGATGAGGGAAAGTTTGGAACTTCTTAGAGATGGGTTAAATGATTGTGACCAAAATGGTGATAGTGATATGGAAAATGAAGTCCAGGCTTCTGAGGTCTTAGATGGAAATGGCAAACTTATTGGGAACTGGAGGAAAGGTCATGCATGTTACACCTTAGCAAAGAGCTTGGCTACATTGTGTCCATGCTCTAAGGGTCTTTGGAAGTTTGAACTAAAGTGTGATGATTGATTTAGGGTATCTGGTGGAATAAATTTCTAAGCAGAAAAGCATTTGAGATATGGCCTGGCTGCTTCTAACACCCTATGCTCAAATGCAGGAGCAAAGAAATGACTTAAAGGTGGAATTTATATTCATTTTTTAATAAACCTTATTAATTTTTTTGAGACAGGGTCTCCCTCTGTCACCCAGGTTGGAGTGCAATGGCATGATCTTGGCTCACTGCAACCTCCGCCTCCTGAGTTCAAGCAATTCTCCTGCCTTTGCCTGCTCACTGGTTGGGAATATAGACATGCACCACCACACCCCGCTAACGTTTTTTGTTTTTGTTTTTTAGTAGATACAGGGTTTTGCCATGTTGCCCAGTCTGGTCTCAAACTCCTAGACTCAAGAGATCCATCTGCCTCGGCCACCCAAAGTGTTGGAATTACAGGCATAAGCAGCTGGAATTTATATTTAAAAGGGAAGCAGAGCATAAAAATTTGGAAAATTTGCAGCCTGGCCATGTAGCAGAGGAAGAAAAAGCTTTTCTAGGAGAGGAATTCAAGCAGGTTGTGGAGCAACCATTTGCTAGAGAAATTTGCAAAACTAAAAGGGAGGCAAGTGCTGATAACCAAAACAATGGGGAAAAGGCCTCAAAGGCATTTCAGAGAACTTTGTGGCAGCCCCTCCCATCATAGGCCCAGAGGCCAAGGAGGAAAGAATGGTTTCATGGGCCAGACCCAGGGCCCTGCTGTCCTACATAGCTTGGGACATTGCTCCCTGCATCCTGGCCATTCCAGCTCCAGCCAGGGCACAAAGGGGCCCAGGTACAGCTTGAGCTGCCACTTGGGAGAATGTAAGCCTTAAGCCTTGATGACTTCCACTTGGTGTTAAGCCTGCAGGCACACAGAATGCAAAAGTGAAGGAGGCTTGGGAGCCTCTGCCTAGATTTCAGTATGGAAAAGCCTGGGTGTCCAGGCAGAAGCCTGCTACAGGGGTGGAGCCCTCAGAAAGAACTTCTATTTAGGGTAGTACCAAGGGAAAATGTGGGGTTGGAGCCCCCACATAGATTCCCCACTGGGACACCTTCTAGTGGAGCTGTGAGAAGGGACCACCCACCCTCCAGATCGGAGAATGGTAGATAGACCAGCAGCTTGCATCCTGCACTTGGAAAAGCCACAGGCACTCAAAAGACTGTGAGAGCAGTCTTTTTAAGATAAATACAGGACTCCAAAAATAGTGTGGTGAGCTGCAAAATAGCCCCCCAAAGATGTCCATGTCCTAATTCCCAGAACCTGTGGATATGTTATTATCTTATATGGCAAAAGGGACTTTGCAGGTGTGATTAAGTTAAGGATTTTGAGATGAGATGACTATCCCGGATTATCTCGGTGGGTCCAGTGTAATCTTAAGGGTCCTTCTAAGATGGAGGCAGGAGAGTAAGAGTCAGAGAGTCAGAGAAGGAGATGGGAAGATGCAAGCAGAGAATGAGGGTTGTGACGCCAGGAGCCCAGGAATGCAGGCAGCCTCTAGAAGTGGGAAATGCCAAAAAGCAGATTCCCCACTAGAGCCTCCAGAAGGAACACATGCAGCTCTGCTGACACCTTGATTTTAGCTCCATAAAACCCATTTTGGGCTTCTGATCTTCAGGACTGTAAGATAAGTCTGTGCTGTTTCAAGTCACTAAATTTGAGATAATTTGTCATATCAGCAACAGGAAACTAATGCACAAGACTCACTGGGCCTTGCAAGCTCTCCCCATCTTATGCTGTGCTCCCTTCCCCTGGCACTCCATGTTTCAGCCACACTCATTTCTTGTATCCCTTCCCAATTCAGAGCCTTTGCACATGCTAGTCCCACTGCTGGAAAACCTCTTTCACATTCCTCTTTGTCAAGCATAGCAAACAACATTGGTTCCTACCCCAAATTTATTCCTCCACCACCCATTTTCCTTTCTGGTACAGCCCAGTTTTGTTCAGGAATCCATTCTTTTCTGTATGAAAAGAGGCTGAAGGCTCAATTCTAGCTCCAGGGAGTAAATCATGTTTGATTGGTCTAAGCAAATAGGATGATTCCATTACCCTTGCCATCGATTGGACTAGGCATCATGTGATTCTAGCCAATAAGACTTGGGATGCTGTCTCAAGACTTCATGGGAAGATTTTCTGCTAAATGTAGATGCACAGGGAGTAGTGGCTCCTCTTCTGTTGGTCACGTTTGTCTCTGCACATAACATCTGGAACTGTGAAAGCCATTTTTGCAATATGAGGGGAAATGAGCCAACACTGACAATAGCAAGAGGAAGATGAAGGGGACGTGGGTTTTTGTCGTTGTTGTTGTTTGTTTATTTTAATTATTGACAAGATCTTGCTCTGTCAACCATGCTGGAGTGCAGTAATGCAATCATAGCTCAGTGCTGCCTCAAACTCCTGGGTAAAGTGATCCTCTCACCTCAGCCTCTCAACTAGCTGGGACTATAGGCACATGCCACCATGCCTGGCTAATTTTTAAAATATTTGTAGAGATGAGGTCTTGCTACATTGTCCAGGCTGGTCTGAAGCTCCTTGCCTTAAGCAATCCTCCCACCTCAGCCTCCCAAGGGACCTGTGTTCTTGATGACATTGTTGAACTACTGAGTTGTCCAATGTTGAAGTTTCTTTATTTCTGGGCATCTTATATGGGATGATCCATTTTCCTTATTGTTGAGTCAACTAAGTTACGGTTTTCAATACTTGAAGCCAAAAGCATCCTAACTGATAAACAAGGTTAATTCCTTCTCATCCTTCAGACTGAAGCTTCTTATCCCTCAGGCTGATTGTTACTTTCTAAGGGAGGCCTCCCTGAGCTGCCTAACTAATCGAGTCCCCACCTGTTAACTCTACATATCCTCCTATGCAACACTTAGGAGCAATTGTACATTTACGGGCACAACTATTTAATTAATGATTGAGGGTTCCCCTGAACTCTGAGTTCAATGATTTGGCAACCATATCTGCTTTTACACACCATCATGTCCCCAGGACATGTATTTTACATCATCATGTATTTGTTGGAGTGAGTGGCGTTGTTGCAGAGATAAGACTGTGAACAGGACACAGTTCCTGCCCACCAGGACACTTCAGGAGAAAGAGAGGCAGACTCTGTGAACAGTGTAAAACAACATAGGAAGTGTCATTGAAGATGACAGAAAGAAGAAAGAAATGCAAGTCACTAAGCCATTAACTTTCATTGAGCAGTGTTAACATTTTAACTTTTTATTATGGAAAATTTTGGATCCATTCCTAAGAGTAGAGAGAATAGGCTAGGCTTGGTGGTTCATGCCTGTAATCCCAATGCTTTGGGAAGCTGAGGGGGCAGGATCACTTCAGGCCAGAAGTTTGAGACCAGCCTAGGTAACATAGTGAGAACTCTGTCTTTAAAAGAAACAAAATTGGCCAGGCGCGGTGGCTCATGCCTGTAATCCTAGCAATTTGGGAGGCCAAGGCAGGTGGATTGCCTGAGCTCAGGAGTTCGAGACCAGCCTGGGCAACAACAGTGAAACCCTGTCTCTACTAAAATACCAAAAATTAGTTGGGTGTGGCAGCATGAACCTGTAGTCCCAGCTACTCAGGAGGCTGAGGCAGAAGAATCGCTTGAACCCAGGAGATGGAGGTTGCAGTAAGCCGAGCTCGCACCACTGCACTCTAGCCTGGGCATCAAAGCGAGACTCTGTCTCCAAAAAAAAAAAAAAAGAAACAAAATTAAAATTAAAAATAGGGCTGGGCATGGTGGGTCATACCTGTAATCCCAGCACTTTGAGAGGCTGTGGTGGGAGGATGTCTTGAGCCAGGGAGGATGGCTTGAGCCCAGGAGTTTGAGACCAGCCTGGGCAAGATGATGAGACACTGTCTGTATAAAAAATTATAAAATTAATTATCTATGACCTGGGTAGCAGACATATTCAGTGGGTGAATATCCCTGAGGTCATAGAGTCAATTGCACATGGCTTGCATATGAAGTGAATCAGCTGCCTCATCTGGGGTGTCCATTGGCCTTTATAGGTGAAGTTAAACAGTTTCCCTTCCCAGGGTAAACAGACCTCACAGTGGCTTTTATCCAGTGCACCAGGCTGGCTGTTCCCTCAGGCATAACCTCCTGTGTGTCCAGATCATATATACCCATCTGTGACTGTTCAATAGTGAGCTATGGGTCCTGCATCAACCCAAACATGCTCTTCCACTCTCAGCATTTAAAACCAAAGATACTGCTCCTGAATTAGTTATTCTCATAATCCATTTTTGTAAAGATGCCTTAGGAAGCTGATGATACCAATCCACAAAATGAAACAATTCCTTCACAGTATTCCCTCTGGCTTCAGTCGTTACTTGGTTTCGTCCTTCTCCCACGTTGAATACCTTCTTGGTAACCACAGTTCTTAGAGGTACTTTTTGTTGTCCTGGCATAATGTTCCCACTTGTGGGTAGCATTGAGGCTAGTGGCCTGAGCTCAGACCTACATCTGAGCTTGGTCCAGCCTCAAGACCCAACTTCACACTCTCTTTTACTTTCTTTTTTTTTGAGACAGAGTCTCACTCTGTTGCCCAGGCCGGAGTGCAATGGCGCGATCTCAGCTCACTGCAAGCTCCGCCTCCCAGGTTCATTCCATTCTCCTTCCTCAGCCTCCTGAGTAGCTGGGACCACAGCCACCCGCCACTACGCCTGGCTAATTTTTTTTTTTTTTTTTTTTTGTATTTTTTAGTGGAGACGGGGTTTCACCCTGTTAGCCAGCATGGTCTCAATCTCCTGATCTCATGATCTGCCCGCCTCGGCCTCCCAAAGGGCTGGGATTACAGGTGTGAGCCATCGTGCCCAGCCTCTTTTACTATCATTTTAGCTATTATAGATAACAGTAGCCAAGAGATTGAATATTTTATTTTTTTCTTATTAGTTTGCATTTCCTTATGCCTCCAGTGACCCAACTCCCTGGGAGTTGGATACATCTTTAAATTCCACTGGAAACATTTACCTTATTGATGAAAAAAGACAAACTCTAAAATTTTTAATATTCTGAGCCAAATATGAGTGGCCATGGCCCAAGGCAAAGTCTCAAGAGGTCCTGAGAACATGTGCCCAAGGTGGTTGAGTTATGGCTGGATTTTATACAATTTAGGGGGACATAAGACATCAACTGATACCTCATATACATGCCTTAATTCTGTCTTGAAAGGCAGGACAACTTGAAGCTGGAGAAGTGGGGAAGGGGGCTTTCAGGTTATAGATGGATTCAAAGATTTTCTGATTGGCAATTAGTTGAAAGAGTTATTACCTAAAAACCTGGACTCAATAGAAAGAAGTGTCTAGGTTAAGATAAGGGGTTGTGGAGACCAAGGTTCCTATTATATAGATGAAGTCTCATAGGTAGCGACCTTAGAGATAATAGATGGCAAATGTTTCCTATGTAGACCTTTAAAAGATGCTAGACTTTCAGTGAGTCTCTTCAGGATTGGGAGCACCTGGAATGGGAAAGCTCTAGCTATGTTAATAGAGACTCTTTACATACGCAAAATTTCCCCACACACAAAGAGGCTTTGAGGGTCATTTCAAAATATGTCAAAGAAATATATTTTGGATTTTCTTCAGGTCCTGCTGTCATGTGATGCTATATTAGCACTGGTTTGAACTTTGGTATCTTATTGCTACAAACTGTCTGTTTTGACAGTCTTAAGATCTCTGTTTTAATGTTAATGCTGGTCAATTGTGCCTGAATTCTAAAGGGAGGAGAGTATAATGAGGCATGTCTGTATTGGCAGTAAGAATCCGATGGGTCTGCAGCAAACTTGATTCTTGCTTCCTCAAAGGAAAGAATTCAGCAAAGGGGCATAAGGCAGAGTGAGAGAATAAGGCAAGTTTAGGGCAGGAGTGAGAGTTTATTAAAAAGCTTTAGAGCAAGAACAAAAGGAAGCAAATTACACTTGGAAGAAGGCCAAGCAGGTGACTTGAGAGATCTAAGTGCCCCATCCAATCCTTGAATTTTCTTTTCTTTTTTTTTTTGAGATGGAGTCTCGCTCTGTCACCAGGCTGGAGTGCAGTGGTGCAATCTTGGCTCACTGCCACCTCTGCCTCTCAGGTTCAAGCAATTCTCCTGCCTCAGCCTCCCGAGTAGCTGGGACTACAGGCGCATGCCACCAGGCCCAGCTAACTTATATATTTTTAGTACAGATGGGGTTTCACCATGTTGGCCAGGATGGTCTCGATCTCTTGACCTTGTGATCCACCCACTTCAGCCTCCCAAAGTGCTGGGATTACAGGTGTGAGCCACCACTCCTGGCCAAATAGGGGTTTTATACACTGGCATGGTTCCAGGGTTTGTGTTTCCTCTCCCTTGATTCTTTCCTTGCGGGGGCTGTCCAAACACACAGTGGCCTGTCAGCACTTGAGAGGGGCCACATGAGCAGTGTGTTTACTGAAGTTGTGCGATGTGCTCATCTGAGGCATTTTTTCCCCACACCAGTCAAATGTTCCTAGAAGAAGGTCATACACCAGTGAAACTCTGCCATTTTGCCCCTTAGTGTGCATGATTAAGCCTGCTTGCCCAAATCCTCAGATCTTTTTGGGAAGCTGCTGATCACCAGCTTCAGGTGTTTTTCATCTATTGGGAGACTACCAATTATTATTTTAGGCAGTTTAACAACCACCTTCACCTGATGGTTGCCTAACATTGCTGGCAATTGGGCAGGGGAAACCTCCTCTCCTGCCCTTCTCATGTCTGCCTAGCTGCCTACTCTAACATCAGCACCCTCATTCCTGTCATGGCCTAAACTAGTTTTTCAGGTTTTAGGTGTGATCTCCTTAGCCAAGAGGGAGTAGGCCCATTCAGTCGGTCACGGGGCTTAGAATTTTATTTTCGGTTTACACTCTCAACACAGCTGCCGCCTCATACATGGGTGACCACGTGGCCACCCAGGAATCAAAGGTTTCTCACCACTGCCCCACCCCCCGCCCACCCTTTTTTTTCTTTCTTTTCCCAAACCACGTTTCTGTGGTCAGGGCCTTTCCAGCAAATCCCAATTCACTGACACAAATTATGTCAGGAAAAACTCTCTCAAACCGCATTTTTCCTCTACTCTTACACCACAACAATAATCATCTATATAGAAGAAGACTTCTGTGACAAAATTTTAGGAGTTTCTCCCTACTATCAAGCAGGGGTCACCAGCTGGTTGTCCTCCAATTCAAGTCTGACACTATCTGGAGATAGCATCAGATTCCACTGGTTAAATACTCTGTCCCCAAGACTACCCTTGCTCCACAGACATCAACCACAAACCTGGGCCTCCAGAACTTCTGACCACTGGGTTTGGGTCGGGGTTCCCACAACCTCCTCTTTGGGTTTAATTAATTTGCTGGAGCAGCTCACAGAACTCAGGAAACACATTTATCAGCTTATTATAAAGGATATTACAAAGCATACAGATGAAGAGGTACATAGGGCAAGGTGTGGGGGAACGGGCTAAGGGATCCCATGCCCTCCCTGGGGCACCGCCCTCCAGGAACCTCCACATTTTCAGCTATTTGGAAACTCCTGAACCCAATTATCTTGAGTTTCTATGGAAGCTTCAGGAAGTCAGCATTCCTTCCCCCAGGGTATGAGGCAGGATCCTCTCAGAGGAGGGTCATAAGACCCACAATCAGAAAGTTGGGAAGATTAGAGTCCTGCCTTGGGACAGGTGAAAGGAGGGCAGGCAAGAGATTCTGTTTCCTGAGGCCTAACACACCCAACATTATAACAAGAGACTATAAAAGGCTATGGGCCAGGAACCACGGATAAAAACCTATATATATATAAAATAACACCACAGGAAGAGAGAAATATAACTCTGTTTGCAGATGACATAATGCTGTGTACAGAAAATCCTAAAGAATCCATTAAAAATTAATTGAACTCATAAACTAGTTCAGTATGATTGCAGAGTAGAAGAAGATCAATATACAAAAGTCAATTCCATTTCTATTCACCAGCTATAAACAACCCAACAAAAGTGATTTTTAAAACATAATAATTCTGAAGTGGCTACGTTGTCTGGGTTACATACCCTAGGGTTCGTCGTCTCATGCCAGGGAAATTTAGGACCAGACACACACCAGGAGTTTAGGAACGGAGGTTTAATAGGCAGAAGAGAAGATAAAGAAAAACAACTCTTTCTACATATGGAGAGGGGTCTTCTGAGCAGAAAAGACTGGCTGGCGCAAATGTACCTTATTTTATAGTCCGGCTTGAGGAGGCGGTGTCTGATTTACATAGGGCTCACAGATTGGTTTGATCAGGTATGACATTTACATAGTGTGGGGCGGAGGGTGGGGGTGGGGGCGGTGGAGAGCGGGGGAAGGCTGGTTGCCCCACTCTAATCTTATTATGCAGATGAATTCTCCTTGGACTGCGCCATCTTGTCTGCTCCTTACTGTACGCGTGTCTGGCTGAGAAGGGAAGATGGAGCCTCCACCTTGAACATGTCTAGTCCCCAGTTCCTGCCAGCATTCACCCCTGCAAGCTCCCAGCTTGCTTGTCTATGTCTGCAGCTCAGCTTTACCGGCTGCTCTTTGATAGAAAATGATTTGGGCTGCTTTTCATTAAAGAGAAAAGCCTTGTCGAGGACTCCCATACCCTTACTATCTGCGTAAGTGATTTCTTCTTAAGTCGTATTATCAATTCCACTTATAATTGTTTCAAAAGAATAAAATACCTAGGAATAAATTTAACAAAAGAATTGGAAAACTTGGCCAGGCGCAGTGGCTCACACCCAGCACTTTGGGAGGCCAAGGAGGTTGGATCACGACGACAGGAGTTCAAGACCAGCCTGGCCAACATGGTGAAACCCTGTCTCTACTAAAAATACAAAAACTAGCTGGGGGTGGTGGGGTGCACCTGTAATCCCAGCTACTCAGGAGGCCAAGGCAGGAGAATGGCTTGAACCCAGGAGGTGGAGGTTGTAGTGAGCTGAGATTGTGCCACTGCACTCCAGCCTGGGTGACAGAGCAAGACTCTGTCTCAAAAAAAGAAAAAAAGAATTGGAAAACTTATAGCCTGAAAATTACAAAAATTTGCTGAAAGAAATTACAGAAGACTTACATAAATAGAAAACATACTGGTTTGGAAGAATTAATACAGTATTGCTAAGATAGCAATACTCCCCTAAATGATCTACATATTTAATGGAATTCTTATCAAAACTCTGCTAATTTTTTCAAGAAAACTGACAAGCTGATTCTAAAATTCATATGGAAATTCAGGGGATCCAGAACAGTCAAAACAATCTTAGAAAAGAACAAAGTTGGAGCAGTCACACCTCATGATTTCAAAACTTATTACAAAGCTAGAGTAATCACGACTGTGTGGTACTGACATAAGAATAGACAAATAGATCAATGAAATAGACTTGAAAGTCTAGAAACAAACCCTTACATTTATGGTCAATTGATTTTTGACAAGGGTGCCAAAATAATTCAAAAGGGGAAGAAAGTCTTTTTAACAAAATGGCGCTGGGACAACTGAATATCCACATGCAAATAAAATTGAACTTCTTCCTCAAACTATACGTGAAAAATATAAACCAAAAATAAAATTCTGAGCCCCCCCAATCAACTGATGGACCCCCTCTCAGCCAAGGGCATTCCAATGTAAACTTGAACATCTAGTTAAGGTCACGATGGGAAGGAGGGGTCCAGGATGCCTCATTGTACCTCCCTCCCTTTGGAATTCAGAACAGTTGACCAACATTAACATTAAAACAGAGTTCTTAAGACTGACAAGGCTGGGTGCGGTGGCTCATGCCTGTAATCCCAGCACTTTGGGAGGCCGAGGCAGGTGGATTGCCTGAGGTTGGGAGTTCGAGACCAGCTTGACCAACATGGAGAAACCCCGTCTCTACTAAAAATACAAAAAAAAAAAAAAAACTAACTGGGCATGGTGGTGCACGCTGGGAGGCGGAGGTTGCAGTGAGCTGATTAGCCAGGCCTGGTGGCACATGCCTGTAATCCCAGCTACTCGGGAGGCTGAGGCAAAAGAATCCCTTGAACCCGGGAGGCGGAGGTTGCGGTGAGTCAAGATCGTGTGCAGTTGCATTCCAGCCTGGGCAACAAGAGTGAAACTCCATCTCAAAAAAAAAAAAGACTGACAAAACAGACTCTTTTGGGCTGGGTGTAATGGCTCATGCCTGTAATCCCATCACTTTGGGAGGCTGAAGTGAGCAGATCACTTGATGTCAGGAATTCAAGACCAATCTGGCCAACATGATGAAATCCCAGCTCTACTAAAAATACAAAAAGTAGTCAAGTGTGGTGGCTTACAACTGTAATCCCAGCACTTTGGGAGGCCAAGGCAGGTGGACCACTTGATGTCAGGAGTTTGAGACCAACCTGGCCAACATGGTGAAATCCCGTCTCTACTAAAAATTCAAAAATTAGCCGAGTGTGGTGGCAGGCGCCTGTAATCCCAGCTACTCGGGAGGCTGCAGCAGGAGAATTGCTTGAACCGAAAGGCGGAGGTTGCAGTGAGTGGAGATCGTACCACTGCACTCCAGCCTGGGTGACAGAGCAAGACTCTGTCTCATAAACAGAAGCCAAAACAAAATTAAAAACTTGTGTTCTTCAAGGGATACCATGAAGAAAGCATAAAGACAACTCATGGAATGGAAAAAAATATTTTCAAACTGTGTATCTGATAAAGGACTTATATCTAGCATATATTAAAAAAACTCTTACAACTCAATAATAAAAAGACTAATAAATCGATTTTAAAATGGGCAAAGAATCTGAATATTTCTCCAAAGAATATAGGCAAATGGCTAATAAGCAAATGAAAAGACCCTCAACATCATTAGTCATTAGTGAAATTGCAAATTAAAACCACAGCGAGCTCCTACTTCACACCGAGTAGGATGGCTATAATTAGGACAGATGGCTCTTGATTATAGCCATCCTATAATCAAGGCTCATGCCTGTAATCCCAGCACTTTGGGAGGCCAAGGCAAAAGGATTGCTTGCGAGACCAGCCTGGGCAACATAATGAGATCGCATCTCTACAAAAAAATTAAAAATTAGCCAGGTGTCGGGGCATGCTCCTATAGTCCCAGCTACTCAGGAGGCTGAGGCGGGAGGATCATTTGAACCTAGGATGCTGAGGCTGTAGTGAGCCATGCACACGCCACTGCACTCCATCCTAGGCAACAGAGCAAGACCCTGTCTCAAAAAAAAAAAAAATAGATGATAATAAGTGTTGATAAGGTTGTGGAGAAATTGGAACCCTCATACGCTGCTGGTGGGATGGTAAAATAGTACAGCTTTTGGAAAATAGTTTGACAGTTCCTGAAAAAGTTAAACATAGAGTTGTCATATGATCTGGCATTCCACTTCCACGTGTATACCTGAGAGAAATGAAAACACTGTGTCCACACAAAAGCTCGTATGCAAATGTTCATAGTAGCATAATTCATAACAGCCAACAAATGGAAACATCCAAATGTTCATCAGCTGACAAATAGGTAAACAAAATATGATCTATCCATTGGATTATTATTCAGCTATAAAAAATAATGAGGTACGTGTTGCAACATACATGAACTTGGAAAACATTATAGTAAGTGAAAGAAGCCAGTCACAAAAGACCACATGTTGTGTAATTCTATTTATATGAAATGTCCAGAATAGTCAAATCTATAGGTACAGAAAGCAAATTAAGAGTTCAGCACACAGTCAAAAAATAAATAAAAAAGAAAGTGGATCAGTGGTTGCCTAAGATTGAGAGTTTGGGAGAAATAGGGAGTGACTGCTAATGGGTATAAGGCTTCCTTTTTCAGTGATGAAAAAGTCCTAAAATTGATTGTGGTGATCGTTGCATGACTCTTTTAATAGATTAAAAACCATTGAATTGTACACTTTTAATGGAGGAATTACATGTTATATTAATTATATCTCAATAAAGCTGTTATATTTAAAGATTGCATCCTGAATGATTCCATTTATATAACATTGTCTATGTAGAGATGGAGAAAAAAGATAAGTGGTTTCCAGGGGAGGGGTGAGGAGTGAAGGAGTAGGTGTGAGTATAAAGTAGCAGGAGAGAGGTCTTTTGCAGTGACAGAACAGTTCTGCATCTTAATTGTGGTGGTGGTTACACAAATTTCTACATGGGATAAAATTGCATTGAAGAATATACATACACACAAAATGCATGAAGGATTTTTTTAATGGTGAAATAAAAGCTGTAGTCTAAAACAGTAACGTGCCAATGCAAATTTCCCAGCTTTGATATTGCACTATGCCCATGGAAGGCATCACTATGCAGGGAAAGGACTCTGTACTAATTTTGTAATTTTCTCTGAGTTTATAATTATTTCCAATAGAAAGTTTGAGATAAAATAAAATTAGAGTTGTCCAAAACTGACATGCTCTCTTCCCTGAAACGGTGATTTCTCCATTTGCTGGAGTTTAAAATAGAAGCTGGGTGATTCTACATCTGAGATGCTTAAAAAAAAATGTGATTAGAGGCCTGGCAAGTGGAAAAGCTTTTTTAGAGCAAAATCCAGGAGCCACTGCTATTCAAGCTGACCCCCTCCTGCACTTCCTAGGCCTGAGAATGTCACCCGGGATGTAGAACTCCCTGCAGTGCCTGGAAGGACCAGGCTGCCCTCAGGGTTGCAGGTGACCCAAAGCTCTTTAGCTTCCTAGGCTGACTTGATAAGCTCCTTCTAGTCATTATCTGGGCAAGCTCATCTCTGGCCTCACTTTGATGCCAAGCCCTTCCCTAGCACATACACAAGGGGGCTGGGCTCAATGGGTGCAGAAAAGGCTGTTTCTGGACACATCTTTGATAAGAAACCAAGTGACTTCCATCTCCATGAGCCATTTGAGGATAGAGACTGAGTATCACTTTAAAATTTCCCATTGTCTAGTACCTTGTCTAATACAAGGGAAATGGCTATTGAGTGAGGACCTCTTAAAGATCTCTCTAAATCCCAATAGGTCTCAACTCCAGCTGCACATTAGAGCTTTAAAAAAAGTTTAGTAGCGTCAGTTCCACACCACACCAGTTAAATTCATTTTTTGTTTTTATTTTTCTTGCTTCTTCTTTTATAGCATCTTCAATGCCATTCTTATATCAGGTTCAATGAAAAGTTTCTGAGAGATATTTCTCTTCATTTTTCATTTTATTTTATTTTTAGTTGACAATAATAACCATATATATTTATGGGGTACAATGTGACGTTTCAATATATGTATGTTGTGCAGTAATCAAATCAGGCTTATTAGCATATCCATCACCTCAGATACTCATCTTTTCTTTGTGATGAGAACATTTAAAATCCATTCTTTTGGCTATTTTGAAATATACAATACATTGTCTGTAGTCACCATGCTGTAGATAATTAGGTTAGGGTTAGGATTAAGGTTGTAGAATAGATTACCAGAACCTAGTCTTCCTGTCTAACTGAAATGTATCCTTTGACCAACATCCCCTTTTCCCACCCACATTCCCCACTACTCCCACTGGCCCAGCCTCTGGCAACTACCATTCTACTTTCTACTTCTTTGAGTTCAACTTTTTTAGATTCCACCTATAAATGAGATCATTTGGTATTTGTCTCTCTGTGCCTGGCTTATTTCTCTTGGGTCCTTTTAGGCCCATTCATGCTGTTACAGAAGACAGAATTTCCTGCTGTTTAAAGGCTGAGTAGTATTCCATTACGTATATTTGCCCCCTTTAAAAAATCCATTCACCCATTGATGGGCACTTTTGTTGTTGCCGTATCTTAGTTATTGTGAGTAACACAGCAATGGACATGGGAGTGCAGGCTTCTCATTGGCACACTGATTTCAGTTCCTTTGGAAATATACCCAGAAGTGGGATTGCTGCATCATATGGTAATTCTATTTTTAGTTTTTTGAGGAACCTCCATGGTTTTTGAAATGGCTGTACTAATTTACATTCCCACCAACAGTGTACAAGGGTTCCCTTTTCTCCACATCCTCACCAATGAGGGATACTTCTTAAGATGACCCTCAGTAAGTCCGGTAGTTATCATTCATAAGCATTCAGTTAAATATGATGTCAATACATTTTCAGCTTTGGGCTCATCTAAGCTTCCACAAATTAATTTCATCTATTTTAATACATGCACATGGTAAACAGAAGCCAAAAATACCAAAAGATACGCAGTGAAAAGGGGTCTCCTTCCCACCTCGTCTCCCTGAGGCGACTGTTTGTACCTGCATCTTCTGTTTCCTCCCGGACATCATCTCTGCATCCACACACCCCGTGTACTTACACAGAAATGCATTTTAGAACATAGAACCCTGTGTGTGCTTTGATGTGTTAGTAAGTGGTTCGGGGAGTTGGGGAGTAAATTTTGGAAATATAGTACTCTATCCATCTCACAGTGAATATTAGCATATTAAAAGCTCCAAGTGTTTCTCAAACTTACTTGAACACAGAATCTTTTGGGGGGAAAGTTTCTTGAAGACTTTTCATGTTTTCTGTATTGGCATTTTCTGATACTACATCTAGGTGAATGCTCATGTGGCAGGATCATTTGATAAACTAGCCAATGTGTCTTCACCCCGGTCATTCCTGGTCCCTATGACCTTTCCCCTATTGGGCATCCACTACAGCACTCCGGGCTCCCGGTCCCAGGGAAAGAGGGGCACAGAAACGCAAAAATGTCCATTCTGAATTTCTGGTTTTCAAAGTACATCTTTGAGACAACAAAAGGAGACAAAGGTTTTTTTGTTTTGTTTTGTTTTGTTTTTTGAGACGGAAGCTCACTCTGTCACCCAGGCTGGAGTGCAGTGGCGCGATCTTGGCTCACTGCAAACTTTGCCTCCCGGGTTCAAGCGATTCTCCTGCCTCAGCCTCCAGAGTAGCTGGGAATACAGACGCATGCCACCATGCCCAGCTAACTTTTTTTTTTTTTTTTTGTATTTTTAGTAGAGACGGGGTTTCACCATGTTGGCCAAGCTGATCTTCAACTCCTGACCTCAAAAGATCCGCCGGCCTTGGCCTCCCAAAGTGCTGAGATTACAGGCATGAGCCACAGCAGCCAGCAGAGACAAAGGTTTGAATGTCAACCGTCAAAGCCCCAAGGAACTCAGGGCAGGCAGTTTATGGCAGAATTAATAGTTTTGGATGAATGCAAGAGAATACTTTTTTTTCCGGCTCTAGATAAGAGATTAAGAATCTCTGAATTGAGTGAAGGGAGAAAAAAAA
Organism: Homo sapiens; assembly: GCF_000001405.40. NCBI lineage: Eukaryota > Metazoa > Chordata > Mammalia > Primates > Hominidae > Homo > Homo sapiens. Next base: position 39,729,152 of record NC_000007.14, read on the forward strand.
AGCCAGAAAAGAAGTCCCAGATTAGGCACTGGTGAGTGTCTCTGAGGAGAATGCATGATAGAATCCCCAAATAAATCTGAAGATCTAAAACCAAAAGCACCTGTGCTCTATTCCCCTTGGTAACTCCAAGGAGAAATCAAACCTCATTAATAAGCTCCAAGTCTGAGATAGCATGAAGTATGTGTGCTACAACTGGGTTCTGCAAGGGATAGAAACTCCATAATAAGGGATTTATACACTTATAAGTTTATTTTTATTTGTAGTAAAAGGCCAGGCACAGTGGCTCATGCCTGTAATCCCAACACTTTGGGAGGCTAAGATGGGAGGATTGCTTAAGGCCAGGAGTTCAAGAACAGTCAACATAGCAAGACTCTGTCTCTACAAAATAAAAATAAAATTAGCCAGGCATGGTGGTTCACACCTGTAGTCGCAGTTACTTGGGAGGCCAAGAAGGTGGGAGGATGGCTTGAGCCCAAAAGTTCAAAGCTGCAGTGAGCCATGATCACACCATTGCACTCCAGCCTGGGCAGCAGGGCAAGATCTTGTCTCTAAAACAAAAACAAAAAAAAGTCCGGGCGCGGTGGCTCACGCCTGCAATCCCAGCACTTTGGGAGGCCAAAGCGGACAGATCACTTGAGGTCAGGAGTTCAAGACCAGCCTGGTCAACATGCTGAAACCCCACCTCTACTAAAAATACAAAAATTAGCCAGGCATGGTGGGGCACGCCTGTAGTCCCAGCTCCTTGGGAGGCTGAGGCAGGAGACTCGCTTGAGCCCTGGAGGCAGAGGTTGCAGGAAGCCGAGATCGTGCCACTGCACTCCAGCCTGGGCAACAGAGGGAAACTCCGTCTCAAAAAAAAAAAAAAAAGCAAAAGTCCAGGTAGGTTTCCCAGGGCTGGCTGGAAAGGTGTTCTACACTGTTGAGAGCCCAGGCTTTTCTCTGCCTTGTGTGGCCTCGACATCATAATTCAAGATGGTAGCATCCATGTTCTGGGCAGCAGGATGGAGAGAGAGACAAAGAAAGAGCAAAGGGAACACACATGCTGTTTCCTATGAAATGTTTTTGGAGCTCCTATGTATTTCCATCACAATGTTTGACCAGAAGTTAGTCACTTGTTAGAGTTTGAATTGTGTCCCTCAAAAAGATAGTTGAAGTCCCAGCCACTGGTACCTGTGAATGTCACCTTATTTGGAAAGAGGATCTTTGCCAATGTAATCAAGTTAAATTGAGGTCACTGCTGGGTGTAGTGGCGTGCATCAGTAATCCCAACTACTTAGGAGGCTGAAATGGAAGGATTGCCTGACCCCAGGAGTTTGAGACCTGTTCAGGCAACATAGCAAGACTGTCATTTCAAACAAACAAAAAAGACGAGATCAGCAGGGCGCGGTGGCTCACGCCTGTAATCCCAGCACTTTGGGAGGCCGAAGCAGGCGGATCACGAGGTCAAGAGATAGAGACCATCCTGGCCAAGATGGTGAAACCCCGTCTGTACTAAAAATACAAAAATTAGCCAGGCATGGTGGCAGGCGCCTGTAGTCCCAGCTACTCGGGAGGCTGAGGCAGGAGAATCACTTGAACCTGGGAGGTGGAGGTTGCAGTGAGCCAAGATCATGCCACTGCACTCCAGCCTGGGCAACTGAGCGAGACTCCATCTCAAAAAAAAAAAAAAAAAAGACGAGGTCATTAAGGTGGGCCCTAATTCAATATGATGGATGTCCTTATAGGATGAGGAAAAGAGGCCCAGAGGGAAAAGATGCCATGGGATGCTAGAGGCAGGGGTTGGAGTGATGTGTCTATAAGGCAAGGAATGCCAAGGGTTGCTGGCAAACACCAGAAGCCAGAAGAGGCAACAAAGGACTCACCTCTCAGGTTTCAGAGAGAGCACAGCCCTGCTTTTGGACTTTTAGCCTCCATAGCTGTGAGACAATCAATTTCTGTTGTTTTAAGTCACTCGATTCACAGTGCTTGGGTAGAGCAGCCCTCGGAGGTTAACACACCTGGCCACACCTGGGTGCAAGAGAGGCCAGGAAATACAGATATTATTCAGGGCAGCTGTGTGAGATTCTGTTATCATAGAAGAAGAAGAGAACAGAAAGTGGGGAATAAGTGGAGCGTCTGCCACAGGCGTTGAGGCCAGCAGGCTTGAGAACATCTCACTAAGTCCCAAAGAACTCAACAACTTACTTACCCAGAAAGCAGTAGAATGACCTCTGCAAGTGGCCAAGGCAGTGCAGACATGGCACTAAGAATCAGTGGATCTGGCTAGGCCTGTGTTCAGGACAAAGTGGACAATAGGGAGCTGTTAAGGTTCTTGAGTGGGACATGACATGAGGAAAGATCTGTCTCACCCATTGAAGACTACCTTGCCCATGACGCTATTACCACACTCAGCACAGGGTGTAAGACTCAGCAGACCCAGATCATGAAGGACTTGAATGGCAGGCTTAAGAGTCATTGGAGGGTGGGAATGCCTGCTATGAGATGTCCCTCATGTACTATCCGAGAGGACCCTGGGTCAAGGTCATGCCAAGAGGCAAGGCCAGCAGCAGACCTTTCTCTCTTCCTTCAGTCCATGTGTTATATCGATGAGCCAAAGGTGGCCTCTGTGTGTGGGTCCCTAGGTTGTTAATTTCTTCACCATGGGCTGAGACCTGTTAGCTCAAAAGCCTGCCAGTGCCACATTCAAATTTCTACACATCCAGTTATTTTTTAAAATGGTCCAAAGAAGCATATTTTTAGCCACTTAGAGGCTGCCTGCTTTGCATACCCTGCAAAACCTCACACACATTTGCTAGCAATAGATACGACATAGCTTTGTAGTTATAAGACCCCAAGCTGCTGCTTCCCTTTGGAGACTCCCTGCCATGCTGCTGAGGGACATCACCTAGACAGGGAAGCCCCCTCTCTGGTCACCCTCTCCCCCAGGAGATGCCTTAAACTCTCCCATTCTGGAAGATGGCTCCCCCATCTTAAAGCTGTGGATGGTCTCACGCTATGAGGAACTTCCCCTCTTATGCATCCCTATCCAAGCACTGCCCAGTAAAGCTTCTGTGTGCCTGCCTCTAGTGTTTCTATCTTTTTTCTTGATCAGCCTCCAAACGCCTGAAACCCTGAGACCTTGTAAGTCTCAAGCCCATGTACTCCTTCCTGGGGACGAGAGATTAGGATACACCACTTCCAGCCCAGCCCCGTTCTTTCTGGAGGAATCCTTGAAGCAGAAACTGAAGGTGAAGAGAACATACAGAGAGGATGGGACAGGATGGACACCAAGCTGGGGCCTCAGGAGGCGGCCCAAAGACCTCAGCCCCGAGCACTGCAAAGGAGCAGGTTTCCAGATATGGTCAGGGCACCATCAAGAATGGATACCCTTTCTAGGGCCATGTCTGGTTATAATCTGTTCACTTTGTTCAGTACAAACGATCACTTCCAGAGCAGAGGCTGGGGTGGAGAGTTTGGAATTTAAGTTTTAACACGTCCTAGAGCCAGTCTCCTTGAGGGCAGGAACCTTATTCTCTTATTCATTACTGCATCCCCAGGCCTTGGAAAAGGACCTGGCTCATAGTTGGTTCTTATTAATTCTGAGAAGGGAAGGAGGAATGACTTCCTTCCGGGGACCCTCCTCAAGCTGGACTGAGCCAGGTCCTATGACCACCTGCGGAAGAGCACCGCAGGGTTTGGGGCCATCTGCAGCAAGACAAGGTGTCATTCAGGCTCCCTGCAGCTCAGCTCTAGCCAATTCTCCTCCTTCCCGCCATGCACACTGCAACTAGTGGAGCAGTTTTCCAGGGTGGCACTTCCCTTTCCCACCCTCCCCCGTTAGGAAAAGCCCTTCTTCTCCTGAGCTCCCATCGCTGCCTGAACCCCACTCGGCCTGGCCCTGCAGAAGCGAAAGCCAGGGACCGGATTTCTCCTGAAGTCTTCTCTGCCAACGACAGTTCCTCTTCCACTCTCCCCCACCCAAGGGCCGCTCCTCTTACAGTAGACAGCGGTGCCTGCATCGAAATGGAATTCAGGAGGAGCACGTGAGGGGGAGGGGAGAGGTGCATTTTGGAGGAACTTGATAGGAGGTGCCTTGGGACACCCTGGAGGCGACGAAGCTGCGTCTCTCAGACTGCCACTCTTACTCCTCGCCCTGTAGCAGAACCCCAACCCCCGGCCTGAGACTCCAGGGATCGGCTGAGCTCGCGGGCTAACGCTGTGAAGCCTGCCCAGCTACCGTGACGTCACGAGACCCCCGCTATCTCGTTGGTGGCTATTTCCTCTCCCGCTGTGGTCCCTGGAGACGCCGGAGGAGATTTCCGTGACAACGGCAAGCTGGCTGCAACGAAGCCGCCCACGTAGGCCTCCCCGGCCTGCTGGAGGAGAGGGGATCCCCCGGGGCAGAGGCGGCTACACCCGGAGAACCCGGAAACCGGAAGCGCAGATCCTGCCGGCTCTGGACTAGCCGCTCAGCACCAGGGCGGAAGGAAGACGAGGCGAGGCAAGCGCCAAGCTTCCATCCGGACTTCAAGGCCAGTGGCTGGGTCTGGTTTTCTCAACACGGCCTCCTAGTCTCCTTCCCGCTTGGGCATCTGTTTTTCTTATATAGACCCTGAAGCCGCCCGTGATGTTCTGTAAGCAGGTTCCGCTTCAGAATCAGAGGTACTTAAGAGGGAACCTGGATGCTAGACCTGCCCTTGCTGCTGGCCTCAGTTTCTTTACCTGTAAAACAGGGATTTTGGAACTGTTAAATTAAATCAAACTTAAAAGAATTACAACTTAAAGCTGCTGGAACTTTACATGATCCCGAGCCTTGAGAGGAATGTGGCTATGCAGCCTGAGTCATGTGGCATGCAGATGCAACCTCTGCCTTTTTCCGCTGTAAATAATTAAGAAGACCAAGTAGCATCCAAGGTAAGACCCCTTTAGATCATTGTCCCTCCTCACAGTCATAATCTTCCTTGGAATGTAGCAATCTGAAACCAACCACATCGTTGTAGGTATGCAACTTGCATGCACATTTGTAATCCTGCTGGAATGTCCCTGCCTCCGTCTATATAATTGAAACCTTAACTTCACCTTGGAAACGCTGACATCATTTGTTTGGAGTCAGCGCTTTCCTGGATGGCCATCCTCAATCTTTGTGTTTAAATAAACTCTATGCTTATTTACATTTTCTGAACTTCATTGTTTAAGGTTGACAGAATGCAGGGGGCAGGGGGACAGTGCAGTGGAGGGACATTAGAACCCCTAGAGTCCTGTGACTCCCAGTCAGAGGGGTCGCTCAGCTGCCAGGTGTCTTTCAAGGGTTCAAGATGAAGTGACGTGCCCCAGGTCCCACAGTGAGGAAGTGGCTGAGTCAGAACATAGGTAATTTCCAGAGCTTCTAATTAGCAATTCACAAGGAGATCCTTCAGAGCCTCTGCTTCCCCATTTGTAGAATGAGGATTGTAAACCCTTCTTCAGTGGGATGCCCCTAGAATTATGTGAAACCACTACAAAAAGTGCCAAACACATGGCTTTTAATAAATGGCCATTATGTCTTTAATTTTTAATAAAGAAAATGGGTTCTTATTAAATTTGTATTCTGTGTTGGGTCATAATGCTTATTCTTCTGTTAACTCGTTCCTCTTTAAGCTAGTCTGGCTTCCTGGTCTTCCTCTCTCCACCTCACCTCCCACTTCTGGAATTCCTAGGGCTTCAGCTTGCTTCTCTCTTACCCTGGTCACTTCACTCTCCCCTCCAGTAGATCTTGAGAGGTCTGTACCTTAATTTGCTAGTCTCCTTCCCGTTCCAGGCATCAGTTTTTTTATATATAGATTTACCCTAGGCCAGGCACAGTGGCACACACCTGTAATCCCAGCACTTTGAAAGGCCAAGGTGGGCGGATCACGAGGTCAGAAGTTCGAGACCAGCCTGGCCAACATGGTGAAACCCTGTCTCTACTAAAAGTACAAAAATTAGCCAGGCATAGTGTGTGTGCCTGTAATCCCAGCTACTCGAGAGGCTGAGGCAGGAGAATCTCTTGAACCCAGGAGGTGGAGATTGTAGTGAGCTGAGATCGTGCCACTGCACTCCAGCCTAGATGACAGAGCAAGACTCGGTCTTGAAAAAAAACAAAAACAAAAATTAGCCGGGCATAGTGCACGCCTGTAATCCCAGTTACTCTGGAGGCTGAGGCAGGGGAATTGCTTGAAACCTGGGAGGCGGGGGTTGCAGTGAGCTGAGATCATGGCACTGCACTCCAGCCTGGGTGACAGTGTAAGACTCCGTCTCAAAAAAAAAAAAAAACAAAAACAACAACAACAACAACAACAACAATCAAAAATAAATAAATAATAAAATAGGAAAAAAGTTAGATTTACTGTAATCTGCTGTAAAATGGGACCCTGTCTCTTACATTCCCTCTGTCCTCACTATTCCCAAAGACAAGGTTACAGAACTTTGCCATAATTAAGGGTTTTGCAGTTTTTATTATGGAAACACAATTGGATGCAAGGAGAATAACAAACTAGAGGTAATTATGGAGCTTAAGGAAATAACACCAAGTCATCTGCCAGATGCTTAGATGTTGGCATCCCTGTGGGTACTGGCCTAAGCTGGCTTCTCACCTCAAGTACCCTCTCTGCAGATAGTTCCTACCTCTTTACTGGCAGCTCAGATCTCTCCTGACCTATGGACTCATGTCCTTCTTCCATTCAAGAGTATTGATCTCTCCACTTCTCTAAGTAGCTCTCAAGAGGAATAAACCAGTGAGAGACAAGCCCCCCATTTCTGACCTAACTTAACAACCTGGAGGTGGGTGAACCAGGCAGGAGCCAGCCAGATTGCAGGGATGCCGACAGTCTCAGTGATGACAGCCCTTTTTAGCTATGGATAACCCAGCATCACTGATCTCAGCTGGTGGCAGGAAGCTATCCCTAGGGTGCATGGAGGTCTGGCAGTTCTTATCTCAGAACCAATAATCCTAGACCAGGGAGACTGGCCTTTAGCCAGGCCTCAAAAACCACTGAAAGAGCTGAGTGATGACAAAGTGAAGTAGCAAGGCTCGTGCTGCTAGGGCTGATGGTTAACGACCTCAGTTTCCTCATCTGTAAACTAGTGAGAAAAATACTATCTGCCTCATGGGTAGTTATGGGGAATGAATGAGTGAATGCATATGAAGCGTTACTAAGTGGTATGTAAATCTTAGCTATTATTATCGTTTGGAGAGGTGAGAAAATGGGGTAGCTTTTTTAGTGGATAAAATAGAAAGATTTTCCACACATATCTCTTCTTTTGCCAATGTGGTCTCTTTATATGAACATATTCGTAAGTTAACCTTTGTTTTTAGTTTCTGTCTTACTGAAAGAATTGCAATATTTACACACTGTCACAGTATAAATGAACTTCTGTTTCATAAATTATGTAGTATTCTTTTTCTTTTTTTTGAGATAGGGTCTCACTCTGTTGCCCAGGCTGGAGTGCAGTGGCACAATCACGACTCACTGCAGATTCAACCTCCCGGGCTCAAGCAATCCTCTTGCCTCAGCCTCTGGAGTAGCTAGGATAATGCCACCATGCCACCATGCCTGGCTAATATTTTATTTTTATTTTATATAGAGACAGGGTCTCATTATGTTGCTGAGGCTGATCTCAATCTCCTGGGCTCAAGCGAACCTCCTGCTTCAGCCTCCCAAAGTGCTGGGATTACAGGTGTGAGCCACTGTGCCCAGCCAACTATGTAGCTTTCATGTACTTATATGCTTCATAGTCTATCAGGCTTCTGACAGTTGCATTTTTCTCCTTTGGAACATCAGCAAGACGTTGGATTTATACTAGGACTAGCCATGTTGGGGGAGGTACCTCTTAACATATTGAGGACATGGAGTTTTGTTTGGAAGGGACTTCAGTTTCCTCTCTACCCACCAAATGCTATGCTTATGCCTATGGCTTGTCCTTCTGGTTGGGCTTATTGAAAGAAAAAAAAAAGAAACTTAGGAGGCAGAAGCTTTGAGGCCAGGGACTGTTGAGTGTGGCATAGTCGGTTGGTCTGTCTGAAGTCACTTGGTTAACTATGTTGAATAGAAAAATACAGTCAAAGAGCCCACCTGCTGTTCTCCAGGGATCCTGAGACGTATGCCACCTCCATGCTGTTACAGTATCAGAGCCCAGAGGGGCGTAGGTGGAAACCTCACAAACAGTCTGGCTTCTTCTAAACCCTTTCAGATGTTGATCCTTTATATATCAAACTTGGAGCACAAGTGCGGCAACTCAACCTGCTGACAGGATTAAACAAGAATACCTGAGGCCAGGTGCGGTGGCTCATGACTGTAATCCCAGCACTTTGGGAGGCCAAGGTGGGTGGATCACTTGAGGTCAGGAGTTCGAGACCAGCCTGACCAGTATGATGAAACCCCATCTCAACTAAAAAGACAAAAATTAGCCAAGTGTGGTGGCACACACCTATAGACCCAGCTACTTGGGAGGCTCAGCCAGGAGAATCGCTTGAACCTGGGAGGTGGAGGTTGCAGTGCACCGAGATCATCCCATTGCACTCCAGCCTGGGCGACAGAGAGAGACCCTGCCTCAAAGAAAAAAAAAAAGAATATCTGTCCTAACCCACCAATCCCATTTCTTTTGCTCTCTTGAAGGAAAAGGGTCCAGGAACTGTTGGCAATTTTTATCCAAAGTAACTGACACAAAGACAAAAATACTTTATCAAAACAAGAGAGACTACAGACTATTTATTAATGCCCTGGAAAACTGGGCATCTTTTGAAATGATGTGGTGTATCTGAAACCCAAATTCTGAAATTAAGTTCCTTGGATACACCAAAAGCAGGGCAATGACATTTATTGGTGTCTTTTGTGTGTCAGTTAACAAAAATGCTTTACATATGTTGAATAATTTTAAGCCCTCAAAACAAAACTATCTTCACTTTTATGGGTCTAGAAAAGGAAGCTCTAAAATTGAGGTCATACCTACAAAGTACCATGACTAACGTGGTTGTGGCTGGAACACCATTCTGGATCTATCTACAGGTTCTTAGGGGAGGCAATCATCTGTTTATCAATAGCTGGGCTGTCTTATAGTGAGTAAAATAGCTAAAAAAAAAAAAAAAAAATATATATATATATATATATATATATATATATGTTTGTTTGTTTGTTTTGTTTTGTTTTGTTTGAGACAGAGTCTTGCCTGTCACCCAGGCTGGAGTGTAGTGGTGCCATATTGGCTCACTGCAACTTCTGCCTCCCAAGTTCAAGCAATTCTCCTGCCTCACCCTCCTGAGTACTTGGGATTACAGATATGCACCACCATGCCTGGCTAACTTTTGTATTTTTAGTAGAGACTGGGTTTCACCATGTTGGTCAGGCTGGTCTCGAACTCCTGACCTCAAGTGATCCACCCACCTTAGCCTCCCAAAGTGCTGGGATTACAGGCGTGAGCCACCGTGCCTGTAAAGATACAAGTTTTATAGATAAGTTAGAAAAATATATATAAGGGAAGGCACAGTGGCTTATGCCTGTAATCCCAGCACTTTGGGAGGGCAAGGAAGGCAGATCACCAAGTCAGGAGTTTGAGACCAGCCTGGCCAATATGGTGAAACCCCACCGCTAGTAGAAATACAAAAATTAGCTGAGCATGATGGCACGTGCCTGTAATCCCAGCTACTTGGGAAGCTGAGGCAGGAGAATCGCTTGAACCCAGGAGGTGGAGGTTGCAGTGAGCCAAGATTGTGCCACTGCACTCCAGCCTGGGTGACAGAGCAAGACTCTGTCTTGAAAAAAAATTTTTTAAATAAAAAGAAAAGAAAAATATATAAGAAAAAGCAAAATAATCAGACATAATCCCCCACCCAAAGTTACCACACAAAACATTTTGGTATTATGAAAACACCAATATATTTACCTGTTTTTGTCATCTGAGCTGTTACAGTGAGCCTTTTTCTAGATCCATAAATGTAGGTCTATGTCATCTATAGTTGGCTGGATAGTATTTCAGTACTTGTCTGTCTCATAAATTATTCATCTGGCTCCCCTATCATTAGACATTTAGGTTGTCTCTAATTTTTATTTATTGTAAATAATGCTTCCATGCATATCTTTGTACATCTTTGGGAGCTTTTGTTTTGTTTCCTTAGGAAAAGTTCTTAAAAGTAGACTTGCAATGTCAAAGGGAATGCATTTTTTTTTGTAAATTTTAAATCTATCTATCTATCTGTCTATCTATCTATCTATCATCTATCTATCTATACACACATAAATAAAATATACAGAAACATTAAAATGGTAGTTATGGAGGGTGGGAGCCCTGCAGGATAGAAGGAAATGGGAAGATGCAGGTCAAAGGGAACAAAGTTGCAGTCTTGTAGGATAAGTAAGGCTATAGATTTAATGTACAGCATGAAAACTATAGCCAATAATATTGTATATCAGTGATTTTCCAAGAGAGTAGGTTTGAAGTGCTCTCATCACGAAAAAGAAAGGTAACTATATGAGATGATGGGTATGTTCATTTGCTTGATAGTAATCAGTTCATTATGTCTATCAAGATAAGTCAGTATATCAAAACATCATGTCATACACCTCAAATACATACAGTAAAAAATTAAAGTATATCACATATACTGAAAGTGCACAAATTATAGTTTGATGAAAAATCATAAAAATGCACCTGTATAAATATGACTCACTCCAGTCCTTCAATGTAAATAAGGAAAAAAATACCTATATATTTGACCCAGATTAAGATATAGAGAAACACCAATACTCTGAACCTCTCTCGTGCTTCCTCCCTGTCTTTTTTTTTGAGACGGAGTCTCACTCTGTCACCCAGGCTTGAGTGCAGTGGCACGATCTCAGCTGGGACTACAGGCGTGCACCACCATGCCCGGCTAATTTTTGTATTTTTAGTAGAGACAGGGTTTTGCCATGTTGGCCAAGCTGGTCTCAAACTCCTGACCTCAGGTGGTCCACCTTGTCCTCCCAAAGTGCTGGGATTACAGGCGTGAGCCACCGCGCCCAGCCCCCTCCTTGTCTTCACGGCACCTCCTTTCCAGACGTAAGCACTCGTCCAACATTTAATATACTAGATTAATTCTGACTTATTTTAGCTTTATATAAATGTAATCATACAGTATGTACTCATTTGTGTCTGATTTCTTTTACTCAATATTATCTTTATAAACTTACTCATGTTGTCAAGTATAGTGGTAGCCCATTCATTTTAATTGCTGTATTTTTGGAGGATAAGCTCTAATATTAAATTATTATTATTATTTTTTTGAGATAGGGTCTCTGTCACCCAGGCTAGAGTGCAGTGGCATGATCATGGCTCACCGCAGCCTCGACCTCCCGGGCTTAGGTGATCCTCCCACTTTGCCTCTCAAGTAGCTGGGACACTGGCATGTGCCACCATGACTAGATAATTTTTGTATTTTTTATAGAGATGGGGTTTCACCATGTTGCCCAGACTGGTCTCAAACTTCTGAGCTCAAGCGATCCACCCACCTTAACCTCCCAAAGTGCTGGCATTACAGGTGTGAGCCACTGCGCCCAGCTAATATTTAATTTTTAAAAAGTGAATACTCACGTGTAACCATCACTCCTTAAGCCTCCTTTGTGCCCTCTACCGATCATTACTTCTTCCAAAGGTAACCGGTCTTCCAATTTCTATCACCCTTGATTTGTTTTACCTACTTTTGAACTTCAGATAAATGGATCATATAATATGTATTATTTGATGACTGGCTTATTCCATTCATCATTATGTCTGATTCATCCATGTTGTTGGGTGTAGCAGGAGTTCATTCTTTATTGCTGTGTGAATACACAACAATTTATTCATCTATTCTACTGTTGATGGATATTTGGATTTTATCTAATTTTAGGTTATTATGGATAATGCTACTAGGAACATCTTGATTTTGAGAATTGTCATTCAGTATTATTAAAATTTTCATGTATGTTGGAAAGTTTTATAGTTTTCTTCACATCATTTCTATGCATTTATGTATTTCTACTTTTATATTTTTAAAGATGAGGGCTTGCTCTGTTGCCTAGGCTGGAGTGCAGCAATATGATTGTAGCTCACTGAAGCCTCAAAGTCTGAGGCTCAAGTGATCCTCCCCCCTTAGCCTCCCAAGTAGCAGGACCATAGACTTGCACCACCACACCAGGCTATTTTTCTTTTTCTATTTTTTTTGTAGAGAGGGAGTTCTCGATATGTTGCCAGACTAACCTTGAACTCCTAGCTTCAATTGATCCTCCTGCCTCAGCCTCCCAAACCTCTGGAATTACAAGTGTTGAGCCACTCACCCAGCTTTGCATTTATTTTTAAGTTTGTTCATAGGTAGTTTATGTCTTTGGTTGTTTATGTTGATTATGTTTGGTTGTTTATTTTTTTTGATAGTTTGTGTTTTTTGGTTGCTTTTGTGAATAGGATCTTCTTCCAGGGAGGTCTTTATATGACACATTGTAAAAGAAACTAATAAATATTTTTTAGAACTTCAGTGTCTTAAGGAAATTTTACTTACCTCTTTTATTTGTAAATAATTATCAAAAAGTTCTGGGACGGTGGTTCACACCTGTAATCCCAGCACTTTGGGAGGCTGAGGCAAGAGGATTGCTTGAACTCATGAGTTGGAGACCAGCCTGGCCAACATGGTGAAACCCCATCTGTATTAAAACTACAAAAAATTACCTGGGCATGGTGGCGCGCTCCTGTAGTCCCAGCTACTCAGGAGGCTGAGGCAGGAGAATCGCTTGAACCCGGGAAGCGGAGGTTGCAGTGAGCTGAGATCGCGCCACTGTGCTCCAGCCTGAGCAACAGAGCAAAACCTTGTCTCAAAATAATAATAATAGTGGTTAAAAATGATCATAGTTGCTTTGTAATGTGTCCTGTTGGCTTTTCATTTCATGGTGGTACAAAGGTAACAGAATTTTGGAGAAATTCCAAATTGCATGGTGGTGTTGAAAGCTTTCCCACTTCAGGAGCTGCTGCAGGAAGTCTCTATTTGGCTGCCAGAAAAGAACACCTAAAAGCTGAGTCACTCAACAGGTGATTATGTACCAGGTACTAAATCTTTAGCACGTAAGTGCTAAACAGAGGGTAGTAAACCCAACAGATGTGCACAAAAAGCATGCATAGAGCTTTCAGCCCATAGAGAGGGGATCGTAGATAAGCCACCATGGGCAAGAGCTTTCAAGGCCTGGGAACCTCATGAGGAAGGCCCTGAAGAGGAAAGGAGATTCATTCTTTGGAGAAGGAGGAGCGCTTCCTGCTGGTGGGATGCGGTGCTGCAGTGAGGGCTGAGTATACTTAGATGTCAAGAGTCCCACGCGCGGTAGTAGCACACACCGGCCTTGGAGGGCGCTGAGACGTGGTCTTCCCACTCTGCCTTAGAGCAGTCGGAAGCACCATTCCGACTTCTGTGGACAAAGCCCTGGAGATTCATGATCAGGTGGTGATTCATGATTCATGATCATGGACGGTACTGCTCCCACCTGGAAGAGACCCAGGAAGGGTTGGTGGGTGTGAAGAGGCTGGAGGCTGCAAGTTGGGGGCTCAGGCGGCTCTGGCTACCAGTGGGGTAGGACTGAAGGCCTCAGACTGGGCTTTGTGGCTGCGGACTGAGTTCGAGCCCCAGCTCTGCCTCTTTCTAATGGTGTGCATTATGGCCAGTCATCTAACTCATGCTCTCTGGGTCCAGTATTGAGCTGGACGTCTGGCACTTTAGCTTCCTACCCAGTAAGGTAGGAAAGAAAACGTTACTGGTGAAATGACCCTTTAAAGCTAAACATAGGAAAATACACTTTAACCTCATAATTTCAAATTCACTGCTTTTTTTTTTTTTGACAGAGTCTCACTTTGTCACCAAGGCTGGAGTGCAGTAGCACAATCTTGGCTCACTGCAACCTCTACCTCCCAGGTTCAAGCGATTCTCCTGCCTCAGCCTCCCGAGTAGCTGGGCTTATAGGTGCACACCACCACACCTGGCTAATTTTTGTATTTGGAACATCAGCAAGACATTGGATTTATACTAGAGATGGGGTTTCTCTATGTTGGGCAGGCTGGTCTCGAACTCCTGGCCTCAGGTGATCCACCCGCCTTGGCCTCCCAAATTGCTGGGAATACAGGCATGAGCCATCGTGCCCAGCCAAGATTCGCTTCATCTTAATTTTTAACAATATTTAATAAGCAGCGACTTGGAATCCTTCAGCTTTTACTTTCTCCCTCTGCTGAGCATTTAAAGATCTATAAATATACACAGGAGAAGCTGCTTCTTAAAGAGATCCTTTTGTAATCTGGGGAATCCTTTAGTTATGAGGATAATTTCACCCTCTAATTTGGTGCAGTAAGAAAATAAATGGTAAGCATGATTACATTTAATCATGTAAAATACTGCCCAGTGTGGGGAAGGGGATGCTTACTCACACAGAAGTCCTTTTATTCACTCTGCTGTGTCATGTGTTTCTGTGACGGGTGTCCTGATGTCCCATCATTCCAAGCACTCTCCTCCCGGAAAGCCATTGTGTGGCCCAAAAGAGATAGAGCATCTGAAAATGATTTTTAGACAAAGGCCAGACAGGTTGAGGATTGTAACTAGGTCGGTGACTTCCTGAGGTCCCTCAACATCTGGACATGCTGGAGGTAGGGGGCTCTAACTGTGGGGCCCATTGAGAAGGTAGAGGACTTGCCCAAAATGAAGACATTCCTGAGGCAGCTGGGGGTGACCTTTGAGATTTCATTATTCTGGCCTGCCCATAGTTCAAAATTTGGCACTAGTTTTCATGGAAAAATGCTGTCTGCCTCAGCCATGAGACCTCTTTCACTGTCTGCAGTTCCGCTTCTACCTGGGCCCAGCTGAGCCAAACTTAGCTCCTGAACACAGGTGGGCCAAGCCACTCCGTGGCTCAGAGATAGGGTGTCCATGTCTCCCAATTTGCCTGTGACACTCCTATTTATGCCTGTTGTCTTTTTTTTTTTTTTTTTTTGAGACCAAGTCTCACTCTGTCGCCCAGGCTGGAGTGCAGTGGCACAATCTCGGCTCACTGCAAGCTCCCCCTCCATGGTTCACGCCGTTCTCCTGCCTCAGCCTCATGAGTAGTTGGGACTACAGGAGCCCGCCACCACGCCCGGCTAATTTTTTTTGTATTTTTTTTTTTTTTTAGTAGAGACGGGGTTTCACCATGTTAGCCAGGATGGTCTCGATCTCCTGACCTCGTGATCCACCCACCTTGGCCTCCCAAAGTTCTGGATTACAGGTGTGAACCACCGCGCCCGGCCGCCTGTTGTCATTAATACTGCCCCGTTCACTCTCCAAAGTGTCACAGTTTGAGCGATAAATTATTTGATCTCCTTATTCAGAATCCTTTCTGCTATTCTCTCAATAGTTTGCAAGATTTGGCAGCCAAGGTTTGCAGAGCAAGGTTCCAGGGACATGACACTGGTTCCTAAAAAGGTAAAAGGAAGAGAGAGTGCAGGAAGGGTCTAAAGCTTTCAACCCAGTGTGGGAAAGACCCAGGAGGCAATAATGCCTGCTCTGGTTCTCTTCCCACCTTCATGGTCACCCTCATTTGTTGAGCTCCTGCATTGCCTCTCCAGGTAGCAGGAATCCAGATACATAAAAGGCAGTGCACTGATCTCATCCGGTGATTAGGAGGAAATCGAACATTCATCCCACATGAGGAACATTTACTGAGCTCTGCCTGGGGCCAGGAATCCAAAAAGAACTTCAGAGAGTAAATAAAGAATTATAATAGAGTGAGGTGAATGCTGTGAGGTAAGCTGAAGGTGTCACAGGAGCCCAAAGGAAGAACTTGCTCACTTTTCCTGTAAAGAGGGTGGGATGCATAATTGGAAAGATGTCACCAAGGAGATGTGTGAGCCTGGCTCTGCAGACAAGACAAGGTATCAGGTACCTCTAAGTGGGGGCAGGGAATTCTCAGCTTTCAAGAGCCAAACAGCCACTATTAGAAGCATGTGTTGGCCAGCAGCAGAGACCCAGGCAGGCAGATGAGGAAGATGAGTTACTTCCCCAAGGGTGGGGCTGGTGCTCCTTCAAGCCCTCCCTCTTAGGGCCAGTTTGTGCCAAGACCTGAGCAGGGGTTGGAGCTGAAGGTCAGCAGCAACTATATGGCCTGCAGAAGAGAAGGGGTGGGGCTGAGTCAGATACACATTTATCTGATATCAGTTCAATTTCCCGGGGGGCAGGGTGGAAATATGGGCACAGTGTGTCCAGGCAGAGAAGCAGAAAACATGGGCCCCAAGGCACTGGTTTATGCCTGACCACAGGGAAAGGTTTAGAAACAAGCCCTGCCTAGTCCACTCCTCCACCCCCCTCCACCCGCCATGATTTGTCCAACGGCTGGCTCCATTTGGCAGTATGCCCCGAGGATCTGGATGCTGAGGATGACTTAGGTTCCAGGGTCTGGCCAAGGTAACCCAGCACTTCAGCCTACATCTTCAGCATCACTGGGCAGGCTTATTAAACACAAGATGCTGGGCCCACCCCTGAGTCTCTGATTCAGCAGGTCTAGAAGGGGGCCCCCTAAATTATGCTTTAACAAGTTCCAGGTGATTCTAGTCCAGGGACCATGTTTTGAGAACCACCAAGGTAATCCAAGCCGGGTATCCTCGTTGACCAGGGGCCCTGGAGATGCTGCCTGGGGCTAAGGCAAGGGCACTGGATTTGAAAGCTGAGGGTTCTGGTTGCGGGCTGGCTCAGGCTACTCGGTTGCCACATGTATAAAAGGGTAATTCTGCATCTTAAATAAGACCTTAGATGTGAAAGCCCTTTGTCAACTGAGAGGTGAGATTTGATGTCAGTTTTTTTACATGCAAACCTAGGGCTGTAAAGTTTGCTCATTTCTCCTAAAATAATTATGGCTGTGGTCTGAGGACCACACGTACAACAGGATCCTCTGGGAAGCTTCCTAGAATGCAGACTTTGCAGCTCTAAATCTTGATGTGGACCCTATCATCACATTTACATTTTCAACACATCTTCAGTGATTCTTGTGCACCCCAAGGAATTTGAAAACCACTTGCTTATGCTGGGGCGGTAGTGAGGGATGGAAAAAAGCTGTTCTTCCGTTTTCTGATCTGCTGTTGGGCCAGGAAGATCCCCCGCCCTCGCCCTGAAGTTTCCTTGCTGCCAGCATCCTTTGGGAACCTCTCATCTCAGGAAGGCTGCCTCTCTGCCCCGTCATTTTCCTCCTGGCTCCCAGCTGCATGCAGGCGCCACCTCCTGGCAACATAGTTCTTTCACTCTTTTTCTCCTGTTGTGTTAATCAGATCCTCCCCACATTAAGTGTTGAGAAAAAGAGCCTTTCCAATGTCAGAAAGAAATGTGATTCTCTTATATTTGAGGGGTTTCGATGCCTCCTTAAATGTCTTCACTTCTTGTGATTTTACTATTCCACTCTCTAAAAAACAACAACAATTAATAAATATATATACGTTTAATTCTTAGTTTTAATTTAATTTTTTTTTTTTTTGAGACAGAGTCTCCCTCGGTTGCTCAGGCTAGAATGCAGTGGTGTGATCTCAGCTCACTGCAACCTCCGCCTCCCAGCATGCACCACCACGCCCAGCTAGTTTTTTTGTGTGTTTTTCATAGAGATGGGGTTTCAGCATGTTGGCCAGGCTGGTCTCCAACTCCTGATCTCAGGTGATCCACCTGCCTCAGCCTCCCAAAGTGCTGAGATTACAGGCATGAGCCACTGTGCCTGGCCTTAGTTTTAATTTTTAATACAGTAAATATCAACATATATATCTCACATAAACAAAAACATTTTGGGGCCGTGTGTGTGTGTGTGTGTGTGTGTGTGTGTGTGTGTGTGTGTCTGTGTGTGTATGTGTGTATTTTTTTTAACTCTAGGTGCTAACCTTAAATAATTCTCCTCTGGGCCAGATGTGGTGGCTCATGCCTGTAATTCCAACACTTTGGGAGGGTGAAGCAAGAGGATCATTGGAGGCCAGGAGCTTGAGACCTGCCTGGGCAAGACCCAGTTTCCGCACACACAAAAAAGAAAAAATTAGCCAGGCATGGTGGCAAGCACCTGTGGTCCCAGCTATTTGAGAGGCTGAAGTGGGAGGATCACTTGAGCACAGGACATGGAGGCTACAGTGAGCTATGATCACACCACTGCACTCCAGCCTGGGTGACAGAGTGAGACCCGGTCTCTAAAAACAATAACAATAATAGTCCTCTGTATATTTTAAGAGAACAAAGGATTCTAAGACCAAAGAGTTTGCGAATCACTGACTTATATATTTATAAAATGGAAACAAAAGTCTCACACTACAATAGTCATCCTTACATCATACAATGCACCCTGAGGCTTTCCTTTCTATTCCATTTTATTTCATCCTTTTAAAAGTACTGATGCTGGCCAAGAAAAGTTCATTTGCGATAGCTTAAAAAGCATTCAACCAAAGTATGGGAACAGTATGTAATTTTCTGGGGTCCACTTTTTATTTAAGTTAAATGTTGTTATTTAAATTTAAAAAGTGCCTAAGGCCACATTAGCCTTAGGATCATGTTCTTTCTTCTAAACAGAGCTGAATTTACCATGCAGTTAGTGAAGCTCAGGTTCAAGGCTCCTGACTTTCACAGGCCCCTCCTGGACCCTCTACCTATTTTTTACCTATAATTTGGCATTCTTTTCTAAAAGATCTGTATCTGTAATCTGTATAAACTTCAGGCCCCACAAAACCCAGATCCACACTTGCTACTAAACTATATTTTTTTCTGTATATAAGCTGGAATGTATTAAAATAACGTAGTTTTTGCTTGCTTTTCTAATTAGAAACAATGATAGTTAATAGTCAATTTTTCTAATTGAAAAAGAGCTGCTGGTTTGCATTAAGTCTCTTTGGTTGAGGAAAGAAACCCACATGAGTTAGTTATATTTCAAGGAAAAGGGAGCTGACTTTAAGGACACATGTGCACTGGAACTACAGAATCATCCAGAACCAGTCTGTTCCTTTCCCCCAGTGGTCACAGGCTCTCTTGCTCACAGCCTCTCTGCTGCTTTCTTGTGAATCTGTCCATTCTGTCCTCCTCCCTTTATGGCTAAGCCTCTTCATACTCATGAGTTGCACATGGCCCACAGGAGACTTTTGCTAGCTCTAATGGTGAATTAGCCCAGTCTCCCTCTATTTCCTAACTATCAGTTCCTCAATGAGGAATCTGATTGGCCCAGCTCAGGTTTCTAAGACATGCCACATCATAGATTGCTGGCCAGTCTGATATAGGCCACCCTTGGATCAAGTGCCCAATAAGCCATAGCTATGGAGAACAGGGTCGTGTGGTACCAACCTTAGTCTGTAGACAGGGCCTTATCCCTTAGAAGAGACTAGTCAGCAACAAGCTCAGCAAACCATCAAACTGATCTGAATTCAAACTTTGATTTTTTGCTCCATATATTTAGTTGGATTTAATATTAATTAATTTATTTTTTCAAGAACCAGAGTCTCACTATGTTGCCCAGGCTGGAGTGCATTGGCTATTCACAGGCACCATCATAGCTCACTGCAGCCTTGAACTCCTGGACTCAAGTGATCCTCCTATCTCAGCCTCCTGAGTGGCTGGGACTACAGATGTGGGTGCCACCACATCTGGCCTGGTGGTTTCCAGGCCAGATGAGTTTTAAAAACTTATCTCTTTTTTGCTTTAATTTTGTTATTTTTTAATTAATTATTTTTTATATAGAGAGATGGGGTCTTGCTATATTGCCCAGGCTGGTCTCAAACTCCTGGGCTCAAGTGATCCTCCCACTCAGACTCCCAAAGTGCTGGGATTACAGGCATGAGCCACCACACCTGGCCAGAACCTATTTTTCCCCCTTCTTTTTCCTTTTAATATATGTAGAGATGAGGTCTTGCTATGTTACCCAGGCTGGTCTCGAACTCCTGTGCTCAAGTGATTCTCCCGCCTCCCAAAGTGCTGGGATTACAAGCATGAGCCACCATGCCCAGCTTGCCAAAACCTATTTCTTTCGGGGCATATTGGTCTTTCTACTGCTTGCCTTTCAATCACTGGAAATTTGATGCAAGTCAAGGATTTTAAAGAAATATGTGCTGCTCTGTCACTCTAAAAGAATGAATAAGAAAAAAAATCAGTAGTACCTGCAAATGGGAAGTTTTATTATGATATGTTTAGCTGCTGGAGAGCTTGAGTTTAATCTTGGCCTTTAACTTATGAGGAGGATACACAAACTCACTGTATGAGTCATTTTCAAAATGTCTCCAATTATTTTGTCCCTTTGATGACATCATAGGATTCTCTGAATGCTTGGTGTGATGTACACCACTCCGTATTATTGCTTTTTTTGTTATTGATGGCAAACATGTCACTATGACTTTTTAAAATAATCTAGAAGCAGAAGCACCACATGAAATGCATTTACAAATTTTAAGTCCTTCTGGGAAAGGCTTAGAAGTTGCAGGAAAGACTACAGGACAGGAAGAGAATTCATGCACAAGCAAGCCTAGGATGGACCTGGCACTATTATGTTTTATAGCTGATCTCAGGCAAACTTCTGAGGTATCACCCTCACTTTGAAAGTAGGCAATATAAGCTTGCTAGAGCCCACTCTTCCTCTGTAGCAGCCAACCCTGTGGGGCAGTGGCTCTTTAAAGTGTGCTTCCAGGGTCTGCAGCATCCGAACCACCTGGGAACTTATTAGGAATGCAAATTCTCTGGTTTTCCCCCAGATCTCTGGTGTTCCCCCAGATCTACTGAATCAGAAACCCTGGGGGAATGGTCTAGAAAGTTGGCTTAACAAACAAGTCGGCTTAACAAGTCCTCCAGGCTATTCTGATGCAGGCAAGGGTTTGAGTACCATTGTTTAGGGCTTGCTTTTCAAAGTGTTAGGATATGCAACATACACCCAATACTTGATGGGGATTACAAGAATCTCTAGCCTGCACCATGGAACTCTCCCACTTTCATGCCTTTATTCAGGTTATTCCTCTAACTAGAATAGTCTTTCTCCAACAGACTCACCTGTTGGTATCTTGTTCATTTTTTTCAAAGCCAAACCAGTTCAATACCTACTTCCTCTAAGATGTTTCTCCCAATCCGCCCATCTCTCTGGAACATGGTGTCTGTCTTTCAACGGGTGCTCAATATACAACAAGTTGTTAGCTAGAAAGTTAGAAGTTGGGAAGTTAGGTAAAAATCATTTGGAATGAGTGTAGTGGGCTGTCTTCCATAATGACTACTAACTGATGTTTCGGGATGGACCTTTCTTTTGTTTTCTGTCATCAAGTCATGCATGTTCCCCATCCAGGCTGGAATTGCTGCTTCTCCTGGAATGTGTTTGCTTAAGATCAAGAATCAGCAAACTATGGTCCATGGGTCAAATGCAACCCACAGGCTATTTTGTACAGCTTCTGAGCTAACAATATTTTTTACAATTTTTAATGATTGGGAAAAAAAGAAAAATAATATTTTGTGATACATGAAAATTACATGAAATTCAAATTCTACCATTCATAAAATAAGAGATCATTGGAACACAGCCACACTTATTTATGTTATCCATGGCTGGTTTCCTGCTACAAGGACGGAGTTGAGTAGCTGCAACAGAGATTGTATGGCCCACAAAGCCAAAATATTTATTGTCTGGCTTCTTACAGAAGAAGTTTGCCAACCCCTACTCTAGGTGACCTCACGTTTCACTCCCTCACTTCGTTCAGGTCTTTGATCAAATGTCACCCTGGTGGGGAGAGGTCTTCCCTGATCTTCCTACTTAAACAGAACATGTTCTCCCTAGCTGCTCTTTGCACTGTTATGTTATGTTGAGCTATTTTTCTTTGTGGCACTTATCCTAAGCTGACGTTATAGAGGTATTTGTTTATTATGAGTCTCTCCTCATAAGAGCCAGCTTCATGAGATCAGGACCTTTCTTTTGGCTCATCTCCTTTTCTTTTTTAATTTTAATGAGAACCTAGAGAAAACACTCCTTTTAAAAAATATTTTTATTTATTTATTTTTTGAAACAGGGTCTCACTCTGTCACCCAGGCTGGAGTACAATAGTGCGATCACAGCTCACTCTAGCCTTCACCTCCTGGGCTCCGGTAATCCTCCGACCTCAGCCTCCTGAGTAGCTAGGACTACAGGTGTGCATCACCATGGCCAGCTAATTTTGTATTTTTGGTAGAGACGGGTTTTTGCTATGTTGCCCAGGCTGCTCTCAAACTCCTGAGCTCAAGGGATCCATCCGACCTCCTCAGCCTCCCAAATTGCTGGGATTACAGGTGTGAGCAACCGCACCTAGCCAGTGTTTTGGCTCATTTCCACATGCTCACAGGCTCTCAATAAACATTCAAATGAATGAATGAATATTCTCTAACAAGAGTATCTCTAAGACCTTCCCTGGTGGTTAGATTATTTTACTTTGATTTTGGGAGGGACAAGGAGCTGATTGAGTGTATTATCTAGACTAAGTTACGTTAACAGAGATCATTAGACTTATTGTTTGCCTTTTACAAAATGATGGATATACATTGTGAAATATTTCTTAATTAAAAGACCTGGAGGCCAAGCATTCAGACTTGGAGGCCATAAATCAAAAATCATTCTTCTGCCAGGCAAGGTGACTCATGCCTGTAATCCCAGCACTTTGGGAGGCTGAGGCGGGTGGATCACTTGAGGTCAGCAGTTCAAGACCAGCCTGACCAACATGGTGAAACCCCATCTCTACTAAAAATACAAAAATTAGCTGGGCGTGGTGGTGGGCGCCTATAATCCCAGCTACTCAGGAGGCAGAGGGGGAGAACTGCTTGAACCTGGGAGGAGGAGGTTGCAGTAAGCCAAGATTGCGCCATTGCACTCCAACCAGGGCAACAGAGCAAGACTCTATCTCAAAAAAAAAAATTTTTTTTTTCTTCTGTTTTTCAATGACAGCATCCAGAGTTGCCAATTGGAATGCAGAAAATTGATTTTGACTGTTTGTTTTTTAAGAGAGCTTAGGGACTATTTTGTCCCATTCTGTTTTATTTCAAAATTCTTCTACATTTTAATCCAATTATATATATATAGAATGTAGGCAAAATATGTGTTCCAACACATAATTGCTATTTACTTTGGGGCAAGGAGTTTTCTGGAAAAGTAGCCAGCATCACTCAAAAGCCTCTAATGACTTTCTCATACCCTCCCATTTCAAAGTCAGATGAGTTGTTTTTAAAGGAATAATTCATCTTCCTCTCCCCCCTTTTCTTTTATAAAGACTTGTCTCTCATAGTTTGCACAAGATCTTTAAAGAAATGGGCTTGAGTTTACCTTGTGCTCAGTGAACAGAGCACCTTTACTAGGAACATGCCTTCTTTTCTCCTGCAGGCAGACAAAACAGAAGAATGTATCTGAGGGATTGGCTCTATTATCATATTAAGGAAATTTATACAAATGACTACTATCTGGAAGAATCTAAATTATAATTTTACTAAGTTATGGTAGTTCTCTCAGGAAGACTCTTCCTTTTGGGATTGTCAATATGGGGAGAATTATGACTTTTGTATTAAATCCTGAAGTATTTGCAGTGGCTCACGCCTGTAATCCTAGCATTTGGGGAGGCTGAGGTGGGCAGATCAACTGAGGTCAGGAATTGCAGACCAGCTTGGCGAACATGGCAAAACCCCATCTCTACTAAAAGTACAAGAACTAGCCGGGTGTGGTGGCGTGTGCCTGTAATCCCAGCTACTCGGGAGGCTGAGACAGGAGAATCACTTAAACCCGGGAGGTAGAGGTTGCGCTGAGCTGAGATTGCACCACTGCACTCCAGCCTGGGCAACAGAGTAAGACTCTGTCTCAAAAAATAATAATAATAAATAAATAAATTCTGAAGTATTTTTCTTGGATATCATGGTCTAAGCCCCACAAAGTGTAAGTGGCTTGGCTGAGGTTACAGCCAAGGGGTCCTTGGTGTCCGGAATTGGTGGGTTCTTGGTCTCACTGACTTCAAGAATGAAGCCACGGTCCCTGGCAGTGAGTATTACAGTTCTTAAAGGCGGCATGTCTGGAGTTTGTTCCTTCTGATGTTTGGATGTGTTTGGAGTTTCTTCCTTCTGGTGGGTTCGTGGTCTCGAGTGAAGCTGCAGACCTTCGCAGTGAGTGTTATAGCTCACAAAGGCAGTATGGACCCAAAGAGTGAGCAGCAGCAAGATTTATTGCAAAGAGCGAAAAAACAAAGCTTCCACAGCGTAAAAGAGGACCCAAGCGGGTTGCCATCACTGGCTCCAGCAGCCTGCTTTTATTCTCTTATCTGGCCCCACCCACATGCTGCTGATTGGTCCATTTTACAGAGAGCCGATTGGTCTGTTTTACAGAAAGCTGATTTGTCTGTTTTGACAGGGTGCTGATTGGTGCGTTTACAATCCCTGAGCTAGACACAAAAGTTCTCCATGTCCCCACTAGATTAACTAGATAGAGTGTCAATTGGTGTATTTACAAACCCTGAGCTAGACACAGAGTGCTGATTGGTACATTTACAAACCTTGAGCTAGATACAGAGTGCCAATTGGTGCATTCACAATCCCTTAGCTAGACATAAAAATTCTCCAAGTCCCCACCAGGTTAGCTAGATAGAGTGCCCATTGGTGCATCCACAAACCCGGAACTAAACACAGGGTGCTGATTGGTGTGTTCACAAACCTTGAACTAGACACAGAGTGCTGATTGATGCACTCACAATCCCTTAACTAGACACAAAGGTTCTCCAAGTCCCCACTAGACTCAAGAGCCCAACTGGCCTCACCCAGTGGATCTCGCACCTGGGCCGCAGGTGGAGCTGCCAGCCAGTCCCGGGCCGTGTGCCCGCACTCCTTAGCCCTTGGGTGGTCGATGGGACCGGACGCCATGGAGCAGGGGGCAGTGCTCATCAGGGAGGCTCAGGCTGCCCAGGAGCCCACGGCGGTGTTGGGGGAGACTCAGACATGGCAGGCTGCAGGTCCCGCGGGGAGGCAGCTAAGGCCCAGCGAGAAATCAAGTGCAGCGCCGGTGGGCCAGCACTGCTGGGGCACCCGGCGCACCCTCCACAGCTGCTGGCCTGGCTGCTAAGCCCCTCACTGCCTGGGCCGGCAGGGCCGGCCCGCCGCTCCGAGTGCGGGGCCCGCCAAGCCCACGCCCACCTGGAACTCTAGCTGGCCTGCAAGCCCCGGGCGCAGCCCCGGTTCCTACCCGTGCCTCTCCTTCCACACATCTCCGCAAGCCGAGGGAGTCGGCTCCGGCCTTGGCCAGCCCAGAGAAGTGCTCCCACGGTGCAGCAGGGGGCTGAAGGGCTTCTCAAGCACGCCAGAATGGGCCCCGAGGCGGAGGAGGCACCGAGAGCGAGCGAGGGCTGCCAGCATGCTGTCACCTCTCACTGCCTCCACCACCAATGCTCATTCCACCTCCCCTTGTACTTCAATACCTCCCTGCGCTTTCCCAGTTTCAACTCACAGAAGGGAAAGCTGCCGGCAGGCCAGCACTGGGGCTCTTTTTGTTTAATATTTGCCTAGTTGTTGAGTAAGGATGGAGACAGACTTAAATCATTAAGTGGGATTTCTATTTTTAGACATTTCTCATTCTGCTGAATAGAAAATTTAAAAAGAGTGCATTCCTGCCTCAAGGAATGGTAGGACTTTTTGAGGCTTAATGACTAAGGGAAACAAACGTGTGCTTCAAAGTACACTGAGCACTTAGGTTCAGTGAATGCTTTCTCAAATACACTTTGGATCTAATATAAGAACTCAGTTTGTCCTGGTGCAGACTTATCTGGGAGCATTAATACTCCTGGGCTTAAACAAACTGCCCCAGAACACAGTGCTGAGAGCAGGAGACCCTGACTGGCCTCAAATCTGTTAAGATGGCAATCAATCATTTAGAAGCTTTACAACCAGGAGAAAAACGAGCGTGAGAGGAAATGTGAAACGATGACACATCATCACTCTCCACTAGAGCCCTCCAGTTTCTGAGAAAGATGGAAACTCTCTCATTGGAAAAGGCAGAAAAATAAACATGCTAACAATGAAAATTCTTAAGATTTTTTTAAAAAGAGAAACTGAGAGGAAAAATCATATCTAAGTTCTTCTAGAAAGATCACAATTTCACAAAACCTATTGTTTGGAACAAAAACCTGGGTTTAAGTTTATTTTATTTAGCTGAGCACATTTAGTAGAATTATTTCAAGTGTCTGCCTTAGTACAGACTTTTCAGAAGTGGGATAAATGTACAGTTTCCTGCTACCTAGAGCTGCTGTGAGAATTAACTAAATTAAAAACCAAAAAATGACAGGCAGTAGATAGACTGAAATCTTTCTCTTAAGAGTTGTGCTATGGCTGAGTGCAGTGGGTCATGCCTATAATTTCAGCACTTTGGGAGGCCGAGGTGGGAGGATCACTTGAGCCCAGCAGTTCAAGACCAGCCAGAGCAACATGGCAAAACCCCAACTCTACAAAAAATACAAAAAAATTAGCTGGGCATGCTGGTGCATGCTTGTAGTCCCAGCTACTAGGGAGGCTGAGGTGGGAGGATCATGTGAACCTGGGGAAGTTGAGGCTACAGTGAGCCATGATCTCACCACTGCACTCCAGCCTGCTGGGCAACAGAGTGAGACCCTGCTTCAAAAGAAAAAAAAAAAGTCGTGCTATGAATTAAAAAAAAAAGAAACTAAAATATTTACTGCATGAAAATGAAAGAATTAGATTGGACTCTACCTGTGCTCTAGTTCCAATTTCACTGTCTCTCTTTAGCCAAGTATCAGAGGCATCTGTTGTTTTGTTGTATAGATGCAAGTTGGGCATCCATGAACCAGCTTATTGGATATTGGTGGTGGTGGTTTTCACTCAGCTCTATTCTGTAGAAATAGTACCCCAATTTTGCTTTGGGGAATCACCCTCCCTGTCTGAGCCCACTTGCTTCAGGTGAACCTGAATCCATCTACAGCCTCCTAGGGAGTAGAAAGTGAGTGAGGCTAAGCTCACCAGCACAGCCTCTTTCCCCAGATGACAGTCATTGGTTCAGGGAAAAAATGCATGACACAAATTAAACCCAGAGTATTAAAAACTTAATTGTTGGTGGGAAATGCCAAATGTTATAACCTTATGGAGGGGAATCCAGCAGTCTCTAAAGAGAAATGATAATAGAATGCAATTAATAATCTGTGGTTTTCTTTTCCTATAAAAGATATTATCAGGAAAATGGGTGAAATTTAAGATCTGTAGATTAGTTGATATTATTGTATCAGTGTTAATATCTTGAGTTTGATAATTTTTATTGTGGTT
Organism: Homo sapiens; assembly: GCF_000001405.40. Classification (NCBI taxonomy): domain Eukaryota; kingdom Metazoa; phylum Chordata; class Mammalia; order Primates; family Hominidae; genus Homo; species Homo sapiens. Next base: position 39,756,393 of record NC_000007.14, read on the forward strand.
AATGTTCTTATTTTAGGTAACACTGAAGTATTTAGACATGTAGGGTCATCACATCTGCAACTTATTTGCCCATGGTTCAGGAACAATTACATTACACACACACACACACACACACACACACACACACACACACACACACCAGATAATAGATATAGAAAGTAGGAGGGCAAGAGAAAGAATGACAAAGCAAACGGGCTAAAAATTTAATAACTGGGGAACTTGAGTAAAGGGTATATAGCAATTCTTTATACTGTTCCCAAAACTCTTCCATAAATCTTTATTATGTTGTAAACCCAGAAAATCTGAGATAGGTCTCAGTTAATTTAGAAAGTTTATTTTGCCAAGGTTGAGGATGCACCCATGACACAGCCTCAGGAAGTCCTGATGACATGTGCCCAAGGTAGTCGGGGCACAGCTTGGTTTTGTACATTTTAGGGAGACATGAAACATCAGTCAATATATGTAAGAAGTACATTGGTTCGATCTGGAAAGGCAGGACAACTCAAAGCAAAGGGAGGAAAACTGGAAGTAGGATGTGGCTTCCAGGTCACAGATAGGTGAGAGACAAAGGTTGCATTCTTTTGAGTTAATACTTGGACTGAGCTAATGTTCATCCTAGGCATCCTCTTCTCAGGGGAAGAAAGAAGCATGATCCGTAGAGCTGCTATGGTGGTCTGATAATGTGAACACCCTCCTGGCCAAAACGTTCCTGCAGCAGATCAAAAATTCCCCACCAAAGACCCCCAGTGGGAAAATAACAATGCAGCCCACTACATATGCAAGACCTTAGGGAAATGATAATAAAAGGGATTAAAGAATCAGTACCCCAAATCCAGAACCTTACCCGAGCATTTGATATACAGCATGGGCAAGATGAAGGGCCTATAGAATTTTTAGACAGATCGAAGGAACAAATGAGACAGTATGCTGATCTAGATCCTGAGGATCCTCTTGGATGGGGAATGTTAAAACTTCATTTTGTTGTTAACAGTTGGCCAGATATTTCAAAGAAATTACAAAAGATGGAAAATTGGAAAGACCATCCTGTGGAGGGTCTGTCCTGCAGGCCCCAGCTCGCATGATGGATGAATAATGTACCCAGACACCGATATTCAGTGAAAGTGCCTCTAGGGATCCGAGCTGCTCACAGACACCAAGGAAGGTGGTGTAAAGAATCAGCAGCCACAGCCCCAATTAGCTGTCCCTGTGGGCATTTATTTGGCACAGTTTTAATGACAAAGGCTTTGAGTCAACACACCTGTGGGTAATTAATCTGGTCGCCCCCACCCCAGGAGAGCTATCCCGCCCTTGAGTGATCAAATGTTAGTTGTAGGACCACATGAGTAAACAAGCTCTTTAGATAAACTTCTCCACATTCCTATGTATCTGCGCCCTAAGCTCTCTGGCTCCTGAAAAGAGGATTTGGCTGCCTTCAGCCAAACTATCTGAAGTTATGCCAAACTTCCTGGCCTTCCAACAAGGTTTGCTTCTTTCTATTCCTATAATTTCTTCTGCCATACTGACTGATCTTCCACACTGTCCCGTGAGTGAATTTCTTAGGGAGGCTCAAAAAGAGTATGTAAGAAGGGACAAAGGAAAACAAAAACAGAAGGCAAAAATTCTGCTGTCCACCATACAACAAAGTACTCAGGGGGCCAGAACCTAAAAAGAGCCTAGGCCCCCACTTTCCAGGCCATATAAAGAACACCAAAAAGTGAAGCTTGGAAACTTAAAATTAGGAAAGGAAGGAAGGATCTCTTTGAAGGCTATAATGCTTTGAAAACTGTTGGCAGTGTGGCATGACTGCTTAAAGTAGATAAAAGCTTGTCATTTTACCCCATCCCGGCGTGACTGTGAAGCTGGTGAGGAAAGAGGAAAAAGGGCAAGTTCGGATGTAAGCTGGGTAGCTGGGACTGGTTGGACAAGGGACCACTCTGGAGGGCTCTTGTGCCCAGTGTTTTCCACTTCAGCCCAGCCACATGTTTATAGCAGCCAGAGTCCTTGCAAAGGTGTGGCTGGCTTCGGTCAGGGCCTTCTAGCACTATCAGCGCACTCCTGCCAGCAGCTCAGCTCCTCTCTGCCAGACCAACTAAGAGTGCTTTGTCCTGGCTGGGACATAGAGGCTGAGAGAGATGGGAGGAGTCATAACACCCAGAAATGAAAATACGGATTTAGAGAAGGAACCAGTAAGTAGGAGACAGAAGTTAAATATAAAAACCAATCAGCTAGTATCAAATTTCTGTTTATTCTGGAAGCAGGAGCAAATCTATTAGGAAGAGATTTAATGCTAAAATTAGGCTTAGGCCTCCAAATCGATCATGGGAAATTCCACTCCTCCCTAAACTTGCTCACCACCGCAGACAAAGAACACATTCATCCCAAGATATGGTCAAAAGATGGGATGAGGAAAGTTACAGATTCCTCTGATTCATGTTAAATTAAATACCCCTGGGGAAGTAGTAAAGAGAAAGCAATACCCTATTCCTTTAGAAGGCAGAGTAAATTTAAAACCTATAATTTAAGGTCTTCTCCGTGATGGGCTTCTTGAACCCTGAATGTCGCCCTATAACACTCCAATACTGCCTGTAAAGGAGCCAGACAGGTCATACTGGTTAGTGCAAGACCTTAGAGCTATTAATCAGATAGTCCAAACTGCACTCCCTGTTGTTCCCAATCCTTATACTATTATCAGTAGGATCCCATACAGCCACAAGTAGTTTACAGTAGTACATTTAAAAGATGCCTTCTGGACTTGTTTGTTAGCAGAGGACAGCCGGGACCTATTTGCCTTTGAGTGGGAAAGCCCTCACTCAATTTCTCAAAAACTATATATTAGATCTGTCTTCTGCCCTCTTCTCCCTTAGGACTCAAGGCATTCTAGCCCAGACTCCAACTCTTGAGTTTCCAGTTCACTACCACCAGCCTAGAGATCACATCCTCATCAGGAGTTGGAAAGAAGGGAAGCTTGAGCCCACTTGGGAAGGACCTTATTTAGTGCTCTTAACAACTGATACAGCAGTTTGGACTGCCAAGAAGGGCTGGACTCATCACACTCAAGTTAAGCGGGCACCACCCTTCCCAGAATCATGGACCCTTGTTCCAGGACCAACTCTTACCAAGCTAAGGCTAAAGAGGGTTTAACCCTCTTATTCTGTATTTATTTCCTCCCCCTACCCCATCCCTAGTCCCCTTATCATTAATGTAACCAAGTCAAGCTCACCCCAAACTATTACCTTTGATGCTTGCCTTGTTATACCCTGTGGAGAGTTGTCAAGTCAAAAGCAACTCTCTTCTTCAGAAAAGTATCTCCATCCTTCCTGGCTTTCCTCAGATTGGGCATTTGTTAATCGGGATAAGTTAGTTTGGGAAGAGTTTGATGAAGACTTCAGTATGAACTGGAAATCTTGTCCTCTTAGAGCAGATCTTCTCTGCCGAAGTTGGTTCAATGTTTGATGAAATACTAAAGAGCAAGAATGGACCACCCCAACTGGTACTTGCAGTTTCTTAAAGCCATATATTCATTTTACTAAAGGAATTACCCCTCCCAATTGTCAGCTGAACCAATGTAATCCAGCACAGATTACCATCCCTGCTCCCCAGAGTTCTTCCCCTTCATTAAGCCATTTCTGTGGTATAGGAGCAGAAGTCTCAGGGAAGGACCCCGCAGGATCCTTTGAAATGCACTTCATTGCTTCCCTACCTCCTGTACCCCCTTCTCCCTCTCCTAAGTTCTCCACTAACCAAACCTTTTCTCGTTGTATACCCAATGATAAACTGAAAGTAGCTGTTATAGAGGTTAAAGATTTAAAACAAATTATAGCCATTGAAACAGGGTAGCAGGACACAAATGCTTGGCTGGAATGGATTAAATATTCTGTTCACACGCTAAACAAAAGCGACTGTTATGCTTGTGTGACAGGCAGGCCAGAGACCCAAATTGTCCCCTTTCCACTCGTGAGGTGGTCCTTTCACAGACCAGGCATGAGCTGTATGGTCCGAGCTCTCTTCCAGAACCCCACAGTCTAAGGCGATGAGTCATGCAAGACTCTTTCACTGCTGTTCCCTGAGGTCAAGAGCCCTGCGGGTCAGCCCCTGAGGACCATCCAGCCTCCAGCCCCTGATGTTAACTTCACCTCATGCCTTTCATGGCAGGGGGAAAAGTTAGCCTTCCTTGGAGACTTAACAGGGTGCAGTGAAACGAAGCCTTTTCAAGAGCTTACTGATCAGTCTGCCCTTGTTCATCCCCGAGCAAATGTTTGGTGGTATTGCGGGAGACTATTGCTGGGTACTCTAACAAGTAACTGGAGCAGCCAGTTCAATTGGCTATCCCTTTCACCTTGGCATTTCATCAACCAAGAAAGTTGAAAACAGAATATTGTAAAAAGAGAGATGTCTCTCACCGATCCTTTGATCCTCATGTTTATATAGATGCTGTCGGAGTACCACTAGGGGTACCAGATGAATTCAAAGACAGAAATCAAATAGCTGCAGGATTCGAGTCCATATTGTTCTGGTTGTCAACTGTAAACAAGAATGTAGCTTAGAAGATAAATTATATCTTTTATAATTAACAACACTTTGTTAATTATACTAGAGATGCTATTAAAGGAATAGTTGAACAATTAGGCCCTACCAGCCAAATGGCCTGGGAAAATAGAATAGCCCTTGACATGATATTAGCTGAAAAAGGCAGGGTTTGTGTCATGATTGGAGTCCAATGTTGTACTTTTATTCCTAATAACACTGCCCCTGATGGAACAATACAAAAGCCTTACAAGGCCTTACCTCCTTATCAAATGAGTTAGCTAAAAATTCTGGAATAAATGACCCCTTTACAAGCCTCATGGAAAAATGGTTTGAGAAATGGAAAGGAATTATGACCTCAATATTCACCTCCCTTGTAATCATTATAGGTATATTCTTGTAGGATGCTGTATCATATTCTGTATTCGTGGTTTAATGCAAACATTTATAGAAACAGCTTTACCAAAACCTCCCTTAGTTCACCCCTGCCTTATTCAGATAAACTCATCCTTCTAGACGCCCAAGAAGAACAGAGCCAAGATATGCTGAGACGTTTTGAAGAGGAAAAACAAACTATAAAATCAAGAGAAGGAAATTGTCAGAGATGATAAATTCCTCTTCAAAAGGTTTTAATTCCCTGTTCTTCCCATTCTTTGTTTCTCTAGTTTCTGTAGTTACCCATGTGTGGTAAACAATCCTTCCCACCCTTGCCGTGCCCTGACAAGCCTAGACGTGCCTTGTGCTATAACGAATAGCCTTTCCCTTCCCACCTAGATAGCTGTGTTCAATTTCAAACATTAGCCAATTGGGTCAGTTTAGACTGTGCGGTCCAACCCCAGCCAATGGAGAAAGCACATAGCAGTAGGAACCAATTGCACTAGGGGTAAAAATCACTGCCCTGCTGCGGGTGTCCATCCCACAGACCCTGTCCAACAACAGATGAATAACATACACTGACACAGATATTATGCATGTCAGTCCAGCTGAGAGTCTGGCCCACTTACAGACTCCCAGAAGAGTGCTGTAAAGAGTTGTAACCATGGTCCCAACTTGCTGGCCCTCCCGGCATTTATACACCACACGTTAAATGACATAAGTATCAAGTAAACACCACTAGAAGGTAATTACCATTGCCGACCCCCGAGTAGAGAGCAATCATGCACCCGCGGATGGTCAAAGGTTTGTCTTAGGACCACATGAGTAAACAAGCTATTTAGATAGACTCCTCTATATTCCTATGTTAATTATCCTTGCTGTAGCTCAAGGAGGATTAGGCTGCCTTCAGCCATATCTCTATCCTGAGGCTTTTGCAAAAACCTTCCAGCTTTCCAAGAAGGTTTGTGTTTATTTTACAATTTTTCCCACCATCCTGACTGATCCCCTACATAAGCTTTGGAAATAGGTGTGAGCCCACATATGATTTTCCTAGTTTCTCCTCCCGCTTCTCTTTCTACTCTCTTGTTAGTATGTTAATTGTTTTCTCTCTCTCAATCTTTTTTCCCCATTTCTTTGGCAGACATTTTTACTTGTCTTGGAAGAGTAGGTGAAGAGTTGTTTTTAGGACTCTTTAAAAGGGTACAGTATAGATGACAGTCTTGGCTAATGGTAGCCAGATTCAGGGAGCCAGGGTCAGCGTGAGTTGGAATCAGTTCAAATTAGCAAAGCACTGGCACTCAGTGGCAGGAATACAAGCGACCACAAAGTGTTAAACACATCTGGAAAGAGATACTGACATCATCCTCAGAATCTGTGGGGAATACACATCGGCTGTAAGACCCATTCCTCTTTGACCCTATAAAGATTCTTTAAAGAATAATACCCTTAGCGGTTTTCTAGCCAGCTTGCCTGTTCATTTATCTTTGAGGACAACATGCCTCGTGGAGCTCCACAGGCCCCAGAGGTGTATGGATTCTGCATTTGAAAGTGCTGAAGCTGAGAGACTGGGTCTTAGTGGACCCCAAGAAGTCTGCTTTTCCTCTACTCATTGTTCCTTTTTTCCCAGCCGCTGGCATTGCTGTTTAAATGGGTTGTTCTTTGCTGTTTAAGTTGTTTCATAGTGGTGTGTCAGGATTTGGGTTTTCTGAATATTTTCCCAGCTGGTGACTCGAGTGGTGGTTAGGGAGGAGCTATTTTAGGGCTGTTCTGGAGCTGTTGAGGTCGGGTGTCTGGGTACTCACAGCGCATCTGTTGAGGAGAATGCTGTTCTCATTGTGCTGCCTTTTGTAGTGCTGTGTGTGGCCCTTTAGATGTGGGTGGAGGTGAGTTGGGGGAGTTAATGAGATCTTTTTTAGGTGCTTTTGATGAAGTAGCCTGCACTACAGGATTCATTGTGACTTTTGTCCTTAACCGGCACATATTTCTTTGCCAGCATTTGCTGTCTTTCTCTTGCCTTTGATTTTCCCAGCTCCTCTTGGTTGAATTAACATAAGTGCTCTGCTATGGTTTAAATGTGTCCCCCAAAGTTTATGTGCTGGAAACTCAGTCCTCAATGCAACAGTTGGGATGTGGGGCCTAATAAGAGGGCCCTCATGAATGAGTTAATGTTGTTATTGTGGTAATAGATTAGTAATCACAGAGTGGGCTTATTATAAAACAGAGTTCAGCCCCTTTTGCCCTCTTGCTTTCTTGCAGTCTCTTGTCCTTCTGCCTGCTGTTGTGGGATGATGTGTAGAGGAAGATAGTCTTCCTCTACACAGCAAGAAGATCCCTACCAGATGCAGCCCTCTCAACCTTGGACTTCCTGACATCCAGAACTGTAAGAAATAAAATTTGTTCCTTTTCTTTTCTTTTCTTTCCTTTTCTTCCTCCATTCCCTGCTCCTCCCTTCTCTTGCCTTCCCCTCCCTCCCTCTCTCTCTCCCTACCTCCTTCTCTCCCTTCCTCCTTCCCTCTTTCCCTCTTTCCCTTCCTTCCCTTCCTTTCTTTCCTTCCCTTCCTTCCATTCCTTCCCTTCCTTTCCTCCTTCCCTCCTTCCCTCCTTCCTTTTTTCCTTCTTGTAAATTATGCAGTCTGTGGCATTCTTTTATAGCAGCATGAAATGGACAAAGACAGGCTCCATTTTCAAGAGCAAGCACTTTTGTAGTTTCTGAGCGAATTATGACTGCAAACGAAGTTCTGTAGGTAGCCTCAGATCCACCATCTAGGAAGCATGCTACCAAGCAGACCTAGGATCTAGGATTTGATCAAGTGCTGGGCAACATGATACCTCTGCAATTTAGCACCTCCTTATATACCTCCAGTTGGCTCAGCCCATCAGGGCTAAAACTACTCCTCATATCCTAGTGTCTCTTGTAGGCAGAAGCCCTGCCTAAACCCTAAGCTGCTTGGCTCACATTCTGTCTTGTGCTTTTTTTTTGTAGGGGGTTCAAATATACACAAAAGAAATATGATGAACCTTCATGTACCCAACCCGCAGATTAAGCAGTTACCTCCATTTTTCCAGATTTGTTTCATCTGCTTCAATCTCCCTAAAAATTTATGTTTGTACAGGAAAAACTGAAAAAATAGCTAATTCTCCACCTAACCTCTCACTTTAAGTCACTTTTCAGAGTAATAAGTTAGTGACCTACTAACCTTCACTCTAGTGACCAATAGTTTTTTTTTTTCTGAATACCATTATGAACTCGTAGATTATTGTTTGCATTTGATGTATTTCAGGCCATTGCAGTCTTTATTGTTTTGGATGCTTACATTGTCTCATCTAGGTTAATAATTATCTCTTCAAGTTGACTCTTACGTCTTTTTGATGTGATCCTGTTGGACTTTGATGGCTTCCTTGCTTTCTGGCAAAAAAGATGTTCCAGGATCAATATACTGTTCCATACATGGAGTCAGCCATTTCTCTAGGAGGCCTTGATTCCTTTTAGTAGAGAACGCAGTTTGGGATCTTGGACTGAATGACTTTTGTGAACCTTCTCTTCTGAAACTACAGCCTGCATCCCTGCATATAGCCCGTTTGGAGCTCTTGCTGGGCACCAACAGATCTCCTAAAACTGCTATATAGTTCTGCCTCACTCTTACAAAGATTCATCTCTTGAGAGTTTTGTGCTCTACCCCCAGATGTGGTCTTTCTGGTTCTGAAGCTTTTGTTTCAGTCACCCTGAATTTCACCAGCCCTATGCATGCTATACCTTGGATTGCCAACCCGCCCTCAGTGGAGCCTCTTTGGTTAGAATAGTTGCCACAACCCATGCCTAATACTCTAGTAAAGAAGGTTCTACCTAGGCTTAGGTTAACTTTTGCTCCTTTGGGCCCTGTGTTCTACCAGCATTCCATTTATCTGAAACTCTTCTTCACCTCAAGAACTTATCTGTTCTTTAATGGTTTACTGCTGCTTCCTGGGTTCGCAAGAACCTGGTTCAAGAGTTTCTGTTTTAGTTTGAGATCTTATAGGCCTGTCTCATCAGGTTGGTGTCAGCCTAGCTAGGATTAGGCAGAATTGGGTGGGGGTTGTAGTGCATTTTTGGCACAGCATGTACCTGTCTGACTAATTCTCTGTCTTTTCTTTCCTGTTGCAATTAATGGGTCTTAGCATCTTCTGAATGGTGTTTAGTAGGTCATCCTGCTGATTTCCTCCTAGGGAGTAGCATACTCTGGCTCTGTACCATTGGCCAAGGGACTTAAGGATGGGTGACAGGCTGCAGTTTTGTTAAACAGAACAATATGAAGAGATGGCATTGTAAAAAAAAAAACAAAAAAAACAAAAACAAAAAAAAAGGCTTGGCAGCAGGGCCCATTTGAATGGTTAGTCCTTGGCTCCCGTGTTGATATAGGCAGATCCTTCATGGGAATTTGGAATGATCCCAAATATTGTAGATCACTGGTACATCAAGTCATCCTCAGGGTTGTCTGTGTAACAGTCTTGAATGATATTTTGTGAATCTTTGGAGATTCTCTGCATAGGGTTTAATCATTTAGTTATTTCAGTCGAGCCTGTTTAGTTTCTTTGCAAGGAGATAAGAAATGTGAAAGAGATGCAGACATTGGGAAATGCCAGGAGCCTTGTTTCCCCACCCTCTACTTGGGTTCTGGAACTGGACTCATCGGTGAGTAGTGAGGAGCTGGGCCCAAGTTCATTAATCCTAGATCTAGCTCTGCTTTGTGCTCGCTCCAGTTCTTGTATCAAATTCACTTCAAGCCACGCAGAGTAGTATGTAGAGGAGTCATTCAGGACTGTGCTTATAGTTCATTATATCAAATGGGAGATCCAGTAATTTATAGCCTAGTATTTCTGGAGTCTGGAGATGGCTCTGCATAAGCTTTGCTGAAGTAGATTTTATTACATTAGAAGAGAACCTAGCTGGCTGCATCCTACATTGGAAGCTTTTAGATGCTAATAAGGAGGTCATATAAAGGTCACAAAATGACTCTGGAATTCATTTCCCCCGAAAAAAGAATAATGACATTCTGCATTGGCCTCTTTTCATTTCCCTTTGATTTTGAGTAATAAATTATCTCCTCACTTCCCAGCTGAACAGTTTGGGAGTCTCTATTCCCTAGAAAGACTCTGGTCACATACCCATCAGATTAAATTAGGTGAAAACTCTTTGGCCTTAATGAATGTTGAAGGATTTCAAACGGCTAATGGAAATTCTTCTAGAAGTAACTGCAACCTCTGCCTTCCAGATTCAAGCAATTTTCCTGCCTCAGCCTCCCAAGTAGCTGGGATTACAGGCATCCACCACCACGCCCAGCTAATTTTTTTATTTTTAGTAGAGACGAGGTTTCACCATGTTGGCCAGGTTCGACCTCAGGTGATCCACCTGCCTCGGCCTCCCAAAGTGCTGGGATTACAGGCATGATCCACTGTGCCCAGTTAAACTCCAGTTTTTCATGTTCCATGCATAGGTCAGGGTCTTAGGGAGTGATTCATTCTAGCAGAACTCCCTGGATTTTAAGGCAAGTGTTCCATTTATTAATTGACAAAGGACGCATATTTCTCTTCTGGTAACCTAAAGATTTAGGTCGTTTTCCCAGGGACTCTGTTTCCACTATGAGAGTTCTTGGAAAACTAAGCAAAGGATGAGGAAAAGTCTGTGAACAAGCTTGCAGGTCTCTCCCTGTCCTACAAAAGAGCATACCTCTTCTGTAACCAGAAGACCCTTTTTTTTTTTGATTAGTCAAGGCTGGACAGACTGAGATGAGGGTGTGTGTGGGTGTGTGTATGTTGAGACAGGGTCTCACTCTGTCACCCAGGCTGGAGTGCAGTGGTGAGATCAGAGCTCACTGCAGCTTCCACTTCCTGGGCTCAAGCAATCCTCCTATTTCAGCCTCCAGAGTAGCTGGGACTATAGGAATGTGTTATCACACCCAGCTCATTTTCTAATTTTTTGTAGAGATGAGGTTTCACTGTGTTGCCCAGGCTGGTCTGGAACTCCTGGCCTCAGGGGATTCTCCTGCCTTAGTCTCCCAGTGGGCTGGGATTATAGGTATGAGCCACCTTAACTGACCTGTGATGATTTTTCAACAATGTAATTTCTCTTTTACAGAGTCACCTAAGCTGAAGATTCCCTTGAGAACAAGTACTGTCCTGTGGTTTCATGGCCTTTCTTCCATTTGTGGTTCTTGCCAAGCGGAATTTAAATGACATCTTATCAAGATGGATAAACCCTAGTTTCCCAGTGCTGGAATATAGAAAATGGATGGACAAGTAAATCCCACTCAGCACCCATAGCCCAGGCATGGGGACCTCAACACATTTGAGCCGCAGAGATCACCTTTCATTGTGAATAGCTCTGAGATGATACTTCTGGTTGGTAAGTGCCCACTGGCAATAGTTTATATAACAGCAAGTGAAGGAATAAATAGTCACCAAAACATTTTCTGTCCCTAATTCCAGCATAAATTGGATTAGATAGTTATTTTATGAAGAATTTCCTATGCCACAGTCCTGACCATATCTTCAAGTGAACAGAAAAATTTGATTAAAAAGTCAACCTTCTGTCTCACTCTGTTGCCCAGACTGGACTGCAGTGGTGCAGTTATGGCTCACTGCAGCCTCAATCTCCTGGGCTCAAGCAGTCCTCCTCCCTCAGCCTCACAAGTAGCTGGGACTACAGGTACTTGTCACCACACCTCACTAATTTTCGTATTTTTTTAAATATGTGGATTCCACAGGACTGACTTCAAAAACTTGAGTATGTGTGGATTTTGGTATACACAGAAATGGGGGAGCTGGAATTAATCCCGCCATATACCAAGGGACAAATTGTATATATTTTTACAATTATACTGTAGGATACATTACATTCCATGACAATGGTAGTTTTTAATAACAATTTTTAATTGAGTGAAATTACCATAAAAATAACAATAGTAGCAGCTAATATTTACTGAGCTGTTACTAGGTGCGTATAAATACCATAGATTTTTAAATTCCCTGTAACTCTTCCTTATTTCACTTAACCACTCTATCTTAAATTACTCATGCTTGCTCCAGTAACACACATACTTAAGTTGGAACAATAGAGAGATTGGCATGGCCTCTCTGAAAGAATGACATGCAAATTTGTGAAGCATTCCATATTTTTTTAAAAAAGAGAAAAAAATTACTCCCAGATTTTCACTGTATTTGTGCATATGACCTTTTGTTTAGGTTGAATTATATTCAAAGATGATATTTTCAGAAGTGAGATTACTGTGAGTCGCAGGGTATGAGCATTCTTACTACTCTTGATGTAAATTGCCGAGCTTTCAGGCACGGTGGCTGTCAGCCTGTAATTCTAGCACTTTGGGAGCTGAGGTGGGAGGATTTCTTGAGGCCAGGAGGTGGAGGAGGCAGTATAATCAGTCACTGTCTGTATTATTTTAAAAAAATTTCCAAGCTTTATCCTGGAAGGCTTGTATACAATTTAAACACCACTAATACTACAAGAAAATGGCCATTTCACTGCACCTTCGCTGGCACAGGTATTATAATTTAACAAGTTATTTTCTGTGTGATAAATAAAAGACCTCATATTACTTTGTCATTTTTTTTTTTTCTTTTTGTGACATAGTCTCGCTCTGTCACCCAGGCTGGAGTGCAGTGGTGTGATTTTGGCTTACTGCAACCTCTGCCTCCCAGGTTCAAGTGATTCTCCTGCCTCAGCCTTCTGAGTAGCTGGGATTACAGGCGCACACCACCACGCCCAGCTAATTATTATTATTATTATTATTATTATACTTTAAGTTTTAGGGTACATGTGCACAACATGAGGTTTGTTACATATGTATACGTGTGCCATGTTGGTGTGCTGCACCCATTAACTTGTCATTTAGCATTAGGTATATCTCCTAATGCTATCCCTCCCCCTTCCCCACCTCACAACAGTCCCCAGTGTGTGATGTTGTCCTTCCTGTGTCCATGTGTTCTCATTGTTCAATTCCCACCTATGAGTGAGAACATGCGGTGTTTGGTTTTTTGTCCTTGCAATAGTTTGTTGAGAATGATGGTTTCCAGCTTCATCCATGTCCCTACAAAGGACATGAACTCATCATTTTTTATGGCTGCATAGTATTCCATGGTGTATATATGCCACATTTTCTTAATCCAGTCTATCATTGTTGGACATTTGGGTTGGTTCCAAGTCTTTGCTATTGTGAATAGTGCCACAGTAAACATACATGTGCATGTGTCTTTATAACAGCATGCTAATTTTTGTATTTTTAGTACAGACAGGGTTTCACCATGTTGATCAGGCTGGTCTCGAACTCCTGACCTCGTGATCTACCCACCTCAGCCTCCCAAAGTGCTGGATTACAGGCGTGAGCCACACGCCCGGCCTATTTGTCACATGTTTTATCTTTTCTTATGTTAGCTTATTAGCTTTATTTCTTTATTGTCCTTTTTTTTTTTTTTGAGATGAAGTCTTGCTCTCTCTCCCAGGCTTGAGTGTAGTGGCACAGTCTCAACTCACTGCAGCCTTGACCTCCTGGACTCAGGTGATCCTTCCACCTCAGTAGTTGGGACTATAGGCACATGCCACTATGCCTGGCCAATATTTTTTTAATTTTTAGTAGAGATGAGGTCTTGCTTTGTTTCTTAGGGTGGTCTGGAACTCCTGGCCTCAAGCGATCCCCCCAACGCCCCATCCCAAAGTACTGGTATTATAAGCGTGAGCCACCATGCCTGGGCTGTCCGTGTCTTTTCCATTTATTTATAGAGTTAATTTGTCTTTTACTAATTCAATGATCTGTTTAATCTTTTATTAAATTATAAAAATAGTAAATACTTTTAAATAAAGAAGTGAAGAATTTCCTTCACTCTTTAGACCCATAATCTTATCTCAGGAAATAATTGCTATTGAGAAAACGGGCCATATCCTTCAAGATACATACACGGTGATTGAACATCAGTTCACATTTTCATATTTTGTGGACATTTGTGCCAATACCTGTTGATCTATCTTAATCCTTTTCATGGTTACATAATATTTTATTATATGGATGTATCACAATTTACCAGTCAGCTGCTGTAGGCATTTAGGCTCCTTCTAATATTTGCTTTGAGCTCTTTATAATTAAAAATTAACCCCCTCAGCCAGGTGTGGCACTCACACCTGTAATCCCAGCACTTTGGAAGGCTGAGGTGGGAGAACTGCCTGAGTGTAGGAGATCACCACCAGCCTGGTCAACATAGCGACACTTTGTCTCTACTAAAAATTAAAAAATAAAATGAGCTACACATTGCAGTACACACCTGTTGTCCCAGCTACTGGGGAGGCTAAGACTGAAGGATCACTTGAGCCTAGAAGGTTGAGGCTGCAGTAAGCTATGATCATACTACTGCACTTTAGCTCTGGTAAGAGCAAGACTGTGTTTCTTAAATAAAATAAACATTAGATGGGAATATTGCTCAAGCCCTGGAGGTTGAGGCTGCAGTTAACTGTGATTGCACCACTGCAGTCCAGCCTAGGCGATAGAGCAAGACCCTTTCTCTAAAAATAAAATAAAATAAAAATTAACCTTCCATCATATTTCCCAGTAACGCCTTCCCTCCTACATTTCTCCTAGAAGCCCTTGAATTTTGTTTGTTTTTCACATACCATTTAAAACTTTCAAGTACTGATGTCTGTCTGTGTCATCCCTCTTTTTTTTTTTCTTTTAAAGAATGTCTTTTTGTCACTTCCGGCTGGATCTACCATGAAAGATTTCTGAATCCAGGAAGAGAGATTGACTGGGCAACATGTTATTCAGGTACAAAAAGACTTGGACTATAACTCAAAAATGATCAAATAATACTGCATGCATCAAATGCAGTGGAAGCTCTTCTGGAGAGTGAGAGAAGCTTCCAGTTAAAGTGACATTGAAACCAGGTCCTGAAAGATGAGGAAGAGTTGTATGAGAGTGGGGAGGGAAAGGGGAGGTGGAGGGATGGGCAATGGGCTGGGATGGGATGGAGTGAGCTACCCAGGCAGGGAAACCAGCACTGTACAGACCCGAACAATGAAGATGGCACATTTTGTTCAGGGAATGGTGAATTAAGTGTGGCAGGAATGCTTTGGAGAGATGGTCATTTGCTTGTATGGAATTTTGCCCAAGAGACCTCATTACAGTTTCTAATTTTTTGATGTTATCATGCATCACTGCCCTTGTCAAATAGTATGATAATCACAATAACATCAAACATAATATTTCATTGATCTCACAAAAACAGGTGGGTGCCACAGTTATCCCCATTATACGCGCAAAATGATGAAGACTTGGGGTTAATGAGCAATTTGCCCAACCTCACCTGGGTATTAAGACTGAGTCACATGTTAGGTCTGGTCTGACTTTAATGCTTGCCTTGTTCATGAGCACCATGCATTGCCTCTCCTATGCAGTTAAGCAGGTAGACAGGTGAGAGAAGAACTCATGTTTCTCTCTACTCACACACTACTGACCAAGTATGTGTGTGGAGTTTCTACACCAATTCTCCAACTGTTTGGATACCAACTGCGTATCCCACAATTCCATTCTGACACTACCTGGAGTTAGTGCAGACCCCACAGATTAGGGGCTCAGTCCCACAAGACCACCCTCACTTCAGATGCCAATTGCAAGTCCTAGGTTGTCACTTGTATTTTGACCAACCAGTTAGAAATCAGGGTTTCCCATGACCCTCTTCTTGAGTTTAATTATTTACTAGAACAACTCACAGAACTTAGAAAAACAGGTTTTTTTCTTTTCTTTTAAGAGACAGGGCCTCACTCTGTTGTCCAGGCTGGTGTGCAGTGGTGCAGTCATAGCTCATTGAAGCCTCAGCCTCCAGGGCTCAAGTGATTCTCCTGCTTCAGCCTCTCAAGTAGCTGGAATTACAGGGTTCCCACCACCACATCTGGCTAATTTCTTTTAATTTTTGTATAGATGGGGTCTTATGTTGCCCAGGCTGGTCTCAAATTCCTAGGCTCAAGTGATTCCGCCCACCTCTGCCTCCCAAAGTGCTGGGTTTACAGGCATGAGCCACCATATCTGGCCAGCTTATTTTCTATTACTTGCTCAATGTAAAGGCTCCATCTCAGGAACAGCCGATGAAAGAGATGCACAGGACAAGGTAAGTGGGGAGGGGCACAGAGCTTCCATGCCCTCTGTTGGGCATGCTACCCTCCCAGCACCTCCTTGTGTTCAGCAACACAAGGTTCTCCAAACCCTGTTATTTGGGTTTTTATGGAGGCCTGATTGATTGGCCATTGGTAGTTAAGTCAATCTCCAGTCCCTTTTGCCTCCTGGAGTTCAGCAGGTGAGGCTGAAAGTTCCAAGCCTCAAAAAATGTGGTTGGAGCTGGGCGCAGTGGCTCATGCCTGTAATCCTAGCACTTTGGGAGTCCGAGGCATGTGGATCACTTGAGGTCAGGAGTTTGAGACCAGCCTGACCAACATGGTGAAACCCCGTCTCTACTAAAAATAACAAAAATTAGCTGGGCATTGTGGTGCATCCCTATAATTCCAGCTACTTAGGAGGTGGAGGCAGGAGAATTGCTTGAACGTGGGAGGCGGAGGTTGCAGTGAGCTGAGACTGTGCCGTTGCACTCCAGCTTGGGCTACAAGAGCCAAACTCCATTTAAAAAAAATGTGGTTGGTTCCTCTGGCAGCCAGCCCTCCTCCTGAAGCAGTCTAGGAGCTTGCAGCCACCCTGTCAGCTCAACAGCATCCCACTTGCATTCTTACCATGCTACAGATCTGAAAGACCTTAGAGGCCCTTGTGTCAGGAACCTGGGACTAAGACTAAATATTAAAACAGAAAGTGCTCATATTACCTTTGTCACTAAGGACTTTATAAGAGCTTTAGAAGCTCTATGCCAGGAACCAGGGGCAGAGACCAAATGTATATTTCTTTTCTTATATTTGAGACAGAGTCTCTCTCTGCCACCAAGGCTGGAGTGCCGTGATGTGATCATAGCTCACTGCAGCCTTGACCTCCTAGGCTAAAGTGATCCTCCCACCTTAGCCTCTCCAGTAGCTGGAACTACAGGCTTGCATCACCATGTCCAGCTGATTTTAATTTTAATTTTGTAAAGGCAGGGTCTTCCTATGTTCCCCAGGCTGATCTCTAACTCTTGGCCTCAAGCAATCCTTCCTCTTTGGCCTCCCAAAGTGTTGGGATTACAGATGGGAGCCCCCATGCCCACCAATCACAAGGATCTTTATAAGAGAAACAAGGAGGTAAGAGAGTCAGAATTAGAGAAGGAGATGTGGTGAAGGAAGAAGAGGTCAGAGAGGGAGATTTGAAGATGCTGCACTTCTGGCCTTGAATATGGAGTCAGAGGCCATCTTCAAGGTGAGTCAAGGAATGGGGGTGGCTTCTAGAAGCTGGAAAAGGCAAAGGAGCTCATTCTCTCTAGAGTCTCCAGAAGGAATGCAGCCCCTCTGACACCTTGACTTTAGCCTTAATAGACCTAGTTGGGCTTCTGGTCCGTAGAACTGTAAGGTGGTAGATTTATGATGTTTCAAGCCACTAAATGTAGGGTAGTTTGTTGTAGCAGCAAGTAAAAAATGAACATGAAGCCAGGGCTTCATGTTACAGTTGCTCATGCCTGTAATCCCAGGACTTTAGGAGGCTGAGGTAGGAGGATTGCTTGAGCCCAGGAGCTTAAGACCAGCCTGGGCAACATAATGAGACCTCATGTCTAAAAGAATTTTTTTAAAAAGGCCAGGCGCAGTGGCTCACATTTGTAATCCCAGCACTTTGGGAGGTGGAGGCGGGTGGATCACGAGGTCAGAAGTTCAAGACCAGCATGGCCAAGATGGTGAAACCCCATCTCTACTAAAAATACAAAAATTATCCAGGTGTGGTGGTAGGTGTAATCCCAGCTACTCGGGAGGGTGAGGCAGAGAATCACTTGAACCTGAAAGGCAGACATTGCAGTGAGCTGAGATCGTGCTGTTGCACTTCAGCCTGGGCGACCGAGACTATGTCTCAAAAAAAAAAAAAAAAAATTAGCCAGGTGTTGTGGCATGCAGCTGTAGTCTCAGTTCCTAGGGAAGCTGAGGTGGGAGAATTGTTTAAGCCTAGGAGGTTGAAGTTGCTGTGAGCTATGATTGCACCACTGTACTGCAGCCTGGGCAATAGAGCAAGACCTTGTTTCAAAAAGAAAGAAAGAAATGAGCATGGTGGGAATGGGGACAGATGGCAATGTTAAGTAGCGTGGTCAGGGTTGGCCTCATAAGTGAATATTGAGCAAAAGTTTGAAGCAGGTGATGGAGCTGGCCAAAGTGCTGAGGGAAAAGCATTGTAGGCTGAGTCAACAGGATAAAGGCATTAGGAGGAAATTCCCTGGTGTGTCTGAGGCTCTGGAAGGCCAGTGGAGCAAAGAGATAGAGGGAGCGAAGTCGGCAAGGAGGCCAGGGAGTTGCTGGGCTGGGATCGGTACAGACCGTGTAAGCCCTGGGACACTGTTGCTGGGGCTTTGGCTTTTACTCTGACTAAAATGGGAACCACCGAGGGCTTCTGAGCCGAGAGGCGACGTGATCTGTCTCCTGATTTAAAAGCACGCCCTGGCTGCCAAGTTGAGAAGACTATGGGAAGATTTGGGTAGAAGCATGGGGGCCAAGCTGTGGCAACATCCCGGTGGGAGAGGATAGTGATCCTGACCGGGTGCACGGTGGTGGTGAGAGATGGTCAGAGCCTGGATACATGTTGAAGTCAGTCAGTAGGATTTCCTGACATTACCCAAAGCTGTGAGAGAAGGCAGGGGTCAAGGTTGAGTTTGATTCTAATTGAATTATTAAGTAATTTTAAAAAACACTACTGCCTTTCCCAATCCTACCAAGTAAAGGATGCTAGATAAAAGAAATCTCAAGTCAGGCCAGGTGCAGTGGCTCACACCTATAGTTCCAACAGTTTGAGAGGCAGAGATGGGAGTATGTTTTAAGGCCATGAGTTTGAGAGCAGCCTGGGCAACATAGCAAGACCGCTCTACAAAAATAAAAGAAATAAATATAATAAAATAAATATAGCCAAGCATGATGGTGTGTACCTGTGGCCCCACTTACTCAGGAGGCTGAGATGGGCAGATCTCTTGATTCTAGGAGTTTGAGGCCAGCTTGGGCAACATATCAAGATTTCTCTCTCTACAAAAATTGAAAGAAAAAAAAAAGCCTGACATGGTGGTACTTGCCTGTATTCCCAGGTATTGGGGCAGCTGAGGCAGGAGCATCTCTTGAGCCCAGTTGGTCAAGGCTGCAGTGAGCTATGATTATACCACTGCACTCCATCCTGGGTGACAGAGTGGGACCCTGTCTCAAAATACAAATACAAATGAAATGAAATCTCAAGTCAGACCAGTCCCTTCTAGGCTATGTAGGCCTTGCAACCACATAGCTGTGTGATCTGGTTTGTGTGGCTGTGGATGAGGAAACCCCTGCCAATTGTTATTGGCTATATAATCAGTTTATTTTTCAATATAGTAATCAAATATATTTCATCATATTTGATGGTCTCAAATATGTGTGGGTTTTGGAATTCCCCTTGGAACAGGTTGTAACATCTTATTGGCTCCATCATTCCATAATTTTTTGAATCTGATCAGTTTTTAATAAGGTCAGAATTGATATTAGACTACCTAATCAGTTTTTAATGAGAAAATGAAATTGTGTTGTTTGCACTTTATCCAAGATTGGTGTCATATTGGCTAAATCTAATCAATACTTGAACAAATGCAAAATTAGAGCTTCTTTATCATGAAACACTATGTCATTCTTTAAGAAGATGCCATTTTTTTTTTTTTTTTTTTAAGATAGAGTCTTGCTCTTGTCGCCCAGGCTGGAGTGCAGTGGTGCGATTTTGGCTCACTGCAACCCTTGCCTTCTGGGTTCAAGCAATTCTCCTGCCTCAGCCTCCCGAGTAGCTGGGATTACAGGTGCCCGCCACCCAGATGATTTTTGTATTTTTAGTAGAGATGGGGTTTCACCATGTTGGCCAGGCTCATCTCGAACTCCTGAACTCAAGTGATCTGCCTGCCTCAGCCTCCCAAAATGCAGGGATTACAGACATGAGCTACCACTCCGGGCCTCCATTTCTTTTTTGTAGTCTTTAATAAACAGCTGCTATCGTTGCAGACTTGCTATTTAGGCACTTAGGAATTTTTCACTAGAAGGCGTGTAAAGAAAGACCACGGACCTTTGTAAGGAATTTAGCATTCATTCTTTGACTACATGACTGTCCCCAGAGCTATAACTTTACTAATGAATTTTTTAGAAGCCACTTAGCTAGCAACTGAGCCTAATCAGCCACTCACCCTCGTTATTCAGTGCTCTTTTTTTATTGTCTATTTCTCCTCCAACTTGGCTATACTCACAAAGTAATAAAAACTTGCATTTGTTTTCTTTCCTTTTCAGAGACAGGGTCTTGCTCTGTTGCTCAGGCTGCAGTACAGTGACATGATCATGGTTCACTGTAGCCTGAAAATCCTGGGCTCAAGCAGTTCTCCCACTTCAGTCTCCCAAGTAGCTGGGACTACAGACATGTGCCACCATGTCCAGCTAATTTTTTCATTTTTTATCACAGAGACAGGATCTTGCCAGGTTGCTCAGACTGGGCTCAAAACTCCTGACTTCAAGTGATCCTCCTGCCTCAGCCTCCCAAAGTGCTGGGATTACAGGCAGACATGACCACCTGTGCCCAGCCCCCTATTATTATTATTTTAAATAATAGCTTTATTAAAATATGATTCACATACCATTCACTTTATTTATTGAAATCTGCAATTCAGTAGGTTTTAGATTATTCACAGAGCTGTGCATCGATCACCACAGTCACTTTTAGAACCTTTCATTACCCTGTAGAGAAATCCATATCCATACCCCTTAGCCACTACCTCCTACTCCCCCAACATGCCTTGGCCCCCAGCCTTAGGCAGCCATTGATTTATTTTTTGTCACTATAGATTTGCCTAATCTGGACAAATAGAATTGCACAATATGTGATCTTTTGTGGCTTTTTTTCCCTCTTAGCACAGTGTTTTCAAAGTTCCTTTATGTCATAGTGTCTATCAATATTTCATTCCTTCTATGGCAATATTCCATGGTAGAGACACACTGCGTTTTGTTTATCTGTTCATCAGTTGGTGGACATTTGGGTTGTTTCCATGTATTGGCCATTATGAATAATGCTGCTATGAAGACTGTTGTACAAGTTTTTGTGTGGATATATATTTTTATTTCTCTGGGATATATGCCTAGGAGTGAAATTGTTGCATTGTATGATGACTGTACATTTAGCCTTTTGAGAAACTGCCACACTGTTTTCTAAAGTGGCTACACCAGTTGGGTGCAATGGCTCACACCTATAATCCCAGCTACTCAGGAGGCTCAGTTGGGAGGAATTGAGCCCATGAATTCAAGTCCAGCCTGGGCAAGATAGTGAAACCCTGTCTTGATTAAAAAAAAAAAAATCCAATTAAAATGACAAGAACAGAACTACCCAAACAAAGAGGTTACACGATTTCATGTTCCCACCAGTGATGTATGTGGGTTCCAACTCCTCCACATCTTCACTGACATTTTTTTTTTTTTTCTAGATAGGGGCTTGCTCTGTCTCTCAGGCTGCAGCGCAATGATGCCATCACAGTTCATTGCAGCCTTGACCTCCCAGGCAAAAGTGATTCTCTCATCTTAGCCTCCTGAGTAGCTGAAAATTACAGGTGTATGCCACCATGCTTGGCTAATTTTTATAGATGGGATTTTACCATGTTGCCCAAGCTGGTCTCATACTCCTGGCCTCAAGTGATCTGCCCACCTCAGCCTCCCAAAGTTCTGGAATTACAGGCTGAGCCACCATGCCCGGCCTTCACCAACATTTGTCATTATGGTTTTTTTTTCTTTATACCTTAAAGCAGTATAAGAACGAGTTTCTTCAATTATAGGAAACAATATAATCCCAGGGCATTGGGAAGCTAAGACAGGAAGATGTCTTGATGCCAGGAGTTTTTTTTTGTTTTTTGTTTTTTGGTTTTTGGTTTTTTTTTTTTAAGATAGAGTCTCACTCTGTTGCCCAGGGTGGAGTGCAGTGGTGCGATCTTGGCCCACTGCAACCTCTGCCTCAGCCTCCTGAGTAGCTGAGACTACAGGTACATGCCACTACTGCCCGGCTTATTTTTATATTTTTAGTAGAGTCAGAGTTTCACCATGTTGGCCACACTGGTCTCGAACTCCTGACTTCAGGTGATTTGCCTGCCTCAGCCTCCCAAAGTGCTGGGATAGCAAGCATGAGCCACCATGCCCAGCCTGATGCCAGGAGTTTTAGACCAGCCTGGGCAACCTAGCAAGACCTGGTCTCTACAGAATATTTAAAAATTAGCCAAATGTGGGGGTACCTGCCTATAGTCTCTCTCCCTCTCTCTCTCTGTTTTTTTTTTTTTTTTTTTTTTTTTTACTTTTTGAGACATGGTCTGGCTCTGTCACCCAGGCTGAAGTGCAGTGGTGTGATCATGGCTTACTGCAGCCTGAAACTCCTGGGATCAAGTGATGAATCCTCCCACCTCATCCTACCAAGTAGTAGGGACCACAGGTGTATGCCACCCAGGTCTTTCTATGTTGCCCAGGCTGGTCTTGAGCTCCTGGCCTCAAGCAGTCCTCTCACCTTGGCCCCCCACAGTGCAAGGATTACAGGTATGAGCCACCATGCCTGGCCTCTACCCTGCCTATTGAGAACCAAAAGAAGGATCCAAATTCTCCTTAGCTCAACTTGAGCTATTTCCTAATTGCTTCATCAGCAAGGTGCTGGTTATTGGGTGTCCAGGCCTCCCAAGCAGCACAGAAATGAGGTAAGGGAGTTTTCCTGCTGCTTCACTCTGTGAGGAGTTGGAGGATGATGTTTACTCATTTGCAGAGAGAGATGCCTTGTAGCCACCTTAGGATGGAGGGGACCCTGATTCCAATGTCCTTTTTTTCTTTAGAAACAGGACCTTGCCCTGTCACTCAGGATGGAGTTCAGTGGTCCAATCATGGCTCATTGTAGCCTCAAACTCCCAGGCTCAAGCAATCCTACCACGTCAGTCTTCCCAGTAGCTGGTAAGCACCATGACACTCAGTGAATTTTGTTTTTATTTTTTTGTAGAGATGGGGCCGCACTATGTTGCCATGGCTGACCTTGAACTCCTGCACTCAAGGGATTTTCCTGCCTTGGCCTCCCAAAGTATTGGTATTACAGGCATGAGCCATTGTGCCCACTGTCTCTGGTTCTTAACCTTCTGCCTCCCTCTTCCACTTTTAAAGAATGCTTGTAATTACATGGGCTCTCCTAGATACTCCAGGATAATCTTGTTTTAAGGTCAGCTGATGATGAGCAACATTAATTTTATCTGCACTCTTAATTCCCCCTTCCTATGTAATTGTGCTGTGTAACATAGGACATGAGCAATTAGTTGGCAGGGTGGGGGGTTATTACTTTGGCCACCACAGTAACTTGTGCCAGGTACTGAGCTAACCACTGGTGAATTAAGCATGAATAACACACACTCCCTAATCTCCATCCATTCATGGGAGGAGCACCTCACCTGCCATGCTCCTGAGAATCTGGGGAGTCAAGGAAGTCTTCCATGAGGAGGTGATGCCAAAGCGGACAAGTGACAGAGGAGCCGAAGCTAGCCAGGAAGAGAGTAGAGGTTTAAGGGGAAGCATATTATAAGCAGAGGATATCACCCACTTCAGAGACTCCCAGAGGAGAAAGAGTGTGCATTCAGGGGGCAGATGAGGCTGAGTTGGACTCCATAGCAGGTGAAATGGAGAGGGGCAAGCAGTGAGGCTGCCTTGCAAGGCAGGGCAGAGCGGGGGCTGTTAAGGAGTTTGGACTTAATCCCCAAGGCAAGGAGAAGTGATGTAAATGGGGAAGTAACATGATGAGATTCATGGATTAGAGACATGGCTCAGGCTTCTGTAGAGAAGGAACCAGGGAGAGCAGATGGCTCAATGGGTGTGCAGGAGACCTCTCACTGAGTTGAGGGAGAGGTTTTTAAAACAGAAGAAGTTTGAGTAATTTAAATGATGGTGGGAAGGCGCTAAAAGTGGGAGATAGGTTAAAGATACAGGAAAGTGGGAGGAAGAACTGACAAGTGAGGTTCCAGAGAGGGCAGGAGAAGAGGAGATTCCCTTAGGGGGATTAACACTTTCTTTTCTTTTTCTTTCTAAGACAGGGTCTCACTCTGTCGCCCAGGCTGGAGTGCAGTGGCATGATCTTGGCTCACTGTAGTGTAGACTTCCCAGCCTCAAGGGATCCTCCCACCCCAGACTCCCAAGTAGCTGGAATTACAGGTATGCACCACCACCACACCTGGCTAATATTTTTCTTTTTTTTGGTAGACATATAGTCTCACTATGTTGCGCTGACAGGTCTCCAACTCCTGGCCTCAAGTGATCCTCCTGCCTAGGCTTCCCAAATTGCTGGGATTACAGGCATGAGCCACAGTGCCTGGCCTCTGCTAGTTCTGTATTCTCTAGAGTTGTCTTTACTTTGTGCTAGTGTGTCCCTCATTATGCTGATCCTCTGCTAAAATTAATACTTTTTTTTTGAGATGGAGTTTCACTCTTGTTGCCCAGGCTGGATTGCCCAGGCTAGAGTGCAATGGCACTATCTTGGCTCACCGCAACCTCCACCTGCCGGGTTCAAGCGATTCTCCTGCCTCAGCCTTCCGAGTAGCTGGGAGTAGCATGTGCCACCATGCCTAGCTAATTTTGTATTTTTAGTAGAGATGGGGTTTCTCCATGTTGGTCAGGCTGGTCTTGAACTCCTGACCTCAGGTGATCCGCCTGCCTTGGCCTCCCAAAGTGCTGGGATTACAGGCATGAGCCATGGTGCCTGGCCAAAATTAATACTTTCTATATTAAATTTACATATATATATTTTTTTTCTTTTTGATACCAGGTCTCATGCTCTCACTCAGGCTGCAGTACAGTGGCACAACCTCTACTCACTGCAGCCTCTACCTGCCAGGCTCAAGCAATTCTCCTGACTTAGCCTCCCGAGTAGCTGGGATTACAGGTAAGTGCCACCACACCAAGCTAAATTTTGTGTTTTTTGTAGAGATGGGGTTTCGCCATGTTTCCCAGACTGGTCTCAAACTCCTGAGCTCAAAGCAATTCACCCGCCTTGGCCTCCCAAAGTGCTGGGATTACAGGTGTGAGCCACCTTGCTCATTCTAGTTTAAACTTTTGAGTGGTTTGTGTCTCCTGATTGGACTCCTACAAATACAGAATTGATGGTAGGAAGGGTACCAGGAGATAGACCCACACAGATGGGATTTGGGAATAGGTTTGGTTATCCAAGGAGCAGTGCTGAGCTCCTTGCTAATGGGATATGGGAGGCTGGTGATTTCCAGGAAGTGACCTCACAATGACTCAAGCTACCACATACTGTTCATTGTGAAATGCCAGTTGAAGCATATGTCCTGTGAGCTTAGGGGTGCTACAAGTTGACCACTGCAGCAGTAAAGATGATTCTGAAGAATGGCATGGGATGGATCCTTTCGAATGCACTTGAGCAGCGGTCTCCAACCACAGGGCCACAGAGCTGGAGGTGAGCAGCAGGCAAGTGAAGGGAAACTTCATCTGTATTTCTAGCCCCTCCCGTCGCTTGCATGACCACCTGAGCTCCATGTCCTGTCAGATCAGCAGCAGCATTAGATTCTCATAGGAGCACAAACTCTGTTGTGAAGTGTGCATGCGAGGGATCTAGGTTGTGTACTCCTTATGAGAATCTAATGCCTGATATTCTGTTACTGTTTCCCATCACCCCAGATGGACAGTCTAGTTGCAGGAAAACAAGCTCAGAGATCCCACTGAGTCTACGTTATAGTGAGTTGTAGAATCATTTCATTATATATTACTATGTAGTAATAATAGAAATAAAGTGCTCAATATATGTATTGCACTTGAATCATCCTGAAATTATTCCCTCACTCCCAGTCTGTGGAAAAATTGCCTTCCACATATTCACTCTGTTTTTTGGTACAGGCAAGGTCTTAATATATTGCCCAGGCTGATCTCAAACTCCTGGCCTCAAGTAATATACCTCTCTCAGCCTCCCAAAGTGCTGAGATTACAGGCATAAACCACCACCCTCAACCAAGACTTTCTTAAACCAAATAAAAATTAAGTGAGATTACTTGAGCCCATGTGGTCAAGGCTGCAGTGAGCCTGATTGCACCACTGCACTCCAGCCTAGGTGACAGAATGAGACTGTCTCAAAAAATAAAATAAAATACAAATGAACCCTTTATGACATTGCCAGTAACTTTCCCTCCTAAGTGTTCCCCACAAGTCTTTGAATTCTGTTTAATTTTCACATAACATTTAAGACGTTTAAGAACTTATGTCTGTCTGTGTCATCCCTTTATGTCAAAAGATGCCTTTTTGTCACTTCCAGCTGGATCTACCATGAAAGACTTCTGAATCCAGGAAGAGAGACTGACTGGGCAACATGTTATTCAGGTACAAAAAGATTTGGAGTGTAACTCAAAAATGATCAAATAATAGTGCATGCATCAAGTGCAATGGGAAGCTCTTCGGGAGAGTGAGAGAAGCTTCCAGTTAAGGTGACATTGAAGCCAAGTCCTGAAAGATGAGGAAGAGTTGTATGAGAGTGGGGAGGAAAGGGGGAGGTGGAGGGATGGGGAATGGGCTGGGATGGGATGGAGCAAACTGCCCGGGAAGGGAAACCAGCACTGTACAGACCTGAACAACGAAGATGGCATATTTTGTTCACGGAACGGTGAATTAAGTGTGGCAGGAATGCTTTGTAGAGACAGTAAGTTGCTTGTATGGAATTTTGCCCAAGAGACCTCATTGCAGTTTCTGATTTTTTGATGTCATCATCCATCACTGTCCTTGTCAAATAGTTTGGAATAGGTATAATGATCACAATAACCCCAAGCATAATATTTCATTAATTCTCACAGAATCACAGGTAGGTGCCACAGTTATCCCCATTTTATGAATGGAGTGATGAAGCCTTAGGAATAATGAATGATTTGCCCAAGCTCACCTGGATATTAAGACTGAGTCAAATGTTGGGTCTGGTCTGACTTTAATGTTTGCTTTGTTCATGAGCACCACGTATTGCCTCTCCTATGCAGTTAAGCAGGTAGACAAGTGACAGAAAAGCCCATGTTTGTCTCTACTCACACACTTCCGACTGAATGTATGTATGGAGTTTCTACACCAAATTCTTCAGTGCTCTGGATATTAACTGGGTATCCCATGACTTTATTCTGACACTACCTGGAGTTAGCACAGACCCCACAAGTTAGGGGCTCAGTCCCACGAGGCCATCCTCACTTCAGATGCCAATGGCAAGTCCTAAGTTGTCACCTGTACTTTTGACCAACCTCTTACAAATCGGGGGTTCCCATAACTGTCTTCTTGGGTTTAATAATTTGCTAGAACAGTTTACGGAACTCAGAAAAACAGTTTATTTTCTTTTTTTCTGAGAGAGAGGGTCTTATTTGGTTGCCCAGGCTGGTGTGCAATGGTGCAGTCATAGCTCATTGCAGCCTTGATTGTCTGGGCTCCAGTGGTTCTCCCACCTCAGCCTCCCTAGTAGCTGAGGCTACATGCCTGCACCACCACATCTGGCTAGTTTCTTTTTTTTTTTTTTTTTGTATAGATGGGGTCTTGTTGTGTTGGCCAGGCTGGCCACAACAAATTCCTGGTCTCAAGTGATCCTCCCACCTCAGCCTCTGAAAGTGCTGGGATTACAGATGTCAGCCACCACATCTGGCCAGTTCATTTCCTATTACTGGTTCATTGTGAAGGATACATCCCAGAAACAGTCAATGAAAGAGACGTGCATGCTGGATGCAGTGGCTCATGCCTGTAATCTCAGCACTTTGGGAGGCCAAGGTGGGAGGATTGCTTAAACTCAGGAGTTTGAGACCAGCCTGGGCAACATGGTGAAAACCTGTCTCTATAAAAAATTAAAAAATAATAATAATAACCAGTGTGGTGTTGTGCACCTAGAGTTCCAACTACTAGGGAAGCTGAGATGAGAGGATGTCTTGAGCTGGGGACTGGGGAGGCTTAGGTTACCATAAGGTGAGATTGTGCCACTGCACTCTAGCTTGGACAAAAGAGCCTGATCCTGTCTCAAAAAAGAGAAAGATACCCAGGGCAAGTTAAGTTCGGAGGGGCACAGAGCTCCCATGCCCTCTGTTGAACATGCGACCCTCCCAGCATCTCCTGTGTCCAGCAACCCTGAAAGTTCTGCAAACCCCATTCAGGGTGTTTATGGAGGCTTTATTATGCAAGCAAGATTGATAAAATCTTTGGCTGTTGGTGATTAAGTCAGTCTCCAGCCCCTCTTCCTCCTGGAGTTCAGTGCATGAGGCTGAAAGTTCCAAGCCTCTTACCATGTGGTTGCATGGTAATCAGCCCTCCTCTTGAAGAAATTTAGGAGCTTGCAGTCACCCAGTCATCTCAACAACATCCCCAAATGCATTCTTACCATGCTGGAGATCCCAAAGTTCTTAGAGGCTCTTGTGTTAGAAACCTGGGACCAAGACCAAATATTAAAACAAAAGATGTTCCTGTCACATCTATCACTGAGGTCTTTGTAAGCTTTAGAAGCTCTGTGCCAGGAACCAGGGACAGAGATTAAATATATATTTCTTTTCTTTTTTTTGAGACAGAATCTCCCTGTGTCATCCAGACTGGAGTGCAGTCTTGTGATCATAGCTCACTATAGCTTTGGCCTTCTGAGATCAAGCAATCCTCCCATCTCAACCTCCCAAGTAGCTAGGACTACACATACATGTCACCCATGCCCAGCTCATTTTTGTAGAGTCGGAGTTTCACCATGGTGGCCAGGTTGGCCATGTTGGCCAGATGGGGTCTTCTTTTGTTGCCCAGGCTGGCCACAAATTCCTGGGCTCAAGTGATCCTCCCACCTCGTCCTTGTAGAGATGAGATTTAGTTATGTTGTCCAGGCTGATTTCAAACTCCTGGGCTAAATCGATTGTCTCACCTCAGCCTCTCAAGTAGCTGGGACTACAGGCGCATACCACCATGTCGGGCTAATATTTATTTTTATTTTTTTCTAGAGGTGGGGGTCTCACTATGTTGTTCATGCTAGTTTCAAACTTCGGGCCTCAAGTGTTCCTCCTGCCTTGACCTCCCAAAGTGTTGGGATTCTGGGTGGGAGCCACCATGCCCAGCAATCACAAGGGTCTTTATATAAAAAAAAAAGAGGGTAGGAGATTCAGAATTGGAGCAGGAGATGTGGTGATGAAAGCAGAGGTAAGAGAGGGAGATTTGAAGATGCTTCACTTCTGGCTTTGAAGATGGAGTCAGGGGCCATGATCCAAGGAATGGGGGTGGCTTCTAGAAGCTGGAAAAGCCAAGGGAACACTTTAGAGTCTCCAGAAGGAATGCAGCCATGCTGACACCTTGACTTTAGCCTTAATAGACCTAGTTTGGGTTTCTGGCCCCTAGAACTGTAAGATGGTAGATTTGTGGTGTTTTAAGCCACTAAATGTAGGAAACTGCAAACTATGTTGCAGCAGCAAGAAGAAATGAACATGAAGCCAGGCATGATGGCTCATGCCGGTAATCCCAGCACTTTAGGAATTTAGGCAGGAGGATCACTTGAGGCCAGGAGTTCAAGACCAGTCTGGGCAATATAGTAAGACCTTGTCTCTACAAAAAATGAAAAAATTGGCCAGGCGTGGTGGCTCACGCCTGTAATTCCAGCACTTTGGGAGGCCGAAGCGGGCAGATTACCTGAGGTCAGGAGTTCGAGACCAGCCTGGCCAACATTGCAAAACCCCGGCTCTACTAAAAATACAAAAATTAGCTGGGCGTGGTGGCACGCACCTGTAATCCCAGCTACTTGGAAGGCTGAGGCAGGAGAATCACTTGAATCTGGGAGGTGGAGGTTGCAGTGAGCCGGGATCGCACCATTACACTACAGCCTGGGCAAGAAGAGTGAAACTCTGTCTCAAAATAAAATAAAATAAAATAAAATAAAATAAAATAAAATACAAAAAATTTAGCCAGGCATGATGGCATGAATCTGGAGTCCCAGCTACTTGGGAGGCTGAGGTGGGAGGATCACTTGAGCCTGGAAATTTGAGGTTGCAGTGAGCTGTGATTGCGCCACTGCACTCCAGCCTTCGTGACAGTGAGATCTTGAAGAAAAGAAAGAAGAAAGTAAAGAAAGAAGAAATGAGCATGGTGGGCATGGGGACAGATGGCAATGTTAAATAGAATGGTCAGGGGTGGCCTCCTAAGTGAAAATTGAGTAAAGACTTGAAGGAGGGGAAGGAGCTGGCCAAGGTGCTGAGGGAAGAGGATCATAGGCAGAAACAATAGAATAAAATGTCTGAGGTGTGTCTGAGGCTCTGGAAGGAGGCCCATGGAGCAGACGGAGAGAGGGAGAGAATTAGGGGAGGGGGCCAGGGAGTTGCTGGGTGGGGATCAGTACAGATCACATAAGCCCTGGGAGGTTATTGCTGGGGCTTTGGCTTTTACTCTGACTCAGATGGGAACTGCGGGAAGGTTCTGAGCAGAGAGGCGACATGATCTGTCTCCCGATTTAAAAGCATTCTCTGGCTGCTGAGTTGAGAAAGACTGTGGGAAGATGTGGGTAGAAGCATGGGGGCCAAGCTTTGGCAACATCCAGGCGGGAGATGATGGTGATCCTGACCAGGGCCATGGTGGTGTTGAGAGATGGTCAGAGGGGAGAAGTAGGGGAGGAGGCCAGGGAGTTACTGGGTGGGGATCTTTAGTACATGTCGAAGACAGTCAACAGGATTTCCTGACAGACTGGATATGGGGTGTGAGAGAAGGCAGGGGTCAAGGTTGAGTTTGATTGTTACTAAAATTATTAAGTAATTTTAAAAAACACTACTGCCTTTCCCAATCCTACCAAGTATGGGATGCTAGATTAAAGAAATCTCTTCAGGCTCATTGCAGTGGCTCATGCCTGTAGTCCCAGCTGTTTGGTAAGCAGAGGTGGGAGTATCTTTTAAGGGCAAGTGTTCAAGACCAGCCTGGACAACACAGCAAGATCTGCTCTTTACAAAAATATTTTTCAAAATTAAATAAATGTAGCTAGGCATGGTGATGTGTACTTGTAGTTTCAGCTACTCAGGAGGCTGAAGTGGGCAGATCTCTTGAGGTCAGGAGTTTGAGGCCAGCTTGGGCAACATAGCAAGACCCCTCACTCTACAAAAAAATTAAAAAAATAACCAGGCATGGTGGCACTCAGCTGTACTACCAGCTACTGGGGAGCTGAGGCAGGAAGATGGCTTGAGCCCAGGTGGTCGAGGCTGCAGTGAGCTGTAAGTGCACAGCTGCACTCCAGTCTGGGTGACAGAGCAGGACCTGTCTCAAATACAAATAAACATACAAGTAAAATAATGAAATCTCAAGTCAGAGCCTTTTGGCTCTGCAGCCCTTGCAATCGCTCAGCCGTGCAGTGGGGTTTGCGTCGCTGGGAATGAGGAGACCCCTGCTCGGTGTTGTTGCCTGACTAATCAGTGTTTTAAAACATATATTAATCGGGGTGGGCGCAGTGGCTCACACCTGTAATCCCAGCACTTAGGGAGACCCAGGCGGGTGGATCACCTGAGGTCAAGAGTTCAAGACCAGCCTTCTCTACTAAGAAAACTCCTTCTCTACTAAGAAAATACAATAATTAGCCAGATATGGTAGTGGGTGCCTGTAATCCCAGCTACTTGGGAGGCTGAGGTAGGAAAATCGCTTGAACCTCTGCGGGGCGGAGGTTGCAATGAGCTGAGATTGCGCCACTTCACTCCAGCCTGGGCAAAAGAACAAGACTTTGTATCAAAGAAAAAAAAAGTATTATATCAACATGTAATGGTTTTATTATTAATATATAAAGAATATTAAATATTTTTAAAATCTTCTATTATATTAACATGTAATGGCTTTATTAATATGTGATGAGTAATATTTAAAAATTTTTGTCTTATTTTCTAGTTTTAATATAATTATTTACAGAAAGAAATAGTCTTAGAGATCTTCAATAAAGTTAAAAAATGTAAAGGGATGTTAGACCCCAAAAGATTGAGAATTTCTAGTTTAGAAATATTCAGAGTAAGCCACATACAACTTGCTACTTGAACTATTTTTTTTCTTTGTTTTTTATTTTAGGAGATGGGGTCTCACCCTGTCGCCCAGGCTTGAGTACAGTAGTGCTATCACAGCTCACTGCAGCCTTGAACTCCTGGGCTAAGGATCCTCCTACCTGAGCCTCCTGAGTAGCTGGGACTGTAGGTATACATGACGATACTTGGCTAATTTTTAAATTGTTTTGTAGACATGGGGTCTCACTTTGTTGGCCAGGCTGGTGTCAAACTCATGGCCTCAAGTGACCCTTCCACCCCTGCCTCCCATCCTAGAGGTATGTGCCACCACAAGGAGCACTTGTTCAATTTTCTAAAAAAAAAATTTCTAAAGTAAGGCTGTGGGATGATGGCAGGAAGATAAGAGAAAAACAGAATAAGTTAAAATGACTTATTCACACATATTCTTTTGACAGCAAGAAGAACTTTTAGTATATACATTCCTTACAAACAAACAAAAGGCAGATAAACAATGTTGTATAGGAACTTCAACACACACTGTACAATATTCCCACTTTGCTGACATAAGTTATGGAAATTTCGTGGTTTACTTGAGTGTCGCTACCAGTATTTTGCTTCTCTGATCATTTTTATCAACTTCCTCATCTGTTAACTTCTCTCCAAGGTATGTCATATCATGACATACTGCTGCTGCACGAACATGGCCAGTGTCTTCCTATTAAACATGTAGAATGCTTTCCTAATTTCTCTTTTTACTCTCTGTCTTTGTGTTTTGCATTTTCCTTACTTTTATTGTCAGAAACTCCAGAAAGTCAATTGTACTAATTTATCACCATTTGCTTTATTAATTTATACTTTGCTTATATGGAATTTTGCCCAACAGACCTCATTACAATTTCTAACCTGTTTTATTTATTTATTTTTTTTTTTCTGAGACAGGGTCTCCCTCTGTTGTCCAAGGCTGGAGTGTAGTAGTGCTATCACAGCTGACTGCAGCCTCAACCTTCCAGGCTGAAGCGATCCTCCCATCTCAACCTCCCACGTGGCTGAGACTACAGGCGCTTGCCACTATGCCCAACTAATATTTGGAATTTTCCTATACGTGGATTCCAGAGGGGTGACAGCGAAACGTGAGTAAGCATGGATTTTGGTATATGCAGAGATGGGGGGCTGGAACTAATTCTGTATACTGAGGGAGGACTGTATATGTTTTTACAATTACGCTGTAGGATACATACTGTTGCGTAGCCTTGAAAATAATAATTTTTAATTGAGTGGAATAATAATAATATTGATAAAAGTAGCAGCTGGTCAGGTGTGGTGGCTCACACTGGTAATCGCAACACTTTGGGAGGCTGAGGCAGGAGGATGGCTTGAGGCCAAGAGTTTGCGATAGGCCTTGGAAACAAAGGGAGTCACCATCCCTACAGAAAAATATATGAATTAGCCTAGTGTGGTGGCATGTTCCTGTAGTCCCAGCTACTTGGGAGGCTGAGCTGGGAGGATCACTTGAGCCCAGGGAGGCTGAGACTGCAGTGAGTCATGATCAGGCCTCTGCATTCCAGCCTGGGTGACAGAGTGAGACCCTGTCTCAAAACAACAAAAAAGTAGCAGCTAACATCAACTGACCTTTTACCAGGTGCCTATTGATACCATAGTTTAATTTCTTATAACTTTCTTATTTCACTTACCAACTCTGTCTTCAGTTACTCCCAGATTTTTACTGTGTTTGTACAGATGACCTTTTGTTTAGACTGAATTGTCTCCCCAGAAGTAAGATTACTGTGAGTCATGGCGAATGGACATTGTCATTACCCTTGATGTAAATTGACAAGGTTTTGGGTGCCTCCCAGCTATAATCTTAGCACTTTGGGAGGCTAAGACAGGAGGATTGCTTGAGGCCAAGAGTTTGAGGAGGCAGTATGGCAGTATGGTGAGACCCTGTCTCTATTATTTTAAAAAATTGACAAGCTTTACCCTGGAAGGCTTATACACAATTTAAACACCCCTCATAGTATAAGAAAGTGCCCATTTCACTGCACCTTTGCCAGCACAGGGTATTATAATTAAGTCATTTTTTGTTTGATTATTTTAAATAGATAAAAGACCTCATATTACTTTGCTTGTCACATTTCAACATCTTTCCTTAGCTTATTAGCTCTATTTCTTTTCTGTCTGTAAATGGTTGTTGTTGTTTTGTTCTTTGAGACAGGGTCTTGCTCTGTCACCAGGCTGGACTGTAGTGGCATAATCATGCCTGACTGCAGCCTTGACCTCCCAGGCTCAAACTTTAGCATTCCGAGTAGCTGGGACTACAAGTGTGCACCATCACTCCCAGCTAATTTTTTTCTTTTTTTGGATAGAGACAGGGTCTCACTGTGTTGTCCAGACCGGTCTCTAGCTCCTGGCCTTAAGCAATCCTCCTGCATTAGCTTCTCAAATTGCTGGAATTTCAGGCATGAGCCACCATGCCTGGCCTGGGCTAGTCCTATATTCTCTAGAGTTCTCTTTACTTTGTGCTAGCCAATCTCTCATTATGCTGCTCACCTGTTATAATGAATAATTCTCTGTATTAAATTTTACCACTTTAAACTTTTGAGTGGTTTATGCTTCCTGATTGGACTCTGACTAATATGTTAGGAAGGGTCCCAGGAGATAAACCCACACAGATGGGATTTGGGCATAGGTTTGGTTTCCCAGGGGGCAGTGCTGAGCTCTTTGCCAGTGGGAAATGGGATGCTGGTGATTTCCAGGAAGTGACCTCACAATGACTCAAGCTACCACTTACTGTTGATTGTGATGACATGCCAGCTGAGGCACATGCCTTGGGAGCTAAGTGGTTGCTGCACTTGACCACTATGAAGACTGGTGTGGGAAGGGTCGTTTTGGATGCTCTTGAGCAGGGGTCCCCAACCCCTGAGCCATGGAGCCGTAAGGAGCCACACAGCAGGAGGTGAGTGTGTCGAGTGAGGGAGTGAGGGAAGCTTCGTCTGTATTTACAACCACTCCCCTTTGCTCACATTCCCGCCTGAGCTCCACCTTCTCACATCAGCAGTAGCATTAGATTCTCATAGGAGAACGCACCCTGTTGTGAACCGTGCATGTGAGGGATCTAGGTTGCGCTGTCCTTATGAGACTCTAATACCTATTGATCTGTCACTTTCTCCCATCACGCTCAGGTGGGACCATCCAGTTGCAGGAAAACGAGCTTAACACGCCCACTGATTCTACATTATGGTGAGTTCTATAATTATTTTATTATATATTACAGTGTACTAATGGAAATAAAGTGCCTAATAAATGTAATCTGCTTAAATCTTTTGGCCCAGCTCCTACCTCCCGGCAGCCTCTCCAGGCCCAGAACTTTCTCCAGTCGGCCTCCACAGACCAAGCTCATGACTCACAATGGCCTATTTAGGCCCATACCCTACCTCACGGCAGTCTCCGCAGATGAGGCTACTGCCTCACAACAGCCTCCACAGGCACAGCTCCATCGTTACAATGGCCTCTTTAGACCCAGCTCCTGCCTCCCAGCCTTCTCTCTAGGCCCTGAACTTTCTCAAGTCGACGTCACCAGGCCCAGCTCATGCTTCTTGGCAGCCTCTCCAGGCCCAGCTCTTCCTCCCGGCGGCCTCTGCAGGCCCAGACTGTCATCAAGTCGGCCTGTCCAGGGCCAGCTCCTGCCTCCCGGCGCCCTCTGCAGGCCCAAGTCGTCCTCAAGTTGGCCTCCCCAGGCCCAGCTCCAGCCTCTCGGCGGCCTCTCCGGGTGCAAAAGTTCCTCGAGTCAGCCTCTCCAGGCCCAGCTCCTCCTGCCTCCCAGTGCCTCTTTCGGCCCAGCCCAGCTCATGCCTCTGGGCGGCCTTCCCAGGCCCCGCTTTTGACTTTTGGCGGCCTCTGCAGGCCTCGACAAGGCCCGGCCTCCTGCCTCCCGAAGCCTGCACAGGCCCAGCCTCTGCCTCACAGCAGACTCTCCACGCCCAGCTAGCTCTCGCCTCACTGCGGCCTCCCCAGTCCAAAGCTCCTGCCTCTCGGCCGCTTCGGCAGGCCCAGCTCCCGCCTGCCAGTGCCTCTTCAGGCCCATGGGGCTCATTCCTCACAACGGCCTTTCCAGGCCCCGTTTTTCCCTTCCGGCGGCCTCTCCGGGCCCAGAACCTCCTCAAGTTGGCCTCTCCAGACCCACTTGCACCCTCCGGGCGTCCTCTCCAGGCCCAGCTCTTCCTCCCGGCTGCGTCTCCAGGCCCGACTCCTGCCTCCCAACAACCTCTTTGGACTCAGTGCCTGCCCATCTCCTGGCGGCCTTGGTCGGCCCACAGCTTCCTCAAGCCAAGCTCCCCAGGCCCAGGTCAGGCCTCACGGTGGCCTCTCCAGGATCAGCTCCTGCCCTCCGATGGTGTCTCCAGGCCCCAAATGGTCTCCGGCCAGTGGGCTCCTCCACGCCCAGCTTGGGCCTCCCGGCGACCTCTGCAGGCCCAAGTCGTCCTGAAGTCGGCCTCTCCCGGCCCTGCCTCCCAGCAAGTAAGCAAGCTTTTTTGGCTTAGCTCCTGCCCAGCTCCCAACCGCCTTTGTAGGCCCCGAACTTTCTCCAGCCAAGCTCTTCGGGCCCACCTCCTGCCTCCCGGTGGCCTGTACAGGCCCAGCTCTGGCTGGAGAACAGCCTCTGCAGGCCCCGCTCTTGCCTCCCAGGGGCCTCTCCAGGCCCAGCTCTCGCCCCCACAGCGGCCTCCCGGGGCCAAGTCCCTGCCTGCCTCCCGGCATCCCGCATGCAGCCCAGCTCCTCCCTCACGGTGGCCTGTTGATGCCCAACTCATGCCTCTGGCACCCTGCCCAGAGGCGTGAGCCCCTGCCTCACACCGGCTCCTCCCACGCTGACAGAGGTCAGCGTGAGCCCCTGCCTCAACAGGCCACCGTGAGGGAGGAGCAGGGCCGCACGCGGGCTGCCGGAAGGCGGACAGGGACTTGGCCCCGGGAGGCCGCGGTGGGGCAAGAGCTTGGCCTGGAGACGCCCCTGGGAGGCAACAGCAGGGCCTGCAGACGCTCTTCTCCAGCCAGAGCTGGGACTGTACAGGCCACTGGGAGGCAGGATGTGGGCCTGAAGAGCTTGGCTGCAGAAACTTTGGGGTCTACAAACGCCGGCGAGAGCTGAGCCGAAAGAGCTTGCTTGCTGGGAGGCAGGAGCTGGGCCGGGAGATGCAGCCAGGAGGAACAGCTGGGCCTGCAGAGGCCGCCATGCGGGAGGCAGAGGCTGGGCCTCCTCAAGTTGGCCTCTCCAGACCCACTTGCAGCCTCCCGGCGTCCTCTCCGGGCCCAGCTCTTCCTCCCGGCTGCGTCTCCAGGCCCAACTCCGGCCTCCCAACAAGGTCTTTGGACTCAGCTCCCCCGCAGCTTCCAGCGGCCCTGGTAGGCCCACAACTTCCTGAAGCCAAGCTCCCCAGGCCCAGCTCAGGCCTCACGGTGGCCTCTCCAGGCTCAGCTCCTGCCCTCCGACAGCGTCTCCAGGCCCCAAACGGCCTCCGGTCGGTGGGCTCCTCTAGGCCCAGCTTGGGCCTCCCGGCAGCCTCTGCAGGCCCAAATCGTCCTGAAGTCGGCCTCTCCAGGCCCAGCTCCAGCCTCCCGGCGGCCTCTGCAGGCCTAAGTCGTCCTCAAGTCGGCCTGGAAATGGGCCTGGAAGAGCTGCAAGTCGGCCTCCCCGGGCCCAGCTCCGTCCTCTCGGCGGCCTCTCCAGGTGCAAAACTTCCTCGAGTCAGCCTCTCCAGGCCCAGCTCCTCCTGCCTCAGTGGCCTCTTTCGGCCCAGCCCAGCTCATGGCTCTCGGCGGTCTTCCCAGGCCCCGCTTTTGACTTTTGGTGGCCTCTTCAGGCCCAGAACTTGACCTCCAGTCGGCCTTTGCAGGCCCGGCCTCCTGCCTCTCGAAGGTCTGCATGGGCCCGGCCTCGGCCTCACAGCGGACTCTCCACGCCCAGCTAGCTCTCGCCTCACTGCACCCTCCCCAGTCCAAAGCTCCTGCCTTTCGGCCACTTCGGCAGGCCCAGCTCCTGCCTGCCAGTGGCCTCTTTAGGCCCAGCTCATTCCTCACAACGGCCTTTCCAGGCCCCGTTTTTCCCTTCCGGCAGCCTCTTGGCCTCTAATTTTTTTATCTTTTGTGTATAAATCCCAAATTATGGAATTTTGGAATATTTCCACCATTATATAAATATTTTGGTAGGTAATTTATTTGGAGTGAGTTTCTGCACCAAGCCCGAATTTTTTATTTTATTTTCCTTATTATTTGGTGTTAAACAGGTTTAATGACGGTCATGGCAACTTTTTGGCACAATGAAAAATATCGCCCATGATCAACGTGTTCTGTTCTGGGGAAGGGGGCAAAGGCAGGGTGAATCACTTTCTTAAAAAGTACAGCTTAAGTTGGGAGTGCAGAGGGAATGGGGAGAAAACCCTCCCACTGCCTGTGTCGAAGTGCAGGAGCCCCCACCCCCATACTCACCTGAGTCCAGCCCCTCTGGGGAAAGAAGGGGTGCATGAACTCCCCCTATTCCACAGGCGCCTCCCTGTGGCCCAAGGCCCTCTTCACACTCCATCTTGTAGCCCCAGCAGGAGCTATTTTCCGAAAAGTGAAAAGCTCTGAAGGTCCCACACTTCATGGTATGTACAGGGGCTCAGAGGAGGGAAACTGCCAAGCTTTCCCCCTGCACAGCAGCAGGGGTAGGGGGTATATACAAGAGGAGCAGGCCTTGGCCAGGCGTGGTGGCTCATGCCTGTAATCCCAGCACTTTGGGAGGTGGAGGCAGGCGGATCACGATGTCAGGAGATCGAAATCAGCCTGGCCAAGATGATGAAGCCCCGTCTGTACTAAAAATACAAAAATTAGCTGGACATGTTAGCGTGCACCTGTAATCCCAGCTACCCAGAAGGCTGAGGCAGGAGAATGGCGTGAACCCAGCAGGAAGAGGTTGCAGTGAGCCAAGATCGCACCACTGCACTCCAGCCTGGGTGACAGAGCAAGACTCTGTCTCAAAAAAAAAAAAAAAAAAAAGAGAAGCAGGCTTTATTCCGTCCCAAACTGAAAGGATTAAATGGCTTTACCCGGGAGAAGATAACCATCCTGCCCTCCATTGCTACCCCCACATAATGTCCATGTTCTCAGGGGGTACTGTGAGTCCTAGGATCTTCTTTGGGGTGGCCCACCTGCCTGTGGTAGTTATGGAGGGACCCAGGTGTTGAGGCAGGGCTGGGGTGCCCCTTCCAGCCAGGCTGTCGAGGCCCCAACTCTGGGGCAGAGGCAGTGGCAGGGCAGCCAGGGTTGCGCCAGAGCCTGAGCAGGGTGAGGTGGGGTCAGGCAGGGCTGGGAGTCAGGGCAGGGGCAGCAGCAGTGGACCCGCTATGCACACATCTTCTTCTTCAAGGTTTGTGTGCAGAACATCCTGCCCATACTGCCCCAGCAGCTTCAGTTGGCACCTGCCCCAGTCCAGCCTCTGGGACCCAGGCAGCGGCTCCCAGCAGCCCTGGACCCACCACCAGCATCTGTTTCACCTGCAGTGGAAGATCCATGAGGTGCCCAGAAGATCATGCAGTCATCAGTCCCACGGAGCAGCCCGCGAGGCTGAGGCTCCTCCCA
Organism: Homo sapiens; assembly: GCF_000001405.40. Classification (NCBI taxonomy): domain Eukaryota; kingdom Metazoa; phylum Chordata; class Mammalia; order Primates; family Hominidae; genus Homo; species Homo sapiens. Next base: position 39,796,026 of record NC_000007.14, read on the forward strand.
CTGGACTGCCCCCCAACTGGCACCACTGCTGCCCCTGCCCCTACTCTCAGCCTCATGTGACTCTCGGGCAGAGGCAGTGGTAGGGCAGCTTCAGAGTCTGAGCCAGGTGAGGTGGGGTCAGGACCCCCGCAGGGGTGGGAATCAGGGCAGGGGCAGAACAAACCTTGGAGAGGAAGATGTGTGTATAGTGGGCCTGGAGAGCGGCTGTGGCCTAGTGGACAGGAAGAAGCAGTGGGCCTGGAAGAGCTGCATGATCAGGGCCAGCACTGGTCCAGGGCGCGTGCAGTGAAGAGGACAGCGCCTTCTCGGTCTCCAGTTCCCTGAGCCCGTCCTCGGCTTCTTCACCTGTACAGGCAAAGGGGAAGCTGTCCCCATCACACATGGCACACTTGGGCTGCAGATGGAGCATCTTCTCATCCTGCATTTGGGCATGGTGGGGTCCTCCAGTGCGGGATCCATGTCCGTGGGGTTCCCTCTGCCCCGACCCCCAAAGCCCAGTCAGTTTCTCCTCTTCAGGCTCTGCCCCCCGGGTGGCTCAGCCCAGCTCCTGCCTAGGAAAGCCTTAGTGTTGGGAGGGACTGCGATGACTGAGGGGCCTGGTAGCTCCAGGTCGCCCACACTTTCAGGTCTCTTGCACCACAAGGTGGCAGGATCCATTGGGAGGAAACAGGTCGCCTTGGAAGGCGTCCCTGGGCCCCCATCCCCAGGGGTAGGGGCCGTAGGGGGCCCGCTCTGCTGCCCTGACCAGACTCCTGGGCTTTGAAGGCTCCTGGGCCCAGTAAGAAGGAGGTGGGTGCCAAGGTTGAGGAGGAAGCATCCGAGTATGTGTAGGAGGAGGACGGGGTGGGACCATAGACTTTGCCAAAAACTGCAGGTGGATCGGGGGACCCGGGGGACTCAGGATCCAGCAAGGGGCGGCAGGAGTAAAGGAAGAAGGAATGACAGGTGCAAATACCTTCCCACCAAAGCCCTTGTTGCCCTCTGGCTCCTCCCCAGAGCTGTCCCCACTCTCAGTCGGTCACCCACTCCTTGAACTTGAGATCAGTGTCAGTGGTGCTAAAGCCGTCATCAGCAATGACATCATCACCCCCTCCTCCTCATGGATGACCATGTGCTCCTCGTCACTCGCTATGACCTCGCTGGCCATGTGCTGGGAATGAGCAGCTTAGGTGGGCAGCAGCAGGGCTGCCCACTGGTCACCTCCCTCACCAGGGGCTGCAAAGTGGCCTGGAGCTCCATACTGAGTAGAAGGCTTTGGGCCAGAGTATGATGCAGTGCCAGACACCACCTGTGTCAGTTCCTGTAGTGCCCGATGGTCTATTTCCCTGCCATCCAGGCTGTGTACCCCCCTGTGGGAGAAGGCTTGGGCCAGGCTGAGCCAGGTTCCCTGACTGTGTGCAGCCGTTCTGCCCCACAGAAGCTGCTCCTTGGTATCCGAGCTCTGGAGTGTCTGGGCTGCAACTGACAGGAGTTCAGAGGACACCCCAGGGGCAGTGGCAGTGCCCGTCTGTGATATGCTCTGCTCCCACGAGCCCTTGTACACTCCTGCTAGCCCCTGGCTTGTGGGCTTGGCCTCTGAGCTGGACTTCTTTCGGTCCTTGTTGCAAGTGGGCCACCTTCACCTGGAAGGCCAGGTCGTGGTACTTCTGCGTCTCATTGGGCCCCAGGGTGTACCACCGCTCGCTCAGGATCTGGCTGACGGTCCGGTTATCCTGGTTGGGGTGACCCTGGTGCGCCCTGCCAGGATCTGGTGCCACTTGCTGAAGATCATGACCGCCACTCATGGGCCACCGGATGTGGTCCTTGTCCCATTTGTTGGGGCTGCATCCATCCTTCTCAGAAGATGAGTCCTGTTCCTTGTGCAGGGCACTGAGGGACTGGGCCTGACATCATCTGAGTGGTAGAGGCAACTGGGTGTCAGGAGACATAACGGAGAGGAAAGCATCATCATGGTCATTCTCTGTCTCACTGTCCAGCAGGGACTTCCCTGAGGGGCCCAGGGCTCCTCCTTCATGGTGGGAGGTGGGCTTTTACCAGGTTCCACTACCCCCAAAGTGTGTGGGGTTCCGGGCCCTGGGCTTTCAGGGCAGGTGGATCCAGGGGGCTGCCGAAGGTCAGCACTCCCTGTCCCACCTGGTGGACACTCGTGAGCAACAGCTGCTGACTTGGCAGGTTCTTTGCTCTGGTTGGAGGCCACTGAGTGACTGGCAGGTTGCTAGGCCTCACGTGGCTGCAGGGAGGGGTCAGGAAGGGGACAGAGTACCAGGAGAACACAGCCACAGAGCAAGGTTCCACGTTCCTCCACACAAACATGCTGACGCCACCGGAGGCCTCGCTGGACGCAGACATCAGGGGCCTGTGGGCCAAGTACATGGTCTGGGCAGGGGGTTCCTGGCAGGGGCTCACACCTCCTCAGCCCCCTCCTCAGCCAAGGCAGCTTGGACCCACGGAAGGGGGGATGGGAGGGGAGCACGAGACCAGGCCTCAAGTTTTGTTTTTTGTTTTTTGTTTTTTTGTTTTTTTTTGGAGGTGCAGTTTGGCAGTCTGGAGTGCAGTGGTGCGATCTCAGCTCACTGAAACCTCCACTTCCTGGGTTCAAGCAATTCTCCGGCCTCAGCCTCCCAAGTATATGCACCTTTACTGCTGAATATTATATATTTTCTTATGCTTTCATGTGATTAATTAGCATTCTTTTTTTTTTCTTTTTGAGACAGAGTGTTGCTCTGTTGCCCAGGCTGGAGGGCAGTGGTGTGATCTCGGCTCACTGCAACCTCCGCCTCATGGTTTAATTGATTCTCCTGCCTCAGCCCCCTGAGTAGTTGGGATTACAGGCACCCGCCACCATACCTGGCTAATTTTTTGTATTTTTAGAAGGCATGGGTTTTTGCCATGTTGGCCTGGCTGGTCTTGACCTCCTGACCTCAAGTGATCCACTCTCCTCGGCCTCCCAAAATGCTGGGATTACAGGCATGAGCCACCACACCCAGCTGCTTTCTTTCATTTTTACTTGAAAAACTCCGTTAAGCATTTCTTTTAAAGTAGACCTAGTGCTCCTGAATTACCTCAGCTTTGTTTGTCTAGGGAACATGTTATTTATTCTTTCTTTCTGAAGGATAGCTTTGTCAAATATAGTATTAGTTGCTGGCAGTTTTTTTCTTTCAGCACTTTGAATATATTCTTCAATTCTCTCCTGACCTTCAAAGTTTCTTCTGAGAAATCTGCTGATAGTTTAATGAAGATTCTCTTGTTGGTGTCATGCCACTTGTCTCTTGCCTCTTCAACATTTTAAAAAATCTTTGACTTTTGACTATTTGATTATATTGTGATTATATATATTTGGTTTTAACCTCTTTAGGAATCTTTAAGCTTCATGCACTTGGATGTCTAAATCTTTCCCATGATTTAGGCAGTTTCAGCCATCCTTTCTTTAAATAAACTTCCTTCTCCTATCTCTACTTTCCTTCTCAAACTCACATGACAGTGGATTGCCTAATGGTGTCTCGATGGCTTTCTTTTCTCTCTCTTTTTTTTCGAGATGGAGTCTTGCTCTGTCACCCAGGCCAGGGTGCAATGGCGTGGTCTTGGCTCACTGCAGCCTCCCACTTGGGCTCTGCAGCCCAGCCTGTCTTGTAACCACTGCCTCCTCAAAGCGACACCTGGCAGATTCTTCTTCCCTTTGAGGGAGAATCATCGTTGTTGCTTCATCTCTTCTAAGACATTTTGTAGGGCATGGACAAGTTAAACAGAATGTGCTTTCCTCCCTGAGGTCTCGCTGTCCCACAGGCTCCTGGGAGAATGCCACAGGGGCCATGCACTGGTCGAGCTTCTCTGTAGAACCCAGGGGCTTCAGCCCAGAACACAGCATCTAGCCCTAAGCCTAGAGCAGGGAGGGAGTCCCGAACTTCTGCATTCACAGACCACCTCCAGAACTGTTATAACCAAAGGCATCCTGTTCTATTATTTCACTTAAATCAACATGTTATTTTGTTTTCACTCACTCCTGGCTTTCTCCTTGTGCCGAGCCCATGTATCCATGCAGTCATGTTCACAGGCTAGTTATGTTTTCCTTCTTACACATGAAAATAAATGCATAACTGGTAGAAGCTCTTCCGTGTTTCATATAAGCTCTCACACAGGTAAACCCTGGCCTTTGGTAGTAGCCCTGGAAAGATGTTTGCTGGGCATCTGCTCACTATGGCGGGGGTGTCCAAAGAGTGCTGGGGCTCAGCTCAGCAGACAGAGGGGCTCGTTTCCTGCCTCATGCCCAACACCAGAGACTGATGCTGGCCAACTCACAGGTGTGCCTCTTCTGGACAAGGGCCACCACTGACGGGGTTGGCTGCAGGGGCCTCACTAGGGCAGCCAAATGCTTCAAGAATTAACACTCAGGCTGGGCGTGGTGGCCAATGCCTGTAATTCCAGCACTTTGGGAGGCCAAGGCGGGCGGATCACCTGAGCTTGGGAGTTCAAGACCAGCCTCACCAACATGGAGAAACCCCTTCTCTACTAAAAATACAAAATTAGCTGAGCATGGTGGTGCATGCCTATAATCCCAGCTGCTCAGGAGGCTGGGGCAGGAGAATTACTTGAACCCAGGAGGTGGAGGTTGCAGTGAGCCTAGATCATACCATTACACTCCAGCCTGAGCGACAGAGGGAAACTCCGTCTCGAAAAAAAAGAATTAACACTCAGGCCAGATGTGGTGGCCAAAGCCTGTAATCCCAGCACTTTGAGAGGCTGAGGTGGGGGGGTCACTTGAGGCCAGGAGTTTCAGACCATCCTGGCCAACATGGCGAAACCCCGCCTCTGCTAAAAATACAAAAATTAGCTGGGCATGGTGGCGCATGCCTCTAGTCCCAGCTACTTGGGAGGTTGAGGCAGGAGAATTCCTTGAATCTGGGAGGCAGAGGTTGCAGTGAGCTGAGATCACATCACTGCACTCCAGCCTGGGTGACACAGTGACACCCTGTCTCAAAAAAAAAAAGAACACTCACTCCCAGGGCATGCTCCCTACATGTAACCAGGCTGCTCTCCCTCTGCAAGCTTGCACACTGACCCCTGGGCTCCCTTCGTGGGCACAGGCCAAGAGAAAGTTTGTGGCCTGAAAGAGCACTGGCTTGGGAACAGGCCACCCAGATCTCAGACCTATCTCTGTACTCAATAGCGTGAACAAGTTAGTAACCCTCAGCCTTGATGTTCTCATCTGGAGCAATTTTTTAAAATTTTTTATTGGCGGGGCATGGTGGGCCATGCCTGTAATCCCAAGCACTTTGGGAGGCAGAAGCGGGTGGATCTCCTGAGGTCAGAAGTTTGAGACCAGCCTGGCTAACGTGGCGAAACCTTGTCTCTACTAAAAATACAAAATTAGCCGGGTGTGGTGGTGTGCACCTGTAGTCCCAGCTATTCTGGAGGCTGAGGCAGGAGAAATGCTTCAACCTGGGAGGTGGAGGTTGCCAAGATCATGCCATTGCACCCCAGCCTGGGCAACAAGAGCAAAACTCCATCTCAAAAAAAAAAAAAGACTATATATATATATATATATATGGCCTCGTTGTAATTCCTCATGTCCTAGCATGCTTCTGTTTGGATGTGTTTGGAGGGGTGTTACCTGGATGAAACTCTGGGAGATGCCTCTGCTTTTTGGGCTGCCCGTGTATAAATCTTTCCATAAGGGGAGCACTCAGTAGTGTTTATTCACCTCCTCCACCCCAACCCTCCCAACCAATTTTCATTCCTCTTTTCTTCCTTTTCTCTGCTCTCACTTGGAGGGTGCCTGCCAAGTGTAGGCACAATCAGAACACTCCGGGCAAAGATGATTTCCCTTTTCTTTGGATAGACTCACTGGCAGAGATAAAATATATTCACTAGATTCAAAAAGATATTTGTGCACCCATGTTCATAGCAGCATTACTCACAATAGCCAAAAGGGGGAAGGAACCAAGTGTCCATCAACAGAAGAATGAATGACAAGATGTGGTCTATCTAGACAATGGAAGATTCTTCAGCCTTAAAAAGGATGGCAGGCTGGGCGCGGTGGTTCACATCTGTAATCCCAGCACTTCGGGAAGCCAAGGCAGGCAGATCACTTGAGGTCAGGAGTTTGAGTCCAGCCTTGCCAACATGGTGAAATCCCACCTCTACTAAAAATACAAAAATTAGCCATTAACCAGGTGTGGTAGTACACGCCTGTAATCCCAGCCACTCAGGAGGCTGACACAGGAGAATCGCTTGAACCCAGGAGACAGAGGTTGCAGTTTGCCAAGATCATGCCACTTCACTCCAGCCTGGGGGACAGAGCTAGACTTCATCTCAGAGAAAGACTCTGTCAAAAAAAAAAAAGAAAAGAAAGAAAGAAAGTATCCAGCCTGGGCAACCTGGAGAAACTCCGTCTCTACTAAAAATAGAAAAATTAGCTGGGTGTGGTGGGCACCTGTGGTCCCAGCTACTTGAGAAACTGAGGTGGAAGGATCACCTGAGCCCGGGATGCAGAGGTTGCAGTGAGCTGAGATCGCACCAGGCCACTGCACTCCAGCCTGGGCCACAGAGCAAGACCCTGACTCAAAAACAAAACAAAACAAAAAAACTAGAAAGTGAGTGATATGGATGTGGAATTGCTGCAGCTGTCCTGGAGACATGCCCTTTTGGAGGGAGACCTATGTCAGGAGACTGAATTCTTCATTGGCTGCAACCCCCACTGCTAGGAGGGGCCCACCTGGAAGTCCCCATGCTGCTACCCTGCAATTCCATACTTGGGCACAGTAAGCACAGAATCAGAGATGGGACAAAGGACAGCATGGCACACTGGGGAGCCCTGAGCCTTTCTGATGGTTACCCTGTCCCCAGAGGCCCCTTTCCTGAGGGCACACCCAGGTGTGAACTTCACCCAGCACAGGCCAGCCCCTCCAGGGCAACCCAAGCCCCTCCCTACCCTGCTAGAGAGATAAATGGTGGAAATGGGGAATTGAATGGAGAGCTGAGGGGACCGGGATGGGGAGAGGGGAGGGAGGAGGCTGGGCTGATAAGTAAGAATTGCAGGGACTAAGGACATTTTCCAAGAAATGTTCTCCTAACTTTAATGTAGTTTAGGTAACAAAATAATATATGAAGTATCAATATTGACATCCTCAAAGAGGAGGAAGCTGCTCATCAGAGAGCTAGTATAACTGCACGAGGCTGCACAGCAGAGACAGGATCAAAGCAGGTCCAGTGAAAACTCTATAGGCCTCCACTACAGACCCACTTCAGAAATCCACATTCTAGAATGTTCCAGAACCGATCATGTAACACAGGTGCCAAAGTACAACTGAAAAATAAACTTTAATGTCTTGAGCTCTGCCTTTTTTTTTTTTTTGAAACAGGATCTCACTCTGTTGCCTCGGCTTGAGTACAGTGATGCAAACACGGCTCACTACAGCTTTGATAATCTCCTGGGCTCAAGCAGCCTTCCTACCTCAGCCTCCCGAGTAGCTGGGACTCCAAGCATGCACCACCACACCTGGCTAATTTTTAAAATTTTTTGTAAAGATGGGGTTTTGCCCTGTTGCTCAGGCTGGTCTCGAACTCCTGACCTTGTGAACCACCCGTCTTGGCCTCCCAAAGTGCTGGGATTACAGGTATGAGCCACTGTACCCAACGCTGTTTGATTTTTTTTTACAATAAGCCTATGATACTTTTATAATATGAATGAATATATGTTTTTAAAATTCATTTTTCTAAAAAGATAGGCTGAATCCATAAAAGAAAAAAATAATGGACCAAAACTTAGAGAAAAGATAAGTACTGGCTGGGACTCAGGACTTTGGCCAGCCCTGGGCTGATATGTAGTTTGAGCAAACCACTGCCCTTCCCAGAGACTCGCCTGTGAAATGGGGGTGGGCAGAAGTGGGCAGGGCAGCAACTAAGGATTGAGCTGAACTGATGACATCTCAGGCTCTTCCCAGCCTTAGCAGCTCGAGATTTTGAGGCAATCTGGATTCCCACACCTGGTTAGAGAAGCAGATTAAGGAAATGATCTGGAGTTTGGAGTTCTCTCCCTAAGAGGATAAACACCACAATATTGATAGTCCAGGCAACAAGGCCAAATTCAACCCAGAAGAATGTTTTAGATCACACCATCTCTCATCAATCCCTAATTGAACTGGAGGTATTTAACTCTTTCTCTGCCGTTTTTTATCTTCCATTCTAAATCAGTCCTTCTCAAACTAAAATGTGCATACAAATCACCTGTGAATCTTGTTAATATGAAAATGCTCAATCAACAGGTCTGAAGTAGGACCTGAAATTCTGCAATCCTAACAAGCCCCCAGGAGATGTCAGTGCTGCTGGTCCCCAGACCACTATTTAAATATCAAGTCTCAGCTGGGCACAGTGGCTCATGCCTGTAATCCCAACATTTTGGGTGACCAAGGCAGGAGGATTATTTGAGCCCAGGAGTTCCAGACCAGCCTGGGGAACATTAGTGAGACTCTGTCTCTACAAAAAATACAAAAATTAGCCAGGTTCGGTGGCATGTACCTGTAGTCTCAGCTACTCAGAAGGTGGGAAGATCTGCTGAGCCTAAGAGTTCGAGGCTGCAGTGAGCTGTGATCGCATCACTGCACGCCAGTCTGAGCTACAGAGTAAGACCCCGTCTCAAAAGGAAAAAAAAAGTGACAAAGCAGCATCCCTTTGTCACAGAGAAAACCTGGAAACTCCATTGTACTTCACGGAATTACTAAAAAATGACACCAGACCATACAGGCTGTCTTCCCATTAACTGTTTTTCTGTTTGTTTTTATTTTTGAGATGAAATCTGGTTCTGTCGCCCAGGCTAGAGTGCAGTGTCTCAATCTCAGCTCACTGCAACCTCACCGCCTCCCTGGTTCAAGCGATTCTTCTGCCTCAGCCTCCCAAGTAGCTGGGATTACAGGCACACACTACCACACCTAATTTTTGTACTTTTAGTTGAGACAGGGTTTCACTATGTTGGCCAGGCTGGCCTTGAACTCCTGACCTCAGGTGATCTGCCTGCCTTGGCCTCCCAAAGTGCTGGGATTATAGGTGTGAGCCACTGCACCCGGGCCCTATTAACCTGTGACCTGTCATTTCTCTCTTGTCTTTCATTACTACTTGCTTGTTGTCTACCATCTGTCCCCTCCACTGCAATGAAAATCCTTTGAAGGCAAGGACATTGCTGGGTCCCTAGCTTCTGAGTACATATTTAACTTTTTTTTTTTTAGAGATTAAGTCTCACTCTGTCGCCCAAGCTGGAGTGCAGTGGCACTATCTCGGCTCACTGCAAGCTCTACCTCCCGGGTTCACACCATTCTCCTGCCTCAGCCTCTGGGACTACAGGCGCATCCGCCACCACACCCAGCTAATTTTTGTATTTTTAGTAGAGACAGGGTTTCACCATATTAGCCAGGATGGTCTTGATCTCCTGACCTCGTGATCCACCCGCCTCGGCCTCCTAAATTGCTGGGATTACAGGCGTGAGCCACTGTGCCTGGCTGCTTCTGAGTACACATTTAAGGGCTAACTAAACATTTGTTGGATGAATGAACCTCAAAATTTTGAGGTAGTAAATAAAAAAGCAAGTGACAGAAGGGTATGCAGTTTTTTTGTTTGTTTGTTTGAGACGGAGTCTTGCTCTGTCACCCAGGCTGGAGTACAGTGGTGTGATCTTGGCTCACTGCAACCTCCACCTCCTGGGTTCAAGTGATTCTCCTGCCTCAGCCTCCCAAATAGCCAGGATTACAGTCGTGTGCCACCACACCTGGCTAATTTGTATATTTTTAGTAGAGATGGAGTTTTGCTGTGTTGGCCAGGCTGGTCTCAAACTCCCGAACTCAAATGATCTGCCCATCCTTAACCTCCCAAAGTGCTGGGATTACAGGCATGAGCCACTGCGCCCAGCCCCATTTTTGTTTTAAAAAGAGTTTGAGGTCGGGTGCGGTGGCTCACACCTCTAGTTCTTTGAGAGAACTACTTGAGGCCAGGTGTTCCAGACCAGCCTGGGTGGGGAACATAGTGAGGCCCTGACTGAAAAAGTTATTTTTTTAATTAAAGGAAAAAGGGTCAGGTGCAGTGGCAGCAACTGCCGTTTTTTCATATGTACATGCATTTGTTTTGTTTTGTTATGCACAGTGCCTGGTCATAATATATCTATATCTGTATCTATATTTTTTGAGACGGAGTCTTGCTCTGTCGCCCAGGCTGGAGTTCAATGGCGTGATCTTGGTTCACTGCAACCTCTGCCACCCGGGTTCAAGCAATTCTCCTGCCTCAGCCCCCCAAGCAGCTGGGACCACAGGCATGTATCACCATGCCCAGCTAATTTTTTGTATTTTTAAGTAGAGATGGGGTTTCGCCATGCTGGCCAGGCTGGTCTCAAACTCCTGACCTTGTGATCCACTCGCCTCACCCTCCCAAAGTGTTGGGATTACAGGCGTGAGCCACCGCGCCCGGCCATAATATATTTTTTAAAGAATAATGCCAGTGTGGTGGCTCACACCTATAATCCCAGCACTTTGGGAGGCCAACATGGGTGGATTGCTTGAGATTAAGAGTTTAAGACCAGCCTGGGCAACATCGTGAAACCCTGTCTCTATAGAAAATACAAAAAGTTAGCTGCGGCTAGGCCAGGTGGCTCACACCTTTAATCCCAGCGCTTTGGGAGACTGAGGTGGGTAGATCATCTGAGGTGGGAATTCAAGACCAGCCTGGCTAAGATGGTGAAACCCTGTCGGTACTAAAAATATAAAATTAGCTGGGAGTGGTGGCGCGCTGGGTAATCCCAGCTACTTGGAAGGCTGAGACAGGAGAATCCCAGGAAGGGCTACAACCTACATTAAATAATAATAAAAAAGAAAGAGAAACTAAATTCCTTCTGTTTCCACATCCAAAACAAAGGTCATTGTGAATGGGATTCTTGCTAACTTGAGAAGGACATTACTCTCAGAGTTTCTCACCAGGATTTCTGTAACTTTCTTCCTAAATGCTCACACAGTCTCACATTCCACTCCCTCTCCCCAACCCCACAAAACCACTAGCAAAAGCATTATCCATTTACAGTGAAATGATTTTACCTAGAAGTAAATAGAATTGTTTCATTCCCCTAATTAAAATCCTTCAATGGCTCCTCTCGCTGCTATGAGAATACATATAATTAAAGCCCCTCTTTATGACTAATAAGGGCCTTCAGCTCTGATCTCTCTGTAACTTTCCAGACTCACCCATGTGTGGCATCCCCACGTACCCCCTTTCAGCTGTTCTGATTTACACATAGCTCCTGCATGTCCCATATGCTCTGACACCTCTGTGCCATTCAGGATGCTTATCTTTATCTGGAATGTCCTTATCCTCTTCTCCAGTTCACTCCGATTTGTCTGCCAAGACTCAGTTCTAGCTCTACCTTGTAATATAAGCATGTCCTGATGCCCCCTCCTAGGGTAAGTTAGGTGCTTTTCTCAGCTCCTTCCGGCAGAGAAATCTTCAAAGCCAACAGAGTTAAAGTATGATTTTTGGTAAGGAAAGTTATTAATTTCAGGCCAATAGACAATGAACAAGTGTCAAATATTTTATTTAACTCATTAACTGATGAGGGAACCAGTAAGATCTAAACACTGGTCCTAGGGTCATTTGAGAAGCTGAATGTATATAGGCAATTTAATTGATTGATGGATTAGATACAGAACTGGTTAATGTGTATCTGGTCCATAAGCCTTTGGGTTTTATGTTCTACCAGATAGGAGTTATTTGCATTCTATTGAATAAAAATTTTCATGGTAACCTTTGCTGCTACAGAGTTGTAAAATAGAAAATCAACAGAAGGTCACATGCACCACTGTTCTGAAAAACACCATGTAATTTGAGGCCTCTTTTCAATTGTTGGATAATTTTTCTAACAAAAGACAGAGCTTTTGGTGGGAGTGGAAGTTCACATTTAACATGCAGAAGACTACCAAGGTTTTACCAAGCAAGTCTTATTTTGGCATAAAAATATGACATGCTGGTAGAAAAATGGATTAAACATATGGACTGACAAATCAGAATAAATAAAAATGACAAATAAACATACTGAAACTGTTCACTCTTGCAAAGACTTTAAGAAATCCTAGTGAAAACAGTAAACGATCTCCCCTTACAAGTTAATAAAAACAGGCTTAGATGATGCTATCCACTATTAGCAAGACTTGGAGGGAAAGAAACACTTCCATAATTAGCATATGGGAATATAAACTGAGAACAGCTTCCTGGACCTGCAGCTCATATGCCAGTCCTTCGTGCTCTTGTCCATTGTGTTTTACTGCACAGGACTGCACAAGAGTAGAAAAATGTCAGAGATAGAACCCAAAGAACCTCCATCTGCCCTAGAACCTGCAACTTATGCTAGGACCACCATTGTATTACTCCCAAGTCTGGTAAGGCAGAGAGGTCCCCAAAGCATTCATATTCTGCTTCTAATTTTAAAAAATCATCCAGTCGGCCGGGCGCGGTGGCTCACGCCTGTAATCCCAGCACTTTGGGAGGCCGAGGCGGGCGGATCACGAGGTCAGGAGATCGAGACCATCCTGGCTAACACGGTGAAACCCCGTCTCTACTAAAAATACAAAAAATTAGCCGGGCGTGGTGGCGGGCGCCTGTAGTCCCAGCTACTCGGGAGGCTGAGGCAGGAGAATGGCGTGAACCCGGGAGGCGGAGCTTGCAGTGAGCCGAGATCGCGCCACTGCACTCCAGCCTGGGCGACAGAGCGAGACTCCGTCTCAAAAAAAAAAAAAAAAAAAAAAAAAAAAAAATCATCCAGTCATACCCTCCGGGGGAGCCACTGTTGAAAAAGACACAAAATGAGAAGGTTTGCCATGTCTTGAAATCAGGCTAGTGCTGTTGCCTTGGTGCCCTTCATTGTTTATTTTGTGATCTTTTGCCTTATTGTAGCCTCCTCCCCAATTCCATCTCCCTTCTCTCCTCATTCTGCTACACACACACACACACACACACACACGCACGCACGCACGCACACACACACACACACACACACAGAGATCCGGTAAACTCATTCACATAATGCTTCCTGATTTGTGTTACTGCTTGCAAGGGTGTTTTCATTTCAAAGGAAAATTTCTGTTTATCCCATATTTGGGCAATATGTAACCAAAATCTCTGTTGATAGAATTCAAACCTTCTTTGGACAGGGAAGGAAAAACAAAGAAAAAGACTGACACAGGAAGTAAATGCTTTGGAGACCAAGCACCTAAGTGATGTACTTTCACAAATACAAGGTACGGTGAAGAAATGCAAAGTTGTGGCCGAGAGTGGTGTCTCAGGCCTGTAATCCCAGCACTTTGGGAGGCCCAGGCAGGCAGATTATGAGGTCAGGAGATCGAGACCATCCTGGCTAACATAGTGAAACCCCATCTCTACTAAAAATACAAAAAATTAGCTAGGTGTGGTGGCAGGCGCCTGTAGTCCCAGCTACTCGGGAAGCTAAGGCAGGAGAATCGCTTGAACCTGGAAGGCAGAAGTTGCAGTGAGCCCAGATCAGGCCACTGCACTCCAGCCTGGGCAACAGAGTGAAACTCCATCTCAAAACAAAAAAAAAAAGAAAAGAAAGAAATGCAAAGTTGTATTCTTGTCTTTGGGAGGCTTTGCTCATGAGTCCTAACGGATAATAATGTTTTCCTGACCAAACTGTGAAAAAAGTTGTTGTCTCAGGAAAACACCATCCTTTAAGCATAGACTTGAAGAGGAATTTATTGTTTTCCCATTATCACACTGAGTACTGAGGATACCGAGTTTAGTCCTTTGAACCTAGAATTCTGAGAAATTTAGGAGTATCAGAAGTGAACTAAAAATAATTTTAAAAACATTAAAAGCTAACATTTATTAAGTGCTTACTACATTCTGGATATTCTCAGTAATTTTACATACATTATTAACTCATTCCTAGCTTGGACTAAAGAGCAACAACACTATTAAGCATATATTATGACTATCTTCATTTTACAGAAGAGGAAACTAAAACACAGAAACCTTGTTCAAGGTCACACAGCTGGTGAATGTGAACCCAGTCTACCATTAGGAAGAGAAATTTATGTCCAGTTTATACACACACACACACACACACACACACACACACATACACATATATATATATACTATTATAGTTGAACTACCAGCGCAGACATTCTGGAATTTGCTTTGCTTTGGGATCTAAACTCAAGAGGTCTCCTGGATTCAGTAGCACACATAGAAGGCACTGGTCAAGGACTGGAACAAGTCCCTGGACCCACACGTTATCACTGTCACTGACAAGAACATGCCACTTCCTTCAAAGCCCCACTGCCTTCCACCATACATGATATCTTAGGCAGCACATGGGCCAGATAACACAGCACAGCTCGGCAGAGCAGAGATGAGCTTTGAGGCTGGAAAGGGCTGGTGCGATAAGAAATTGCAAGAAAAGGAGCTGAGGTAATAAGTCTTGTCCAACAGGTGGAGCGAGGTGTTGCAGTCTGCGTGGTGCAAGGAAATCTACAGAGAATTGCCGAGACCAGCTCGGTCAGGGAGACTCTAACCCAGCGGCGCTAGAGGAATTAGACACACACACAGAAATATGGAGGTGTGAAGTGGGAAATCAGGGGTCTCACAGCCTTCAGAGCCGAAAGCCCCGAACAGAGATTTACTCACATATTCATTAACAGCAAACCAGTCATTAACATTGTTTCTATAGATATTAAATTAACTAAAAGTATCCCTTATGGGAAAGGAAGGGATGGGTCGAATTAAAGGAATAGGTTAGACTAGTTAACTGCAGCAGGAGGATGTCCCTAAGGCACAGATCACTCATGCTATTGTCTGTGGCTTAAGAATGCCTTTAAGCAATTTTCCGCCCTGGGATGGCCAGGTTTTCTTTGCCCTCATTCCGGTAAACCCACAACCTTCCAGTGTGGGCGTTAGGGCAATTATGAACATGTTACAGTGCTGCAGAGGTTTTGTTTATGGCCAGTTCTGGGGGCAGTATATGGTCAGATTTTGGGAGTCCTGCTCCCAACAGAGAATAATGCTACACCAATAGTGACAGAGACCCATAATTCAGGCAGAAGTATTTCTATTTCACTTTGTCTTCTTCTCAAATGGCTGCTGCAAATATATTGTCATAGTTATGTTTACTTTTGTCTTCTTGCCAACAACTGCAGCTCTGGGGTGAGTACTTCTAGCTGGAATGGCAGTGCCTGGCAAACTCTTTGCAAGTGCATGACTGGCATCACTTCTGAGTTGCCTCTGCACCTCCAGAGCTCTGGGCATAGCTGAAGAGTACAAACATCAACAGTCTTGTCCCCAGGCTCTCCAGAGGCAGCATCTGAAAAGTGTGATCTGGTAGTCCACAAGCTTCCCATGAGCATCCCTGGAGACTCCCCAGTTGTAAATCATGACCCGCTGACAAGTTGGATGACTGCCAGAGTGTCTGGGAGTGGGGAGAAACAAATACTGTTTAATTTTTCAGAATGCAAAGGGGGAAGTCTGATTCACTGGTAGATAGGGGACTGGTTATGGTGGTTGATGCTTTCTGGCATTCTGTAGTTGTAAATGGATGTTTCTAGAAATAGGAATCATATTAAGCAACACACACACACTCACACCCCTCATGTGGACTAAGCAACACACACACACAACCATGGAAGAACAATTTGTAGAAGGAGAGCATTGAACCTTGCTTCTCAGGAAGGAAGGAAGGGAGGAAGAGGGGAAGGGAGGAAGGAAGGGAAGGGAGGGGAGGGGATAGAGAGAGGTAGCGGGGTTGTGGGGCAGGGAGGGAGAGAAGGAGGGAGGGGAGACGAAGGAAAAAAAGAAAGAAAAGAAAATCTTTTCCGCTGGGCACAGTGGCTCAGGCCTGTAATCCCAGCTCTTTGGGAGGCCCAGAGGGGTGGATCACGAGGTCAGGAAATCAAGACCATCCTGGCTAACAGGGTGAAACCCCCTCTCTACTAAAAATACAAAAAATTAGCCGGGCTTGGCGGCATGCGCCTGTAGTCCCAGCTGCTGGGGAGGCTGAGGCAGGAGAATGACGTGAACCTGGGAGGCAGAGCTTGCAGTGAGCTGAGATCGTGCCACTGCACTCCAGCCTGGGTGACAGAGCGCGACTCCGTCAGAAAGAAAGAAAGAAAGAAAAGAAAGAAGGAAAGAAAGGATGAAAATCGTTTTAAGAGAAGCTTGCTGTAATTTTTCAAGAAAACAGCTAGCTTCGCCTGTGAACGTTTTAATTCTTAAAAAGTTTTGTCAATGAAGGGAAAAGCAAAGCAAAAGGAAGAGAGAGAGAGATGGGGGTGATTTCACAATTGTGTTTTCATTCCAACCAGATTAAAAGAGAGTATTACTGGCTGGGCGCGGTGGCTCACGCCTGTAATCCCAGCACTTTGGGAGGCCGAGGCCGGTGGATCACGAGGTGAGGAGATCGAGTCCATCCTGGCTAACACGGTGAAACCCCGTCTCTACCAAAAAAAAAAAAAAAAAAAAAAAAAAAAAAAAAAAAAAAAAAAAAAAAAAAAAAAAAATTAGCCGGGAGTGGTGGCAGGAGTCTGTAGTCCCAGCTAGTCCGGAGGCTGAGGCAGGAGAATGGCGTGAACCCGGGAGGCGGAGCTTGCAGTAAGCGGAGATCGCGCCACACTGCACTCCAGCCTGGGTGACAGAGAGAGACTCTGTCTCAAAAAAAAAAAAAAAAAAAAAAAAGAGTATTACTTTCAGCATCTAAAAAAATCCAAGTTTAATTCCTACAATGACATTGTTCTGTTTGCCTTATCCACCAAGCACTAATGAAGTGAGAGATAATTAGGACACCAGAAAGGGACTCTTTTTGAACAGAAAAAAGAAATTCTGATCTGGATACTGGAGTGGGCCAAAGAAAGAGATTTTAGATTCTTTATAAATCATCAAAAAGAAAAGAGAGCATTATCTACCCTGAATGGCTCAAACATTTATTTGAATCATATTTTTTTCTCTCCAGATATACTCCAAGGTATTTATTTATTTATTTATCTATTTATTTATTTACTTATTGAGACAGGGTCACGCTCTGTTGCCCAGGCTGGAGTGCAGTGGTGTGACTGCAGCCTCAAACTCATGGGCTCAAGGGGTCCTTCCACCTCAGCCTCCCAAGTAGCTAGGACTACAGGTGTATGCTGCCACACCTTACTATGCCCCACTAATTTTTTATTTTTTTATGTTTTGTAGAGACAAGGTCTCACTGTGTTGCCCAGGCTGGTCTCAACTTCTGAGCTCAAGTGATCCTCCCACCTCAGGCTCCTAAATTGCTGGGATTACAGACATGAGCCACGGTGCTCAGCCTATTTTTATTTTTTTAGAGACCATGTCTTGCTGTGTTTCTCAGACTGGAGTGCATGGCTATTTGGAGGCATTGTTGCCTCATCAGTGGCACTGCTGCCTCCAACTTCTGGGCTCAAGCTATCCTCTCACCTCTGCTTCCCGAGTAGCTGGGACTACAGGTGTGAACATTATGCCTGGCCCATATGCTTTTGGAGATCATGCTGCCTTTTAGAAACATTTTTTTTTTTGAGATGGTGTCTCTGTCACCCAGGCTGGAGGACAGTGGCGTGATCTCGGCCTCACTGCAAACTCTGCCTCCCAGGAGACCTGCTTTGGGGCTACACATGTGCTCATTCTTCGAGTATGCCCAGGTTCTAGAACATTAGTTTCCTTGGGTCCTCTTTTAAATAGCCTGAGTCCCGATGTTCTGAATTTTACGTACAAAGAAAATGTTTCTACATTTTAGAAAATCACACAGGGATGTCCAAATTTAGTACTGCAATGTAATGATGCATTCTACAACACAACTACTATCAGCATGCTTCCAGTTTAGCACCAAAAAGTTGGTATTGACATAATCTCAGGAAAAAAGAACAATAATGAACTTTAAGTGAAAGATTTATCTTTCTGAAAAATTGATATTATTCCATGTCTGTTTTTTTTCCTTGTGGCATCTATGGATGGAAACACTTTCTACATCTGGAATCCATCTACAAAATGTTTCTGAAAAAGCGTTTTTCTGAAGGCTGCCATCCAATCCTGCTATCTCAATGAAATGTCTCTTCCAGTACAGCCTTTCAGGTCTCACACAAAATGCCCTAGATTATTCTTCAGGGGATATTGATGCTTTTTAATGATTCTCACCAATGTGTAGAATTGTTTGCCACTGTAGGCAATTATCTCCAGAGAAGATATTCCTGAGATAATCCAGTGTTTCATATGGTGAGTATTTATACTTCTATCTATTTATTTTATCTCAAAGCATTTTTGGCTGTATGTCATTAATGTTTCATAATAATTATAGCAATACATGTATGTAACTTACTAATTTATACATATAAACATCCATCCACATAGATGTGAATATTTGGTGGTATATACTCAAATTTTTTTGCTAAAGGGACACTGAAGAACTTCGCTACAACCTTTTTAGTTTTTTAGGATATATGTATTTATACTTACTTGACTTTTTGGAGGATAACTTCTATGGGTTATGCTTAGAAGCACTACAACCCTTCCATCTTAAAATTGGCTGGGAAATAAAACAAGAGTTCTCCTCAGCAGTTTCAACCTCAACTGTCTCCCCATGCATTCATGGTGGAAACTGGTCAAGCCATAGAACAGGAAAATTAAAACCTGGGTTCTTGCTGTGGTTCCAGCCCAGTAAAGCCATAAACATGTTAAATCACACATTTACCAAAAGGGAATACAAGCAGCAACATTGCTTTAACTATTAATGCTTTAAGGATAACTTTTACATTGCTATGTAAAGAAGCAAAAAATTAATCAAATGTAATTTCTCCAACCCTGGGACAAACTATTGTTACAAACTCAGTGACAGGGACAATTATAAGAAGAAGACTGCTTTCTTTGCAGCTCCCAGATTTCCATACATACTCTGCTCTCCACGGTATAGAGAGACATTTGACATTTCCAGACTTGCTACATGCAGGGCACACAATCCCCCAAAATTGTCCTAAGTCTTGTCTTCCTCTGCCTGGCTCATTTCATTTAACCTAATGCTGGAAGTGACCTGACGTCCAGAAGTTTGATGGCTTAATACTGTTCCATTGTTCATATATACTTCAGTTTCTGCATTTCTTCATCTGTGAATGGGCAGGTAGGTTGACTGCATACTTTGGTTATTGTCCATATTGCTTCATGAAACATGGGAAGGCAGGTATTTCCTTAAGGTATGGGTTTCGTTGGCTTTATGGGTATACCCAGTGTTGGGATGGCTAGATCGAACTGGTAGTTGTATTGTTGTTTCAGGAACCCCCAGCTGTTTCTCTCAGTGTGTATATTAATTTACATTTCCACCAATAGTGCATAAGTGATCCTCTGTCTGCAGAGGATCCTCTGGCCCCTGCCTTCAAAAAGTTTTATTGCTGTTTCTGGTCATACCTGTTCTCTGGGGGATTTAATAGTATCTGAGTGTGGTTGGGATTACTGATGTGGACAAACTTTTGTATTACTCGTGAGTTTCAGGTCTTTTTTCAGAAATGTCTATGATGGTCTTTTGGGCATTTTTAGCATGTGTATTGATTTTTATGTTTCTGCCCACTTAGGACCATTAGTTTCTTGTATGTGTTAGATAGCAAGCTTTTCCAGATTCATAATTTTCCATAATTTTCTCCCAGTCAGTGGGATGCCTTCTGTTTGGGTTCACTGTTTTCTCTGCAGTGCCGAAGCTGTGAAGTTTTTCTTAGCTTCACATGGTTATGTTTGCTTTTGTTAGCAGTGATTTCTGTGTCCCATCGAGAAGAAAAGCAAGGTGGCAAAGCCATTGTGTTGTCTATGTTTATTTGTCTCCTGTGTCTTCCTTTTCTGTTTGCAGTTTAGGTGCACGGATTCAGGTTTCCCCAAAATAGACACTCACCCTATGCATTTTCCTTGAAGTGTTTGGGTTTCAGGATTAGACTTAGGTGTTCAGCGGATTTTGTGTTGTTTTTTGTGTCTTGTGCAATGTAAGGGTTTAGTTCAATCCTTTGCATGTGAATACCCAGTTGTCTCAACAGTTGTGCTTTTGGAGGAAAAAAAAAAAGCATGTGTTCACTGCATTTAATTTTGGGTTATTTGGTTCCCTTGTTGCGAGCTGTTATTTGTGTTAGGAACTATTCTATATCTTTTGTGTAGAGTCTCATTTAAGCATTACAGTGGTTTCCTGTGAGAAAGCTGCTATTTTCATTCCCATTTTATTAATGAGGAAATTGAGACACAAAAAGGCTAAGCAACAGCTAGGAAGTGACAGAGCTTAAAGTAGGATTCCAGCCCAAGTTGAATGTAATCCAAGGGCTATGCTCTTTCTATTCAAATAGGCTGCTCTTTCATTAATACAGTGAGTAACGAGAGGTAATAAACAGTGTGCTTTCTTCAAAGGAAAATTAAATGTTTTGAAGACAGAGTAATAGCAGGCTATTCAGTGTTTGCAATTACATGAATCGTTGATATGGCTGCAGATAGTGCACTACAATTTCCTAAAAAGTCTTCTCACTCTCATAGGACTGCTCTACATTTGGCCTGTGTCATGGGAATTCAGAAGTAGTAAAACTCCTGCTGGACAGAAAATGTCAATTTCGTGCCTTTGACAGCAAAAAGAGGACAGATCTGATAAGGGTATACAGTAGCCAACTCTGTCGGCATGAGATAGATTTGATTTCAATAGATAGAATAAAAATGAGTTTTCTTATTATAACTAGTTGGTGAAATGTGTGGAATGTTTATTTTGAATTCCTAGGATTTAAAATCTATTTCTTGGTCTAATACCAACAGTCTGTACAATGCCTGGAAGAGGAATGTGCGACAATTTTGCTAGAGCATGGCACTGATCCAAATCTTCCGGATGTGTATGGTACGCTGTGTAAAATGAGGATAAATCAGTGGCCCCAAAACTGCTTTCATACAACGCAAATATTGAATCAAAAAACAAGGTATAGATCCACCAATTTTATTTTCAAAATACTGAAATGCATTTGTTTTTACAATGACCTGTGTAAGGGTCAGTTTTCCATATTTGGAAGCTCAAGCATAACCTGAATGAAAATATTTTGAAATGACTTTATTATCTATGATTTTGTTTTAAATATTGTTACCTTTAAAGAAGCATTATGGGGTACACCTTTTTTATGCACTTGTGGTAAACATTCAATTTATAAAAGGTAATAGTTTTTTTCCAATTTTTTCCTCCCAGAATTTTTTTTCCTAACCAATGTAAAATGACAGAATTTGCCCTGGAAATAGGTTTTACATTAAAACTCCAAGAAAATGAATGCATTTTATAATGAATAAAAATCTTGATGCTTTAACAAGTTCCTTATATTAAGTAATAGATATGAAAGTGATGTATCTCTCAGTGACGAGGCTTAAGATATTTCTGATTGCTCTTAAGGCAGAAATGGAACAGGAAAAGGAGAGCAATCAGAAATATCGAGACTAATTTGGAAATTAGATAATTGAGGGAAAAGGCCTTGAAGAGATTCTCTGTGTGTGTTTTTTGTTGTTGTTCATTCATTTTTTCCCAGTTTGTATGTTTAGACAAGGTTCTCTTCAGTTTGAGGATTTTAGTTTGGGGAAGGGAGTTAGTGAGTTGTAAACTGCTTAGATCAATTTTAGGAGGCTTCTGAGGAGCCTGATTGGCAGTGAATAGGTGGTGATGAAGTGGGAAAGTAACAAACTGGAAACACCAATACCTTTCTAGTACCTTAAGCAAATGGCAATAAGAATTGCCAGGCTTAGCCAGTGTGCACCAATACCAATAGGAAATTATTTTTTCAAGATACTTGCTGAGTGCAGAAGCCAGGAAAGCAATTTCTTGTTGAGAAGCACAAGTCATGTTACATATCCTTATACCAACAAGGTCTCACTATTATTGACTTCATTCCTTCTAATTTGAAGTTGAAGGAGATATATTGATTTTGTTGGAAAAAGATGTGTTTTCTACCTGCCGGTTAATTGTCATAACAGTAATTTTGTTAGAACAAGATGCTCTGCTACTATTAGCCAAAAGATTATCATAATAAATAGGCAAATTGCCCAACTCTAGGCTCAGCAGATTATAATAAAAGTACAAAAATGTTTTACAAGGACAAAAATGCTACTATGCTACCTGGATATGGACATCTAATACATTGTACAATCCAAACTGTATGAGGACACCTTTGATTTAGTACGTATTTATCAAAGAGCTTCTGTAAGTTAGGTTTTGTAAGTTTCAGGAGACAGAGGTGGAATAGACATAGTTTTGATCATTAAGTTGCTCATAATGGACTAGAGCTCTCTCTAGTTAATTTTTGTGTTGTTTCAACAGAATTTTCAAAGAAAACCTTTTATTCACTTTCTCACTTGTCCACTTAACAGATAACTATCACATCTTTTAGATGCTAAGCATTTTTCTAATGCCTCAGAACCCAAACAATTAAAAATACAGTCAGGAGCTTGTTATCGTCTATTATCATTATCATTTTTATTATTTTGCTAATTTATTCAGTGCTTACTTTGTGATAGATACCCACTGGAAGCTTATAATTATGATTTAAATTTATTATATTAAATATGTGCCAGACACTTTAAGTATGTGATGAGGAATGAAAGCTTTAAGAAAGTAGGAAGGATTTAAGGTAAGCATGCAGTGGGAATAGAATTTTTCTAATTAAAAGAACAGAAGAATGATGTTTGGCAGGAGGAACATCTAACAAGATTATGTGTTTGGCAGAAGGAACAGATAACTAGATTGCGTGTTTAGCAGGAGAAGGGGCAAGTGAAGAAAGTAAGACCCTTGAGTGAACTTTGCAGGGTTTATGAGCAGTTTACTTTTGCTAGTACAAATAGTGTGAGATGTGAGAGGTTGGGAATAAGGTGACTACTTTGCTGAGGCAAGTTTATGACAGACTTTTTGATTCTATAGAAATGAGTAGATCTTATCCTGTGGGCCATAGGCATTTTACCAGCAGGAATACTTTAAACTGCAAATACTAGAAGACCAGTGGCTAAAAGAGTAGGAACCAGAGTTGTTTTGGTTGTTCAATTATATCCTAGAATCCCACTTGTCCCTCTTTCAGCTGTGCTGTTGGCAGTGTTTTATCCATGTTTCCTTTCATGGTTGGCTAATCCACAACAGCTCCAAACATCTTGTTCTCATAACACAACATCACAAGAGCTGTTTTCCTTCACATGTTTCTTTTAAATAGGGAGAAAACTTAGAAGCAAGCAGTAGACCTTCTGTAACATTGTATTGGCTGGGTCATACCACATGCTCATCCCTAAACCAGGCACTGGGAAAGCAAATGTAATTATGTGATTAGTTTAGAATAATCATTTCTCTTTTTGAAGCTGGGGAAAGGGGGATTGGGATGATAAATATCCAAACAGACTTGTGTTTCTTCTACAAGGAAGAATAAGGAATGGCTGTTGGTTAGGGAGTCAGCAATGTTTGCTGTAGGGGCACACTGGAGAATTTTGAGCAGGGGAGTCATAAGATTAAATTTGAGTATTAAGGGATTCTGATTATCATGTAAAACAGGAGTTGACAAGCTTTTTCTGTAAAGGAAAAGGTGGGAAATATTTTAGACCATGTGGTCTCTGTCATATCTATTTAACCCTGCCATCATAGTGTGAAAGCAACCATGGATAATATGTAAAAAAACAGGCATGACTGAGCTCCAATAAAACTTTATTTACAAAACAATAAGGCACACTGGATTTGGCCTATGGCCTATACTTTGCTGACCCCTCAGAGAGGACTGATGGAAGGTAACCCTGTAAAGAAACTAGGAGACAAAGAGGCTTTTGCAGTAGTCAGCTATAGTTTTCTTGTCACATATCCTTGGACTAGTATCAGTTTGTTATGAGGTTTTCACCCACTCTTGGTGAAATACAGTTGGGAATCTCAGTTATTTTAAAATGTTGGTCTTCTTCTTGGTGTTAGGCTTCTTTCATTTGTTTTGCTTAAATTTTTTTTATGTAAGATAAAGCAGGCCGGGTGTGGTGGCTCATGCCTGTAATCCCAGCCCTTTGGGAGGCCGAGGTGGGCAGATCACTTGAGCCCAGAAATTTGAGACCAGCCTGGGCAACAAAGCAAAACCCTGTCTCTACTAAAAATACAAAAATTAGCTGGGCATGGTGGCACACGCCTGCAGTCCCAGCTACTTGGGAGGCTGAGGTGAAAGAATCACTTAAACTGGAAGGCAGAAGTTGCAGTGAGCCAAGATTGTGCCACTGTACCCCAGACTTGGTGACAGAGCGAGACTCTGTCTCAAAAAAAAAAAAAAAAAAGAAAAAATGTTAATAGTTGGTGGGAGTTTTTAAAATAAAAGCCATCAGTTAAGAGCCCATGTTTAACTAGGAAATATAAAAATAAAATATAAATATTTTGTAAATGTTTATATTCCCAGTGGCAGTGGGAATATAAAGCAGAGGCAAAAGAGAGATATAATCAATATGATTTAGTGATTACTGAATGTGAAAAGTTTGTGAGATAGGGAGAAATCTCTGATGATTCACAGGTTTCCAGGTTATACGCTAGCATTTAACCTGCACATGAGGAAGGAGTAGGAAATTTTCTGGTGAATACAGAAGAGCAAAGAGCAGCAGGTCGGCAGGAATGACTAATTTTTTTCTATGCATGTCAAGTTCAATGGAATATCCATATGGTATATTTTTAATAGGTAATTGGATAATTGGCATTTATACCTGGATAAAGCTTGAGAGTGGAGATGCAGACTTTGAATAATCTTATTGTAATTATTATGCAAAATCATAGGTCTGAAGGAGATTGTCCACAATGGGAAAGATGTAGAATCAGCAGAAACCACCTGGGAATAGGAACATTTCTCAGAGGAAAAGAAGTTAGTAAAGAAGACTGAGCAGTGGGTAGAGAAAGAAAAAGTAGGAGAGAAATGTTACAAAAAATTGTTTAAAATGTGAGAATTTCAAGGAGGGAATATTGATTCAAACAAGATTACTAAAAAGTAAATTGAATTGACCTTTTAAAATCTCTTGATGGTACCTTTATCAAATGAACAATTTTAGAGTTGTAAGGTCTACTATTTATATGATTGGTACTTCTGGTGTTCAAATATGGAAGAATCCACCTAACAAGATCCTACCTAACTTTTTTGTAACTAGACTGGTGAGTTCACATGCCAACATTTTTCCAGAATTTTTAAAACCTAAAGGTCATGTATCAGGAAAAGTGTGGTCTTTCTCACCTGGTTTTTGTGGAAATAATTTTTTAGCACTCATGTTCTTGATACGCTCTTCTGGATGTGTTTCCAAACAAAAATCCAGCAGCAACGACTGGAAGCCATTCTCAGATGTACATATCCTTTCTCTGACATGGAATCATCGTAATACAGCCGTGTTTCAACAGAATTTCAAGTTTTGATCAGAAATAGTTTACAGACCAGCAGTGTGGAGAAACTGACATCTTTAAATATTTTATTGCAGAAAACTAATACAATATCACAGAGAAAAACGTAAGATATGCTGAATATATTAGTTGTCAGTGTTTTGGGGAATTCTGGTGACATCAGTAGGGAATTCAGCACCTGATTCCTCCCTTTTCCTTTTCATTTCCTTTTCATTTACCCTCCTGTGATATCTCTGCTTTTACTACTTTGTTTTGAATTTCATCTCTAAAGAAAATACTCTTAGAACACACTTTTAATAGTATAAGAGAAATGTATATATGTTTGACAAATATGTGTTATTTCCTTTTAAAAGAATTGGCTGTCTGTCCTAAAGTATATCTGGTATTTATTCATTTGTAATGCTAAATAAACTTCTTTATATGTGGACCACAATGACAGTGTCACCCATGATGGTCTGCCAAGATTTAAGTGTCCTCTTTATGGTCAGATAGAAATAATTTTATCTGACATAGTTTAAATGTGAAATGCTTTTCTGGTATTACATTTCTTAAGAAATTGGTAATCTGTGATTTAACTAGAACATGTAGTCAATTGGATTGGCACACTTTTAACCATCTGTATGTAAGATAACTTCCTTCCCCACCCCAAATAAGTTAAAAGTTTTGTTGATCGTTAATGGAGGATCAGTGGATAACTCATCCTACATTTTGCGTGCAATTTTTTTGACTTTTGGACTTGTTCTATCAAGAACAGCTTTTAATAGGTGAATCTTGTTTCTAGTTTTATAAGAAATTAAGAAAAAGTTCAAAAGCAAATAGAACTCTATGATTAGGGCGGGCGCAGTGGCTCACACCTGTAATCCCAGCACTTTGGGAGGCCGAGGCAGGTGGATCACGAGGTCAGGAGATCGAGACCATCCTAGCTAACACGGTGAAACCCCGTCTCTACTAAAAATACAAAAAATTAGCCGGGCGTGGTGGCAGGCGCCTGTAGTCCCAGCTACTCGGGAGGCTGAGGCAGGAGAATGGCGTGAACCCAAGAGGCGGAGCTTGTAGTGAGCTGAGATCGTGCCACTGCACTCCACACTCCAGCCTGGGTGACAGAGTGAGACTCCGTCTCAAAAAAAAAAAAAAAAAAAAAAAAAAAACTCTGTGATTAGTAGTACAGTAACATACTATCTAATGGCTATATTAGATGACTATAATGACTATATTAGATATATTAATAGTATCATTTTTTCAACAATTATTCCAGTTACCTGAATAAAGCACACCTGGGATGTGCCTAATTCCCCCAGCCTCAAATTTTGACAACACATGTGCAATGTTGTCTACCAGTACCAGAGTCTCATTAGAGACTCAAGTATCCACGTATTGTGATTTGTTTTGTTTTGTTTTTTAGTGGAGCCTAGTCACATAGGCATCCTCTCCTTCACAGTACCAAAATACCGGGCTCCCAGTAGAAAAGCAACTGCGCAGATTATACCACATTGTTTGTACAAGCCATTTAGGCACAGTGAGCCACTCTTCTTAGTTAGGGAATGGTGGCGGTCCTCCCAAATCCAAGGTCCCAAACACCAGCCAAGGGCCAGTCTTGTAAGCTGGCCTTTCTCAGGATGGTAGTCTCCTGCCTCCTGTATGAAACCTTTACTATACAACAGCTATGGCCGTGATGTAATTTGGGGGGGTTCTTAGTATTTTATTTTAATAGCAAATAATAATATAATGACATAACACGGTACTGTTTTCAGTTGCATCACTCATACTAAGTTGTAATGATGCTTATGGTTTTGACATTTGGTGGATATTTTACAGGTATTTTTATATGAATTGCTATGGCAATATTAGATAATCATAATCTGTGTTTCTTATCTGATTAACCTTTCAGTAAAATTGTTAAATAAGCATACTAATTTCTGATTTTAAATTACAGTAAAAGTGGTCTTTTAATTACATGAATGGACCTGTTTTGATTCAGTGTTAAATCCCTGTTTATAATTATAAAATAAGATAAAATATTTAATAATTTTTATCAATTATTTTTTGCTTAAGTATACAGTTAAAATTATTAGCTATACATGCTCTATATAATTCAGTTTGGGAGATAATATCCATATTCTGTTATTAATTCTTTGACCTTTAGTGATTTGCAATTTTCAGGGTGACTATATCTTTTCATAATATAGAGTAATAGCAAATTCAGTGAATATCTTTTTTAAAATTAATCTTTACTTTTTAGAGCAGTTGATGTTCACAGCAAAATTGAGAGGAAGGTAGAGGTTTTCCAAATACTCCATGGACCCCCACATATGCACAGCCTCCCCCATTATCAATGTCCTCCACCAAAGTTCACTAGAGTTATTGATGAGCCTACATTGACACATCACCCAAAGTCCATAGTTTACATTAGGTTTCGCTCTTGGTGTTGTACATTCTCTGGACTTGGAGAAATCTATAATGACATGTTTCTACCCTTGTAAGTATCCTAGACACAATCATTTTATGGCCCTAAAAATCCTCTGTACTGTGCCTTTTCCTCTCTCCCCCCCACTAATCCCTGGCAACCACTGATCTTTTTGCTGTCTCCATAGTTTGCTTTTTCCAGACTAGTCTGGAATTCCACTGTATTGGAATAATAAAGTGGATAACTATTTGAATATTAAAAAATTAAAATTCCATGGTAATTGCAGTAGTCATTGAAGATGTTTTTTGTCCTTTTGTTTTCTTTTTGTTTTGTTCATCGTCGTAGAATATGATGATATGTGTTTTCCATACTGAGAAAGCATGATTTCTATAGACACTTGCCACATAATAGGGTTGACAAAAATGACATCATGCAGCACTACAGACCATCCTGCTCTATGAGATGGGTCCAGATAGACTTTCTATGAATGAAAAGGGACAATCTTAAGAGTTCATACTTTATAAAACCTTCATGCCTTGCAGTTGAAAATAAGACTAGGCAGTGAATACTACAGGTGGATAAATATATTCCTCACTGATTATCTTCCTTTGAGATACGAGTTTGAAAATAGTCTATATTATTACGACATGGCTCACCTACAACTAGATTCTCTGTCATGAGAAATGCCCAGAGAGTCACAGTGTTTGCTTTACATGAAGTGCAAAAGAACTTTTTTCTTCCACTGGAGAGAGTGACAACTGTTGGCACATTCTAGTAGCTTGAGTGAGTTGATAGTTCTGTTCACATATATTTTTCACATCAGATAGTACTCACTGGCAACTTGCCACCACCTCTTCAGTGTTTCTTCTTAAGCTTCTCTCTGAATAAGTGGTATGCTTCTGAGTGAGTGGATAAGCTCTTAAGGGAATGATCTTTCCAGTGGTTCTTTTCCATAGGAGTGAAATGGCAGGCAAATTTGAGCCTTGTTTGTGGCATACATAGGGCAGAGAAAATAGCCAGAACTAAGTAAACTTAACCAGCATTTTCCCCAGAAGAGTATTAGCAATAGTGAGTACAGTGATCTCCCTTGAGATCTTCTCCACTGGCAACTGAAAAGTCTTTGCAAGAATCTTTGTCCCTGGTCTGTTTCCTATGTTTTGCCATAAAACATAGTACAGTGCCCATGGACCTAGCTTCCTCGTGACAGGATGTTTTATTCTAAACTGAACAGTTTTAACTGAAGAACTGGAGAAGCTTTGTTGTGTCACAACAAAATAAGTCCAGTTGTCTTCCCTTATCCACAGGGGATACATCCCAAAACCCCCAGCAAATGCCTGAAACTGTGGATAGTACCAAGCCCTATATGTGCAATGTTTTTTCCTATACATACATGTCTATAATAAAGCTTGATTTATAAATTAGGCACAGTATGAACTTAACAATAGATAATAAAATAGAACAATCATAACAATATACTATAATAAGTTTTGTGAATATGGTTCCTTGAAATATTTTCTTGCACTGTACTCACCCTTATTCTGTTGATGATGTGTGGTGATACAGTGCCTCTGTAATAAGATGGCATAGGTATTGTGATGTAGTGCTAGGCTACTATTGACCTTCAGGAGAAGGACTATCTGCTTTGGGTGATCCTGGATTATTAAGCCTTGATAATACTGATGGTTGGATGTCAGGAGAAGACCTGCCAATGACTAACGGGTAGATAGCATATACGATGTAGATGCACTAGACAAAATGATGATTCATGCCCTGGCTGGGATGGATTGAGATGGCTGAAGATTTTACACTACTCAGAACGGCATGCAACTTAAAACTTATTTTTTTCAAACTTTTCATTTAATATTTATGGATCATGACTGACTATGGGTAACTGAAACCACAGAAAGCAAAACCACAGATGT
Source organism: Homo sapiens (assembly GCF_000001405.40). Classification (NCBI taxonomy): domain Eukaryota; kingdom Metazoa; phylum Chordata; class Mammalia; order Primates; family Hominidae; genus Homo; species Homo sapiens. The sequence continues at coordinate 39,825,739 of NC_000007.14, forward strand.
GATACCGTGAAATACATATTTGGTCTTCAACTCTGTTAAAAGAAAAACTTCAGCTATATTAAATTTAAAGGAATTTAATTGAACAATGAACAATTCGTGAATCCAGCAGCCCCCAGAATCATGGCAGATTCACTGAGACTCCAGCACAGTCACATGGTAGAAGAAGATTTATAGGCAAAAAAAAAAAAAAAAAAAAAAAGAGGAAACGATGTCCAGTACAGAACAGCTGGATTGGTTACAGGTTGGTGTTTGCCTTGTTTGAACACAGTTCAAACACTCATCGGTGTATGAATGGTTGAGGTATGGCTGCTGGGATTGGCCAAGACTCAGTTATTGTTACAGGCACATACTCCTAAATTAGGTTTTTAATCTTGTCTACCTATTAAGCTAGGTTCCGGTTCATCCACAAGGACTCAAATACAGAAGTAAGGAGTCCTTCTCAGGTCACATTTAGTTCGCTTTAACAATTCCATTTCACGGCATACAACTCCTAAAATCCTTAGAATCTCCAAAGTGATGTATTTTTGTATGCTAATGATTGACTGATGGCTAAGCAGCTTCAGGATAGGGGCTGGTCACTGGAAAGATTAAGGCATGATTAGAGGATTGGAACTTCCAGCCTCCTGGGAGGGGAGAGGAACTGAAGATTAAGCTGATCACTGATGACCAGTGATTTAATCAGCCATTCCTGTGGAATGAAGCTTTCATACAAACCCAAGAGGATTGGGTTCAGGGAGCTTCCAGATACCTGAATAAATGGAGGTTTCTGGAAGGTGGTGCACCCTCTAAGGTTATGAAACTCTACACCCCTTCCCCAAACCTGGCCCTGTGCAACTCTTTATCTGTATTTTTGGTAACATTCTTTGTAATAGCCAGGAAATGCAAATTTTTTTGCTTCCCTAAGTTCTGTGAGCTGCTCTAGCAAATTAAACCCAAGGAGAGGTCATGGGAACCATAGCTTGAAGTTAGTCATTCTGGAGGCCCAGAATTGTGACTGGTGAGGGGAGGGGGCAGCCTTGGGGACTGCACCCCCAACTTGTGAGGAATTGATTTAGAGGACCCCCAGCTGGTGTCTGCTGCAGGATTGATTGATTGCTTGTTGGTGTGGAAAAGTCTTCCCCTCATTTGGTCACAGAAGTCTTCTGTGTTTGTTATTGTTGTACTTTGAGAGCAGAGAAAAAATACATTGTGGTCATTTTTTTTTCCACACATAGAATGGGTAAGGGGGTGTTACTGTGCATGCCTTCTAACTGCTCCTAGTCCATTAGTCCAGAAATCATGCTACGTTTGACACTGTTAGCTTATGATACAGATTTTGTTATTGATACCAGTGAGACTGATAGGGTTGATTTAGGATTATAATTGTACACAGCAGTTCCTTTTAAGGACCACATTTTGATAATTCCCATTCTTCCTTGCATTTCATAGATGCAAAGGAGGGGCAGTAAGAGTTCTTAATGCATTAATTTCCTACCAGTAGTATAATTAATATTCTAGTATAATCTCCAGGTATGGTCCCAAAGGAATACTTTGTAACAAAGCATCAGTCTTATGCCTTTTTAAAAAACAAAGTCTAAAGCATGCAGAAAAGTGTGCACGGTTTTTTAAAAATAAAGGTAGAGTTTTGCTCTGTTGTCCAGCCCGTTGTCAAACTTCGGGGCTCCTCAAGTGATCCTTCAGCCTCAGCCTACCAGGCACTTTTATGCTTTAAGTATTCTATGTGTTTCTATTGTTGATTTAAAAGGTATTTTACTTTTTTCTTTAACAGTGGATGGGAGTTCTGAAGACTCTGTAATCAGGTAGGATTTACAGATTTTAAATATTTATCTGTTAACTAAGGGAATAGAAGGAAAAGAAACGAACAACTGTTGATTGTTGCACCCCGTTGTGCACTCAAAATGACACATCATATTATGTACCTAACTCATTCCATATAGTCATCACAACAGCTTTGCAAAGTGTCTGTGCAATTACAACCTACTTTTTACTAATCAGGCAACTGTGGTTCAGAGAGGTTAATTGGCCCCTGATCCTATAATTAACAATTAGCTGACTCATAGAACAAGAGTAGAGACCTGATAGACCTGTGTATCTCTGGAATCAAGGTACAGGTCCAAATCAGATTAATTCAGAAAGTCACATTTAGTTATACATTAACTCTGATTTACACTTTTCTTTAGAAGTCTGATTAGTGCAAGAGTTTGTCCTATATAGTTTTGGCAATTTCAGTGCTAACCAGCAACATGTTTTTACCATCGAAGGTTTTAGGGCAGATCTCATTTAGCTACGGCCACAGAACCTTAGGTTTTACATAAGCAAGACCGGGCAAGTTTTAGAGACTTATTGGAAGAATTATTTTATTTTAAGTGAAAGATATCTACATATCCATGTTATGTTACATATCCATATTTACATATCTGTGTCATGTTAATTATATTTATCGTCTATTTACAGGCTATGTCTAGGTGATTTCTGTACTTAGACTTCCCGGTTTAATTTTCCCATTAGTTTACTCTGCCTAGTTCCATGAAGCTTTTTTCCCTAGAGATTTTTTTCTTCTTCCATTAGTTTTTATAATCTTCTCTTGAGTTTTTAACTTTCTTCTTCACTTTTCTTGGGGTGTCTTTTGTTCTATTATTTTTTCCATTTCTGCCAGCTAAGTGTTCCTTTTTTTTTTTCTGTAGACAGAATCAAAAGCACATAGAATTTCAGAACTTTAAGGAATCTTAGTGGCTAATCAAAATAACCTCTAGTACTTAAACCTGTGTTTAACATTCTGGTCAAGTGGTTATTCAGATGGAGAACCTGAAACTTAAGGAGGTTAAAGTGACTTATTTGGATACAGGAAGTGGCGGAAATGAGATTTGAACTCCTTTGAAAGCCCAGTCCTCTCCCTTCTTCATCATCCTGTCAGTGTGCATTTTAATAATAGAAAGGGAAGGTGGGAGTAGTGAACACAGTGGAAGAGGAAAAGAATGGAATCAACTGATGAACCCAATGGAAGAGGATAGGAATGAAAGGAGTAGGGGAAGGCCTAGTTTGAAGAGAACACTGAGGTAGGAACAAGGATTTTAGAAAAGAGGTCAGAATATTGGGGTTTATGACAAGTCTGATAGATTTTAGAAAGAAAGGGCACAGGATGTTGGGAGTTATCTAGAAAGGCGTATTAAAATAAGAGGTTCAAGGAAGTCGCAAACGAGTGGCTGCTTTTTTGGTTGTTTAATTGGAGCAGCTGACAAACTTCAGAGTTTCTATTGAATGATGGTAAAAGAATTTGAGTCACTGTGAAGAGTCTGCATAGCAGATAGGACTGCCGTATCATCTACTTTCATTGCAACTTGCAGAGGAGTGGCTCAGAGCCCCTCAAGTACCAGGGGACTAGAGTTTGCTGTACTTGACAGATCTGTGGCCCAGGGCAAGTGTCCCCTCACCTCTATTTCTTTTTCCAGTCTACTGACTTTTTCCCATGTCCATGCAGACTAGGGCAGGGGTAGGATTGGCTGTCAAATCAGTCATGGAGCTTCAGCTGGGTAGTTGAATCTGTTACCTGCTGGGGACAGATAACAGACTGCATTTAGCTTGTTTTCCGGGAGCAAGGAAATAGCTCCTACTCTTGGTTATTTGAGCCCATGCTTTTAGGAATTTGTGCTTCCATTGGCTGAAGATTTAAAGGTTGGAGACTGCCATAGAATCTTGCAGAAGAGGAATCTAAAAGGAAGGAAGATATTTAGATAGTACTTAATAGTAGTTAGGGACATAGAGCTGTACAACTACCAGGACTGTGTTTTTTCAGCAGTCCCTCTCTTTAGGTATCTGAGTGCCTATAAAGGTTGTTAAGGGCTTGCTAGTTTATGTGAACCTGAATAGGACAGGACCTATATAGGGAAAATACTAGGATTTTCTAATTTTTAATGTTTCAATATTTCTGAGAAGAATATTTTAATAACAACATAGACATTTGTCCTCTGACTTTCATATATTTAGCTTTCAATTATTTCAAATGTTTCAAGGTAAAGGTAAGCACTGAGGCCTTCTTTTTTTTTTGGAGACGGAGTATCACTCTGTCGCCCAGGCTAGAGTGCAGTGGCGCGATCTCGGCTCACTGCAAGCTCCGCCTCCCGCCCAGGCTAGAGTGCAGTGCCGCGATCTCGGCTCACTGCAAGCTCCACTCACTGCAAGCTCCGCCATTCTCCTGCCTCAGCCTCCCGAGTACGCCCAGCTAATTTTTTGGTATTTTTAGTAGAGACGGGGTTTATCTCGATCTCCTGACCTCGTGATCCACCCGTCTCGGCCTCCCAAGGTGCTGGGATTACAGGCGTGAGCCACCGCACCTGGCCCGCACTGAGGCCTTCTTAAGTGATTTCCGTGCTGAAGAACCCAGGCTGCCATTTTTGAGTGACAGAGATTAGTCTTTGAACCAGAAATAAATGAAGAAGAGGAGACTCTATATTTTTCTACCTTGTTTTAGATTATCAGGTTTGTTCCAGTTCAGGTATTAAAAATTATGTCAGCAATTAATTGGATTTTCAGCTCAGCCTGTAGGACATACAATTTGTGAAGACAAATTATTCTCAGACTATGCCAGTGTATTGGCTGCCATGATTTGTTACGGAACTATGCGTGGGTCTTGACTATTTCATAGGTTGGGAGAGGTGGAAATAGAAATAAGTAACTAAAATCTACAACAGAGGCCAAATTTTAATTTTCTTTTCTTTTTTTTTTTTTTGAGACGGAGTCTCGCTCTGTCGCCCAGGCTGGAGTGCAGTGGCGGGACCTCGGCTCACTGCAAGCTCCGCCTCCCGGGTTCACGCCATTCTCCTGCCTCAGCCTCCCAAGTAGCTGGGACTACAGGCGCCCGCCACTACGCCCGGCTAATTTTTTGTATTTTTAGTAGAGACGGGGTTTCACCGTTTTAGCCGGGATGGTCTCGATCTCCTGACCTCGTGATCCGCCCGCCTCGGCCTCCCAAAGTGCTGGGATTACAGGCGTGAGCCACCGCGCCCGGCCTTTAATTTTCTTAAGCAACATTAATATACAGATAGCTAGTCTCTCACCAGATTTGTTTCTATTTCTGTTTTTTTGGAGGTGACACTCAGGTATGGACCTGCAAATTACTTTCTTAAAGAAATGAACACACTCATTTTTGTTGTATATTTTTGCTCTAAAGGCTTTCCGGCAAACAGGCGATCAATGATTTACAGCCTACATCAGCTAAGGAAGACCGTGATTGTGATATCAAGGTAAAGTGCTCACATGTGAAATTAATTTTCTCATTATGAATCTAGTTTTCTATATAATTTACTCTTAAAATTTAGCAGTGGTCAACCTGTCATTGTTTTATGTTTGTAATGGAAAGTTGGTTACAAAAAAGCATTTTAAAGAAATATGAATAATTGAATTTGTAAAAATTGTACTTTGGTAAATAATAGATTGTTAAATACTAAGAGGGTGTGTGGGTGAGAAAAGGAATGTGCTGGAAAATGATTATATTGTGACAGAAAAATTATATTTGGCTAAGCTTTCTCACAATACAGGAAATTTGAAATGTGGTCAGGGTTTATTTGGATGAGTATGCTTTCTGTGACTTTTAAATTCATACTAACATGACTTTTATAATACTTATGCCTAAATAAATTCTTATCATAGTAATCATGGACTCTCCCTGGTGCGTTTTAGTTCCAAAACTGTACAGCAGATAGCATATAGTTTCTTTTTTTTTTTTGGACAGTTAATATTTTGGTATCATATACTTCTTAGGATAGCACTCTTTCCCTATTTCTATCCTTGGTTCTGTAATTAGACTAATACTAGAAATTGTGAAAATTTAGTTGAGTATTGTGGTACGTGCCTGCAATCTCAGCTACTTGGGGGTTTTAGGTGGGAGGATTTTTTGAGCCAAGGAATTTGAGACCAAATTGGCCAACATAGCAACACTGCTTCTCTCATATAAAAAAAAATTGTGGAAATTTAGAAATGTAAATTTTCTTTCTCCAAATGTACATTATAAAGGGATTCCATTGTGTTTTCTAAGTCACTTAATTAAGAACATACTTAAAACTCCTCAAATTGAAGAATTTGGACTAATGGGCTAGGACATGCTTTGCCCAAAATACCAACCAGTTCTAGCAGCAGAGACTCTTAATAACCATAAGGTAAGGCTTTGATTTCAGAATTTTTTTGCATCATACTTATTAAAGATTTACACTCAAAATCTTTGTATCACATTTAAAAACTCCAAATGTAAGAAGTCTTTGTATTTAGTTATTTAAATAATCACTTTAAAGCCCCTGCATTAGTATAAGCTACTGGAGGTTAGGAAACACACCTGTTTATATCCTGGAGTAGCTAGAATAAAGTATTGCCTGTAAGAAGCATTTTAATATTTTGTAATGTGAATACTTGAACAGACAAAAGGATTTCTATATAATGGAATGTTACAATTAACATGAGATACATACCTAATAATTAAATCTATGGCATTTCTAAAGTATGGCTTAAATGTATAGTCCCTTTCAATGTTTAGGATGTATAAATTCAGATGAGTTATATTGGGAAAATATGTCATAAATAAGAAAGAAATATGCCATCAAATAGGAAAGAGGGTTACAGTATACTTTGCAGTATCGTCCAACTATAAGCTTAGGTTAGGATTTGAGATTTAAAATTTTTAAACTTTTTAAACCCCAACCCATGTTCTACTAAATATATCTTTTCAAGCCATAGATTACACTTTAGAATTATGATTACTAATTATTTCTCCAAGTGGAAAGTTTATGGAACATTTCTTTTTCCATTTCTCTCTCCCTCTCTATAGTAATAATGGTCCATCTTTCAGGTAGTTGTAGATGACCATGTTTAAATACTTGAATGTATTGTTTTATGGTATAAAATTAAGCTCTTAGAGAAATATTTACAGCAAACTAATTGTAGAGTATTATTAGGGATATATTATAAACAAAAATCTCTGTTATATATCTGTATTTCCCCATGTACGTTAGCATACTTGATGATTTTCCTTTGGGTCCTGCTTGACAATGATTGATGTATATAAAAACTTTTAAATCATCAATCGGGATAATCATAGCTTTGTTTTTTTGTACTAGATCCTTTCTCCAACTTTTAACTACCATTCTATATGGTGTCAATGGGAAATTAGAACTATTAGTATGTTTACAGGGGAATGAGAAAACCATTTGATTTTGAAAATAGGATTTACATTTCTTTCTTACATCGTAGTAGTACCTAAAAATGCCTCATAATTCTATAATGACAAAAGCTTTTCTTACAATGTAAAACTTTAAAAATTAATTTTTAAAAAGGAGTGTTCTTGCAGAATTTTGAATTGAGGTCTTAGAATGAAATCTTTTCATTCAATATAAAATGTATATGACCATAATATTCCAAAAATATTAGCATATATTAAAACAAGTATATTTTATATCCTTGAAACAAATGTTGAAATATGTAATTGAGAGGGCGGCGGCGGCGGCGGCGGCGCTGGAGGCGCAGAGGGCGGCGCAGGCGGAGCCGGGCGGGCGCGCGAGCGAGCGGAGAGCGGGCGGCCGTGCGGGCGGCGGCGGCACCCCCAGGCCGAGCCGGCGCCGAAGGAGTTCCAGGGCGATGGGGCCGCGGCCCGGGCTGACGCTTTGACAGCTGGAAAGAGCGCGGAGCCAGCGCCTGGTGGGGAGGGAGGGGAGCGCGGCGAGGAGAGCGCCAGCGAGCGAGAGAGCGAGCGAGCGCCGGGGAGGGGGCCGGGAGCGAGGAGCAGCGCGGGAGAGCCGGAGCGGTAGCGGCGGCGGCGGCGAGGCTCGGCGCCCTCTTCCCTGCAAACCATGTTTGCCAAAGGCAGAGGCTCGGCGGTGCCCTCGGATGGGCAGGCTTGGGAAAAGTTAGCTTCATACGTCTACGAATATTTACTGCACGTAAGAGTACAGAAATCTGCAGAGACCTTCTTGTCGGAGATTCGATGGGAAAAAAACATCACGTTGGGAGAACCGCCTGGGTTTTTGCACTCGTGGTGGTGTGTATTTGGGGACCTTTACTGTGCAGCTCCTCAAAGGAGAGACACTTGTGAACATTCAAGTGAAGCAAAAGCCTTTCATGATTATAGTGCAGCAGCTGCCCCGAGCCCCGTGCTTGGCAACATTCCCCCCAACGATGGGATGCCGGGAGGCCCCATCCCGCCAGGTTTCTTTCAGGGTCCTCCGGGGTCACAGCCCTCGCCGCACGCACAGCCTCCACCTCACAATCCTAGCAGCATGATGGGACCCCACAGTCAGCCTTTTATGTCACCGCGATACGTAGGCGGCCCCGGGCCCCCGATCAGAATGGGAAACCAGCCTCCGGGAGGAGTTCTTGGGACACAGCCATTGCTGCCCAATTCTATGGATCCCACACGACAACAAGGCCACCCCAACATGGGAGGATCAATGCAGAGAATGAACCCTCCCCGAGGCATGGGGCCCATGGGTCCCGGCCCACAGAATTACGGCAGCGGCATGAGACCACCACCCAACTCCCTCGGCCCGCCATGCCCGGGATTAACATGGGCCCGGGAGCTGGCAGACCCTGGCCCAATCCTAACAGTGCTAACTCAATTCCATATTCCTCCTCATCACCTGGTACCTATGTGGGACCCCCGGTGGTGGCGGCCCTCCAGGAACACCCATTATGCCCAGTCCCGCAGATTCAACAAATTCCAGTGACAACATCTACACAATGACCTGGCGGCAGGTCCAACTTCCCGATGGGTCCCGGCTCGGACGGTCCGATGGGCGGCATGGGTGGCATGGAGCCACACCACATGAATGGATCATTAGGGTCAGGCGACATAGACGGACTTCCAAAAAATTCTCCTAACAACATAAGTGGCATTAGCAATCCTCCAGGCACCCCTCGAGATGACGGCGAGCTAGGAGGGAGCTTCCTCCACTCCTTTCAGAATGACAATTATTCTCCAAGCATGACGATGAGTGTGTGATCCCCCCTTCTCCGAGACGCTGAGAGAGCCGGCATTGCAGGCGGGAAGACGCCAGAAATTATGCAAGAAGTGAGGTGTTATTATCCAGGAGCTGGTGGGGAGGGCATCTCCCTGCTCCCCTAAACCCCCTCCCACCCCATCCACGCCCCCTACCTTTCCCAATTTTAGTTTCATGCAATAAAAAGGCCAAACTTTTTATTCCATAAAACATGAAGGACAAAACTCTCAAAAAAAAAAAAAGAAATATGTAATTGAGAAATTGAATCTCATGTTATTTCCCTCCTCTTCTTTCCATTTTCAAAATTTCAGACTTGTATATAGGTTTTCATGAGTTAATTCTACCAGTGCAGTATATTTTACAAATATTTCTTTTCTTAACACCATATGCTTTTCCCAAGTAAGGTCACCCACTCCTACACCCTGAGTGCCTCAATTTGACTTGTCCCACACTGAAGACATTGTCCTTGACCTTCTCCTGACTTTTTGTAATCTGCTCTGTCATCTGATTTTCCCATCCTAGGAAGTAACATCTAGTAAATAGAACTGAAACATTGAAACAGGAAAAATCTCGCATTCCAGCACTCCCTCAAATCACCAATCCAGTCACTCACAAGTTATACTTTTTCCACCTGCTTACCGTTTTTCATATCTCACTGCTATAATTCACTTTGACCCATCATTTTGAAATACTCTTGTCTAGTTTTGTCCCTCCCCCATCCCATGCCATGTTCAGTTATCATTACAATGCTGCCAGGGTGGCCTTTCTAAGATATTTTATGATGCTGTAACTCATCTGTTTATGAGTGGATCCCCATTACATGATGGGGAAGTTCACATTCTAGCATGGCACATATCTTTTGTGGTTTGGCCTGATTCTCCCATTTTATTTCTCCATCTCACTCCCTCTGACTAGGTTCCAGTTTTCCTGCATTACTTTAACACCCCTCATTTGCCATGTCGTTTCTCATTTCATGCCTCATACCTTTGCTCATACTGCCCTGTCTAGAAACCCTTCACATCCTCACTCTCTGCACTTTGTCCTTCTTTCAAAATAGGCCCTATCTTTGCAGCATTTCTGGAACTTCCCAGGTATAACCGACCATTGTTTTCTTTGAGCCCTTACTGTCCATTATTAACTTCAGTTGTAGAACTAGTGAACTATACTGTTTTGTTTTTGTTTGTTTCCATATATCTCTACCCCTACTCAAATATTAAGGAAGAGTCTCTTCTATATATGTTTTCAGCTTCTCCCAGGATATTGCCTATGATTCAGCAGACACAGTGAATGTTTGTTGTCTTACTGGTTGACTGATTGAGTGGGTGGGTGAATAAATACAATGTTTTCCAAAGCTTTTTGGTTTGTTTTTCATAGGAAGAAACAACTAAATCAGCAAGTGCAAAAAGACAAAATGATATTGATGTTATTGAAAGTGTTCCACAAGAGCAAACCAGTAACGTCAAATTTACGTTTTGTTCACAAAGATGGTAGAAGTGGTAAGTTAGTGAATATCTGAGAATTTTCCTGTGCTTAAATGCTGTTATTAAAAACCATTCAAGTAGATAGTCCCAAATGTCATATTTATTTCTTTTAAATAATTTTCCTGTCTTTCTTCATTCTAACACCTTCTTCTTTCTGAAACTATTATACTTCAACCCTCTGAAAGTGTTTTTGTTATTACTTTTATTTTATTGAAATTTTCATTAATGGAGACAGACTTGTATACGTATTTATTATGAAATGCACAGTGATAAATGTTCTCATGAATATATCTGTGAATAACATTTTATAGATACGACATCCACATTGGGATAAGAAGAGGGAGACATAGAATCACTTTTGTATTCTGGGGTATCGTCTGTCATTATTCTTGTTATTTCAAAATACAAGCATTCAGCGATGTTAAAACATAAAAGACGATGCCTTGACTTTACTTTCTCACCTCTGTATATGCCTAAAGGAATTATTTTCTTATATTTTCAGCCCAGAATTTAGAAAGTAGTAATCACCCCTAATACCAAACTTCCACTTAAGATTGAAGGAGAAATGAAGAAGCATGGAAGTAACAACATGGGATTATCAGAAAACTTGACTGATGCTGCTGGCAATGGTGTTGATGAACTAATTCCACAAAGAAAGAGTGAAAAACCTGAAAATCAGCAATTTCCTAGGACAGAGAATGAGAAGTATCAAAGGTAAGCCTATGGCAACATTTAACAGGAGATACTTACGTGCTATAAAACTAATCTTAATTTGGGCTAATATTCATGTTGAACAAATTTCATACTTTTACTGGGATATTCAGTCTTGCCTGGAATCAGAAAAATGCCAATCAGCAAACAATGAGTTACCACTTTTTCCAATCATTGATAATTTATTTGAAAAATAATAACCAGTATTGGCAAATGTGAGGGAAAAGGCATTTTCTTTTCTTTTCTTGTGAACATTTATTTTTTTTGCCATGTCATTTCATGCCCCATCTGACTTCAGGGTTATATGTGCAGTTTTGTTAGATAGGTAAACTGTATCATGGGGATTTGGGGTACAGATGACTTCATCAACCAGATAATAGGCATAATACCTGATAGGTAGTTTTTTGGTCCTCTCCCTCCTCCCACCCTCCACCCTCAAGTAGGCCCCAGTGTTTGTTGTTCTCCACTTTGTGTCCCTGTGTTCTCCACTTTGTGTCCCTGTGTTCTCATTGTTTAGCCACCACTAATGAGTGAGAATATGCAGTATGCGAATTTCTGTTCCTGTGTTAGTTTCCTTAAAATAATGGCCTCCAGCTCCATCCATGTTGCTTCAAAGGATATGATCTCATTGAAAAAGACATTTTCATAGACTGTCGGTACATACATTTTGAACGTTAATTTAGTAGCATGTATCAAAATTTCAGATATGTCATTCCTTTAACCTAAGAACTTCACTTCTAGGGCTAGACTCTACAGGAACATGACTTGTGTACACACACAAACATGTTAAGGACACTTACTACCTATACTACATAACACTCAAGGCTAATACACAAGCACACACATATATATATAACATATTAAGGATATATTTGTATGTTAAGGATATTTGTATAGATATGTTACATATATACTTGTAAATAAGGACATTTATTATAGCATTATTACATCAAAAAGTTGGAGCTAGTCTAAATCCTTATCAATAGGAAATAGCTCAGTTTTCATACCCAGAAAATAATGGAGTATGCAACCATTTTTTAAAAAATGAGGTTAGATCTAGAGTGTACTGATTATTTCACAATTAAAATGTATTTAAAGCATTTAGTTTGACGACACATCTGAAGACAATTTTGTTAGAATTCTTGTAATATCTGCTGTGTTGCAAATGGAGGCTACATGCCACATAGACACTGAACCTTGTTAACAACAAGATTGTTAGTTATTAAATTTTGGCTTTTTGTTCTCAGTGCCTGAGTCCTGAAATATTGGACCCTGAATCTGAATATTCCCAAGGGATTACACATGAGGATCTATATTCCATAGAAACATTTTAGTGTATTGGGTAAAACTTGTTAAAATACATCAAAGGATTTTTGATCTACTAAAGCAGGAGTTGGCCAGCTTTTTCCTCAAAGAGCCAGTTAGTAAATATTTTAGGCTCTATGGACCATGTTTATCTTTTTGAGGTAGGGTCTCACTCTATTGGCCAGGCTGGAGTCCAGTGGCATGATCATGGCTCACTGCAGCCTTGACTTTCTGGGCTCCAGGGATCCTCCCACCTCAGCCTGTCTACTAGCTGGGACCACAGGTGTGCACCATCACACCCGGCTAATTGGCTTTATGGACTACAACGTGAATAAGCGTGGCTGTGTTCCAAGAAACTGTACTTATAAAAACAGGAAGTGGGCTGGATTTGGCCAACAGTGCTGAATTGCTGACCCTTGTGCTAAAAGGAGGGTGCTGCTAATGCAGTGAATCCTCTTTGTAAAAGTACACTGCATGTATGCCATTATCCTTCCTTTGAAAAGAGAATATATTTCAGTATGCATCTCACCATATTTTTCAACAGTGACTTCATATGATTTAAAAAAATTTTTTTATAAAATAAGATTATTTTCTGGATTTGTCCCCTTTTATTCCCGTTAATAAAATAGTATTTTACTGTGACCAGTTACTTTATATATTTGATGAGTATCAACTGTTTTAGAATTGGCTTATATTTATCAAGCAAGAAATACTCCCCTTGAAACTTTTAGTATTCCTTGGTTTTTATGTATAGGCATGAACAAAATGATAATCAATTTATGCAATCTAGAAATGTTCAGGGGGACTTTTAGTGCTATAATTTTATGAATTTATTATTTAATATATTTCAGTCTGGCATTTTTAAATGCCATATATGTATAGTTTTAAAAACCTTGAAAACATAATTGTTTAAAATTATTATATATTTTTAAAACCTTAAAAATATTTAATAAAGTATGTAATTGTTATATAAAATTTGAAAACTACAGGTAAACAAGAAGAAAATTAGATAATCCATACTCGTGATGTCCCTGAAAGAACTGTCTACACTCACGGACTCAATTTTTTTTCCATTCATTTTTGATTTCATGCCAGTAGTCTTCAATCCCAGCACTCCTCCAAAGTTGTTTTCTCAAGGTTATCGCTAGTCTTCTCTCTAATAAATCTAGGCATTTTTTTCTTACACCTTATTTTATTTAACCTGTCAGCAATATTTATTTTATTTTATTAAATAAATATTTTATTTAACCTGTCAACAACCTAATGGAGGACACTCTCCTCCACGACAGTGTCTTCACTCGGCTTTCAGGACCTCACTCCCTCATCTGGCTTTTCCACCTGCCTTTCTAGTCCATCCATTATGGTCTGTTTTTCTTGCTCCTCCTCATCTTTCACTTTTTGCACATTGTTGTTTCCCAGGGCTCTGTCCTCGATCTTCTTTCTCATGACTTTTTCTACTGTGTGTATGCTAGTGATTTCCAAATGTATGTCTCCAGCTCAGATTTCTCTTCTTAATTCCAGACCTCCTGTCAACCTGCCTACTTGACATCTCTCTTTGGTTAGCTATTGGGTATCACACACTTGTCAGGTCCAACATTGGACTACTGACATCTGTCCTCACATCTGCTCCTCTTGTAGTCTTTCCTACTTGGGTGAATGGCAACTCTTCCAGTTGCTCTCCCAAAAAACTCAGCATCATTCTTGACTCATCTCTCTTTCTCTCTCTGACTCCTCACATCTAATCTAGTTGCAAATCTTGTTAGGTCTACGTGAACAGGTCTAGCTTTATAATAAGCTACATTCTTTATGTTAATCATTTTTCACTTAGGGAGAAAAGTCCAATGTTGTGGTTACTCACTATTTATTCTTTCACTGGTAATCATGATAGTTGTAATTACAGTAAAGTGAATCAAAGTAATTGTAAACTTTACTGGTATTTTATTTACAAAATAAAAATTAGGGTGGTAAATTTAATAGACTCAAAAATTGTTTCCAGGGGATTATGAACCTTCTGTATTTGAAATGAAAAGACAGAGTTGGAATTTTTTGCTTCCTGTAGTAAGAGCTATGCTGGTCAGGCAGGCACTATCTATTCTGATGGAGCAGCTGCTGATCTTACATAGGGTTTTGAGAGGACTGGACTTGAAGGATTGGCCGATTCCCGGATCCAAGTGGGTTGGCATCATCTGGAGCAACATGGTTATCTGAGTGAGACCGCTGGGGATTGGTTAGCACTTCCTAGCCTGTGGATTGATTTTGTGTCTGATTGGCTGTCTTTCAGAAGCAAGCTGCTCACACTGATGCTGGTTGGTGAGCGAGGCCAGTGGTGATTGATTGATCGATTGACTAGATTTAGAACTAGCTCTGGGTGGCTGCTTGTTACTATGACTACAGGTCAGTTCTTTCCTAAGTTTCAGGAAACTTTGACCAGAAATTTTCTGTTTAAAAGTTGCCTTTTGGCCCAGTGCAGTGGCTCACGCTTGTAATCCTGGCAGTTTGGGAGGCTAAGGCGGGCAAATCACTTGAAGTTGGAAGTTCGACACAGTCTGACCAACATGGAGAAACCCTGTCTCTACTTAAAAAATACAAAATTAGCCGGGCGTGGTGGCGCATACCTGTAATCCCAGCTACTTGGGAGGCTGAGGCAGGAGAATAGCTTGAACCCTGGAGGCAGAGGTTGCAGCGAGCTGAGATTGTGCCATTGCACTCCAGCCTGGGCAACAAGAGTGAAACTCCGTCACAAAAAAAAAAAAAAAAGTTGCCTTTCATCAACTATGTTCAAAATGAAAACTCTTTCATATTCCAGAATTGTAGACTTGATTTTAAAGTTTTAGTCAAGATGAATCATTTAATTCATCTTTAGAGATCTTTCAGGAAGATTCTTTTTTGATACTTAGTCTCAACCAGAAGAGTTTGCTACATAAATTATTTTTTAAAAATAATTGTAAGTTTTGTTTCTGTTTTTGGTATTCTTAGAGGCTTCTGCTCCAGTGCTAACATAATCTTCAGTGGGAGACTTTAGTCTCTTTGTCAATTTTTGTATGTATATGATAGTGATATTCTGTCTTCTTTCCTTATTTTGTTCACTTTCTGTTGCTTGCAATAATAGTGATATTCTTATGTGTGTTTACTTCATAAAAATGTAATTACAATTTTCTGCTGGCAAATCCAGCTTTTTATATTAGGACTAAATATTAGGCTAAAAGTGAAGAAAAATCACCAGAACATTTTCTTTTCTTTTCTTTTTTTTCTTTGAGACGGAGTCTCACTCTGTCCCCCAGGCTGGAGTGCAGTGGCGCGATCTGGGATCCCTGCAAGCTCCGCCTCCTGGGTTCACGCCATTCTCCTGCCTCAGCCTCCTGAGTAGCTGGGACTACAGGCGCCCGCCACCACACCTGGCTAATTTTTTGTATTTTTTAATAGAGACGGGGTTTCACTGTGTTAGCCAGGATGGTCTTGATCTCCTGACCTCGTGATCCGCCTGCCTCGGCCCTCCCAAAATGCTAGGATTACAGGCTTGAGCCACTGCGCCCGGCCCAGAACATTTTATTTTCAAACAAAATCATAACTAATAAAAATTGCTGTTTTGTACTGCATCTATCTATCTATCTATCTGTCTATCTATCTATCTATCTATCTATCTATCAATCATGACATTTAGATATTTTAAATTAAGGATTCCTCTCAATATGGTTTGTCTTTGTGTCTCCACCTAAATCTCATCTTGAATTTTAATCTCTGGGTATTGAGGGAGGGACCTGGTGAGAGGTGGTTGGATCATGGGGGCTGTTTCCCTGATGCCGTTCTCATGGTAGTGAGTTCTCATGAGATCTGATGGTTTTATGAGGGACTCATACCCCTTCACTTCTGTCTGTCCTGCCACCTTGTGAAGAAGGTGCCTGCTTCCCCTTCACT
The DNA here is from genome assembly GCF_000001405.40 of Homo sapiens. Taxonomy (NCBI): domain Eukaryota; kingdom Metazoa; phylum Chordata; class Mammalia; order Primates; family Hominidae; genus Homo; species Homo sapiens. The sequence goes on from NC_000007.14 coordinate 39,842,129, forward strand.
TTCTGCCATGATTGTAAGTTTTCTGAGGCTTCCCTAGCCATGCTAAACTGTGAGTCAATTAAACCTCTTTCCTTTATAAATTACCCATTCTCCAGTATTTCATCATAGCAGTGTGAAAACAGATTAATACAGCAAATTGGTTCCGGTATAGCGGAGTACTGCTACAAAGATAAACTGAAAACATGTAAGCAACTTTAGAACTGGGTAATGGGCAGAGGCTGGAATAGTCTGGAGGGCTCAGAAGAAAACAGGAAGATGTGGGAAAGTTTGGAACTTCCTAGAGACTCGTTGAATGGTTTTGACCAAAATGCTAATATTGATACGGACAATGAAGTCCAGGCTGAGGTGGTCTTAGATGGAGATGAGGAACTTGTTGGGAACTGGAATAAAGGTTATTCGTGCTATGCTTTAGTAAAGAGACTAACAGAATTTTGCCCCTGCCCTAGAGATCTGTGGAACTTTGAACTTGAGAGAGATGATTTAGGGTATCTGGTGGAAGAAGTTTCTAAGCAGCAAAGCATTCAAGATGTGACCTGTTGATTCTGAAAGTATTCAGTTTTATGTGTTCACAAAGAGATGGTTTGAAATTGGAACTTTTGTTTAAAAGGGTAGCAGAGCATAAATTTGGAAAATTTGCAGCCTGACCATAGGGTAGAAAAGCAAGTCCCATTTTCTGGGGGTGGAATGCAAGCTGGATACAGAAATTTACGTAAGTAACGAGTAGCCAAATGTTAATTGCCAAGACAATGGAGAAAATGTCTCCAGGGCGTGTCAGAGATCTTCATGGCAGCCTGTCTCATCAGAGGTCCAGAGGCCTAGGAAGGAAAAATGGTTTCATGGGCTGGTTCCAGGGCCCTACTGCTATATGCAGTGTCAGGACTTGGTGTCTTGCATCCCAGCCACTCCAGCTCCAGCTATGGCTCAAAGGGGCCAATGTACAGCTCAGGCTGTTGCTTCAGAGGGTGCAAGCCCCAGGCCTTGGTGGCTTCCACGTGGTGTTGGGCTTGTGGGTGCACAGAAGTCAAGAATTGAGGTTTGCGAACCTCCACCTAGCTTTCAGAGGATGTATGGAAATGCCTGGATGTCTAGGCAGAAGTCTGCTGCAAAGGCAGATCCCTCATGGAGAACCTCTGCTAGGGCAGTGCAGAAGGGAAATGTGGGGTTGGAGCTCCCACACAGAGTCCCCACTGGGGCACTGTCTAGTGGAGCTGTGAGAAGAGGGCCACTGTCCTCCGGGCCCCAGAATGATAGATCCACCAACAGCTTGCACTGTACACCTGGAAAACCCATAGACACTCAACACCAGCTCATGAGGGAGCTGCCCAAGGCCATGGGAGCCCACCCCTTGCATCAGCATGCCCTGGATGAAAGACATGGAGTCAAAGAAGATTTTGGAGCTTTAACATTTAGTTACTGCCTTGCTGTATTTCAGACTTTCATGGGGCCTATAGCCCCTTTGTTTTGGCCAATTTCTCACATTTGGTAATGGGAGCATTTATTCAATGCCTGTACCTCCATCATATCTTGGAAGTAACTAACTTGTTTTTGATTTTACAGGCTCATAGATGGAAGGGACTTGCCTTGTCTCAGATGAGACTTTGGACTTGGACTTTTGGGTTAATGCTGGAATGAGTTAGCACTTTGGGAAGTCATGATTGGTTTTGAAATATGGGGACTTGAGATTTGGGAGGGTCCATGGGTGGAATGATATTGTTAGGCTTTGACTTTGTGCCTCCACCCAAATCTCATCTCAAATTGTAAGGTGTTGAGGGAGCGACCTAGTTGGAGGTGATTGGATCATAGAATTGGTTCCGCCATTCTGTTCTCATGATAGTGAGTTCTCACATGAGATTTGATGGTTTTATAAGGGGCTCTTCCTCCTTTACTTCTCTCTCTCCTGACACCTTGTGAAGAAGGTCCCTCCTTCCCCTTCGGCTTCTGCCATGATTGTAAGTTTCCTGAGGTCTCCCCAGCCATGCAGAACTGTTAGTCAATTAAACCTCTTTTCTTTATAGATTACCCAGTCTCAGATATTTCTTTATAGCAGTGTGAAAACAGACTAATACACTCCCCCTCAAGACATTTTCCTGATTTCATCTTTCATGTTATATGTGCCTCATGCTATTTTCAGAACTTCATTTGAAGGCAAGCATTATTATATTTAACAACAAAATCAGAAATATAGCAGAAATCTAATTATGACTTTCATGTAATATAGTCATTGCTTGTATGCAGTGGACTCCAGCTTTTTAGTGTAGCATTCAAGTGTAGTGTGGCATTCATCTCCTATTCTTAGCTTCCAAGTATTTTACACTTTTCCTTTCAAGTTTCTAGGAAACACCTGGACTTCATGTGCCTAATCTTTGTGCTCACTTTCTATTCTTTAACTGGAATGATTTTCTCTCACTGGATTTCCCTATGAGCTCCTCTTAAATTTTGCCTCTTCTCTAAAGCATTCCTTGTGCTAAAATATAACTTTTTATATTATCAACTCTGTCTTAACACATTGTATCATAATTGTATATTACCTTGTTTTTGAAGCATGGAATGCACATTTCCTTTTATGTTGCTTGTACTTCATACCTGTTTTTTAAATTAATAAATTGAGATGGGGAAGAGGTGTGGTTTTACAAAAATTGGGATTTTTGTTCATTGTCATTCGAGTTATTAGAAAACATTGGCTTTTTATAGAGTTTTAAAAGTAGTGGTTTTTGCCTTGTGTATGAAGAAAGTAAAGAAACATAAAAATAAAAAGTGGACCTCAAAATAATCTGTGATTACACCCATGTTAGAGAAGGCAGGCCAATTTACTAGCTAATGGTCTGCTACAAGTAAATGATGATAGCAATTTAAGTGAAATAGGTGAGGATGAAGAAAAGTAAAATTTATAAGTCCTTTCTAAGAAATCTCTGAAAAGGAATGTTAATAATGATTACTTTTTCTGGAAATAGAATAGTGTAGTCTGCCAAAGCTGGAGAAGACTCAACTATGTCAATGCTGTTGAAAGATTGATTACGATAAGGATTAGTGACTTTGACTAGGAGTGGTTTCAATAAATAGTAGCCATGGAATGCTGACTGTAGTGGATGAACATAGTCAACTCTTGAGAGAAACTTTACTGGGAAAGGCAATAAAGAAATGAGTAATAACTGAAGAAAAATGTGAGATACTAGGAAGTTTTCTCTCTTTTTATATTTTAAAACAGAAGTTTATAGAGTACGTTTGTTTGCTTTTGGGAATGATTCATAAGAGAAAAACATGTTTATGAAATGTAATTTTGTCTGCACGTCTAAGCATTAGCTTGATTTATTATCTTTTATACATTTTTAGCAAACTAATTGTCCTTAGAACTTCTGTTTATGTATAGTTTTATGTTTAGAGTTTTTTCCTTCAGAGCTTATTCAGAAATGTAACATATTAGTGTGACTGAACATGCAGATGATTACTTAAACTGTCATACACAGATTTTTAAAAATAATTTAATAACATGCACACACTTAGGCCATACTAAATAGAATTAAAATGTTCCTTCATAATTGTACATATTGCACTACCTTTGACAGTAGCATCATGAATAGCCATGATTTGCAAGGTAATTACTCTAAAATATCAGGTGTATCAACTTTACAGTTGTTTAGATTCTGGGGAGAAGGAAACGATTTTGTTCATTTACTTTAGAAAAGCAAACTACTGACAGTCTCTCACAGATTATTACTTCAGGATTATAAAGTTCTAAAGTGTCAAAACCATGTTTCCCTGGGCCAACAGTGTCATCAGCACGCATTGTGTGCTCAGTGAGTATTTGTTGAATCCATGAATAAACAGTTGAATAGATGAATGAATGAATGCCTGTTGGTGGATTTCTTTTAAAAACTAAATTTTTAGTTTTTTGAAAGTAGGTTTTCAAACTTGTCTCTGTAAAAACTATTTTTATTTAAAAAATGCAAGATTCAGAAATTATTAGTTATAATTACAGCCAGAAATAAAATGATAATGTGGATTCATCTGCTATAATATCTCTTAAAAACACTTGAAAATAAATACTACCTTCACAGCATATTGTGAAACACATATTTTGGAGGCAGAATTCTTGGGTTTGAATTCTGTGTATACTACTGACCAGCTGCATGGGATGGGGAAGGTTATATGGCCTTTCTGTGCCTAGTTTCTCTCTTTATAGAATCCTTAATATGTTACCTACCTCACAGAATTGTTATGATGATTAAAATGAGCTGGACACATGCACAGTGCTTAGAACAATGCATAGTGCCTGCATAGGAAGTCCTGAAAAAGCTAATACCATCATTAAAAAAGGGTTCCCCTCGAATGAGAACATAAATAACATTTTCCAAATAGATTTTAGTGCCAGTTAGTTTTTATTGAAAAGGGCAATAATGAGAAGTCCTGGTGTATTTCTTTCTATCACATAATGCAAGTAACATATTTTTCCTTTTGCCTTGATGTCAGAAAGCTTGATCTAAATTCAGTTGTTTGTAATGATATTATTATTACTGTATTTTCTTTCTCCCTTAATGTTACTCTTTGTTTATAGCTTAATCCCCCTTGTGAAAAATTATTATGTTTTACATTGCCTGTAAAAAAAAAGACCTGAACACTGAATGAATAGAATAAATAACTTATAAATGCAGATATTTTATATAACTAAACAATAATTTTAGATATGATTTGTATTTTGTGTATTTACTATTTGTCTAAAAGGAATTTGTCTAAAAAAAAAACTAAATTTTTTTAGGCCTCCAATGAAAACATCTGATGAGAAGAACAAGTTATTGTAAAAAGTACATTATCTGAAGCATTATTGTTTAAAAAAAACTACATTATAAAAGGTAGTGTGAAAAAACAGAGAATCTTTTGTTATAAAGACATTTACTTAGAAAAAGGTGATTAAGAAACAGTAGCCATTGATAACAGTACCTTTTTAAAGAATCTGTTTTAAGAAGTTCCTGTGGTTTTGCTCATATAAAAGATGAATAAACACCACTTCTGTACATCTAATACATGCTATAAATATTTTGAGGACCTTTTGAAGTAGAATTATTTATCTTACAGGTTAAAAGACAAATATATTCTGTGAATGACCTCGACGACTTAACTTGGCTATCTGAAACATCCTCCGAGGATTGTGAGTTGCTTTACTCTAATTATGAGACTTTTATGTTGCTCATGAGCAACTTGGAATATATTGTAACGGGAGGACCATTGCATAAATACAAGGCCTTTTCATGTATCCTACAGTAATGTGTGCACACACTGCTTAGCATTGCACCACAGAGCACTGATATGTGACAGTGTTGCTCATCTCAGAAATATGCTCATTGTTAAAATAGACTGAGAAATAATGTATATTGTACACCAAAGAGCTATGATAACTCCACTGTACTTTTCTCAGTGTGAAGGGCAGTCCTAGCCCTCTTGCTGATTCTTCTTCTCTCCTATGCCTTCCCTCCAGATCAGGTAGCCATTCTCTCCCACTCGGAATACTGCAATAATGTTAGAACTGTTTTTCCTGCTACCCCACTTCCTGAGACCATGGTCTACTAGGAAAATACAATTATATATTTTTAAAAATTCAGATCTGATCATGTTGCTCCCTTGATTATAACTCAGCTTACCACCTGCCGTTGCTATAAGGTTAAAGATCTGAATTCTCTAGTTTTATCCTGCATCATTTCAACCCTTTTTTCCTGTGTCCTAGTCACTGTCTTAGATATTTACTCCTGCAATCAATAGCTTTAGTGAGGTATAACTGATATATGATAGACTGTATGTATATAAAATGTACAATTTGGTAAGTCTTGGCATATTTATGCATACTTGAAACTATCACCAGAGTCAAGAGAGGTAACATATCCATCATCCATAGAATCTCTTCCTGTCCCTTTGTGTTCCCTTATTAAGAAACTGCTGGCCAGCGGGCGTGGTGGCTCACGCCTGTAATCCCAGCACTTTGGGAGGCCGAGGAGGTCGGATCATAAGGTCAGGAGCTCGAGAACAGCCTGGCCAACATAGTGAAACCTGGTCTCTACTAAAAATAAAAAAAAATAGCCAGGCGTGGTGGCGGGCGCTTGTGATCCTAGCTACTTGGGAGGCTGAGGCAGGAGAATCGCTTGAACCCAGGAGGTGGAGGTTGCAGTGAGCTGAGATCACGCCATTGCACACCAGCCAGGGCAACAGTGTGAGACTCCGTCTCAAAAAAAAAAAAAAAAAAAAGAGAAAGAAAAAGAAACTGCCGGCTGGGTGGGGTAGCTCATGCCTGTAATCCCAGCATTTTGGGAGGCCGAGGTGGGTGGATCACGAGGTCAAGAGATCGAGACCATCCAGGCCAACATGGTGAAACCCCGTCACTACTAAAAATACAAAAATTAGCTGGGTGTGGTGGTGTGTACCTGTAGTCCCAGCTACTCGGGAGGCTGAGGCAGGAGAATCCCTTGAACCCAGGAGGTAGAGGTTGCAGTGAGCCGAGATTGTGCCACTGCACTCCAGCCTGGCAACAGAGCGAGAGTCAGTCTCAAAAAAAAAAAAAAAGACAAGAAAAACAAAAGAAAATGCCAAATTGTTTTCCAAAATATTTGTACTATTTTCCATTCCTATTAGCAGTATGACAGGTCTCATTGTTCTATATCATCACAAGCTCTTAATATTGTTTTTTGGTTTATATTTTTAGCCATCTTGATGGGTGTGTATTGTGCGTGTCATTATGGTGTTGATATGCGTTACCCTAAGGACTAACAAAGTTGAGCTTTGTCCCGTGTGCTTATTTGCTTATTTGCCACCTGTATTACATCTTCTTTAGTGAACTGTCTTTTCTAATCTTGGTAGCTTACAAACATTTAAAAGTTAGATAGTTTGTGTTATTTGTTAACTTTTAAGAGTTTTTTGACCGGGGCCGGTGGCTCATGCCTGTAATCCCAGCACTTTAGGAGGCTGAGGAGCATGGATCATCTGAGGTCAGGAGTTCAAGACTAGCCTGGCCAACATGGTGAAACCCCGTCTACAAAAATTAGCTGGGCATGATGGCAGGTGCCTGTAATCCCAGCTACTTGAGAGACTGAGGCAGAAGAATTGCTTGAACCAAGGAGATGGAAGTTGCAGTGAGCCGAGATCATGCCATTGCACTCCAGCCTGGGTGACAGAGTGAGACTCCATCTCAAAAAAAAAGAAAAGAGGGGGGAGTTCTTTATAGATTCTGGATATTATTCCTTTATTAACTATGTTTTTTGCAGGGATTTTTCCCCAGTCTTTGGGTTGGCTTTTTTGTGTTTTTTAATAGCATATTTTAAACACAGAAGATTTTAATTTTGGTGAAGTCCAATTTATCTGTTTATTTATGGATTTTGCTTTTTGTCTCGTATCTAAAATATCTTTGCCCAGCACAAGGTCTCAAAGATTTTCTCCTCTGCTTTCTTGTAGAATATTTATTTATTTATTTTTATTTTTTATTTTATTTATTTTTTTTTTTTGAGAAGGGGTCTTGCTCTGTCACTCAGGCTGGAGTGCAGTGGCGCAACCTCGGCTTACTGCAAACTCCACCTCCTGGATTCAAGCGATTCTCCTGCCTCAGCCTCCCGAGTAGCTGGGACTACAGGTGTGCGGCACCATGCCTGGCAAATTTTTTGTATTTTTAGTAGAGATGGGGTTTCACCATGTTAGCCAGGATAGTCTCAATCTCCTAACCTCGTGATCTGCCCGCCTTGGCCTCCCAAAGTGCTGGGATTACAGGTGTGAGCCACTGTGCCCGGCCTGTAGAATTTTTATAGTTTTAGGTCTCACATTTAGATCTGTAATCCACATTGCATTTATTTTTACATACGGAGTGAAGTGTGGATGCAGGTTCATTTTATGGATGTGGATATCTAATTGTTCCAGCAGCATATGTTGAAAAGGCTGTCCTTTCATTGTCCTACATTGCCATTGTGCCTTTGTGAAAAATAAGTTGACTATATGTGTGTGGGTCTATTTCTGGACTGTTTGCTGTGTTCCATCGTTCTACAGATTCTCCATGAGTTACCCTGATAAACTGATCTTAAGTTGAAAATCTATTTAGTACCCCAGTAAACCCATCATACAGTTGAAAAATTGCAAGTAGAACCATCTTAATTTGGGGTCCTTCTGTATCTGGCTTTCTTTATGTAGGTCTAGCATCCCTAATCCAAAATTCCAAAATCAGAAATGCTCCAAAATCCAAAACTTTTTGGGTGCCAACATGATGTCACAAGTGGAAAATTTCACACTAGACCTCATGTACACAAACTTTCATTTGAAAATTTACTAAAAGTACTCCATAAAATTGCCTTCAAGCTCTGCGTATAAGATGTATGTAACATGTATGTGTTTTGTGTTTAGACTTGGGTTCCATCCCCAAGATATCTCATTATATATATGCAAATATTCAAAAACTCAAAACACTTTGGTCCCAAGCACTTTGAGAGATACTCCACCTACAGCAGTATCACACTGTTTTGATTACTGTAAATTTATACTAAATCTTGAAATCAGCCCTTCAGTTTTCTTCCTTTTTAAGGGTTGTTTTGACAATTCTGGATCTTTTGCATTTCCACATGAATTTTAGAATTAGATTGTTAATGTTTTTAAAAAGCCTGCTATGTTGGGAATTACACCAAGATTGTGTTCAATCTATAGATTAATTGGGGGAGGATTGACACTTTAACAATAATGTATCTTTCCACTCCTGTAGAGTTGTTTCTCTCCATTTATATAGGTCAAATTTAATTTTCTCAGTAACATTTTTTAGTTTTTTTGTATGTCTTTACATATATATATATATATATATATATATATATATATATTTTTTTTTTTTTTTTTTTTTTTTTTTTTTTTGAGACAGAGACTCACTTTGTCACCCAGGCTGGGGTGCAGTGGTGTGATTGTGGCTCACTGCAACCTCCACTTCACGGGTTCAAATGATTTTCTGGCCCCAGCTATCCAAGTAGCTGGTATTACAGGCATGAGCCACCATGCCCGACCAATTTTTGTATTTTTAGTAGAGATGGGGATTTCACCATGTTGGCCAGGCTGGTCTTGAACTTCTGACCTCAAGTGACCCACCTGCCTCAGCCACCCAAAGTGCTGGGATTACAGGTATGAGCCACTGCACCTGCCCTTGGTTTTTCCATATTTTATCAGATTCATCTGTATCTCAATTTTTTTGGTGAAGTTGTACATGATATTTTTAAAATTCCAGTTGATTGCTTATTGCTAGTATATGGGAATATAATTGGCTTTTGTATGTTGATTTTTGTATCCTCCAATCTTGCTAAACTCATGTATTAGTTCTAGTAGCTTTTTTGGTAGATTTGATCAGATTTTCTGTGTACACCAAAGGTTATCAAAACTTTTCATTCTCAAACTATTGTCTTACTAAAGATAGGAAATCTTTTTTAGACTTGTCACAAAACAGTCTCTGCTGCAGCTAATCAACTTTCCATTGTAGTATGAGAGCAGCCAGGGAGGATACATACATTAATGAACACAACTGTCTTCCAATAAAACTTTATTTACAAAAACAAGAAGCTGGCCCATTGGTTGGAGTTTACCCACCCCTATTATGTGATCATGCTTGTGAATAAACACAGTTTTACTTCTTCCTTCCAACCTGGATGCCTTTTATTTCTTTTTCTTGTCTGACTTCACTGGCTGGAATCTTCAGCACAAGGTTTATTTACTAAAGTTGTGAAAGCAGACATTCCCGTGTTGTTCCTGATATGGGGAAAGCATTCAGTTTTTCATCGTGACACATTTTTCATCATGACACATTAGTTGTAGGTTTATCATAGGTGCTTTATATCATGCTGATGAAATTTGTTTGTATTCTTAGGTTGCTGAGAGGTTTTTTTTCTTAAATCAAGAATTAATGTTAAATTTTATCAAATGCCTTTACTCAAATATCATATGGTTCTACTCTGATATTTTAATGTTAAACCTTGCATTTTAGGAGAAACTCAATTTGTTTATGATGTAGTCTCCTTTTAAAATGTCACTGGAGCCAGATACGGTGGCTCACGCCTGTAATCTCAGCACTTTGAGAGGCCAAGGCAGGAGGATTGCTTGAAGCAGGTGTTCGAGACCAGCCTGGGCAACAAAGCAACATCCTATTTCTATTTACAAAAATAATTATATATATAATTTATATGTACATATAAATTGAGTTACATATGTAGTTTTTATATATATATATATATATATATATATAAATTGAGTACAATTAGAAAATTTTTAAAGCATTTTTAGTGTAGTTTTAAGTTCACAGCAAAATCGAGAGTCAGGTGCAGAGATCGACCAGGTACTCTCTGCCCCCAGACATGTATAGCCTCCCTCATTATCAGTATGCCTCACCATAGTGGTACATTTGATATGATTGATGAACCACAAATGACATGTCATAATCATCCGAAGTTCATAGTTTATATTAGTGTTCATTCTTGGTGTTGTACATTCTGTGGGTTTGGACAAAGACCTGTATTCATCATCATAGTATTTTACAAAATATTTTCTCTGCTTTAAAATTCCTTTTTTTTTTGGTTTTTTTTTGTGTATAATTCAGACTTTATTGCTTATTAATTATGTCACTCCACAAAATTTTAAGTAAACAGACATTGAGAAAATATACTGGGAGTGTTAAACAGATGACGGCAATATTGATGAGGCTGTTCAAGTGTTTTACATAAGGTAATAAGAGGTACCACCGTCACCAGAACCCCTACAAATTTGTACATTTCATATAAAAAGAGTAAAAATAGTTCATTGGCATGTAACTAGCATCATTCTCTGTAATCTATGAGCCATAATAAGCCTGAACAATTTCAGTCTCTTCAGAGCAAAACAAAGTATTTTATTCCACTAGCAGATGTTTCTCCAAAAACAAAAAACAAACCAATACAACCACAAATACTACCCACCCACAACCCTGAAACATAAGTTGCCATATTCCAGTGGTCCTGAATTTTAACATGTTTTGCTCTACATTAATTCAAGAAATAAAATGAGAAACAGCTTTGAAAATGAGATTAACTCCTTTGCTGTAATTATACTTACTCTATAATTCAAACTATTTAGCTGAAGTCAGTTAACGAGTAAAAACCGCGGATACAGCTCAAACTGCTCTTAACTTCTTTAAATGTTTACTGTTCTATCAAAACTCAGACCCAAGCTGCACAGGTGTAACTTGAGGCACTAACAATCTTCCTACCAGACGTAATAGTTTTATGTGTTCTTAAAGCTGGGCGCATATACAAAATCACTGTACATCACACATAAACATCAGAAACTTTTCTTGGCACAACTAGACCAATAGTTTCCTCTATTATTATTATTTTTAAATCAAGCATGTGTAACAGTTCAGCATTTAAAAGACTCCCATGTATATGATTAAAAAGATGCTCAGGTTGAGAAATACATTTGAATACTTGAAAAGACACTCCAAAAAGAAACAAGACTTGAAATGTGGTTTTATGTTGAACCATTTAGGAGACCTCAGTTATCCAACAACTAAAAGCACACAACAGCAGATAAATAGGATTTTATTAAAATCAATGTCTCCAACAATACAAAAACTAAATATTAAGGCATCTTTTACTCCCATCCTGGTATATGCAAGAGAAATGTTTTAAGAAAGGGCCAGCATTTCTTACTAAAATGCTTTCTAGTGTATTTGGCAGATTTGTTTTTATATTCTCCTATTCCACATACCACTCAAAGCACTCATGATCAAACATCTTGACCCAAATCAAGAGAAAAGTATAAATAGATATTAATTTATTAAAAGGAAGCAGTTCATCTTTCAAAAATTAAAAGAAACTACAAAAAGTATCATGTATAAAGTTCAAATACCAGCATTTAAATTTCTCTGAAGTAATTTATGGTTCAGTAATTAAGCAAAAGAAGAGATGAAGACTTAAGATAAGAAGGCTATTAATATGGATTGCACTATGGAGTGACTGTTCACTGAGTACTCCGCTCCACTGGGATGATAGTTTGAAAAGGGCTTCATACTCCTTTAAGAAAATAGCACATCCACCAGGATAAGATCATTTAAATTAACACTGATTCTTATTCCCCATGCCTGTCCATTTATAAAGCTCAAGGGGCTTCATAAAGTATACTAAACAGTAACATTTTCACCTTTTATTAAGGCAAGTTTGTGAAAATAATTTAATACAACAAGATCTCTTCATGAACTTTCAACTTACAACCTTTTTAATGTAAGAAACATACAAAAAATTGTGTTTTATAAAAAGTTGCCTCAATACCAGAAAATAGTAATGAAAGATTTTGAACCCAGTTTTACTCTTTAAAGAATGCTCTTTCCTTGTCTCAAATTCCAAGTGCTACTCATCATCCTTAGAGCCAGTTTTGCTTAAATGCTTCACAACATCAACCCAGTTCCAGCCTCGAGGAAGTTCTCCTTTGTGATCTGTTTTGTCTGCCAGCTTACGCTTCTGGGCTTTTGAAAGTTGTTCTTTCTTGTCTTTTTTCTTACTTGATGGGGCTGTATTAGGAGTTTCAATTGAGATGATATTGCTTATCGATGTTGCGGAATTGATGGGATTGTGATTCTCCATGAACTGCTCTTTATTGTCTTTGGCATATTCAAACAATGTATAGGTCATAGCGGTTCCAAGATTAGCTTCTGCTGCTTCCTGTAGCTTGGCTAATATACTCTGCTTTACAGCTGATGATATGGTGTTGTTAAAAAAAGCGTTCATAGATAGAATTGGAGGTGTTTGGGGATATGTTTCTGTCCAGGAAATCTCTATTAAGAAGGCTTTGGGATCACCATTTTCACCCTATGTTGAAAAGAAACTGGACTTAATTCCCGGAAACTTTCATCTCCTCCATAAATAGAGCGTAATGCTTCTAGTTCCATCTCCTGGTCCTCGTTGGCACTCATCGCGCCGGTCGCGGGGCGCCTCCTGAGCGGACGGCGTTCGCAACAACGAAGAGAAAGCGAAGGCAGCGGCCCAGAGGCCGGGCGTCCCCCTTTCGCGCCTCGGCTGTGGGGGCGGCACAGTCTTGGCACTGGCAGACGCCAACTGCGCGCGCCCCGAGCCTCGGCAGCGCCCAGCCGCCGGCAGTGGGCTGTGGGCTACGAGCCTAAAATTCCTTTTTGTTTCACCTGTCTGTCCTTTCCTGCCCTTCCATACCCCAGGCAACTGCTGAACTTTTTACTGTAGTCATAGTTTTGCCTTTTCTAGAATGTCATATAGTTGGAATCATACAGTACGTACCCTTCAGATTGGCAGCTTTCACTTGGTAGTATGCATTTATGGTTCCTTCATGTCTTCTTATGACTTGATAGCTCATTTCTTTTTAACATTGAATACTAGTTTATTATATGACTGTACCAGAGGTTGTTCATTCACCTGTTGCAGCATATCTTAGTTGCCTCAGAAATTGGTTAAATTTTTATGTCAACATTCATGATGGAGTTTTCTTTTTTGTAATATCATTGTTTGGTTCAGGGTAATGCTAGCATGATAGAATTAGTTGTGTTGTGTTTCTCCTCTTTATTTTGCAGGGGAGAAGTTGTGTAAAATTATGTTCCATCTTCCTAAAATGTTTGGTAACATTCACCAGCAGAGCTAGCTGGGCTGGGAGTTTTCTTTGTGGGAAGATTTTACCTACAACTTTATTTTCTTTGGTAGATATAGAGTGATTGGGTTATCTATTTCTTGATTGAGCTTTGGTTATTTTTGTGTTTCAAAGGCTGTGTTCATTTAAGTTGTCATGTTTAGTTACATAAAGCTCACACTATTATCTTGCTATTCTTTTAGTATCTGTGAATCTAGAAAAATGTCACATTACTTATTTCTGAAATTAGTAATTTGTATCTTCTCTTTTTTATGATTAGCCTGGCTAGATGGAGGTTTATCACTTTCATTCTCTTCCTCAAAGTGTTCGGCTTTATTGATTTTCCTATTGCTTTTCTGTTTTATTGGTTTCATCTTTGATGTCATGGTTTGTTTGGCCTGCTGTCACAAAATACTATAGACTGTGTAGCTTATAAACAACAGAAACTAACTTCTCACACCTGGAGGCTGAAAAGTCCAAGATCAAGGTGCTGCAAGATTTGGTGTCTAGTGAGGGACCAATTCCCGGTTCCTAGGTTCCATGTTTTCCCCTGTGTGCTTCATATGGCAGAATGGGTGAATGAGCTCTCTGGTGTCTCTTATACAAGGGCACTCATCCCATTCATGAGGGCTTGGATTCCATGAGCTAATTGCCCCCACAAAGCCTCAGTTTCTAGTAATATCACCTCTGTGATCAAGTTTCAGCATATGAGTTTTGAGAGGACAAATGTTCAGACCATAGCAGACGTCTATTATATCATTTCCTCTGGTTCCTTTGGGTTTAATTTGCTCTTTTCTCCTTAGTTTCTTCTTTTTTACTTTCTTAAGATAGAAGTCAAGGTCATTGATTTGAGAGTCTTCCAGTATAGACATTCAGTACTGAAACTTTTTATTTAACTACTGTTGTAGCTACATTCCATAAATTCTGACATGTTGTAGTTTTATTTTATTTCAGTTCAAAATAGTTTCTAATATTTCTTTGCATCACCTCTTTGGCCTAGCGTTATTTAGATATGTGTTACTTTGTTTCCAAATTTTTTAGTATTTTGATGAGATATTTTGTTACTGATTTCTAATTTGATTGCTCTGTGGTCAGGGACCATAGTTTGTATGACTTAAATCCTTTTGACTTAATTCTTTTATGAAGATTTACTGTATGGCCTAGAATATGATCTGTTTTGCTAAGTGTTCCATGGGTCCTTGAGAAGCATAGTGCTCTTCAAGTCTACTCTAGTCTTACTGATTTTCTGCCTCCTTGTTCTGTCATATTGAGTAAGCGATATTGAAATCTCAGACTATACCTGTGAATTTGTCAATTTCTTCTATCAGTTTTTGCCTCATGTATTTTGAAGCTGTTATGTTACTAGGTACATAAACATTTAGGATTATGTGCTCTTGATTAATTGAACCATTTATCATTATGAAATAATTTTGTTGATAGCTAGTAATATTTTTTGCTCTGAAATCTACTTTGGTATTAATATAACCATTTCTGCTAGGCTTTATTTGTTAACTGTTAGCATGGTATATATTTTTCCATCCTTTTAACTAATTTGCATCTTTACATTTAAAGTTTTTTTTTTTTTTTGAGATGGAGTCTCGCTCTGTCACCCAGGCTTGAGTGCAGTGGCGGGATCTTGGCTCATTGGAAGCTCTGCCTCCTGGGTTCACGCCATTCTCCTGCCTCAGCCTCCCGAGTAGCTGGGACTACAGGCACCTGCCACCACGCCCAGCTAATTTTTTGTATTTTCAGTAGAGACGGGGTTTCACCATGTTAGTCAGGATGATCTCAATCTCCTGACCTCGTGATCCGTCCGCCTCGGCCTCCCAAAGTGCTGGGATTACAGGCGTGAGCCACTGCACCTGGCCTACATTTAAAGTATTTCTTAGAGGTAGCAGGGAGTAGGATCTTGCTTTTTTATACAGTTTGACAATCTGCCTTTTAATTTAGGTTATTAGGCTGGTTTCATTTATAATGTGATTACTGATATAGTTAAGTTTATCTGTTATCATACTGTTTGATTTCCATTAGTCCCAGCTGTTCTTTGTTTTCTTTTCTTCTTTTTCTGCTTTCTTTTCAATTAGCCATTTTTTTTTTTTTTTGAGATGCAGCTTCACTCTGCCACCCAGGCTGCAGTGCAACGGCATGATCTCTGTTCACTGCGACCTCGGCCTCCTGGGTTCAAGTGATTCTCCTGCCTCAGCCTCCCAAGTAGATGTATTTACAGACGCCTGTCACCACACCTGGCTAATTTTTTGTATTTTTAGTAGAGATGGGTTTTCACCACATTGGCCAGGCTGGTCTCGAACGCCTGACCTCAGGTGATCTGCCCCCACTTGGCCTCCCAAAGTGCTGGGATTACAGGCGTGAGCCACTGCACCTGGCCAGTCATGTAATTTTATGATTGTTTTATCTCTGTCTTTTGGCTTATTAGCTATAAGTCTGTTTTTGCCATCTTTGTGATTTCATTACAATTTGTACTATATGATTTTATCTTATCACCTTCAGGCAGTATTATACCATATCATATATGGCATAAGGAAATTAGAATAGTATAATTTCATTTCCTCTTTCCCAGCCAGATCCTTCCTGGATTTGTGGGATTATAGTTTTCATTAAGTTTAGAAAATTTCTGGCCATCTGCTCTCTATATTTTGTCTGTCTCTCTCCCTTTCTCTTTGGGGACCTGTATATTACTGCTTAAAGTTTTCTCGTAGTTCTCTGATGTCTCAAATTTATGAATCTTCTCTTTTGTAATGTTTAGTCTGTATTTATTTCCATCCAGTATAGTTTTCATTTCTGACATTTTAATTTGAATCTCTACACATACAGTTTGCTTTCAAAAAATATCTCCCATGTCTCTGCTTGAGATTTATTTTGGGACACAGTTGAGTTACTTATACACAGCTTGATATTTCTGGTCTTGCTTTATGGTTTGGTCTAGTTTTCCACTTCTGAGGCAAGGTGTTTCTAATAACTCTATTCATTGCCCTGTGAATCCCAAGTTTTTCCAGTATTGCTCATAGGAATGGACACTCTTCCTTACACATTGTGAGCAACAGGCACTATTTTTCACTGTTTCTAATTTTTTAAAGATTTTTTTCCCCTGGTCTCAGGTAGTTTCCTAGCACACATGTACCGTTCATCACTCTGCTATTGGTTTTTTGTGCTTCATCATTCCAACTCAGAGAATCTGGTGGACTCTACCTCAGTTTTTTTTCTCCCTGTGTCATGGCATGGAAACTTTGTCAAGTCAGGGAGCTGGGTTGTTTGTAAGGCTTACTTCATTTGTTTTGTCTTACAGGGATCATTGTCTTTGTTACCTGAAGTCACTTTCTTTTTTTCTGGAGAGTCTTGCTCTGTTGCCCAGGCTGGAGTGCAGTGGCACGATCTCAGCTCACTACAACCTTCACCTCCTGAGTTGAAGTGGTCCTTCTGCCTCAGCCTCCCGATCAGCTGGGACTATGGGTTTGCGCCACTACACCCAGCTAATTTTTGTATTTTTAGTAGATATGGGGTTTCACCATGTTGGCCAGGGTAGTCTCGAACTCCTGACCTCAGGTGATCCGCCTGCCTCGGCCTTCCAAAGTGTACCTGAACTCCACTGTCTTGAAAATCATCGTATAATGTATTTTGTCTTTTTTGGTTTTGATTGTTTCAGACAAGAAGGTAAATCAGTACCTGTTTCTCCATCATGGCCAGAAGCAGATTACAGGAGAGCTTCAGCACTTACCACAGACTGGCTAGAATGCTCTTCTACCCCCTTTACTTAACTGCTTCCTTCTCATCCTTTATTTCTCAGTGTAGCCATCTTTTCATCAAGGAAATCTTCCCTGAGCCCAGTATACATCAGATTGTATGTACCATAGAACTGTTTTCTTCCAGTATCTATCTGAATTTGTAATTTTCACTTTTATTGTCTTTGTTCTTCACTACACTGAAAGCTAAGCAAGAGCAGAGGTACTGTCTGTTGTATCTGCAAAGCTCAGCAGACCACATGTTAGGAACTTAGTCCATATTTGTTAGGTGTATGGTTGGGTGAATGTTAAAATGCACAGTCCTTTATATGCAAAAATTACTCATATTTTATTTCCACCTTGTTTTCTCCCTCATGTGGATTCTGTTAGCCTATTGAAAATGCAAGATGCAGTTCTTTCATGGGAACACTTATTAGAACTTAAGAATAATCATTGTGAACAACTTACAGTAAATATTAAACAAATGGAAAATATGGTTGGTGTACTACAAAAGGAGCTATCTGAAGCAAAAGAAACACAATTACAGTTAGAGCATGAAAAAGGTCAATGGGAACAAGAACAAGAACGCTACAGTTTGAGGTATGACGTTTGAGTTTTAAATAAATATTTTAACTGTCTATACTAAAGATATGTAAGAATTTTTGCAATTGTTGACTCTCTGGGGCTTAATGGGAAGAAAATGTCTTGTACTTGTGGAATATGAAATTCTTGGAAATAAGGTAACAAATTTTTAACTGAATTCTTCTAATAATTGTATATTTTAAATCGTGATTTTAATGGCTGTATGGAAGTCTACCATATGGGAACCTCAATATTTAACAAATTGAATTTGGGGTTTGAAATTATTTTGTATTAGAATTAATGCTGTGAGGAACATCTTTTATTCTTACTATTTTTAGACACAGGGTTTTGCTCTGTCGCTGAGGCTGGAGTGCAGTAGTGTGATCATAGCTCACTGCAACTTCGAACTTTTGTGCTCAAGGGATCCTGCCTCAACCTCCTAAGTAGCTGGCACTACAGGCACATGCCCCCATGCCCTACTAACTTTTTAAGTTTTTCATTGAGACAAGGTCTCACTATCTTGTCCAGGATGATCTCTAAGTCATGGCTTCAAACAATCCTCCTGCTTCGGCCTCCCAAAACATTGGGATTACAGGCGTGAGCCATGATACACAGCCCAGAACGTCTTTTATCTAAGTCACTTTCTACATTTCTAATTATTTACTTTGAATCAAGTCTTCAATACAGACTATTTTGGTTAAAATACAAGAACTTTTTTATAAAAGGCCTTGGATTAATATTTCTAAATTGTCCTCAAGGATGTTTGTGTTATTTTACAGTTCAACCAACAGAGCATGAAATGGCCACTTGTCTCAACCCAGAATACTTTTTAAAAACGCTATACAGTTTTATTCTTCTTTTTACTCTCTCTCTAATTTTTTTTATTTCAATACCTTTAGGAGTACAAGTGGTTTTTGGTTACATGGATGAATTGTGTAGTGGTGAAGTCTGGGATTTTAGTGTACCCATCACCCAAATAGTATACATTGTAGCGCAATAGGTAGTTTTTGTCTCTCAATGCCCTTACGCTTTTCTCCCTTCTGAGCCTCCAATGTCATTATACCACAGTGTCAGCTTTCACATATGGGTAGCATAGCTCCCACTTGTAAGTGAGAACATGTGGTATTTGTTGTTCCATTCCTGAGTTACTTCACTTAGAATAATGGCCTCCAGCTCCATCAAGTTGCTGCAAAAGACATTATTTCATTCTTTTTTGTGGCTGAGTAATATTCTGTGATATATATATATATTCCACTCATCAGCTAATGCACACAGGTTGCTTCCACATCTTTGCGTATTGTGAATTGTCCTGCAATAAACATATGCATGCAGGTGTTTTTTTGACATAATGATTTCTTTTCCTTTGAGTAGATACCCAGAAGTGGGAATGCTGAATTGAATAGTAGGATCTACTTTTAGTTCTTTGAGAAATCTCCATACTGTTTTCCATAGAGGTTGTACTAATTTGCATTCTCACCACCACTGTATAAGTGTTCTCTTTTCACCACATCCACACCAACATCTATTGCTTCTGATTTTTAATAATGGCCATTCTGGCTGCAGTGAGGTGATATATCATTGTTGTTTTATTTTGCATTTCCCTGATGATTAGTGATATTGGCCATATTTTTATATGCTTGTTGACCATTTGTACATCTTCTTTTGAGAAATGTCTATTCATGTCATTTGCCCACTTTTTAATGGAATTATTTGTATTTTCCTGCTTATTTGAGTTTCTTGTAGATTCTAGATATTAGTCCTTTATCTAATTCATGATTTGCAAATATTTCCCCCCATTCTATAGGTTGTTAGTTTACTCAGATGATTATTTCTTTTGCTGTGCAGAAACTTTTCAGTTTAATTAAAAGTTTAGTTATTAATTAGTTAAGTTATTTGTCACATTTGCTTTTAGGTTCTTCATCGTAAATCTTTTGCTTAGGCCAATGTTTTCAGGCATCAGATTTAGGCCTTTAGTCCATCTTGAATTAATTTTTATTTTATATATGGTGAGAGATAGGGATCTAGTTTCATTCTTCTGCATGTGGCTATCCTATTTTCCCAGCACCATTTATTGAATAAGGTGTCCTTTCTCCAGTTCGTGTTTTTATATACTTTGTCAAAGAATATTTGGTTGTAAATGGCTTTATCTGTGGGTTGTCTATACTGTTCCATTGATGTATGTATCTACTCTATACTAGTACCATGCTGTTTTTGTTACTGTGGCCTTATAGTATAATTTGCAGTCAGGTAATTTGGTGCCTCCAGACTTTTTGTGGTTGTTGTTGTTGTTGTTGTTGTTTTGCTTAGTATGTCTTTTGCTCTTCAGGCTCTTTTGTGGTTTTACATGAATTTCAGCATTTTTTTTTTCTAATTCTGTAAAGAGTGACATCGGTATTATGATGGGAAATGCATTGAATCTGTAGGCTCCTTTGGGCATTAGGGTCATTTTCACAATATCAATTCTTGCAGTCCATGATCATAGGATGTATTTCCCTTCGTGTCATCTGTGATTTCCTTCAGCAGTGTTTTCTAGTTATCCTTATATAGATCATTCACCTCCTTCATTAAGTATATTTCTAGGTATTTTACATTTTTGTAGCCATTGTAAAGGGATTGGGTTCTTGATTTGACTCTCAGCTTGGTCATAGTTGGTGTATATGGGTGCTACTGATTTGGATTCATTGATTTTGTAACCTCAGACTTCACTGCATTCATTTATCAAATCTAGGAGTGTTTTATAGGCATTTTTAGGGCTTTCTAGGTATAAGATCGTGTCATTGGCAGACATAGTTTAACTTTCTCCTTTCCAATTTGGAAGTCCTTTATTTCTCTTGCCCAATTGCTCTGCCTAGGATTTCCAAGTTTTATTTTTTATTTTATTTTATTATTATTATTATTTTTGAGATGGAGCCTCACTGTGTCACCCAGGCTGGAGTGCAGTGGCGTGATCGTGGCTCACTGCAACCTCCACCTTCTGGGTTCAAGCGATTCTCCTGCCTCAGCCTCCCTAGCAGCTGGGGACACAGCTGTGTGCCACCACGCCTGGCTAATTTTTTGTATTTTTTTTTAGTAGAGATGGGGTTTCACCGTGTTAGCCAGGATGGTCTCGGTCTCCTGACCTGGCGATCTACCCTCCTCAGCCTCCCAGAGTGCTGGGATTACAGGCGTGAGCCACCGTGCCCAGCCGGGACTTCCCAGTTTTATTAATATACATGAAATAAAAACTAAAATGGAAAGTGAATAATGATTAGTTTATTTCACATCTCTCTCTCCTATACAGATACAATTAATTCAAAGTTCTATGTTGAAAACACATGTTGGCCGGGCACGGTGGCTCACGCCTGTAATCCCAGCACTTTGGGAGGCCAAGGTGGGCGGATCACGAGGTCAGGAGATTGAGACCATCCTGGCTAACACGGTGAAACCCTGTCTCTACTAAAAATATAAAAAATTAGCCGGGCATGGTGGCAGGCGCCTGTGGTCCCAGCTACTCGGGAGGCTGAGGCAGGAGAATGGCGTGAACCCGGGAGGCGGAGCTTGCAGCGAGCTGAGATCGCGCCACTGCACTCCAGCCTGGGCGACAGAGGGAGACTCAGTCTCAAAAAAAAAAAAAACTAAAAAAAAAACCACATGTTATTCTTTATTGTTTAAATGTTAGATCCTATCTTGTTCCAAAAGGAATTTTAAAATTGTTTATAAAATACACAAGAATCAAGAAGATAAGTGGAAAGTGTTACCAAAAAATAAACATAAAAAGTATTGGTTAACACAAGGGTCCCCAACCCCCAGGCCACGGACCAGTACCAGTCCATGGCCTATTAGGAACCAGACCACACAGCAGGAGGTGAGCGGCAAGTGAGCAAGCAAAGCTTCATCTGTATTTACAGCCGCCCCCCATCACTTACATTACCACCTGATCTCTGCCTCCTTTTAGGTCAGCAGCACCATTAGATTCTCATAGGAGTGTGAACCAAATCCTACTGTAAGCTGCACACATTGGAGATCTAGGTTGTGCTCTCCTTATGAGAATCTAATGCCTGATGATATGTCCCTGTCTCCCATCACCCCCAGAGGGAGCTGTCTAGTTGAAGGAAAACAAGCTCAGGACTTTCACTGATTCTACATCATGTGAGTTATATAATTAATTATTTCATTATATATTACAAAGTAATAATAATATAAATAAAGTGCACAATAAATGTGATGTGCTTGAATCATCCCTAAACCAGCCCCCTCTCCCCCAGGTTCATGGAAAAATTGTCTTCCACAAAATCAGTCCCTGGTGCCAAAAAGACCAGGGACAGCTGGATTAACAGATATTAGACCCCATTGCCTTGTATTGGATTATAGTAATCTGCAGATATATATTGTGTGACTGACATCCGATGGTGCCATCTTTTTTTTTTTTTTTTTTTTGAGACAGAGTCTCACTCAGTCACCCAGGCTTCCTGAGTGCAGCAGCCTGATCTCGGCTCACTGCAACCTCCACCTCCCAGGTTCAAGCAATTCACCTGTCTCAGCCTCCCAAGTAACTGTGACTACAGATGCCTGCCACCAGGCCTGGCAAATTTTTGTATTTTTAGTAATGATGGGGTTTCACCTTGTTGGTCAGGCTGGTCTCGAACTCCTGACCTTGGGTGATCTACCCACCTTGGCTTCCCAAAGTGCTGGGATTACAGGCTTGAGCCACTGTGCCCGGCCCGATGGAGCCATCTTGCACTGTAAATTATTTTAGGAATACCTGCAGTATTTCATGAAAATTAAAATTTATTTCTAGTGAATTTACAAAGTTGTTTATAAGTAGTATGTTCTTTTTAATTAGTTAATTTGAAATGATCTGTCCTAATTGAGTTCTTATGACTGTGTGAAAAAGAGGTAATTTTCTCTTTCTTTGTTTTTTTTTTTGAGAGGGAGTCTCGCTCTGTCTGTCGTCCAGGCTGGAGTGCATTGGTGCGATCTCAGCTCACTGCAAGCTCCGCCTCCCAGGTTCACGCCATTCTCCTGCCTCAGCCTGCCGAGTAGCTGGGATCACAGGCACACTCCACCACACCCAGCTAATTTTTTTTTGTATTTTTAGTAGAGATGAGGTTTCACTGTGTTAGCCAGGATGGTCCCAATCTCCTGACCCTGTGATCCGCCCACCTCGGCCTCCCAAAGTGCTGGGATTACAGGCGTGAGCCACGGCGCCCTGCCAAAAAGAAGTAATTTTCAACGTGTAACTATACTAAATAATTTCTAATATTCTTTTCCATAACATTTATCAGAATTGCTAGTAACAGAAACTCACCAATTAGCAGGATGTTTTTTCTTCACTACCTTTCAAGTATATTTATCCCTTGGAAGAGACTGAAGTGAGAAATTAAAAACATGAGAACTAGAAAGGAAAAATAGTCAAGAACATAGAAATTTTATTTGAATAATAAACACTGCGTAGGAAGAGCCAGATAACAAAATAAACTTTTTATTTTCTAACAAAACAAATTTTAATATGTTTTACTGTAGAATGACCTTAAAAGAAGAAGAAAAGAGAAGAAATGATGATATGTTGCCTAAAAAAGATAGTGAACAGTTAAAAAGAAAAGAAAAGGAATGCGGGAAAGAAGTTGAAACAACTCAAACAGACTCTGAAATCACTGGTCACAGAATTGAGGACATAAGGAAAGAATTTGGATCAGGTAAATTAATTTTTGGTGAAAACTTTATATTTCTAACTTTATATAATTACATCCTTTGTATTTTTTACATCCTTTGATGTAATGTATATAATTTAGTTTCAAAACATACCAAGACTGTTATTTAATCTTAAAAAGGAAGTATGACATTTATAGCTATTTATTGTAAACCTTGGCATCTCTGTCTGTGATGTTCAGTCTTAGATGCTCAAACTATCTCTTATGTTTTCTGAATGAAGGAATGGAGGATAAATTGAGTTTAATCACATAAATATTTGTGTATTTTTATGTTAAAATATAGGCTCTATAGCTTTGAGACTATAACAAAGCTAGTTAAATGTTTTGAAAGAAATTTTATTACACGATACTGTATTTTTCTGTAGGTAAGAACTGTTTTTCCTCTTTGAGAAATTTAGCTGTCATGTATGCAATTAAAGTTTGAGTAATTCCTGAGGGATAAAAGTCCTTGTGTTTTAATAGGCTACTTTTTTTTTTTAACAGTTTTACAAAAACGGTTCTGTTCTTTAGATTTTCTTTTTCAATGCTATTAGACCAAAAATGTAATGTATGTCTAGGTTGTGCAGAAGCGAAGCGATACCCACAAGCAACTTTCTGAAGAGCAGAATGCCAGAATATTACAAGATGAGATTCTGACCAGTAAGCAAAAGGAGGTTGAAGGGGCTCAAAAGAAAATGAATTCTGAGGTATTTTCTTTAGTCATTTTCAAATATGTTTTTGTATGTGTATATATTTGAAAAACCAACTCTGTGTACCTTGGAAAATATAAAGGATTTTTAAATTATATATATATATATATATATATATATATACACACACACACACACACACACACATCCTATGTGTTTGTGTATCTATATATAGAATATACACGTGTGTGTGTGTGTGTGTGTGTGTGTAGGATAAAGTCATATTCTTAATTCAGCTCCATTAGTCTGCAGCAGTCAAGTAGTGACATTCACAATGGCCTCAATCCAAAGAAGAAGCATTTGATATTTTTTATAAGAATTGATGATCTTTCCATAATCTCAAAATTTTTGGTACTAACAACAGACGTTCTAGTTTTCGGACATTGTTTTATCTTCTCAAAATATTAGTGGAGAAGTCAGTTTATTATTTTCATTGATAGATAAGGAGGAAATGTATAGCCAGTTTAGAGGCCATATTGTGGATGTCATTCTTCTTACTTTTGAAGAACTTAAAAGTTTTCTCCAAGTAGTATCTAATTTCAATGCAAAGGGCTTTGAAAACAATGATGTAGAATAATATACATTTAGTGATAATTTATTGGTAAGTGTTTTGTTTCTAGAAAAATAGTTCAGTGTATTTCCCCCTATTTCACACTTATTACTGTTTCAAACATTATAAAGAGGAAATAAAAGTTATTACAATAGCAAATCTCATGATTTTTTAAGAAGATCTCTATAAATTTTACCATTGGTATTTTTAAATAAGAGGCTTCTTTTGTATTTATATATTTACACCACAGAAGTAACTGCAATTTGATGGAGGAGGACTAGAAGTAGAATCAGAAGACCTAGGGAAAATCCTGCATCTTGCATATATTTCAATCTCTCCTCTTCAGAATTGAGACCTTAAATGAGTTCAGTAATGTATGTAAAAGTGCAATGCTTAGATGTAGAAGTGTAAAATGTAGAAATGTACAATGCTTAGATTTAACATTTATGAATAAGTGTAATCTTTATAACTTACAATAAAATTGTTAGAAAAGTAGAATATTTATAGAACATTATCAGGAAAAAGGAACTTAGAGAACTTTGAGGAATTTCTTCAGTCCAAATAAATGCAGAACTAAGAGTCTTACAATAGGGTGGTGTATAGGTTAGATATCAGATTTTAAAATTTTTAAATTTTAAAAATTTAGTCAAATGTATCAATCTCATATTTTATGCCGCTGGGTTTTTTGAAATTCAGAGAAAGGCTTTGTCAATTCTGAGAGTCTTAAAAATCCTCTAGTGGTTTATTTTTTACTTTTATTGATTCATTGTCTTCAAATAGATTTTTTTAACTTTTGGGAATTTACACTCTGAGGTTTGAAATTTTGATTTAACATTTTTTCCAGTTAAATATCCACTTACGGGAATCCTTTCATTGTACAAATATACAGGTTATTCTTTAATTTCAGAAGAAACCATGATATGTCATTCTATTGAGTGCTAAGTTTCCTTTGTTTACTTAGATTTCTCAAAGCCATAAGAAAGAAAAAGACCTGTTGCATAAAAATAGTATGTTGCAGGAAGAAATTGCCATGCTAAGACTGGAACTAGACACAATAAAACATCAGAACCAGCTGAAAGAAAAGAAATATTTGAAGGATGTTGAAAGTGTGAAATAAAAGAATGACAACCTTCAAAATATGATAAAACTGAATGAGGAAACATCAACAAAAATAGTATTTCAGTACAGTGGACAGCTTAGCATTTTGACAGCTGAGAATAAAACTCTCAGTTCTCAACTTGAGAATGTAAAACACAACATGGAAAGACTGGAAATGGAAATTCAGCCATATCGATGCAGGCTGGCTGCTGCCGTACATGATTGTGATCAAAGTCAGACAGCATAAGAAAACCTAGAGCTTGCTTTCCAGAGAACAGGACATGAATGGGTTCATTTACAGGAGAAAATGAATTCTGATATGTCTAACCTAAAAGATAACAGTTAGATTCTTTCTGAAAAACTCTCTAATGCTGACAGTAAAATTAACAGCCTAAAAATTAAGTTTCATCAGCAAGAGAAACACTCAGAGAAAAGACATCAGTTTTAGAATGTTTCCAAAGAGACCTAGGCCAAACACAGTGTCAAAAGAAAGAAATTGAACGAATGTATAAAAATGAACAAAGTAAAGTAAATAAATACGCGGAAGAAGCAGGAATCTATAGAGGACAGATGTGCTCAACTACAAAGTGAAAATAGGTTGCTTCGACAGCAACTGGATGATGCCCACAAGAAAGCTGACAATCAAGAAAAGACAATCAGTACTATCCAAGATCAAATCCATGCTGTTGTAAAAAAATCTAGCTGGGAGTGAAATGCACAGTCTTCTGCTAGAAGAGAAAAACAAGGACTTAATCAATGTATGTAATAATTTGAAAGAAAGAATATATCAATGTGAAAAAGAGAAAGAAAAAAAAGTAAGTACCAAGAAAGATATTTTTCAAACTGAAAGAAAAAGTAATATTTGGTTATGCTAAATGTTATATATAGTTGAATATAAAAGTATGTAGAATAGGCTGGGCGCGGTGGCTCATGCCTGTAATCCCAGCACTTTGGGAGGCCAAGGCGGGCGGATCACCTGAGGTCGGGAGTTCGAGACCAGCCTGACCAACATGGAGAAACCCCATCTCAACTAAAAATACAAAATCAGCTGGGCGTAGTGGCGGGCACCTGTAATCCCAGCTACTCAGGAGGCTGAGGCAGGAGAATCGCTTGAACCCGGGAGGCGGAGGTTGCATTGAGCCGAGATCGCGCCATTACACTCCAACTTGGGCAACAAAAGCTAAACTCCGTCTCAAAAAAATAAAAAAGTATGTACAAATATACTTAGAATAAAAGTGTATTTGCTGTGTTAGCCTAGAAACATACCAGCAAAAGAAAGAGCTGAAGTACACTTTACTTTGAGTAAAGAAATTATATCACCTTTGAAATTTTAAGAGGTTAAGTTACAAGTTGTTAGTAGATATAGACTAATATTTATGATGTAGACATACTGCTAAAATAATTTTAATATTTGTATGTGGCCACATTTTAAGACCATGATGAAGCAGAT
Source organism: Homo sapiens (assembly GCF_000001405.40). Lineage (NCBI taxonomy): Eukaryota > Metazoa > Chordata > Mammalia > Primates > Hominidae > Homo > Homo sapiens. The sequence goes on from NC_000007.14 coordinate 39,869,533, forward strand.
AAACAGAAATGCCTTATATCTGAAATAAATCTTTTGAAATTAAGATTCGATTAGGTGGGTTACTTTGACTGTTAATTCAAGATTTCCCAGGTGAACTGAAGTATACTGTTGTATCTCATAATACTTTTCCTTCAGGGGCTTTTTATGTATTTACGTTTGTGTAATTTTATTTTTATTTGTATCAATTTGACTTTAATCTGAGACTATTTCAATATCACAGTATTGTTATGACATCTCAATTATTTAAAAGCATTTACTTTTTATTAAATCATAATTTGGGACAGATGTGAATTTCCAGCAAAACCATATTTGATTAATCTTACCACTGGTATTTATACTTTGAATGTTCTTAAAAATAATTTGCCCATAATTTTTATTTCAAGGCTCAATGGCTATCATTTGGATATGACTTTGTTTCACACAAAGATAATTGTGGCTATCTGCGATTGCTTTGTTTGACATTAGGTTCCCATTTTCAATCTAGTGGGAGGTGGCAGGATTCACATACAGTGAGAAAGCAGTGAGTAGAGAAGAGATTTGTAGGAGCTGAGGTCAGGGAGGGAGGTGAAGGCCGGTGGTTACCCAGGGCCTGGAAGGCAATTGAAATTTTACTTGTATTCTGAGATAGAAATCTATTGGAAGGATCTGAGCAGGCAATTGAGGATGTCAGGAGTGGTGGGGTTTCTTTGAGCTTCTAATAAAAAAGAGGAAAAACATTTTACAATGTTGCATTTTCTACCACCAGTCCCACCCACATACGGATTTGTTTTTGTGACTTAAGTAGGAAGTTAAGCATTGCAAATGTATCGGGTGAGTGAATAGTAAACTGAATCTAAGCAGAATACTGACTTGGCAGGAAAATAATACCTTCTGTGTCCTTAACTGAATTCAGTAATAAGCATGTATACACATAGGAAAAGAACGTAAATTCATGTATGTGGTGCTATTTTTCAAAGTACATGTTAAGTCTTATTACCATGATTTACTGATAAGGTAACATGTAAAATCAGTAACAAAAATATCTGAACAGGTAGTTATGAGACAACTTCAAGAAGAACTGGCTGATACCCTAAAAATACAACCTATGTCAGAGCCTTACCTAGAGGCTACACCACATTGTCTTATTAATTTAGAAGAGACCCAAGATTCAAAGAAGGAATTAGGTAAAATTGGAAGTCAAGTACATATGAAACATAACATGTCAATGGTTAATCTATAGGTAGTGGAATAATATCTAATGTTTTAGGATACTAATTGCATTGGATAGTTTTTTATTTTTATTATAATTAATTTTATTATCTTTATCATGCAGTTATTTCTTAACCTCTGACTTTCATTCTGTCATGTTTTTCTCATAAGTATATACATTTTAAAAATAATATTTACCCTTATGAAAGTTGGGAATTATACCTCATTCCTCACAGCAGTTGAGAGAGTTTTTTCTGCAAACCATTATTTCTTAGCTAGTTCTCTACTGTCATGGTAAGGCAAGCCAGATTAAATCAGAGGATAATGTTTAATATAGTGTTCCAAAGAAGTGTCTTATTTCTTGTCTTTACTTTCATGAATGGGTATAGAATGTGTGTCTGTTTATTGCATGAATTTCAGGATAACTTGTATGGAAAGGCCATTAAACTCTTCTCCAAAATGCAAATGTTTTAGATTAATTTACAAAGTACTTGAAATGTTAGGCATTTCCTTCATTTTCATTTCATTTTAAGTATATTGTAAAAGCATGGAAATACTCAGATCGTGTAGAGTATATACATCCAAAGTAGAGAATTAAGAAATGTATCTAGATCCTGCCACTGGATTTTTTAAAGCAACTGTGTTGATATATAATTTGCATAACATACAGTTCACCCATTGAAAATGTACAAGTCTCTTAGTATATTCATGGAGTTGTGTAGTCATCAGCAACATCAATTTGAGAACATCTTCACGACCCTGAAAAGAAACCCTGCATCATTTAGCCATCATCCACCAGTTTGCCCTTCCTCAGCTCTAGGGAACCACCAGTCTACTTTGTTTCTATAGAGTTGCCCATTCTGGACATTTCGTATCAATTGAATCACAAAACGTTTGGTGGTCTTTCGTGATTGGCTTCTTTCACTTAGCATAACATTTTTAAGGCTCATCCGCATTGTAACATGTATCAGTACTCAACTTCCTCTAATTGCTGAGTAACATTCCACTCTGTGGATATACCAGTCATTTTATTTACCCATTCATCAGTTATGGACCTTTGGGTTGTTACCATGTTTTGGCTATTAATCATACTGCTATGAAGTTTTATGTACAAGTTTTTGTGTTTGCATATGTTTTCATTTCTCATGGGTGTATACTTAGAAGTGGAATTGCTGGTGTATACTTACAAGTGGAATTTGAGGAGCTGTCAGTCTGTTTTCCAAAGTGGCTGCACCATTTTACATTTCCGTCAGAATTGTATGGGGATTCTAATTTCTCTGTATCTTCCCAACATTTTTCACATTTTTGATTGAAGATTCCATCCTAGTGGTGTGAAGTGATACCTGATTTTATTTTTTTTTTTGAGATGGAGTCTTGCTCTGTCGCCCAGGCTGGAGTGCAGTGGCACAATCTCGGCTCATGCAACCTCCCTTGCACCGGGTTCAAGTCATTCTCCTGCCTCAGCCTCCCAGGTAGCTGGGATTACAGGCACCCACCACCATGCCCGACTAATTTTTTGTATCTTTATAGAGATGGGGTTTCACCGTGTTAGCCAGGGTGGTCTTGATCTCCTGGCCTCGTGATCCACCCGCCTTGGCCTCCCAAAGTGCTGGGATTGCAGGTGTGAGCCACCGCGCCCCGCAAAGTGATACCTCATTTTTGTTTTGATTTGCGTTTCCCTAATGAGTAATGATGTTAAGCATCTTTTTATGTGCTTATGAGCCACTTGTGTATCTTTGGGAAAATGTCTATTTAAATGCTATGCCCATTTAAAAATCACCTTCCCTTTTTTTTCTGAATTTTAAGTTTTTTGTAGATCTTAGGTGTAAGACCCTTAACAGATATGATTTTCAAATATTTTATTTCACTCAATGGCTTTTATTTTTACTTTCTTGATGATGTCTGTTCAAGTGCAGACATTTCAAATTTTAATAAAGAATTTTATAGTTTTAGCTCTTATATTTAGCAGTCCTATTTTGAGTTAATTTTAGATGTGGCATATGTTAGGAGTCCATCTTTATTCTTTTGCATGTGGATATCCAGTTGCCCCATTACCATTTGTTGAAAAGGCTATTCTTTTTAACAAATTAATAGTCTCATTTGTTGTTTTTTTACCCTTGTTGAAAATCAATTGACCATAAATATGTGGGTTTATTTTGGGATTCTCAATTCTAATATGTTGATCTATGTCTATCATCATGCCAGTACCGAATCTAATTTTAGGATAATTATTTTTCAGTCATGTTGCTTATTATTCCCAATTGTCCTAAGTAAGAATAGAAATTCAAGTACTAGGATGCCTTTAATTTCACTGTTTGCTTCCTGAAGGAACATGTGGCTAGCTTATATTAATACCTTGCTGACTCCTGTGACACAATGGGAAGTCAGGCTTACAAAGACAAGAGCGTATTCATTTCTTTTTCTCCATTCAAACCGTTTTTCTCTCACTCAGGCCCTACCTCTTCACTCCCATTTTCATCAAATCTTGGTTAGAGGATCTGCTGACTCAGTCTGTATTTACTGCATTATATTTACTAACTCATAATAAGTCATAGAATTGTGTAGATTTTTGCCATGTAGGAAGGAGAAGATTAAGTCTGGGCTGTTGCTTTCCTCTTTGGAAATTGAGCTAATTCATCATCTTACAGCTCACAAATAGATCCTCTGTTGACCTGGTGCCTGGTTCTTTGGATAACACTGGAGCTGATCCTTTTCTTGGCACAGATCCTACATTCTCAGAAATTACAGTTTTCTGTATTTAACTGCTTTTACTTAACAGAGGTGCCTAGCTATGCTTTATAGCTCAGTACATAATCAAATTAGTAGTTCAACCCATTCAAATAAAAATTTTCAGGAATGCAGCACCTAAAAATTAGGTGATGTCCAGGTATTTATCAGAGACAAATAGTCAAATTAGTTTTATGAATCTCAAAATTTCAGAGCCAATTTGTACGATATGGAGCAGCATTTTGGTACAATGTAAAGATGAGATGGTCTTACCTTCTCAGCTTGAAGGGAAATTGTATTTAATTTTTTAACATGTAAAGGACACTACATTTGTTTTGCTACAGAGAAGATTAAAACTGATTTCCTAGTATTCTCTTTATTTTCTCATTGAGGAAATGAAAATGAAGATCAAATACTAGATTGATTAATAATTACTCAGCTGCTTATCACTTTTAGAATTTCAGTTCACTGAAATCAGGTAAAATGTCTGATTTGTGTTATTATATCAAATACTTCTGTTTTTTGTCAACTTTCATACTTCAGATTATACATCCTTCCTTCCTCATCTTCCTTATCCCATAACTTGAGGGGCAAATGCTAAAGAGCCTCATTTGCTTAGTTATGAGAATTTGTAACTGAAGGGAACTTCTTCTAAACGTCCTCCTCAATAGTTCATACGTCTGTCTCCTGGTTGTCTGCTGCTTCTCATTAGCATTGTTTGTCATTAATAAATTAACCTCAACATTTAGTAGATCCTATTTTAAAGGAGACTAGTTACTACTGTGTAAGCTATTATATTTCTTACTGTTTTTTGTTTAAGTCTGTTTTCCTGTTTATTTTTCCCTAACAAGCTACCCAAAGGTGAGTGGCTTAACAGCAACATGTATTTAGTTCACCAATCTGTGGTTTGGAAAATCCTTGTCCAGGACAACCTTCTCTGCTCCCCTCAGCTTCACTTGCAGTCAATCAAATGTTGGGGGACTGGAATCATCTGAAGGTCTGGTCACTGATATGTCTGGTTGTTGACAGTGGCTGTTGATTGGAACTTTAGTTGGGGCAGGCAGCCCAAATACTTGCACTGGAACTCCTGTGTGTCTTTGTGACCTGAGCTTCCTCACAACATGGGGGCTCGGTTCTAAGGGCAAGCAGTCTGAGGTAGAGAGCCTCTTCTAACCTAATGTTGGAGGCCACACGGTATCACTTGTACCACATTCTATTCATTAGAAGCAAGTCACTAAGTGTGGCCCATAGTCTATTTATAGGATGAATTGTTTGTTTGTTTGTTTGTTTATTTTTGATTGATTGATAGTGTCTCACTCACTACATTGCCCATGCTGGCCTTGTACTCCTGGGCTCAAGGGGTCCTCCTGCCTCAGCCTCGTGAATAGCTGGGACTACAGGTGTATTACATCATACCCAATTTCCTTTTTATTTTTGTGGACATGTATAATTGTACATATTTATGGGATTCACAGTGATATTTTGATAAGTGTAGCCACTGTATAATGGTCAAATCAGGCTATTAGCAAAGCCATCACCTTAAACATTTACTATTTCTTTGTGCTTTGAACATTGAAAATCCTCTCCTCTACCTTTTTAAAAATACACTATAAATCATAATCATAGTGACCCTACAGTGCCACGGAACACTAGAGTTAATTCCTCCTATGTAGCTATAATTTTGTATCCATTAACCAACCTCTCCCCATCCTCCACTCCCCCTACCTTTCCCACCCTGTAATACCCACAGTTCTACTCTCTACTTCCATGACCTCAAATTTTTTACTTTAGTTCCCATAAGTGAGAACATGCAGTACTTATGGTTTTGTGCCTTATTTCACTTAACATAATGTCCTCCAGGCTCATTCATGTTGTTGCAAATGACATTAATTTATTTTTTGGCTAAACAGTATTCCATTGTGTATGTATGCCCTATTTTCTTTATTCATCAACCACAATCATCTGTTGATAAACATTAAGGTTAATTCCACATCTTAGTTATTGTGAATAGTGCTGCAATAAACATGGGGGTGCTGGTGTCCTTTGATACATTGATTTTCTTTCTTTTGGATAAATACTCAATAGTAGGATTGCTGGATCACACCACAGTTCTATTTTTAGTTTTTACAGAAGCCTCCACACTGTTTTTCATAACGGTTATAGTAATTTGCTATTTCCTACACCAGTGCATAAGAGTTCCCTTTTTCTCCCCAACCTCACTAGCATTTTTTACTTTTTGTCTTCCTGATAGTAGCCATTCTAACTGTGGTGAGATGATATTGAGTACTGTTTCATATATTGGCCATTTGTGTGTCTTCCTTTGAAAAATAATCTACTCAGAGCCTTTACCCACTTATTAGTTGGACTACTAACTTTTTCACTGTTAAGGTGTTTGCTTTCCCATATATTCTGGATTTAGACCTTTGTCAGGTGAACAGCTTTCAAGTATTTTCTCTCATTCTATGGATTTTCTTCACTCCATTGGTGGTTTTCCTTGCTGTAATGAAACTTTTAATATAGTCTCATTTATCTATTTTTGATCTTTGTTTTTATTTTTTACCTGTTTTTTTTTTGATGTCTTAGCCATAAAATCATTGCCTAGACCAATGTCTTGAAGTATTTTCTCTATATATTTTCTTCTAGTAGTTTCATAATTTGGGGTCTTATTTTTAAGTCTTTAATGGATTTTGAGTTGATTTTATGGTGAAAGATAAGGATCTGCTTTCATTCTTCATCCTACTGATATCCAGTTTCCCCAGCCCAATTTGTTGAAGAGAGTGTTCTTTCCCAATGTTATGTTGTTGACACCTTTGACACCTTTGTCAAAAATCATGTGCCTGTAAATATGTAGATTTATTTCTGGGTTCTCTATTCTGTTCCATTGGTCTGTGTATCTGTTTTTATAACAATCCATGTTTTAGTCACTGTACCTGGTAATTTGTTGTTGTTGTTGTTGTTGTTGTTGTTGAGAGGGAGTCTCGCTCTGTCACCCGGGCTGGAGTGCAGTGGCGCGATCTCTGCTCACTGACTGCAAGCTCCACCCCCGGGTTCACGCCATTCTCCTGCCTCAGCCTCCCGAGTAGTTGGGACTACAGGCGCCCGCCACCACTCCTGGCTAACTTTTTTGTATTTTTATTAGAGACAGGATGGCCTCAATGTCCTGACCTCGTGATCCGCCCGCCCCGTCTCCCAAAGTGCTGGGATTACAGGAGTGAGCCACTGCGCCCGGCTTCTTTGGCAAGTTTTAAAAAGCATTTTGTTTATTCTTTTTCTTTCTTTTATTTTAGATTCAGGGGGTACATGTGCAGATGTTTTTACAAAGGTGTATTGCATAATGCTGAGGTTTGGGGTATGATTGACCCTGTCACCCAGGCAGTGAGTATTTACTACTCAATAGGTCATTTTTGACACTGGTTCGCCTCCCATCCTTCCCCTTCTTGTAGTCTTCAGTGTCTGCTGTTCTCATCTTTGTGTCCATGTGTACCCAGTGGTTGGTTCCCAGTTCTAAGTGAGAACATGTAGTATTTGGTTTTCTGTTCCTGCATTAGTTTGCTTAGGATAATGGCTTCCAGCTAAATCCATGTTGCTGCGAAGTACATGATTTTGTTCTTTTTATGGCTATATAGTGTAACATGGTGTGAATGTACCATGTTTCCTTTATCCAATCCACCTTTGATGGGCTCCTGGTTGACTCCATGTCTTTGCTATTGTGAATAGTGTGGCGATAAACATACAAGTGCATGTGTCTTTTTGGTAGAATGATATATATTCCTTTGGGTATATACCCAATATTGGGATTTCTGGGTAGAATGGTAGTTCAGTTTTAAGTTGTTTGGGAAATCACCAAACGTCTTTTCACAATGGCTGAACTAATTTACATTCCCACCAGCAGTGTATAAGTGTTCCCTTTCCTGTACAACCTCACCAGCATCTGTTATTAAATATTTTTGACTAATTGCCATTCCAACTGGTGTGGGTTAGTCTCTCGTGGTTTTGATTTGCATTTCTCTAATGATTAATGATAGGAATCTTTTTTAAAAATGTGCTTACTGGATGCATGTATGTCTTCTTTTGAGGAATATCTGTTCATGTCCTTGGCCCACTGTTTTACGGGGTTGTTTGTTTTTTTCTTGTAAATTTGTTTGTTCCTTATAGATGCTGGATATTAGTCCTTTGTCAGATGCATAGTTTGCAAAAATCTCCCATTCTGTAGGTTGTCTTTTTATTCTGTTGATAGTTTCTTTTGATGTACAGAAGCTCTTTAATTAAGTTCCATTTGTCAATTTTAGCTTTGTGTTTTGTTTTGTTTTTTGAGACAGGGTCTTTGTTTCTCAGGCTAGACTGCAGTGGTGCAAACACAACTCACTGCAGCCTCAACCTCTTGGGCTCAAGTGATCCTCCTGCCTCAGCCCCCCAAGTAGCTGGGACAACATGTGTATGCCAGCACGCCTAGCTAATTTTTGTATTTTTTGTAGAGACAGGGTTTTGCCATGTTGTCCAGGTGGTCTCAAACTCCTGAATTAGGGAGGGGTCCCTCCTCGTCAATATTTTGGAAGAGTTTCTGTAGGATTGAGAACAGCTTTGGTTCTGATTCAGCTGTGAATCCATCTGGTCCAGGCCTTATTTCGGTTAGTAGGTTTTTTATTATTGCTTCAATTTCAGAACTTGTTACTGGTCTGTTCACGATTTCAGTTTCTTCCTGGTTCAGTCTTGAAAATTTTTGTGTTTCCAGGAATTTATCTGTTTTCCTGTAGAAATTCTAATTTGTGTGTATGGAGGTGTTCATAATAGTCTCTGAGGATCTATTTTATTTCTGTTGGATCGGTTGTAATGTCATCTGTGTCATATCTGATGGTGCTTATTTAAATATTCTCACTTTTGGTTAATCCAATTAGAAGTCTATCAATCTTTTTTATTCTTTCAAGGAATCAATTTTTGTTTATCCTTTATGTGGGTTTTGGGGTTTCAATGTCATTCAGTTCTGCTCTCATTTTAGTTAATTCTTTTCCTCTGCTAGCTTTGGGGTTATTTTCTTGTTTTTTGGTTCCTCCAAGTGTAATGTCAGATTGTTAATTTCAGATCGTTCTAACTTATTGGCACGTGCACTTAGCACTGTAAACTTTCCTCTTAACACTGCTTTTGCAATATCCCAGAGGTTTTGATATGTTGTGTCTCTGTTTTTATTTATTTTGAAGATTTTTTGTTTCTGATTTAATTTCATTGTTTACCCAAAAGTCATTCAGGAGCATGTTTTTTAACTTCCATGTAATTCTGTAGTTTTGAGATATCTCAGTATTGATATGTTTTTATTGCAGTGTAATCCAAGAGTGTGCTTGATATGATTTTATTTTATTTTTAAATTTATGGAGACTTGCTTATGGCCAAGCATGTGGTTGACCTTAGAGTATGTTCCATGTGCACATGAGAAGAAAGTATGTTCTGTGATTTTGGGATAGAGTATTCTATAGATGTCTGTTAGGCCTAATTGATCAAGAGTCAAATTTAAGTCCAGAATTTCTTTGTAGGTTTTGTCTCAGTGGTTTGTCTAATGCTGTCAGTGAGGTGTTGAAGTCCCCTATTATTATGTGGCTGTCTAGACTTTTTCATAGACATAAAATAGAAGTACTATTTTATGAATCTGAGTGCTCCAATGTTGAGTGTGTATATATTTAAGATAATGAAGTCTTCCTGTTGAATTGAGCCTTTTATCATTATGAATTGAGCCTTTTATCATTATGTAATGCTCGTCTTTGTCTTTTTTTACTGTTGTTGATTTAAAGTCTGTTTTATCTGATATAAGAATAGCGGCTGGGCTCAGTGGCTCACGCCTGTAATCCCAGCACTTTGGGAGGCCGAGGTGGGCAGATCATGAGGTCAGGAGATTGAGACCATCCTGGATAACACAGTGAAACCCCGTCTCTACTAAAAATACAAAAATTAGCTACTTGGGAGGCTGAGGCAGGAGAATCACTTGAACCCGGAGGCAGAGCTTACAGTGAGCCGAGATCATGCCACTACACTCCAGCCTGGGCGACAGAGCAAGACTGCATCTCAGAAAAAAGAAAGAAAGAAAGAAGAATGGCAACCTTTACTCTTCTTTTCCATTTTATTTGCATGATGGATCCTTCCTCATTCCTTTACACTGAGCCTTTGCATGGTATTACATGTGAGATGGGTTTTGAAGACAAGCAGTGGTTGGTTTTCGTTTTTGTATTCAACTTACCACCCTGACTTCTGAGTGGAGCATTTAGACCATTTAATTTGAGATTAACACTGCTGTATGAGATTTTGATCCTGTTGCGATATTGTTAGCTGGTTGCTCTGTGTTCTCCATTGTGTAATTGCTGTGTAGGATCTGTGGGCTATGGACTTAAATCTGGTTTTGTGATAGCAGCTATTGTTTCCTTCATTTTTGTGTTTGTAACTCCCTTAAGAATTTTTTTTTTTTTTTTTTGAGACAGAGCCTTGCTCTGTCACCCAGGCTGGAGTGCAGTGGCACGATCTTGGCTCACCGCAACCTCTGCCTCCCTGGTCCTGAGCAGCTGGAATTACAGGCACCAGCCACCATGCCTGGCTGATTTTTGTATTTTCGGTAGAGACAGGGTATCACGATCTTGGCCAGGCTGGTCTTGAACTTCTGACCTCCTGATCCACCCGCCTTGGCCTCCAAAAGTGCTGGGATTACAGGCATGAGCCACTGTGCCTGGCCAAATATTATTTTTTTAAATGAATTGTTTCTCTTAGTCTGCTTTGTTAAATTTGGAATTCGTTGGACCCAGATAAATTAAAAAGTGGAAGATAAAAATACTTAAAATACGCTGGGTGCAGTGGCTCATGCCTATAATGCCAGCACTTTGGGAGGCCGAGGCAGGCAGATATCTAGGTCGGGGGTTCGAGACCAGCCTGACCAACATGGAGAAACGCCATCTGTACTAAAAATACAAAATTAGACGGGCTCTAATGGGCTTTGCCCATTTTTTAATCAGGTTGTTTTTGTTGTTATTGTTGTTGTTAAATTGCCCAAGTAACTCTTGGTGATTGTGTTTCTCTAATTTCTGCCCTCCTCTTCCTTCCTTTAATGCTTTATATTTTGTCACCAAGTGTGTAGCTTCTTAGACCTCTCTTGGGTAGTTTCAGTATTCATTTAGGAGTAACAACAAACAACAACAAAAAAAAAATGAAAGAAAGCAAAAGAAATGTAGTTGCTTCCAGCTGGAATCTGGTAAAATATGTATTTCACAACCAAGTCTTGTAAGAAAGGATAATGTGACTCATATAAGCTGGAAAGTTTAGGAGATTTAAAGCATAAAGTAGTGCTCAAAGTCACGTGGGTCCACCTCTTAGCTCTTCTGGTTTCACTGTATCCTGAGACAGTCTTTTCCAGGGTGGTTTCAAGATGGCTGCCAACAGCTACTTTCTTCTTTGTCCTCCCTGTCCCTCTTTCTTCTCCTCCTCTTCCTTCTCTACTTCCTACTTTCCCCTTTTCTTCTTCAGCAAACTTTATTTTGGCATTGTGAAAGGGAAATATCTTGGGCCTCCAAAATCACTAAGCTAAAGGGAAAAAGCAGCTGGGAACGGCTTAGAGCAAACCTGCCTCCCATTCTATTCAGTTGTCCCTCTGCTCATTGAGATAGATGCGTATAGTATCTGATTGCCTCCTTTGGAAAGGCTAATCAGAAACTCAGAAGAATGCAATTGTTTGTCTCTCACTTATCTGTGACCTGGAAGCCCCCTCCTGCTTCAGGTCTTCTCACCTTCACTTCGAGTTGTCCAGCCTTTCCAGACTGAACTAATGTACTTCTTACATGTATTGATTGATGTCTCATGTCTCCCTAAAATGTATAAAACCAAGCTGTGCCACAACCACCTTGGGCACATGTTGTCAGGACTTCCTGAGACTGTGTCTTGGGTGCACATCCTCGACCTTGACAAAGTAAACTAACTTTCTTTCTTTTTTTTTTTTTTTTTTTTTTTTGAGACAAGAGTTTTGCTCTGTTGCCCAGGCTGGAGTGCAGTGGCATGATCTCGGCTCACTGCAACCTCTGCCTCACAGGTTCAAGCAATTCTCCTGCCTCAGCCTCCCGAGTAGCTGCCATTACAGAAGCCCAGCTAATTTTTGTATTTTTAGTAGAGACAGGGTTTCATCATCTTGGCTAGGCTGGTCTTGAACACCTGACCTCGTGATCCACCCACCTCAGCCTCCCAAAGTGCTGGGATTATAGGTGTGAGCCACTGTGCCTGGCCTAAACTTTCAAAATTAACTGAGAACTCTCAGATTTTCTGGGTTTACATTTTGGTAACCAGAAGGGGTTTCTGAGTGGAGATACCCCTGACCTTTGACAAGCTTTAAATCAAAGTTAGCATGAGCTAACTTTATGGCTCAAACCAATAGGATAATTTGCTGAGGTCTGAGAGCACCCCCCCCAGAGAATCCCTGATCTCCCAAAATTTGGTCGAGATCTAACAACTCCTTTTTTTTTTTTTTTTTTTTGAGTTTTACTTGCTTCCAACACAAGGAAGGCAAGTTTTTCCTGCTTCCATGATGATGGAAGCGAACCAGTTCAATTCCAGCAGGAAAGATGAGTTTTTTTTCCCCTGCTTCTAGGATAGTAGACAGCAGTCTTTATTTAGCCTGAGACCCATCCCTAGGTAAGTAACTGAATTGGGGTTTGTCGTGGCTAAAGATTAACAACCAGCTGGTGTTAATTTGCTTACACTTCAGCCTGAGACCCATTCCTAGGTAAGTAACTGAATTGGGGTTTGTCTTGGCTAAAGATTAACAACCAGCTGGTGTTAATTTCTGCTTACACTTAACAGCACTCACATTAGAAACAACTTTTGGTGCCGCAAAAGAAATAGCACTCGAACAGAAATTTTCTCAGCAAGGCAAATTTACTTCTGCAGAAGGGTGTAGCTTGCACCAGTCATGATCACAAGAGCACACCGAGTGGGATAGGGTGTAGGGGTTCAGTTAGGATGGTGGGAAAAATTGTAAAATAAACACAAACCTTCTTGGAAAGCTGGAAGGTTTTTGCAAAAGCCTCAGGATAGAGTTATGGCTGACAGCAGCCTAATCCTCCTTGAGCTATAGCAAGGGTAATTAACATAGGAATGTAGAGGAGTCTGTCTAAATAGCTTGTTGACTCATGTGGTCCTAAGACTAACCTTTGACCATCTGCAGGTGCATGATTGCTCTCTACATGGTAATTACCTTCTAGTGGTGTTTACTTGAGAATTTTGTCATTTAATGTGTGCCATATAAGTGACAGAGGGCCAGCGAGTGGGGGCCATGGTTGCAAGTCTTTACAACACTCTCTTGGGAGTCTGTAAATCGCCTGAACTCTCAGAATAATATCTGTATCAGGGTATTTATTCATCTGTTGTTGGGTCAGGGTCTGCAGGATGGACCCCTGCAGCTGGTGCCCTGTGTGAGGATCACTACAAAGGAAGCACGAAGGACCCCCTGAAAATGAAGGTAAAAAAGGACTGCACGGTTACTGAGTAATCAGTAAGTCATTGGTGCCCACTCGGGATTTCCAAGTTCAGCTGGGAACAGGCTCACGCCTGTAATCCCAGCACTTTGGGATGCCAAGGTGGGCAGATCACCTGAGGTCAGGAGTTTAAGGCCAGTTTGGCCAACATCGTGAAACCCCATCTCTACTAAAAATATGAAAATTAGCTGGGTGTGGTGGCACGCACCTGTAATCCCAGCTACTTGGGAGGCTGAGGCAGGAGAATTGCTTGATCTCCGGAGGCTGAGGTTGCAGTGAGCTGAGATTGCGCCACTACACTCCGACCTGGGCGACAGAGTGAGACTCCATCTCAAAAAAAAAAAAAAAAAAAAAATTTAAAAAAGGAAGGAAATTGGCCAGGCGCGGTGGCTCACGCCAGTAATCCCAGCACTTTGGGAGGCTGAGGCGGGTGGATCACAAGGTCAGGAGATTGAGATGGTCCTGGCTAACACGGTGAAACCCTGTCTCTACTAAAAATACAAAAAATTAGCCAGGCGTGGTTGCAGGCGCCTGTAGTCCCAGCTACTGGGGAGGCTGAGGCAGGAGAATGGCCTGAACCCGGGAAGCGGAGCTTGCAGTGAGCTGAGATCGCACCACTACACTCCAGCCTGGGCGACAGAGCGAGACTCCATCTCAAAAAAAAAAAAAAAAAAAAAAGGAAATTCTGACACATGCTACAACGATGAACTTTAAGGGTATTCTGCTAAATGAAATAAATCAATCACAAAATGACAAATATGGTATGATTCTACTTATATGAGTTACCTACGGTAGCCAAATTCCCAGAGGCAAAAAGTAGAAAAGTGGTTGCCAGGGGGTTGGAGGAGGGGAGAATGGGGAATTAGTGTTTAGTAGATACAGAGTTTCCATTTTGCAAGAAAAAAGAATTCTGAGAGTGGATGGTGGTGATGGTGATGTTAATGAACCTAATGCCACTGAGCTGTAAATTTAAAAATGTTTAAGATGGTAGATTTGTGTTACGTGTATTTTACCGTAAGTGTAGGAAAAAGAGTTATGTGGACAAAAACACTTGCTGTAAGACAGACTTACATAGCTTGGCTGGAGAACAGCTAGAGTAAACAAATACATCATCAAAAGTAAATGAAAAATGTATAAATCCTGAGGGGAAATTTTTTTTTTAACTCTAAGACTTATGCAAATTTCTGCAAATAAATAAACAAAACTCTAAGACATATTTATGTAGAAACCTTAGGAGAAAATCAGGCCAGGCGTGGTGGCTCATTTTTGTAATCCCAGCACTTTGGGAGGACGAGGCAGGCAGATCACTTGAGCTCAGGAGCTCAAGACCAGCCTAGGCAACATAATGAGACCCTGTCTCAAAAAAAAAAAAAAAAAGAAAGAAAGACAGGAAGAGAGAGAGAAAGAGACAAAGAAAGAAAGAGAAAGGAAGGAAGGAAAAAGAAAGAAGAAAGAAAGAAAATAAAAGAAAAAAGAAATTCTCCAATGTCTCCAATATAAAGCCAGCTTTGGGATCTACTACCCTGTGTTGGTGCTTCTTAAACTGGAGAACGCACATCCCCCAAAAATATGTCCAGAGAACCCACCCCACTCCCTGTGCCCTGGGATCTGCTGACCTCATTTTAAGAAATATTGCACCTAATGTCAAAATAACACAATCACCCTGCATTTGTGATTTTTACTTTGGTTGAATTATTTTATGTTATAAAGGTATGTTATATAGTTAGTAATACTACATAGCCAAAAGCTTTATAGATTATCTTTAATTTCTTGAGGTAGTGTTTTCCCAACCTGAACACTCTTAGCTGCCCAAGAATATCAATAGAGAAACCAGTTTGAGAAGTATTGTACTACACAGAAGTTGTCTAAAGACCCTGAGATTTAATAATCTAGCAACAGAAGTTTCTGGTTTGAGCTCAATTGACTCCTAAAGAAAGTTGGGGCCTGGGCATGGTGGCTCACACCTGTAATCCCAGCACTTTAGGAGGGTGAGGCAGGCAGATCACTTGAAGTCAGGAGTTTCAGACCAGCCTGGGCAACATGGTGAAACCCCATCTCTACCAAAAATACAAACATAAGCTGGGTGTGGTAGCACATGCCTGTGATCCCAGCTACTCAGGAAACTGAGGTGGGAGGATCATTTGAGCCCAGGAGGCAGAGGTTGCAGTGAGCTGAGATCTCGCCACTGCACTCCAGCTTGGGTAACACAGCGAGACTCCCATCTAAAAAAAAAAAAAAAGAAAGAAAAGAAAAGAAAAAGAAAATTGATAGGAAAATAATGAGGGCTGGGGTAGGAGAGCAGGAGGCAGGGGCAGGGATCAGGGAAGGGCACAGGTGGCCAGTTGGTCATGGAGGCAGGATCTGTGGCTTTTAAGGGCCCTTTCTCTAGGACCTTGCACAGGGCCTGGCACACAGTAGTAGGCAGTCAATAGATATCGTTGAATGAATGAGGGAAGAGGGAGGAGGAGGAGGACAGAGATTGTGTTTTGTCATAACCAGAAACTCTGCCTGGATTTGTGTCTAAACTAGACAAAGCTGTGGCTTTTCACACAGCTTGGTGTGAGTTCGGTTGACTCCTAAAGAAAGTTTGGGGGCCGGGCGTGGTGGCTCACGCCTGTAATCTCAGCACTTTGGGAGGCTGAGGCAGGTGGATCACGAGGTCAGGGACCAAGACCATCCTGGCCAACATGGTGAAACCCCGTCTCTACTAAAATACAAAAAATTAGCCGGGCGTGGTGGCAAGGTGCCTGTAGTCCCAGCTACTTGGGAGGCTGACGCAGGGGAATTGCTTGAACCTGGGAGGCAGAGATTGCAGTGAGCCAAGATTGCGCCACTGCACTTCAGCCTGGCGACAGAGCGAGACTCCGTCTAAAAAAAGGGCCAGGCGCAGTGGCTCACGCCTGTAATCCCAGCACTTTGGGTGGCCCAGGCAGGCGGATCATCTGAGGTCGGGAGTTCGAGACCAGCCTGACCAACATGGAGAAACTCTGTCTCTACTAAAAATACAAAATTAGCCGGGCGTGGTGGTGCATGCCTCTAATCCCAACTACTTGGGAGGCTGAGGCAGGAGAATCGCTTGAGCTGGGGAGGTAGAGGTTGCAGTGAGCCAAGATTGACCCATTGCACTCCAGCCTGTGTAACAAGAGCGGAACTCCATCTCAAAAAAATAAAACAAAAAAAAGAAAGTTGGGGGCCAGGAGTGGCCGCTCACTCCTGTAATCTCAGCACTTTGGAAGGCCAGGGCAGGTGGGAACTTGGTTTCTGCTCTAACTGGTTTGGGGATGTGAATGAAGGGTAGGCAGAGATCTGACTTCAAGGCTTCAGGGAGCATGTGAGATAATTACAAAGTTAAGCAAGGGAAATTAAATTGCTGGCCAAAAATCACAATCCTTTTGCTCCTAAAGTTTAGAAATGCCCTGGTTTGCTAGAGAATTGACTTTTTTGAAACCTCTTATTTATTTATTTATTTATTTCTTAGACAGGGTCTTGCTCTGTGACCTAGGCTGGAGTGCAGTGGTTCCATCACAGCATGCTGCAGCCTCCACCTCCGGAGCTCAAGTAATCCTCTCACCTCAGCCTCCCAAGTATCTGGGACTATAGACATGTGCCACCGTGCCTGGCTAATTTTTTTTTTTTTTTTTGACATGGAGTCTCACTCTGTCACTCAGGCTGGAGTGCAGTGGCGCAATCTCGGCTCACTGAACCTCTGCCTCCCGGGTTCAAATGATTCTCCTGCCTCAGCCTCCTTAGTAGCTCGGATTACAGGCATGTGCCACCACGCCCGGCTAATTTTTGTATTTTTAGAAGAGATGGGGTTTCACCATGTTGCTCAGGCTGCTCTCGAACTCTTGACCTCGTGATCCATCTGCCTTGGCCTCCCAAAACGCTGAGATTTCAGGCATGAGCCACTGCGCCTGGAGCCTGGCTAATATTTTTTATTTTTTGTAGAGACAGCATCTCACTGTTGTCACCCAGGCTGGTTTCGAACTCCTGGCCTCAAGCAGTCTCCCTATCCTGGCCTCCCAAAGTGTTGGGATTACAGGCACGATTCACTGTGCGTGGCCCAGCTTCTTTTTAGTATTAAAAAAAATGTTGTGTCAGCCAGGATAGAATGGCCTATGCCACAGTAACAACCAACCCCCAAATTGCAGCAATCACATTTATTTCTTACTTTTGCTACATGTCCAAGGTGGGGCTGCAGGGCCTCTTTGCTGCTGCCACCACTCAGGGCCCAGGCTGCCAGTAGTGTCCTCTCAGCAGTGGCTTCCTTGATCATCAGGACATTGGGAAGGTGAACATGGTGAATTACGCACTGCTTTCTACCCAGAAGGGTCACATGTCATTCCTGCTCAAATTTCATTGACCAAAAAGAGCTACATAACCCAAATCCTACCAGGTGCCCCAAAGGTAGAGAGCTGCAAATATTTAGTGAACAGCATTTAATGACTACTACGTATTTTCCTTATGGAAAACAAACATACAGAACTAGAATTGCACAAATGAAGACTGAAGGTCTGGATTGGTTCTTCAACTCTATTAGGTTGGTGCAAAAGTAACTGCAGGTTTGCCATTTTAATGGCAAAAAGTGCAATAACTTTTGCACCAACCTAATACATATGCAAGAAGTTGTGTCACAAATTATAATTGGGGCTATAGCTATAGATTCACTGTTTGAAAGCCAATGTGAATCAAGGATTATTAGACAATGGGAGACTTCTACATTTCCCCCATACTGTTCTACAGCTTTGACTCAGAAATGCATTTTAGAATGTAAAAGATTTTTTCTTTTTTAAAACTCATTGCTTACTGCTTCTTAATTTAGTAAAAATCTACAAAGATATCTTTGTTTTCTTTTTTTTTTTGAGACGGAGTTTCGCTCTTGTTGTCCAGGCTGGAGTGCAATGGCGTGACCTTGGCTCACCGCAACCTCCACCTCCTGGGTTCAAGTGATTCTCCTGCCTCAGCCTCCCGAGTACCTGGAATTACAGGCATGTGCCACCAAGCTTGGCTAATTTTGTATTTTTAGTAGAGACGTGGTTTCTCCATGTTGGTCAGGCTGCTCTCGAACTCCTGACCTCAAGTGATCTGCCTGCCTCAGCCTCCCAAAGTGCTGGGATTACAGGTGTGAGCCACCACACCTGGCCTACAAAGATATCTTGATTGCTCTTCCAATTCAACTTTCCATTTGCAAAAGCCTCTAATATTTCAAAATTCTGAGTTTCTTCTGACAAAATTGGGGTAATCTGAAACAGGTAATGAACAAATCACAGAAAAATAGAGCTGGAAAGGAATACAGGGATTATCTCATCCAGCCATCTAAGAGAACAGAAAAGATAAAAATAATAAATAAATAAATAAATAGCTCTGGGATGTAGTCTTTCTGGCTAAACAGCTTCCCCATGAGGAAGTTGCAGCACTTAAACTTTTGACTCCTGTAGGCACAGCAGTGCATGCCTGTAGTCCCAGCTACTCCTGAGGTGGGAAGATCACTTGAGCCCAAGAAGTCCTGGACTATAGTACACGATGCCAATCGGGTGTCTGCACTAAGTTCAGCATCAGTATGGTGACCTCCTGGGAGTGGGGGACCACCAGGTTGCCTAAGGATGGGTGAACCAGTCCAGGCAGAAACTGAACAGGTCAAAACTCCTGTGCTGATCAGTAGTGGGATTGTGACTGTGAATAGGCATTGCACTCCAGCCTGGATGACATAGTGAGATCCTATCTCTAAGAATAGAGAGAGAGAGAGAGGGAACTAAACTTATCACTCCAAGCCAAATTCCCTTTCCTCACAGGCCTCTCATTAATGTTGGAAAATGCCGGGTCCTCTGTACAACTTTCTGTTTCCTACAGTTGCCTGGCCTCTATTTGTTTTTGTCATGTCATATTCCTCAACTGTTCTAATTGGAGTGGAGCTGTGGTCATCTATTGTTATAGTAGTAATACTGAACATTGCCATCATTTTTATTAAGTGATTCTTACTTGCCACAGCAGTATTGTATTTTCCCCATGCAAATATCATGTGTGATAGGTTCAACTGTGACCCCCTAAAAAATCTGTTCAAATCCTAACCCTTAGTGCCTATGAATGTAACCTTATTTGGAAATAAGGTTTCTGCAGATGTAATTACGTTAAGATGAGGACACACTGGATTAGGGTGTGCTCTAAGGTGACTGTCCTTACAATAGGTGAGGACTTGAGTGACGCAGGTACAAGCCAAGAAACACCAAGGGTGGCCAGCAGCCACCAGAAGCTGGAAAAGGTGAGGAAAGATGCTTCCCGAGAGCCTTCAAGGAGTATGGCCCTGCTGATGCCTTGATTTTGGACTTCTGGCCTCCAAAACTGCCAGAGAATAAATTTCTGTTGTTTTAAGCCACTGAATTTGTGGAACTTGTTAAGGCAGCCCAAGGAAACCAACACACTCCATGAGATGGTTATTAATTCTCATTTTACAGATGAAGAAACTGAGGTTTATAGAGATTAAAGATTTGCTTGAAGACTTAACAGCCATGAGAACTAAATCAACGTGTAGGTTTTGTTTGAATCCTATAAAAAGGCCATTTTTGAGATAATCAATGAAATTTGAATATGGTTTGGGTAGTGGATGTTATTTATTTATTATAAATTTTATATTATTGTTTTAGATGTTACTAATTATATTTGTTGGTGCAAGGTGCAGTGTTATTACATTGTTGTTCAATAACGGCATAGTGATCATATTTTAAAAGGGTTTGGCCAGGTGCAGTGGCTCATGCCTGTAATTCCAGCACTTTGGGAGGCTGAAGGGGGAGGATTGCTTGAGCCCAGGAGTTTCAGATCAGCCTGAGCAACATCGTGAGATGTTGATCTAAAAAAATAACCAATACATTTTTTTAAAAGAAGGAAAAAAAAATAAGTAGAAAGAAATATAAAAGGTTTTTACCAGCAAAATATGCATACTGAGGTATTTGTGGGTAAAATTTCATGACGTCTGGAGCTTGCTTTAAAATGCTCATCCTGGCCAGACACGGTGGCTCACGCCTGTAGTCCAGCACTGTGGGAGGCCGAGGTGGGTGGGTCATTTGAGGCCAGGAGTTTGAGACCAGCCTGGTCAACATGGTGAAACCTCCATCTCTACTAAAAATCTAAAATAAATAAATAAATAAGTAAGTAAATAAATCAGCCAGGGGCTGTGGCACACGCCTGTAGTCCCAGCTACTTGGGAGGCTGAGGTACAAGAATCGCTTGAACCTGGGAGGTGGAAGTTGCAGTGAGCCGAGATGGCACCACTGCACTCCAGCCTGGGTGACAGCAAAACTGTCTAAACAAACAAACAAAATAAAATGCTCATCCCCACCACTCCCCGAAAAGTACTGGAGGGAGTGGATAGATGAAACAAAATGGACACGTTGTCATTAATTGTTGAAGATGGATGATGTGTGTGTGTGTATATAGGGGTTTGTTATAGCATATATTGTACTACTCTTTCTGTTTATGTAACAAAAAATAACCTTTCTTTCTGAGAGAATTCAGTCCTATTGTCCTAGGGCATATTCTGTAATGAATTAACTCCACTCTTATGCATCTTGCAGGGAACTGCAGCATGGGATGCAACATTCTTGGAAGAACTGAGAAGAGTACTCACTCAAATTACCTTCTGTGTGGTTTCTATGGTTTCTCCACACTGGTTGAGAAAGTTCTGAAAACCGCAATCCAGAGGGTAAGTCCAGCTCGAACGGGAAGGCAGTCGGGCTCAGGAACATGGAGCAACCACCTGCCCTTCTGCTGCCCTGGACAATAGGTATTGCACTGTTGGAACTTGGTGGCATTTGCCCAAGGTCAAAATAGGGCATGAGGGAAGATGAAGGGATGGAAGTGAGCCAGCTGTGGGCATTCTCCTAGACACTTCTCATGCTCCTCTGCTTCTCTTAGCCCCTAGAGAACTAAGCCTCACCTAGTCCCCCACCCTTCTCCCCTGTCCCTAAAGCAGTGCACATCCCTTTCGAGATTTTCTGACAGTGACTAGGAAATTCAAGGGCAGGTTTTGTAGTGGAAAGTGCTGGCTAGGGTTGTGCAGCCCATAGGGGCCTGGTTTCCTAATCTGACCCCATGGCTCTTTGGCTGTGTGATCTGGGGCAGCTACCTAACCTCTCTCAGCTTCAACTGCCTCTCCTGTGAAACAAAGATGGTATTGCCCAACAGGCTGTGGGGAAGACTGAATGAAGCATTATTATATGTTATGCACCTAGTGAACTGCATGATATACAGCAGATGTTCAATAAGTAAGACACATGGCCGGGTGCAGTGGCTCACGCCTGTAATCCCAGCACTTTGGGAGGTCGAGGCAGGTGGATCACCTGAGGTCAGGAATTCGAGACCAGCCAGGCCAACATGGCGAAATCCCATCTCTACTACAAATAAAAAAATTGCCAGGCATGGTGGCGCACACCTGTAATCTCAGCTACTCAGGAGGCTGAGAATCGCCTGAATCTGGAAGGCAGAGGTTGCAGTGAGCCGAGATTGCGCCACCGCACTTCAGCCTGGGTGACAAAGCAAGACTGTCAAAAAAAAGAAAAAGAGATAAGGGCAAGAAAAGGCTCCAATCACTGCCTCAGCCACGTCCACTGCCATGACCACTGATACCTCACAGGATAATTTGCACCTTGGATTTCAGATGCTGATAACTGGTTTCTGTAAGGTGAGATCAGGGCAGAGAAGATCCAGGAGAGGGCTGGCATGCTGCCCAAAAGACTCCTTCCAAAAGGGCTGATGGCAGGGCTGAAACCACCTTTGCAAAAATTATAACAGAGGAAATTATGACAGTGAAAGAGATCAAACCTAACCGACTCCATCTGGCTTCTAACCTTTAAGCTGTCCTTGTTCACTCCTGGGCATAGGCTGAACTAACCTTGGGAAGGAATTTAGTTCACAGTTTTGCTCTGAAACAAAATTGATAATAGCCCTTTCCCCACAAAGACCCACTTCTTGCCTGGGGACCAGTCTATCTTTGTAGGACTCACAAATTAGCTACAAGATTAGAAATTATGGTTTAGAGGTCATGCAGCCTCTGGCTGCAAGAGTCTGAACCTCCCCAAATTGCTTCTGGGGATAACATCACCATTGTAAAGCCTAAGATCAGTGCTTGAGACATTTTGCAGACCTTGCACTGGTAGCTGACACTACCCAGAAGGGTAATCTGGCTCAACCAGTTCTGTGATCCCACCCAGGAACAGAAGACAGCAAGAAAACCTCACTATGACCCCCTAAAATCCCATCTCCAAACTGGCAAATCAGCACCCCGTACTTCCTGAGACTCCACCCCTCAAATTATCTTTAAAAATTCTCCAAATGCTCAAGGAGACTGATTTGAGTAGTAATAAAACTCTGGTCTCCCGCATAGCCTGCTCTGCATGAATTACTCTTTCTCCATTGCAATTCTCCTGTCTTGATAAATTGGCTCTGTCTAGGCAGCGGGCAAGGTGAACCTGCTGGGTGGTTACAGGGCTTTGGGTAGAAGAGAGAGAGGAGATGAGAAGAATGCTTACAGGGGAGGCAAAAGGGGAATTCCTGGGGCAAATCCTGGGGGGAAAGTAAGGGAGAGGTACTCTCCAAGGGACATAGGTGAAACTTGAGTCATCTGTAAATGTGAATACCTCCAAATAAATAGAAGAAATGTAAATAGTACTTGCTATGTCCCAAGGCTTATTCTGGAAGCTTTACAAATATTAACTCCTGTAAACTTCTCAACAACCTGTGACATAAGTGCTATTATTATCTCCATTTTGCATGTGAATAAACTGAGGCAAAGAGAGGTTAAGCAACTAGTCCAAGGTTGTCCAGCTGGTAAGGGTTGGAGCTGGGACTCAGATCAGACAAGCTTGTTCCAGCATCTCTCCACCAATTCTGGAAATCATCACTCTGTAGCTGAGTGTTGAGAATGGTACAAAGAGTTAAGATTCCTGCATTTTGATGGATCTTTCTTCTGAAAACTGGGTCACCCTAACAGTCCCCTGGGTTTACCTGGCCAGGATACCTTGATTCTCTGACACTTTTTTTCCTCCCTCAGGTCTAGTTCTGTGATCCCTCTTGGCTTGTGCCTTGTCTGCTCCAGATGGGGTGTCCTCTCTCTGTGCCAGTGTATCAGCCAAGGGTCCATCCAGAAAAACCCACTCAGAGTGATGTATACTAGGGAGATTTGAGAGGACCTAAACAATTTTGGAAGCTGGTTAATGCAAACTAAAAACAATTCTGGGATAGCCACAGTGGCTCACACCTGTAATCTCAGCACTTTGGTTTTTTGTTGTTGTTGTTGTTTTTGAGATGGAGTCTCGCCCTGTCACCTAGGCTGGAGTGCAGTGGCATGATCTCGGCTCACTGCAACCTCCACCTCCGGGGTTCAAGCAATTCTCCTGCCTCAGCCACCCAAGTAGCTGGAATTACAAGCATGTGCCACCACATCCAGCTAAGTTTTGTATTTTTAGTAGAGACAGGGTTTCACCTTGTTGGCCAGGCTGTTCTGAAACTCCTGACCTCAAGTGATCCACCTGCCTCAGCCTTCATCCCAGCACTTTGGAAACCTGAGGCAGGTGGATTTCTTGAACCCAGGAGTTCAAGACCAGCTTGGGCAACATGGCAAAAGCTCATCTCAACAAAAAAATGTATGAAGTTAATAATAATAATAAATAAAATGCTAAGGTCCGCGAACCACCTGAATGGACCCATCCTCTCTGCCAGGACATTCCAAAGTTAACCTGAAAAACTGGTTCAGGCCATGACAGGAAGGGAGGGTTGGACATACCTCATTATACCCTCCTCTCTTTTGGATTTCAGCAAAAGCTGACAAGCGTTAACATCAACACAGACCTTAAGTCTGATAAGAAAAACTTACGGGCCGGGCGTAGTGGCTCATGCCTGTAATCCCAGCACTTTGGGAGGCCGAGGCGGGTGGATCACTTGAGGTCAGGAGTTCAAGACCAGCCTGGTCAACATGGCGAAACCCCGTCTCTACTAAAAATACAAAAATTAGCCAGGCGTGGTGGTGCACACCTGTAATAACAGCTACTCTGGAGGCTGAGGCAGAAGGATCACTTGAGCTCGGGAGGCAGAGGTTGCAGTGAGCCAAGATCACACCACTGTACTCCAGCCTAGGTGACAGAGTGAGACCCTATCTCAAAAAGAAAACAAAAAAAGAAACACTTTCAGTCTATTATCCCTGAAGGCTGCTACCTGGAGCTTTCACCTGCATGATAAAACTCTGGTCTCCCCAACCCCTTATCATCATAACCCAGACATTCCTTTCTGTATATTCCAGGTCTTTAGATAATAGCTTAATAAGTTAACTCTGTCAACCAACTGCCATTCAGAAAATGTTTAAATCTACCTATAACCTGGACCTCCCCCACCTGCCTCCTTCCAGTTGTCCCACCTTTCCAGACCAAACCAATGTACATCTTACATGTATTTGATGTCTTATGTCTCCCTAAAATGTATAAAACTAGGCTGTGCCCCAACCACTTTGGGCACATGTTCTCAGGGTCTCCTGAGGGCTGTGTCACGGGCCATGGTCACCCTCATTTGGGCCAGAATAAATCTCTTCAAATATTTTACAGGACTTGACTTTTTTTTGTCAACATTGAACAGTCTGTAGATGGCTGGTTCTGGGGCCTGAAGTCTGCAGGGCAGGTCCTCTGGGGATGAGGATGAGGATGGATATGAAGTGGAGGAAAGCAAGGATAAACTGGGACTCTTGAGCCCAAAGCTGGAGCCAGAGGACAGATTGGAGCCCACATAGGTCTTTTAGAAAGCTTCCAATTTCAAGGAAGTAGGTGTCCTATAGGGAAAGCTAGAGCCTTCCACTATGGAACCAAACATACATCTGGCCCAAGAGTCAGAGAAGCTGAAAGAGGCTCCAGCAAAATATGGAGGAGCTGTGAGCCACGGGCTGCCACCAACAAGGTGAGCCAACAGAAAAGCAACAACACGAGCATGTGCTGGGATGGTAGCTGGAGCCTGAGCCAGTCAGCTGAGCACAGAAGGGATACAGCTGCTGTTTCACCTCTGTCTTCCAAATTCCACCCAAGATGTCTCTTGTGGGCCATGCCAGCCTGGAACTATGCAGGGAAGGGGATGCTGGGAGACATTGTTCCAGCTTAGCTCAACTGCTGCAAGCCCAGGCCACACACTTGGGATAGGACGCCCTGCTCTTGCTGGGGAATCCCCTCCATTCTTTCCCTGGAAGTCAAACTGAAGAAAACAAGCCTCCTGCCCAGGGAATTTCTTTGCTTTCATGTTTGCTTTGTTCTCTGTTTTAGTGCCACGGTGGATGTATTCCCTGCTGCCAACTTCTAGTATGGACACCTGGGTGGGTGCCTTTGCTTCTCTTCAGAACCACCCACACCTTTCTATCCTTGGACTCTCCTCCCCAGAGGGGTCATTATCCCAATCAAACACAGTTATGATGAACAGAGAATCCCTGACAGTCACCAGGGATGTCACATAAATGACAGTGTAGTTATGTCTACCACACTGTTTATTCTTGATCTGTAGGATAAGTCTAGAACCAGTTACTTTTATTTAAATACTTTAACACTTGGTGATGGCATAATCTAAGTCAGTGGTTGTCAAACTTTTGCCTGTGGCAGAATCACCTGGAATCCTCTGATTCACATTTTGATTTTCTTTTTTTGTTTTTCTTTTATTGAGACAAGGTCTGGCTATGTTGCCTAGGTTAGAGTACAGTGGCTATTCACAAGTGCAACCATAGTGCGCTGCAGCCTCAAACTTCCGGCCTCAAGCTATCCTCCTGCCTCAGCCTCCCAAGTAGCTGGGACTGCACTGTATACACCGCAGCATCCAGCTCCATCCCAAGTTTCTGATTCAGGTCTCTAAAGGGGCCTGAGAACTTGCAGTTCTATCAAGTTTCCAGGGGATGATGATGACATTGGTCTAGGAGCCACACTTTGAGAACCACTAGCCTTGAGGTTAAGAGGACAAACTTCCAGATCAGACTCCATGGGCTGGACTCCCAATTCACTATTCGTTTGCTTCATGACCATGGGCAAGTTACTCAATATCCTCATGCCTCAGTTTCTTTAAATGTAAAATGAGGACAAAAATGGCACCTACTTTTGGGGGTTGTAGTGAGACTTAAATAAATTAATCCACATAAAGTGTGTGTCCATAAAGCACTATATTCATGTTTTATCCATAAAATACTCTATCCACATTAAGTATGGATACAACATACAGTAAACACTCAACAAATGTTTGCTATTGTTTTAATTCAGCATATGTTTTGTGAGTAAGTGACTATGTAGCAAGTGCATATCGAGTTCTAGATTTACAGATCTTTCACACTCATAAAGGCTGAGTCTAGAATACACAAGTCTTTGATTTAATTTCTCAGTAACTGACATTTTCTTGTCTCTTCATACCTGTCCCCCTCATATGTCTCCAATGATTATCATTGAGCTAGGAAGCACAAGCAAATGCATTAGGAAAAAAGTATTATGATAGAAATACAGCAAGTGTCAGCTCTTTTACAAAATATTATTCTAATGGAAAAACTAGCTTTATGGCAAAGTTTCAGTTTAATTTCCTAATTGTCCAGTGGGTGGCAGCACCACACGGGAATTTCGCAGAAGCGTATTGAATTCCCATTCCCAATCTTCGGCACCAGGCTGGCTCTTTTGCAATTTAAACTCCATTTCCTGGGTCTCAGATGCTTTCCTGTCTTTGTTTACTTTTTTTTGAGAGAGAGTCTTGCTCTGTCGCCCAGGCTGGAGTGCAGTGGCGCGATCTCGGCTCACTGCAACCTACACCTCCCAGGTTCAAGCGATTCTCCTGCCTCAGCCTCCCTAGTAGCTGGGATTACAGGCACCTGCCACCACGCCCGGCTAATTTTTTGTATTTTTAGTAGAGACAGGGTTTCACCATGTTGGCCAGTCTGATATCGAACTCCTGACCTCAGGTGATCCGCCTGCCTCAGCCTCCCAAAGTGTTGGGATTATAGGCGTGAGCCACTGCGCCTGGCCGAGTTAAATCTTTATACACATGTTAAATGATTTCCTTTGGATAAGTTCTTATTACTATAATTGCTGGGTTAAAAGGTATACTTGGCTGGGTGCGGTGGCTCACAGCCTGTAACCAGGAGATGGAGGTTACAGTGAGCTGAGATTGTGTCACTGCACTCCAGCCCGTGCAACAGAGCGAGACTCTCTCAAACAACAACAAAAGGTATACTGTACTGTACATATCTTTAAAGCTTCTGACACTATTCTCAATTATATGGACAACGCTGGATATTATAATTTTAAAACTCTCTGCAGTTCTTATAAAATAACCATTGTGTTTAAAATGTTACATTAAAATTGGTTTAAAATGGTAAATTATTGTTTTTCTTTGCTTTCATGGTATATTTAACTTTCTTAGTTTATAACTCGATTTTGTTTCAAGCTCTCTATTGATTAAATGGAACAAAATAAAATTAGTTAAATGGAATTAAACTAAATAGAATTCAATTGCCAGTTTCTGTGTGCATATATCCTTCCAGAGGTATTCTATGCATTTTCCACACAATACACATTTTTCTACTCCTTGCATTTTCATATTTGTTCTTTTTTTTAAAAAAAATCCTAGATTGACTTAAAAAAAAAAAAAACTCTTCTTAACACATGTCACCTGTTACTTAAGCCTCATAATGGTGACAATAACCCAATTTCTTAAGCAGTAAGTTATTTTCATTGCCTTCTTTTCCTTTCTTGTCATTTGTCTTTTCCTCCAGATGGAATAGTAGGAAGTCAGATCCTGAGAGTCCTGGGGACCCTGAGGAACAAGCTTGCTCACATCTGTGTTTTGTGAGCAGGAAAGGCTGAACACGAAGGCCCTGGGCCGAGCTGCAGAAGTCTCTCCTCTAAGATCTGTTGGCAGAGGTAACAGGTAAGAAATGACAGATTTCTCCTTGTAAGGAAGTCCCAATCTCTCCTCCTCAACCCCAAGTTTCATTTTTCTCATTCATCTCTCCATTTCTGTTCAACAATGCTTTGCATGTAATTGACACTATACAAATGCTTGTTGAATGAACAAATTAATACACAAAAATATCAATGAATAAATGCCAACCCCAGAAATATCTGGTTATGCCTGTTTGAATAGTCCTAGAGACTTTCATCCATGTGACTGGCTTACTGTGAACCATCAATGACAATGTAGCACAAATGCTAGCGGGATACGGAGGAGTCTTTTCCTGTTAGAGCTGGAAGAGGCCCTAGAGCTTATCATATCCCAAAGTCCCAAACCAGTGAACGCTAGCAGAGTATACTTATTTACCATGCATAATCTTGTTGCTGCTGATGTTGACTGTTACTTTGGAATTAGTTACCAACATAGAAAAATTAGGAGACTTCACAAAAAGTGATTCAGGGGCTGTTTGGGGAAAAAAACTAGAAAATAGCTACAGAAAATAGCCTGGGCTGACTAGTTGCTGCCCCTCTTGCATTCTATTTTATTAGTGTATTTATTCTTCTTGGTCTTCTTTCAAGAATGGCTCCCATTTTAGATGGAGTGTGTTCTATTCATTTAATGCAGCTCCCAACCACCCCCAGTGCACCTGATGCATAGACAGGACCTGTCCAGCCCTGGTAGCAGTTGCATTTGTGATGCCTAATTTAATCCTATGCCACTCCACTACCCTTTTTTCAATAAGAAAACTGAGGCCCACTCAATTTGCCTCCCTAAAAATGTGTCTGATTTGGGTCTCATTCCTACATTGTCTTCCATCCACTGCCATAGTAAACACTGAAAAATACAGATGTAACAAGGTCACCCTTCTGCTTAAAATCCTTCGGTGGCTCCTTACTAGTTTGGAAGATCCCAGTCTTCTTGTCATGGCTAATGAGACCTTTCAATGCAAAGCCTACTTTACCAGCCTTAACTCTGACAACGCTAATAAGCCAGCCACACCAAACATCTTCAAGTTATTTTACTCTGCCATATCGTTTTGTGCCTCACTATCTCTGTCTATGCTGATCTCTTTGCCTGGAATGCCCATCCTTATCATTTGTCTGACAAACTCATGCACATTCGGCACTTAGCTCAGGCACCTGTGATTCTGCCCTGCCAATGCCTCCACCCTCCTCCTACTTCTCCTCCTCCTCCATCATCTCTGAGCCATAGGGCTAAGCTCACACCTCTATTTATAGCTCTTAGAACAGTCAGTTATAACTTCCCTACTAGAGTATGTGCTCCTTGAGGGAAGAGACCACAGACCATTCATTTTTATCTTCTGCATTTTTTCCCAGTGTTCAATAAATGTTGAATAAACAAATGATTATCTTGCTCCAGGTGACTTTGTTAGTGACCTAGCTGTGAGAAAATATGGTCTTCAAGTTTTAAAGGAATCCTTTAAAGGTTTAAAAAAAGTTTTAAACCTCATTTTGGCCTCAGCTTCCCAGTTATAAAGTTAACCCCCAAATGTCATTTGACTCCAGATAATTAGCATAACCCAATCCTGGAAATTCAATACTTCTTGCTAGTGTTTGGTTCGTGGATGAGCTTGTAATGAAAACCTGGTTAATAAAACATGAGGGAATCCTGCTCTCAGGAAGACAGTTCTGAGACATTTTCCTCTATCCAAAGAAAAGCCACAGAGCAGATGCCTCCTCCCTTTATCTTTTGGATATTATCATTTCAAAATACTATGTATGGAAGTGCTGACGGCATCTTGCCATCAACCTGAAAATAAAGCCAATACTAGTGCTGGGAGAATGGAGAGATGGAAAAAAAGCTTGGAACTAAGGCATCAAGAAGCCGCTGAGCCACCAACCCTGATTCTTGTTCCATTGCTACATCAAATAACACATTTCCTCCTCGTTAAGCCAGTTTAAGTCAAGACTGAATATTTTAATTTGGAACTAAACCATACTAGCTGATACAGTTCTTCAGTTCCCATTATAATTCCTAAAATGACTACATATAATCCTCAACTTTCTAATCCCTTTGTTAGTCTATGAATAGCCTAATTAATCAGGTAAGCTTTGGATGATCTAAAATTAGGCACCAAGAAGGGGGAAGGGGCATGACCAGAGATTCCTTAACTCTCTGTTTTCTCCTTGTCAGTCCTATACATGGCTCTTAATAAATAAAGTACATCTTAGAGTTGGCCATGAGTGAGTCTCATTCCATCATTCCCTACCATGAGCCATGCTGTCAGCTCCTCTGCAACTTTCAGTCACACTTCTCCTTCCTAACAGCACCCAGATTTTGTTCACAAGAAAACCCATCCTTCTCACAGCCACAATACCCCTACTTGTAAAGATAGGCCTGATTCTTCCACAGACAATCCCACTGACCCTTGTCAATGATCAGCTATGCGTGGTCCTGTAACTGGGTTCTGGCCAATGAGACAGGAGGAGAATTTATTAGGAAGCTTCTGGGAAAACCTCCCCCAATCCTAAAAGAGAGCTATAGGAGAAACCGTCCTTATTCCTCTTGACATTGCCCTGTCAGAATGTGAATACGCCAATTACTGCTGCCATCTTGTTATGAGCTTGAGGATGAAGCTGACAACAAAAACATCAGAAGAATGATGGAAGGAATCCAGATCCTTTTTTTGAGACAGAGTCTCACGTTGTCACTCAGGCTGAAGTGCAATGGCACGATCTCAGCTCACTGGACCTCCATCTCCCAGGTTTAGGTGATTCTCTTCCCTCAGCCTCCCAAATAGCTGGAATTACAGGCATGCGCCACCACCCCCAGCTAATTTTTGTATTTTTTGGTACAGACGGGGCTTCACCATGTTGGCCAGGCTGGTCTCGAACTTCACCTGCTTTGGCCTCCCAAAGTGTTGCGATTACAGGCGTGAGCCACCACACCTGGCCTGGAATCCAGGTTCCTGATAGCACATTGAGTTGTTGAATTGTTGAGTTGACCAATCCTGAAGCACTTCCTAGTCTAGTTGGGGATTTTAGTAATGTATGATAATGCATTATCTTATTTTTAAGCCAATTCAATTTAGACTTTCTGATACTTGTTCTTAAAACATCCAAAAGATACATCCACAGAAAAGGAAGAATGTGCCTTGCAACCATTTGTTACTTTCCTTACAGCTCTGAGATATTTTTGTATATTTTGTTTGATGGGTGAAGATCAATTTTTCACTAAGGGTCTGAAATAGGAATGAGGTGACCTTAAAGGGATATTTTGGAATCAGCTACTCTTCAGTTCTCTTTTCCAACAGAAATCAAATGGTACGTAAATGTTTTAGTTAAGATAGCATAGGATATGATACAATATCAAATTCCCAATACCAAATTTTGACGTCTGGCTCACCAACATCAAAATTCGATGTTGGTGAGCCAGAGTTCTCCTCCATCTGGTGACTCAGGAATCCAGGCTTCTTCTATCTAGAAATGGTGCCCTTTCAATATAGGGCTTTCAGGGTCACCATGGCAGGGAACAAAGCACATGGAGTTAACACACCAGTTCTTAAACATGTCCATCTAGAAGAGACACACATCTCTTACGTTCACATTTCACTGGCAAGAAGCAGACACGTGTCTTGCCTAATGACTAGACAGCTGGGAACTGTAGTCTCCCCTTATTCCTACAAAGGAGAGGTGAGCCACATATGATAAGCTTTATCATTTATTTATTTTTTAACTTTGCTATTAGATTTTTGAGACAGGATCTCACTCTGTCACCCAGGCTGAAGTGCAGTGGCACAATCACAGCTCACTGCAGCCTCAACCTCCTGACCTCAGGTGATCCTCCCATTTCAGCCTCCTGAGTAGCTGAGACTATAAGTGTGTGCCCCACATCTGGCTAATTTTATTGTTATTTTTATATATGTAGAGACAGAGTCTCACTGTGTTGCCTGGGCTGATCCTGAACTCCTGGTCTCAAGCGATCTTCCCACCTCAGCCTCCCAAAGTGCTGAGATTACAGGTGTGAGCCACTGTGCCCAATGATAAGCCCTTTTAGTCTCTACCACAGTGTCAAAATTTATTTTTTAGTTTTGGCTGGGTGCAGTGGCTCACGCCTGTAATCCCAGCACTTTAGGAGGCCGAGGTGGGTGGATTCCGAGGTCAGGAGATCGAGACCATCCTGGCTAACATGGTGAAACCCCATCTCTACTAAAAATACAAAAAATTAGCCAGGTGTGGTGGCGGGCACCTGTAGTCCCAGCTACTTGGGAGGCTGAGGCAGGTGAATCGCGTGAACCTGGGAGGCAGGGGTTGCAGTGAGCCAAGATCGTGCCACTGCACTCCTGACTGGGTGACAGAGAGAGACTCCGTCTCAAAAAAAAATTTTTTTTTAGTTTTATTTTAAAAATGACTATTTCAGCTGGGCACAGTGGCTCACGCCTATAATCCCAGCACTTTGGGAGGCCGAGGCAGGCGGATCACGTGAGGTCAGGAGTTGGAGTCCAGCCTGACCAACATAGTGAAACCCTGTCTCTACTAAAAATACAAAACTTAGCTGGGTGTGGTGGTGGGTGCCTGTAATCCCAGCTACTCAGGAGGCTGAGGTAGGAGAATTGCCTGAACCCAGGAGGCGGAGGTTGCAGTGAGCAGAGATCGTCCCATTGCACTCCAGCCTGGGCGACGAGCAAAACTCAGTCTTAAAAAAAAAAAAACTATTTCATGAAGAGGAACCCGAGGAAGTACTTGTTATAAAAATTATTATGTAAAATTATTCGAAATTAGATCAGCAGGGCCGGGAGCGGTGGCTCAGGCCTGTAATCCCAGCATTTTGGGAGGCCGAGGCGGGCAGATCATGAGGTCAGGAGATCGAGACCATCCTGGCTAACACGGTGAAACCCCGTCTCTACTAAAAAATACAAAAAATTAGCTGGGCGTGGTGGCGGGCGCCTGTAGTCCCAGCTACTCGGGAGGCTGAGGCAGGAGAATGGCGTGAACCCGGGAGGCGGAGCTTGCAGTGAGTCAAGATCGTGCTACTGCACTCCAGCCTGGGTGACAGAGCGAGACTCCGTCTCAAAAAACAAACAAAAAAAAATCAACAACTCTTTTTAGATCCATAAGAGAAGTGGGGTCACAAGGTAAACTGCTGCCCTAAAAACTGGAGAGAGACAGAGAGTCATAATTTCCCAAAGCAGAAACCGGTATACAGATTCCTCCATGGGAACCAGTGCCAGGGTAGGAAAACATAAATTGTAATTGATGAATTTCGGGAGTGGTCAAGTCTCAGAGTCAAAAGCTTCAGGGGACCCAGTGGTAGGGGGTTCATATAGTTTTGTGAGTTTTATTCCCAGGAGCTAAAACAGGACTTAAGGTGAATATTAGAAAAAAAAAAATTCCCTTGTGCTTCTGGCAGTGGGAGGGGAAAAGGAACCATTTTGAAAAATACCAAAGCAGCGCGGCTCAGTGGTTCACGCCTGTAATCCCAGCACTTAGGGAGGCCGAGGCAGGCAGATCACTTGAGGTCAGGAGTTCAAGACCAGCCTGGCCAACATGGTGAAACACCGTCTCCAATAAAAATACAAAAATTAGCCTGGTATGGTGGTGCGCGCCTGTAATCCCAGCTACTTGGAGTCTGAGGCAGGAGAATTGCTTGAATCTGGGAGGCAGAGGTTGCAGTGAGCCGAGATCGCACAATTGTACTCTGCACTCCAGCCTGGGCGACAGAGTGAGACTCCGTCTCAAAAAAAAAAGTAGAAAAATACCAAAGCATTCTGTTCTTTTTAACAGGTCTGCCCTCAGGAGAAACTTACCAGAGTATTATCTGCTGGGGTTTTATCAGAGCCTAACTGACCTGGGGGAAGGGAAATACCCAACCCCAGCCCAGTCTAGCTGGAGTGTATTAGTCTGTTTTCACGCTGCTGATAAAGACATACCCAAGACAGGGAAGAAAAAGAGGTTTAATTGGACTTACAGTTCCACATGGCTGGGGAAGCTAATGGTGCACTTCTTATATGGCGGCAGCAAGAGAAAATGAGGAAGAAGCAAAAGCGAAAACCCCTGATAAACCCATCAGATTTCGTGAGACTTACTATCACAAGAATAACACGGGAAATACAGGCCCCCATGATTTAATTACCTTCCCCTGGGTCCCACCCACAACATGTGGGAATTCTGGGAGATACAATTCAAGTTGAGGTTTGGTGGGGACAGAGCCAAACCATGTCACTGGAGTAAGCTCATGAATTATCCTCATGCCACCTAAGGGGGAGGAACAAAATTGAGCATCATGAGTAAAGTTCACAGTCCAAAGGCACAGGCTCACTGAAAGACTGAGACCTCATCCTAGGATTAAAGGACGCTTTCTCTCATGAGAACTCCCATGCACTACCACCACATTACTAATGGCCTATTTATAGCAGTTCTTTTTATCTAGTCGCTCATGTCTGGCTATTAATAAAAAATTACAAGGCATACTGAAAGGCAAAAAACACAGTTTGAAGAGACAGAGCAAGCATTAGAAACAGACTCATACATGGCAGGGATGTTGGGATTATCAGACCAAGAATTTAAAACAACTATGATTAATATGCTAAGAATTCTAATGGATAAAGTAGACAGATTGCAAACACATGTGGGCAATGTAAGAAGGGAGATGGAAATTCTGAGAAAGAATCAAAAAAGAAATGCTGGACATTAAAAACTAACAGAAATGAACAATAACTCTGATGCACTTGTTAGGAGATTCAGCAGGTCTAAGGAAAGAATTTCTGAGCTTAAGAATTTCTCAAAGACATTGCCAAAACTGGGCCAGGTACAGCAACTCACACCTGTAATCCCAACACTTTGGGAGGCAGAGGCATGTGGATCACTTGAGCCCAGAAGTTCAAAAACAGCCATGGGCGACATAGGGAAAACCCATCTCTACAAAAAGACTTAAAAAAAAAAATTACCTGGCCATGGTGGCATGCACCTGTAGTCCCAGGAGGCTGAGGTGGGAGGACCACTTGAATCTGGGAGGTTGAGGTGGCCATAAGCTGAGATTGCACCACTGCACTCCAGCCTGGGTGACAGAGTGTCTTAAAGAAAAGAAAAAAGTGGCCAGGCATGGTGGTTCACATCTATAATCCCAGCACTTTAGGAGGCTGAGGCAGGTGAATCACTTGAGGTCAGGAGTTCCAGACCAGCCTGGCCAATATAGTGAAACCCTGTCTCTACTAAAAATACA
Source organism: Homo sapiens (assembly GCF_000001405.40). Lineage (NCBI taxonomy): Eukaryota > Metazoa > Chordata > Mammalia > Primates > Hominidae > Homo > Homo sapiens. Next base: position 39,905,058 of record NC_000007.14, read on the forward strand.
AAAATTAGCCGGGCATGGTGGTGTGCGCTTGTAGTCCTAACTACTCAGGAGGCTGAGGGAGGAGAATTGCTTGAACCCAAGAGGTCGAGATTGCACTGAGCTGAGATCATGCCACTGCACTCTAGCCTGGACAACAAAGTGAAACTCCACTCAAAAAAAAAAAAAAAAGAAGAAAAGAAAAGAAATTGTCATAATTGAAAAGCAAAGATAAAAAAGACTAAGGAAAAACCAGTGCAGAACACCCAAGAACTGTATGACAACTAAAAAAGGTATAACAGCATGTAATGGGAAATCCAGAAGAAGAAGAGAAAGAGAAAAGAAAAGAAGCAATATTATGACATAATAAAGGCTGAGAATTTCATCAAATTAATTTTTTGTTGTTGTTGTTGAGATGGAGTTTTGCTCTTGTCACCCAGGCTGGAGTGCAATGATGCGATCTCAGCTCACTGCAACTTTGGCCTCTGGTTCAAGCAATTCTCCTGCCTCAGCCTCCCAAGTAGCTGGGATTACAGGCACCCACCACCATGCCAGGCTAATTTTTGTATTTTTGGTAGAAACGGGGTTTCACCTTGTTGGCCAGGCCAGTCTCAAACTCCTGACCCAGGTGATCCTTCTGCCTCAGTCTCCCAAAGTCCTGGGATTACAGGCGTGAGCCACTGTGCCCGGCCCTAGAATTTCATCAAATTAATGTCAGATACCAAACCACAGATTCAGGAAGCTCAGAGAACACTTAGCAGGATAAATGCCAAAAAAATACTACAGCTGGCATATCATATTTGAATGGAAAAAAATCAAAGAGAAAACAAATCCTGAAAGAAGTTAGGAGGGGGAAGAAAACCTTAGATATAGAGGAGCAAAGATACAAATTACATCCAATTTATCTCAGAAACCATACAAATAAGAAGAGAATGGAATGAAATATTTAAGATTTGAGAGAAAAAAACCCTAACGTAGAATTCTGTACCCTGCAAAATTATTCTTCAAAAGTGAAGAAGAAACAAAGACTTTCTCAGATAAATGAAAATTAAGGGAATCTGTTGCTCTTGCAAAAAATGTTTTTAAAATTTCTTTAGAGAGAAGGAAAACAATATAAGTCAAAAACTCAGATCTACATAAAGGAAGAACGTCAAAGAAGGAATAAGTGAAGGTAAAATAAAACTTCAAATTTATATTTCTAATTGATCTAACAGATAGATATATACACACACATAAACATATATACATTTATGTAACATATATAAGCAAATATAAACACATGTATATGCTTATGTATAAGTGAAATGAATGAAAGCTATTATACAAGTGATAGGAGGGAGGAATTAGAATTATTTTGTCATTATAAGGTACTTGTACTACCTGTGAAGCACTATAGTGTTATTTGAAAGTGGACTTGGATTAGTTATAAATGTATATTGCAAACTCTTTTTTTTTTATTTTTCACTGCCTGTTTCGAGGAAGGTATATTGCAAATTCTAAAGCAACCACTAAAAAGAAGTTAAAAAGGTAGCATAACTGATAAGCTGAGATTAAAAAATGAATTCTATAAAATGCTACCACTCCTGCCATGAAACTCAGGACAAGCATGGAAGACAAAAAGAACAAGGACAACAAATAAAAAACAGTAACAAATATGATATATATTAACCCAATGTCAATAATTACTTAAACATCGATGGTCTAAACACACCAATTAAAAGACAGATTGTCAGAGTGGATCAAAAAGTAAGGTAAAGGCCAGGCACAGTGGCTCACATCTATAATCCCAGCACTTTGGAAGGCTTAGGTGGGCAGATCACCTGAGACTAACCTGGACAACATGGCGAAGCCTTGTCTCTACTAAAAATACAAAAATTAGCTAGGTGTGGTGGTGCACTCATGTAATCCCAGCTACTCAGGAGGCTGAGGCAGGAGAATCGCTTGAACCTGGGAAGCAGAGTTTGCAGTGAGCTGAGATCATGCCACTGCACTGTAGCCTGGGTGACAGAACGAGACTCTGTCTCATAAGAAAAGTAAAACAACAACAACAAAACAACCCAAAAATTAGGCATGGTGACACATGCCTGTAATCCCAGCTACTTGGGAGGCTGAGGTACAAGAATCACTTGAACCTGGGAGGCAGAGGTTGTAGTGGGCCAAGATTGTGCCACTGCAGTCTAGCCTGGGTGACAGAGAGATACTGTGTCTCTCAAAAATTTTATATATCTTTATATATATATAAAGATCCAACTGTTTGTTGTCTACAAAAATCCACTTTAGATATAAAGACATATAGATTAAAAGTAAATGGATGGAAATAATAAACAAAATTGACAAGCCAACTAAGAAAAAAAGAGATAAAACCCAAATAAAATCAAAAGCAAAAAAGGAGACATCACTACCAATACCACAGAAATACAAAGGATCATTATGGACTATTATGAACAACTATACACCAATACATTTGAAAACTTAGAGGGGGTGGATAAATTCCTGTACATGCAACCAGCCAAAATTGAACCAGGAAGAAATAGAAAGCCTGAATAGATCAATAGCAAGTAACGAGATTGAAGCAGTAATAAAAAGTCTCCCAACAAAGTAGGATTTGTTAGCTGTGGCCAGGGATCAGAAGAATAATTATTGTTAAAATGATTGCATTACTCAAAGCAATCTACAGATTCAATGCAATCCCTACCAATATACCAATAACATTTTTCACAAAAACAGAAAAAAAAACCCTTAAAATTTGTTTGGAATAACAAAAGATACTGAATAGCCAAAGTAATCTTGAGCAACAAGAACAAAGCTGGAAGCCTCCCACTATCTCACTTCAAAACATACTACAAAGCTGTAGTAACTGAAACAGCATGATGCTGTCATAAAAACAGACACAGAGACCAATGGAACATAATAGAGAACCCAGAAAGTAATCCAGATATCTACAGTCAACTAAATTTTGACAAAGATGTCAAGAACACTCATTGGGGAAAGGACAGTCTCTTCAATAAATAGTTCTGGGAAAACTGGACATCCATATGTAGAAGAATGAAACTAGCCCCCCACCTCCCACCCTATACACAAATCAACTCAAAATGTATTAAAGACCTACATTAAAGGTTGGGTGTGGTGGCTCATGCCTGTAATCCTAACACTTTGGTAGGCCAAGGAGGGCAGATCACTTGAGGTCAGGGGTTTGAAACCAGCCTGGCCAACATTGCAAAACCCTGTCTCTACTGAAAAATACAAAATTTAGCTGGGCGTGCTGGTGCATGCCTGTAATTCCAGCTTGAGAGGCTGAGGCACGAGAATTGCTTGAACCTGGGAGGTGGAGGCTGCAGTGAATCAAGATTGCGCCACTGCGCTCCAGCCTGGGTAATGGAGTGAGACTCTGTCACATACACACAAAAATATTTAAATTAAAACCCAAAAGTATAAATAAGACTACTAGAAGAAAACATAGGGGAAAAATCTAGTTTCCAAGATGGTGGATTGGAGGCATTGTTAGCATGCCTCTCTCACTTGGAAAGACAGAATAGTGCATACAGGCCAGGTGCGGTGGCCCTCACTTGTAATCCCAGCATTTTTGGAGGCTGAGGTGGGCGGATCACCTGAGGTAACAGAGACCAGCCTGGACAATATGGTGAAACACTATCTCTACTAAAAATACAAAAATTAGCTGGGTGTGGTGGTGTGCACCTGTAGTCCCAGCTACTCGGGAGGCTGAGGCAGGAGAATCACTTGAACCTGGGAGGCAGAGGTTGCAGTGAGCCAAGATTGCGCCACTGCACTCCAGCCTGGGTGACAGAGCAAGACTCAGTCTCAAAAAACAAAAAAAAAAAACAAAAACAGACAAAAAAAGAATAGTGCATACAGATTTACACTGTGAATTTTTTTCCAAGAAGCAACACAGAAACTTAACAAGGAAAACTGAAAGAAACCAATTACCCTGTGAAGGAAGCAGTGAGCAGCAGCCTACATCATTAGGCAGGCAGAAAACTGAATCTCCAAGAGTGAGAGAAGGAGAGACTGCCTCTGTGATGTTCACTCCCACTGGGCAACCCGGCAATCCAGGCCCTGGGGCAAGGCCTTAACTCTACCCAGTGCTGGAGCTGATTTAGTGAGCTGTGGGGAGTATGTGAGAAGGAGAGGCATTAGGATGTGCTTTGTGTGCACTCCCAGACTCCAGTGGAGACGGTGGGAAGCCATTCCTGATCCTAGCTCATAGGGGACCTCATGGAAGTCAGCCAGCTATCTCAGGCAGCATTCACAGGTTGAGAGAAGCTCGCAAATGAGATTTGCAATATAATCTCTTTTTTTTTTTTTTGTGATGGAGTCTCGCTCCGTCACCTAGGCTGGAGTGCAGTGGCACGATCTAGGCTCACTTGAAACCTCTGCCTCCTGGGTTTAAGTGATTTTCCTGCCTCAGCCTCCTGAGTAGCTGGGATTACAGGCATCTGCCACTATGCCCCGCTAATTCTTGTATTTTTATTAGAGATGGGGTTTCACCATGTTGTCCAGGCTGGTCTCGAACTCCTGACCTCAGGTTATCCACCTGCCTCAGCCTCCCAAAGTGCTGGGATTGCAGGGGTGAGCCACTGCACCCAGCTGTGATATAATCTTGAGCAGGGATGAAACCCTTTGGCCAGAACTGAGGGACAAGTGGGAAGTTTGCCATAGCCATGGGTGCAGGAGCTGGGTGCCCCTGCTTCACCAGGGCAGACTGGGAGAGGCATGACCAGAAAGCCAAGGTTTCTGTTCCAGTGGGGAAGGCTTATGACCTGGGGCAGTACTGAGTTCTGAGCACAGGCTGTCTTGAACCCAGGTAGCTGCTGCTACTAGAACACAGTGGGTGTGAGACTTGCCTTGCTAAGTGCATGGGAGCTGGGCAGGGCTTACTGCTGCCTGCAACCCCTCAGTCCCCATGTGGATTCTTCTGTGCAGCAGAGGTAGTTGCGCTACTCCCTGGAACATTAACCCAGTGGCCCCAGAACTGTACTCCGATTTCCACTGTGGCTGCTGCTTGCACCCACACATGGAGAGCTAGAGCACAGACTTGTCTGACCCAACCCCCCATCTGGCTTTTCTCCTCCACCTGCCCTGGTAGCTTAACACAAAGGACAGGGACTTTTGGAAGCTCCATGGTCCCACGCATTGCCTAAGATACCAGAGTACCTCCCCTGGGTAACATAAGGCAAGCACAAATCCCACCACTACTACCGCAGCTTGCACTCTTTCGCAAGTGCCACCTCCTGGCTGGAGGCCAACCAACACAGTCCATTTCAGCATCTGCAGACACAATAAGACAACAGCCAGGAAGGAGAAAACTTTTGTCCAACCTTAGGTATCACCACTGCCTTCATCATTCTTGCTAACCAGGAGGCCTTGCATCTGTCCACATGGCCAGCACATTACTACTACAGCTGGAATTTGAGAAAGCCAACACATTAAGGCTATTTATAACCAGGGAAATCTCACAGAGTCTACATCTCTCCCCTGCCACCCCCATCAGAGCTGATACTGGTTCTTACTGCTGGGAGACTAGATGACAAGCCATATTACTAGATCCCTTGCAGACACTTCCCAGCACCAGCCTGGAGTGTGGCAGCCTCGTAGAGTGGAAGAGCACCAAAATTCACAGTAGTCCGACCCTCAGGGACTTCTACTCCTATGGAAAGGGGAAGTGCACTACGACAAGGGAACACCTCATGGGACAAAATAATTCAGACTGCAGGCCTTGAGTCACAGAACTTTCTGCTTGTGGGAAGGTGCAGTGCTGGGCACAGGTGCAGAGGCGTAGGTGCAGTGCTGGGCTCAGTGAGGAAAGTCTGTAGCTCTACCCCAATAGTCAGGCAGCCCTAGTGTGCATGAAGAGTCTTGGAAAAGGACACTTCTTCTCCCCCTCAGCCATCACTGCACACGTAGCTGAGGTTTCTCCCATGGAACCTCGGCATGGGTATACCTGTAGATAGTCCTGGAACTCTTCAGGGTGACTGCATCCCCACAGGAGGAGTGCCCTCCAGGTTTAGCCTTGCATGAGGGGTAGAGTCACAATCCACTTCTACATAGAACATCAGCATTTTTTTGCAGATGAACAGAGGGGCGTATCTAACCTAAATAGCTGGAACACTGAGCCAGGAGTGTGACTAGTAGGTAAACTGCTTCCCGGCTGGGGTGGTAGGGAAGCTGAGGTGGCTCCCTCCCTTCCCCCTGACCTCAGTGCGTTTTGCTGAGAGCTCCCTCAGTCACCTCTGTCAAGACTGGGACCTCTGCCCACCATTAGGTATTACATTTACCCACCTGCTTTAGCCACAGCTGGTTTTTACTCATGGACATCTCCTACAGGCCTAAAGCCTGAACTGCTTAACTCAATGAATAATACACTGGGGAAAGTAAATAAATAAATAAAGTGCATACCACTGGGGAACAAGATAAGCCTCATGAGACCTCTGCCATTCCAGCCCTTCAGGAGACAGTGAACCTACTCACACACTGAACACATTGCTACTACAACTAGCATCTGAGAAAGGCATCACACAAAGACTCTCTGTGACCAAGGAACTCATACAGCATCTTCTCCACTGAAAGCACATACAGCCAAATTAGGTTGCAATAAACTGTTAACATTAAAGTCACATTCTCAAGAGGGGAAAAAAAAGAAATAAGGCAAAAACACAGTTAAATCAAAAATAAATTGAAAAAATAATTATAAGAAATAGTCTGCCCAAATGAGAAGGACCCAGAAAAATAACTGTAGCAATATAAAAAACAGGGCTCCATAACACCACCAAAAGATCACACTAACTCTCTAGCAATGGATCCAAACCAAGATGAAATCTTTGAAATACCAGATAAAGAATTCAAAGGATTGATTATTAGGTTACTCAAGCAGATACAAGAGAAAGGTGAAAAACAAGATAAAGACATTTTTAAAACAATTCAGGATATGAAAGAAAAATTTTCTAAAGAGATAGACATTTTAAAGAAAAACTAATCTGAACTTCTGGAAATAAATGACACATCTAGGGAATTACAAAATGCAATGGAAATTTAACAATAGAGTAGACCAAGTAGAAGAAAGAATTTCAGAGCTTCAAGAAAAGGCTTTTGAATTAGCCCAATCAGACAAAATAATTTTTTAAGTTTTTTTAACTTGAAAAAATGAACGAAGTCTCAAAAAAAGTCAGATTATGTTAAAACATCCAAACGCAAGAATCATTGGTGTTCCTGAGGAGAAGAAAAAGCAGAGTTTGGAAAATATATTTGAAGGAATAATTGAGGAAAACTTCCCTGACCTTTAGACATCCAGATACAAAAAGCACAAAGAACTCCTGGGAGAATCATTGCAAAAGGACATCATCAAGGCATATAGTATCAGGCTATCTAAAGTCAATGTGAAGGAAAGAATTGTAAGAGCAGTGAGACAAAAGCATCAGGTAACCTATAAAGGAAAACCTATCACACTAATGGTAGGCTTCTCAGCAGAAAATTTTTAAGCCAGGAAGGACTGGGGTCCTATCTTTAGTCTCTTTAAGCAGAATAACCATCAGGCAAGAATTATATATCCAGCAAAACTAAGTTACATAAATGAAGGAGAAGTAACATCTTTCTCAGATAAGCAAATGCTGAGGGAATTTGTTACTACAAGAAATGGTAAAAGGAGTTCTAAATTTTGAAACAAAAGGTCAATGCTCCCTGGAATAGAAACTTTTGGGCCAGGCATGGTGGCTCACACCTGTAATCCTAGCACTTTGGGAGGCCGAGGTGGGCAGATCATCTGAGGTCAGGAATTCAACACCAGTCAGGCCAACATGGTGAAACCCCATCTCTACTAAAAATACAAAAATTAGCCTGGCATGGTGGCACATATCTGTAATCTCAGCTACTTGGGAAGCTGAGGCATGAGATTCGCTTGAACCTGGGAGGCAGAGGTTGCAGTCAATTGAGATTCTCCCAGTGTACTCCAGCCTGGGCAATAGAGTAAGACTACATCTCAAAAAAAAAAAAAAAAAACTTTTGAAAGCATAAAATTCATAGGGCATATAAAGCAATAACAAGGAAGAAACAAAGTAGGTAACACAATGAGAAGAACAATAGCTCACATCTCAATATTAACATTGAATGTAAATGGTCCATATGCTCCACTTAAAAGATACAGATTGGTAAAATGGATAAAAAGTCACAAACCAAATATCTATCTTCAAGAGACTCACTTAACATTTAAGTATTCTTTCAACTCAACATAAAGGGGTGGAAAAAGAGATACCATGCAAATGGAAACCAAAAGTGGGCAGGAGTAGCTATTCTTAAATAAGACAGACTTTAAACCTAAATATATATGCTCCTAACTCTGGAGCTCCCAATTCATAAAACAATCACTACTAGAGGTAAGAAGAGATAGACAGCTACACAATAATAGTGGAGAACTTCAACACACCACTGTCAGCACTAGATAGATCATTGAGGAAGAAAGTCAACAGAGAGACACTGAACTTAAACTTCCCTCTAGAAAAAAATGGACCTAACAGACATTTACAGAACATTCTAGCCAAGAACTGCAGAATATACATTCTTCTTATCACCACATGAAACACTCTCAAAGACAGACCATATGGCCAAAAAACAAGTCTCAATAAATTATTAAAAATTGAAATCATATCAAGTAACTTCTCAGACCATAGCAGAATACAACTAGAAATCAATTCCAAAAGGAACACTCAAAACTATACGAATACATGGAAATTAACCTATCTGCTCCTGAATAATTTTTAGGTTAACAATGAAATCAAGATGAAAGATTTTGTTTGTTTGTTTGTTTGTTTGTGATAGGGTCTCACTCTGTCACTCAGGCTGGTGTGCAGTGGCGCAATCTTGGCTCACTTCAGCCCCAAACTTCTGGGCTTAGGTAATCCTCCCACCTCAGCCTCCTAAGTAGCCGGTACTACAGGCACACACCACCATGCTTGGCTAAGCTGTTAATTTTTTATAGAGACAAGGTCTCACTATCTGCCCCGGCTAGTCTCAAACTCTGGGGCTGAAGCGATCCTCCCACTTTGGCCTTCCAAAGTGCTGTGATTATAGGTGTGAACCACTATGCCCAGCCTCAAGATGAAAATTTGAAAATTCTTCAAAATTGTTAACAGCTGGGCATGGTGGCTCATGCCTGTAATCCCAGCACTTCAGGAGGCCAAGGTGGGCAGATCACTTGAGCCCAGGAGTTTGCGACCAGTCTGGCCAACATGGTAAAACCCTGTCTCTACTAAAAATACAGAAAATTAACCAGTCATGGCGGTGCATGCCTGTGGTCTCAGCTACTCGAGCAGCTGAGGCACGAGACTTACTTGAACCCAGGAGGTGGAGGTTGCAGTGAGCTGAGATTGTGCCACTGTACTCCAGCCAGGGTGACAAAGTGAGACTCTGTTTTAAAAAAAAAGTAATGATAACAATGACACAAGTGATCAAAATCTCTGGGATACAGTAAAACCAGTGCTAAAAGGAAAGTTTATAGTACAAAATGCCTACATTAAAAAACGTAGGCTGGGTACAGTGGCTCACGCCTGTAATCCCAGCACTTTGGGAGGCCAAAGCGAGAGGATCATCTGAGGTCAGAAGTTTGAGACCATCCTGACCAACACAGTGAAACCTCGACTCCACTAAAAACAAAAAATTCACCAGGCATGGTGGCACATGCCTGTAATCACAGCTACTCAGGAGGCTGAGGCAGGAGAATTGCTTGAACCCGGGAGGCCGAGGTTGCAGTGAGCTGAGATCACACCATTGCACTCCAGCCTGGGCAATAAGAGCGAAACTCCGTCTCCAAAAAAGTAAATAAATAAATAAATGTAAAAGATGGGCCAAGTATGGTGGCTTATGCTTGTGATCCCAGCACTTTGGGAGGCCAAGGCAGGTAAATCACTTGAGGTCAGCCTGGCCAACATGGCAAAACCCCATCTCTACTAAAAATACAAAAATTAGCTGGGCATAATGGTGCATGCCTGTAGTCCCATCTACCCAGGAGGCTGAGGCAAGAGAATTGCTTGAACCTGGGAGGCAGAGCCTGCAGTGATCCAAGGTCATGCCTCTGCACTGCAGCCTGGGTGACAGAGCAAGACTCTGTCTCAAAAACAAAAACAAAAAAAACAAAGTAAAAGACCACAAACTTAAAACCTAACATGACACCTCAAGGAAATAGAAAAACAATAACAAACTGATTAAGAAACAAACCATCCTAAGGAAAAATAAAACCAAGAACAAACCAATCCAAAACTAGCAGAAGAAAAAGAATAACAAAGATCAGAGCAGAACTAAATGAAATTGAAACCAAAAAATACAAAACATCAATGAAATGTAAAAGCTGGTTCTTTGAAAAGATAAACAAAATTGATAGTCCATTAGCTAGATTAACCAAGAAGAGAGAAGACTTAAATAAGCTCAATTAGAAATGAAAATGGAGACATTGCAACTGATATGCAAAACGACACAACCACATTGGAAGGCAGTTTCACACTTTCCTTCCTTCCTTCCTTCCTTCCTTCCTTCCTTCCTTCCTTCCTTCCTTCCTTCCTTCCTTCCCTCCCTCCCTCCTTTCCTCCTTTCCTCTTTCTTTCTCTTTCTTTCCTTTTCTTTCTCTCTCTCTCTCTTTCTTTCTTTCTTTCTTTCTTTTTCTTTCTTTCTTTCTTCTTTCTTTCTTTCTTTCTTTCTCTTTCTCTCTCTTTCTTTCTTTTTGATGTAGTTTTGCTATTATTGCCTAGGCTGGAGTGCAATGGCACAATCTCAGCTCACTGCAACTTCTGCCTCCTGGGTTCCAGTGATTCTCCTACCTCAGCCCCCCAAGTAGCTGGGATTACAGGCGCCCGCCACCATGCCCAGCTACTTTTTTGTATTTTTAGTAGAGATGGGGTTTCACCATATTGGCCAGGCTGGTCTCAAACTCCTTATCTCAGGTGATCCACCCGCCTTGGCCTCCCAAAGTGCTGGTATTACAGGCATGAGTCACCGTGTCTGGCCAGTTTCACAGTTTCTTATGAAATGAAAGCATGTAACACATAGCTATTACCATCCCTGCTTCTGAGACAGGTCATGAAGTCTAAGCAGGTGATAACCATAACTGCTGTCTTCTTTTTTTTGAGACAGAGCTTCGCTCATTTTTTTTTTTGAGACAGAGTCCCGCTCTGTCACCCGGCTGGAGTGCAGTGGTGAGATCTCGGCTCACTGCAAGCTCTGCCTCCTGGGTTCACGCCATTCTCCTGCCTCAGTCTCCTGAGTAGCTGGGACTACAGGCGCCTGCCACTGAGCCCGGCTAATTTTTTTTTTGTATTTTTAGTAGAGACGGGGTTTCACCGTGTTAGCCAGGATAGTCTCGATCTCCTGACCTCGTGATCCACCCGCCTCGGCCTCCCGAAGTGCTGGGATTACAGGCGTGAGCCACTGCGCCCGGCCAACTGCTGTCTTCTACAACTCATTTCATGTTCCCTTACCCTTTGATAGCACCTTAGCTAAATGGGGTTCTTTACCTGACAGGGTGACTCGGACCTTTATTCCTACAGGATTTGAGTCCTTAGTGACCTTTTTCTTGTGTGCTACTATGGTTTTTCATTGACTAAGACAATTGGCCAAGTGAGTGCTAAGAGGCAGCGCAGTGAATCCTCTGGGTTTCAGACATAGCTGTCTGTCTTCTCTGGGTCGCAGCAACTCAATTTTTCCCTGGTAGTCAGGATTGATTACTCCAGTCAACACAGTAACCCCATTTTCTGCATTCCTCCCTTGGGCACTAGGACCTGTAAATACACAGAAGCCAATGTCACAGGGACAAAAAGCAAAAATTCTTCAAGGTTATGGTGCCATAGTGAGAGGGATCACTGCCATCTCCAACCTTGGTTCCTAGGCTCATGCATTCAGGCTAGGAAAATGAGGACATCATGTGCTGGTCACTGGGTTATAAGCATACCTCAATTTGTAGGTCAGAAGCCCACCCTTACAGGGTATTTTCTCCCAGCTGACATTAGGATTTCAGCAGAGCATTCATTCTACTGTTCTATCAAACCAACTACTTTTGTGTAGTGAGGTCTGTGGTAAGATAAGTGAAGTTCACAGATGTTGGGTTCATTGTTCCACTTCCTTTGCCATAAAATTCATGCCCTCGTCTTAGGCAGTGTTGCACGGGATATGAGGGTGGTGGATAAAGTATTCTGAGAGTCCAAAAACTGGTGGAGCTGGCAGAAGCACTGAGGATAGGGAAGATAAATCTACACTCAGTTTATGTGTCTACCCTAAACCTAACGCTATTTGGCTCTCTGGTCTGCCCCAGGAAATGATGCCATGTCAAGGGCTTAGAATTGTCCTGTGCTATTGGAAGATTGGGCACTCAGCATTGGTGGTAGCCCTAATGAGGGAAAGCCCATGTTGTTGAGCCCATGCGCAGCTTTCATTCCTGTCTGTACATAGGTCCACAAACTCCATGAGTGGCTGGGGAAAGAAACTCACTGACATTCATAGGCCAAGGCATCTTGTCCATCTGATCATTAAGAGCCTCTTTGTTAGTAGATACCCTCTGGTGGGCATTTACATGGAACATGAATATTTTCACACTTTGTGCTCATTCCAAGAGCTTCACCCACATGCATCTTCCCCAGATCTCCTTCCCACTGGTTTTCCAAAATTAATCCTTCTAAGTCCCTGACCAACTGGGTCACTGTCCATGTGTTACTACAGTTCTGTCCCTCAGGCTACCGCTTCTTCCACATGTAGTGGACAACTAGATGCAACATCTAGCACTCTGCCCATAGGGATTTCCCTTCACTGTTGTCTCTCTAAGCCACCCTTCAGTGGAGAGATGGTGTAGCAGCCACACACTTCCAGCTGGGGATGGCCTAAAGGCAGAGCCATCAACAGAACTGGCCTATGTGTTTCTTCTTCCTCTATTAAGTGGCTGTATGAAACTCCTCAAAAGGGACTGGTGTGAATTGAGAAAGAGGCAACAAAGCAGTAGGAGTGGTAGCATGGGAGTCTGTGCTGCCTGCTCATGCAGGGTGCTGTGTCTTCCAGACCTGCTTACCAAGCAGATCATAACATTTCCATTTTATAAGAAACCTGCTGTTGGCCGGGCACAGTGGCTCATACCTGTAATCTCAGCACTTTGGGAGGCTGAGCCAGGCGATCACTTGAGGCCAGGAGTTCGAGACCAGCCTGGCCAACAGGGTGGAACCCCGTCTCTACTAAAAATGCAAAAATTAGCCAGGTGTGGTGGTGCACACCTGTAAACCCAGCTACTCAGGAGGCTGAGACATGAGAATCGCTTGAACCCAGGAGGTGGAGGTTGCAGTGAGCCAAGATTGCACCACTGTACTCCACCCTGAGCAATAGAGTGAGTAAACTGTGTCTCAAAAAAGAAAAGAAAGAAAAAAAAAAAAGAAAGAAAGTAAAAGAAACCTGCTGTGTGCAATTTTTAGGTTTTAGTGGAGCATATAATACCCAGTTCAGGATGGCCAGTCTGGGTCATAGGTGTCTGTCAGAGCCCAGTAATAATCTAGGAGGGTATTTTTTGGTTTTGGTTTTCAAATAGAGAATAGTTAAAGTTCTTTCAGGAGCTGAGTCCCTCCAATAAGGGACAAAGCTAGCCCATGATGACTTCTTAGAGAGGACATTGGAGGAATAAATATCTCAATCTCACTTTCCCCCCTCTCTCTGGTCTCCTTCTGGGTTTGCCATGGACTGAACTCAAACAGAAACCAGAGAGAAAAAAGTTCACCAATGATTGTAGACCATCTGTCACCCTCCGAGGGCATAGAGTAGGGTGGAGAGTGGATCTGGAGGGGCAAATAGATGATGTCCTGCACAGCAGATGAATGTAATCAAGGAAGAACAGAGAACAAAGAAGAAATTGAAAGATGGGAAAATTAAGCTGGATAAGGGGGGTGGTGAGGATGTGGCAAGAAAGTGATGAGAAAGACACAGGATCCTACAGCTCTAGGTGGAAAGGAAGGTATCTAAGTGGGGATACTAGAGTAAACTGGAAAGACAGAAGGTGCCCATCGAGAATGGAATTGATGAAAATAAAAGTTATTGGTTATGGTAAGGTTTTGAGCAGCCCTGGCCAATACAACTTTCTATAATGATGGAAATATTCTTTATCTGTGCTATCAAATACAGTAGTTACTAGCTGCATGGAGCTACTGATCATTTGAAATGTGGCTAGCATGAGTGAGAAATGAAATTTTTAATTTTATGTAATTTTAGTTAATTTAAATTTAAAGTCCAGGTGCGGTGGCTCACACCTGTAATCCCAGCACTTTGGGAGACTGAGGCAGGGGGATCGCTTGAGGTCAGGAGTTTGAGACTAGCCTGGGCAACATGGTGAAACCCTGTCTCTACCAAAAAAAAATATAAAAATTAGCCAAGTGTGGTGGTCCCAGTTACTCAGGAGGCTGAGGTGGGAGGATTGCTTGAACCCAGGAGGTGGAGGTTGTAGTAAGCCAAGATCGTACCACTGCATTCCAGGCTGGGCAACATAGCAAGACTCTGTCTCAAAACAAACAAACAAACAACAAATACATTTAAATAGCCACACATGGCTAGTGGCTACTGAATTGGAGAGCACAGGACTAGAGTATGAGCATGTCAGCTGCTTTATTGGGAGGTGTAATCCCAGGGAAGCAAAGAGTAATGGAAAAAAGGAAGAAAGAGAAACAAACCCAGTGCTGCCATGGGCATCAGGGAGGTCAGGCCAAAGCCAGGCACTCACCCCAGGGGAGTGTGAGTCAACTGTGGGTCAGCTGTGGTGTTAGGAGACCAGACGAGCTCCACCGAGCAAGAGGCCAAGGTCCAAGGGTAGGGCAGAGTGGGGCCAAGTGAGTCTGGATGGGGCACAAACTCAGTCAGGTATATTGTGAGTGATGTTGAGCAAGTCACTTAAGCCCTTCAACCTTTAGTTACCTCTTCTGTAAAATGGGTAATATTAGTACCTACTTCATATACTGGCTCAGATTATTCATTTATGTTATCCAGTATTTTTACAAGAACTTTGTAAAAATAAGCGAGGCAGCTATCATTCTTGCCATTTCACAGCTGTGGAAACCGAACCAAAGAGAGATTAAATGAATATGACTTACAAATGGCAGAGCCAGAGCTTCATCTGACTCTTAGCCTTTTACTCCTTCCACCATACCACACTTCCCCTTGAGCTTTCATCAGTGGACTGAATTTCAGAACTTAAGAGACACATAGTGAGGCATAAAAGAGAGTTAAAAATTATACTTGGGGGCCGGGCACAGTGGTTCATGCCTATAATCCCAGCACTTTGGGAGGCCGAGGCAGGGGGATCACCTGAAGTCGGGAGTTTGAGACCAGCCTGGCCAACAAGGTAAAACCCCATCTCTACTAAAAATATAAAGTTAGCCAGGCATGGTGGCACATGCCTGTAATCCCAGCTACTCAGGAGGCTGAGGCAGGAGAATCGCTTGAACCTGGTAGGCGGAGGTTGCAGTGAGCCAAGATCACGCCATTGCACTCCAGCCTGGACAACAAGAGTGAAACTCTGTCTCAAAAAAAAAAAAAAGAAAAAAAAATTACACTTGGGGCTGTACACAGTGGTTTACGGCCGAGGTGGGTGGATCCTTTGAGGTCAGAGGTTTGAGACCAGCCTGGGCAACATGGGGAAATCTTGTCTCTGCAAAAATACAAAAAATTAGCTGGGCATAGTGGCATGTGCCTGTAGTCCCAGCTACTTGGGAGGCTGAAGTGAGAAAATGGCTTGAGTCTGGGGGCAGAGGTTGCAGTGAGCTGAGATTGTACCACTGCCCTCCAGCCTGGGTAACAGAGAGATCCTGTCTCAAAAAAAAATTATACTTGGCTGCAGCTATTATAAAGGATAAAATGTGTGTCCACCAACGTGCAATTCTAAAATTTCTTAATTTATTTTATAAAGTAAAATGTACTTTGATGATGGCATGTACCCGTAGTCTCAGCCACTTGGGAGGTTGAAGCAGGATGATCGCTTGAGCTCAAGAGTTCGAGGTTATGGTGTGCTATGATCACACCGGCCTGGGCGACAAAACAAGACTCCACTTCTAAAAATAAAAATAAAAGATTAGAGACAAAGCCTCACTCTGTTGCCCAGGCTGGGGTGTGCTGATGCAATCATACTTCACCGCAGCCTCAAATTCCTGGGCTCAAGCGATCCTCCAACCTCAGCCTTCTGAGTAGCTAGAACAGGCATGTGCCACCACGCCTGGCTAATTTTAAAAAAATTTCTGTAGAGACAAGATCTCCTTATGTTGCCCAGGCTGGTCTCAAACTCCTGGGCTCAAGCGATCCTCCCACCTCAGCCTCCCAAAGTGCTGGGATTATAAAAAAAGTGACCAGCTTGTGTTTCTAAATTAAAAAAAAAGAAGTACTTTGAAAGCGGTTTACAAGTATATTTTTTGAAGTACCCAAAAACATCTTTGATTTGAATTCATTTATTTCTGTTGAATTGCAGTGACTGGTTAAAACATAAAACAGAAGACTTATTCTTCCAAAAAATGTTTAGGGGCCCCAATCTCATTTGTTAGGAAAGTGCAACAGGAGAGCTGCTATCGTTGAGATCACACTTGCTCTGACTTGTCAAGAGTTACTTCTTGTGTCTTCGTCCCGCCAAGTAACAGGCTCAGCTATCATAACCTCTAATCCCTTGGATCCAGCTGCCCTTCAGACTGTCAGAGCCTGAGCCACGTAGCTCCCATGCACAGCAAGCCTCTTTCAGATCTGAGTGTTGCAAGGAAATGACAATGGAATGAAGGGATTAAAAGCAAAGACCCTCCACACTCCTCTGAGTAGAACTCAATAATTACAATGAGCTGTGAACTGTTAAATGTTTGCACTTTATGCAAATACAGAGAGATTTCAAAAGTCTTTTAAAAATAGGGTTATTACTTGCCAGCCTTCAACTCTCTGAGTAAGACGATATGGGAGTGACGCTAATGTGCTAGAGGTAGGCAGGGCTCTTGAAGAAGCCTCCATTCCCAAAAGCACAGTGTAATGATGAGCCAGCTCATGACTGAAGACTTGTCCTGTGAACTTTATGAACTTCAGGCTGTGGAAACAAACTGGCACCTGCAAATGGAGTCGTTACACTGAGAAACCAATGCTGGAAGGGAAGAAAAGGTCACCCAAATGTTAGATTGAGTCAGGTGTCCTGGACGTCCGGAGCCTCCTCATCATGCAAGAGGACAAATGGGAGTGCTGTCTTTTTTTTTCTTTTTTAATTGGACCCACTGAATGGAAGGAGTGCTGCCTTTACAGTATGACTCCCTTCACCTTAACTCAGACCGTGGGGCAGGGCCAAAAGGTACAATGATCATCAATATTGTTTTCTTTCATGGGGAGTTAACTGGTGGTCTACTACTGATGTAAACACTTATATGAATTGTCTCTAAGGACATTTTTCTTTTAATTGTTTCTTTGTCAGGCAAGGACATGTTTTTGTTTTAGGGAAGAAGAATCTAAAATATAATATACCCTGTGATGATGGTATGCTATAGAAACACATTTCAAATAAACTTTGCAGGTTGGGCACAAGGGCTTATGCCTGTAATCCCAGCACTTTGGGAGGCTGAGGCAGGAGGATCACTTGAGCTCAGGATTCAAGACCAACCTGGGCAACGTAGGCAGAAGCAGTCTCTAAAAAACCAAAAAATTAGTCGGGTGTGGTGGTATACACCTGTGACCCCAGATACTGGGGAGGTTGAGTGGAAAGATTGCTCGAGCCTGAGAGGTCAAGGCTGCAGTGAACTGTGATTGCACCACTGCACTCCAGTCTGGGCAACAGAGAGAGACCCTGTCTCTAGATACATAAACCTTCCCCCCAAAGAGATAAAAACTGTGCTGTCAGAAAGGAAACAAGTCTGCTTTATGTTTTTATGTTTTTGTGCCCAGAGTAGTCCCCTCCATACACACAGTAGGACTCAACAAATCTTTGTCATCAATGTTGATAATGAAAAGTCTTGATCTGGCCCAGTGTGGTTGTTCATACCTGTAATCCCAGCACTTTGGGAGGCCAGGGTGGGAGGTTGCTTGAGGCCAGGAGTTTGAGACCAGCTTGGGCAATATAGCAAGATCCTGGACAATATAGTTAGACCTCTCTGTCTCTACCCCAAACAAAGTGGGGGCAGGGGGGGCTTGATTAAAAAAAGAAAAATTGTCCTGGGCTTTCTGAAGTAATGGCTAGGGAATGAAAACATACATGCTTTGACTTTACATTATCTCATGAGGCGTTAACCCAGCTGTCCTTTCCCAAACAGCTGTGAAAAAAATGTCTCAAAACAATTGTGTGTTCTTTAGACTATTTTTCCCATTTCATCCCATCTCCATTCTCAAGCATTTACAAATACTGCTTAAGTTTCTATTCCTTGCTAGTTGTATGATGTTGAGAAAAGTGAATAATTTCCTTAAATTTTATTTCCACATCTGTGAAATAGGAATGATAATAATGATACCTACCTCACAGGGGTGTTTTGAAAAGTAAATGAGTTATTGCCTGTGAATGTTTTCAGCCGAATTCTCAGTGTACTGTAGCTATTCATAGGATTATCGGATTTTAAAAATATGCAAAAATGGCAGTTAAGCTTTACTGGTGATATTATAATTTTTTTTAAGGAAAAGGGAAAGGAGCAGAAAATAGTCCATATTTTGAAAAATATTTTAAAAGAAGGTGAGTGACTTGGTACCCAAAACATTTTTCTCAGATTTAGGTCAGTCTCCTTTTTCTGGTCAGTTTGAATTTTCTTTCATTTGTGAAGGATTTCATTTAAATCAACGACCTTTATAAATCTAGATTTTTTTCAGAGAAATACAAAAACTTATCAGGAAAAAAAATTTCACAGCATTTCTGGTTTTTATCTGTCTCAATTGATAGATTCTTATCATTTCTTTTATAATTTTCTTGTAAAATGGGGCATACTGTTAAACTTTCATAAATCCTCTCATTCTCAATTAAAATTTTTCACAAAAAAAGCTCTTGCAATAAGTTTCTGCTGGTATGTACAGAGACGAACTTGGAAATCAAGTCTTTTTAAAAATCATGAGCATGAAGAAATAGTCTGTGAATGCCTACTACTTTACACAACATGCTGAGCAATGGGAAAATAATTCATGTTTTTGGGAAACTTATATTCAAGTTGTTCAAAAGAAAAGTTAGGAGAGTTGATTATGAGTACAGTGTTCTATGAGAAAACAATCCTCTTTCCTTGGTAGAACTTTGTTCTTTTTTGTTTTGTTTTGTGTAGTTCTGGTGTTAAGGTCTAGGACACCCCCTGTGGGAAGTGGGGAAGAGGGCAATTGAATTGTAAAGGGATCTAAGGGTAGGAAGAACTTGATTATTCATCAGGCTTGGGATTTGCCTATTTTATAAATGAGCTGAGAACTAAAGTCATTATTTAGAAACAAAAGAAGGCGCAGTGGCTCACACTTGTAATCCCAGCACTTTGGGAGGCCAAGGCGAGAGGATAGCTTGAAACCAGGAGCTTGAGATCAACCTGGCCAATATGGCAAAACCCCATCTTTACAAAAAATACCAAAACTAGTCAGGCATGGTGGTGGCATGCTTGTAGTCCCAGCTACTCAGGAGGCTGAGGTGGGAGGATCCCTTGAGCCCAGGAGATAGAGGTTGCAGTGAGCTGTGATCATACCACTGTACTCCAGCCTGGATGACAGTGAGACCCTGTCTCAAAAAAAAAAAAAAAGAAAAAAGAAATAAGGCCGGGCATGGTGGCTCACACCAGTAATCCCAGCACTTTTGGAGGCCGAGGAGGTTGGATCACCAGAGATCAGGAGTTCAAGACTAGCCTGACCAAAATGGTGAAACCCCATCTCTACTAAAAATACAAAAATCAGCCGGGCATGGTGGCACTTGTAATCCCAGCTACTCGGCAGCCTGAGGCAGGAGAATCGTTTGAACCCGGGAGGCAGAGGTTGCAGTGAGCCGAGATCGCGCCATTGCACTCCAAGCTGGGCAACAGAGCAAGACTCCATCTCAAAAAAAAAAAAAAAAAAAGAAACAGAGAAGAAACTTTCTCAGTAAGAAAATGCAACTTTTATGGTCATAAAGTTATAAATCCTCTAGTGACATTAGTGCCAGATGATAATAGGTGAAGAAGCCAAACTATGATGAGTTATCCAAGAAGGTGCTGTGGAAATACCCAAGGTGATATACAACTCAGCCTTGAAAGGGTGAACGGCGTCCCTTCCTGGAGAGAGGAGACCTAAGCTGAGTTTTCATGGATAAGTAGAAGTTGGCCATGGGAAAGAGGACTGGAAAAGGAAGGAACAACACACCCAGGAGCTCAGGTTCAAGGACAAGCAAGCACCACATTTGTGTTGATTAGAGAGTTGAGAAAAGAGGCCACAAAGTGATCTGAGATCAGATCCAGAAAGACTTAATGCAGCTGGGCATGGGATTCCATCCCTGGAATCCCAGCCCAGCACTCTGGGAGGCCAAGGCGAGAGGATTACTTGAGTTTAGGAGTTCAAGACCAAGGCTGGGTGTGGTGGCTCATGCCTGTAATCCCAGCACTTTGGGAGGCTGAGGCGGGTGGATCACCTGAGGTCAGGAGTTTGAGACCAGCCTGGTTAAGATGGTGAAACCCCGTCTCTACTAAAAATACAAAAAAAAAAAAAAAAAAAAAAAAGATTAGCTGGGCGTGATGGTGCCTGAAATCGCAGCTACTTGGGAAGCTGAGGCAGGAGAATCACTTGAACCCAAGAGGCAGAGGTTGCAGTGAGCCGAGATCATACCACTGCACTCCCGCCTGGGAAACAAGAGTGAAAAGTCCGTCTCAAAAAAAATAATAATAATAAAAAAAGAGCAGCAGGAGTTCCAAATCAGCCTGAGCAACATAGTGAGATTACATCTCTAGGAAAAACAAATGACAACCCTGTATTGAAGACAATGGGGATCCAGTAAAGGATTTATTAGGGGAAGGCCTTAAGCAGATTTGCCTTTGAGCAAGGTCCCTCAGGACTAGTGTGGAGAACAGATTGAGGAATATAATCTGGCTATTTGTCTAGTTTTCATAAGTGTCATAAAGGGAAGAAAGTGACATATAATAAACCTATTTCTAAAGTTTAATCTAATTTTAATTTCTTAATATTGCTCTCAGAAACATCTTTAGTAGAGATCTTTAGTAATTATACTACTTAACTATATCAATTCAACTTGCAAACATCATGTAACTATATACTGCTACTGTGGTGGTAGGTTTTTATAAAAACAAGAATTTCTAGATAATCTGGGTGTTGTTCCAGAGATGATTTTCCCCTTGTGCAATCTCTATGGGCTGATTCCTTTGGATTTATCATTTGAAATAATTAGTCATGCCATATGTCATGAACAATTGTATAATTAAAGAATCTATACTTCCTTTATGAAAAGCACAAAATAGCTCCATGAAATATGGGTGGCACTTATGAGTTTTCTCATAGATGATTTCAAAATGACATGACCTGAATGGATTCTTAATTTTTTGGTTCCTCCATATTGTAAAACTTAACAGATTACCTTACTCAATTGTTTCATTTCCACAGTTTAAAGCATACTGAAGATTAAAGACTCTGTGGCTGGGTGCAGTGGCTCACACCTGTAAACCCAGCACTTTGGGAGGCCGAGGCAGGCTGATCACCTGAGGTTGGGGGTTTGAGACCAGCCTGACCAACATGGAGAAACCCCATCTCTACTAAAAATACAAAATTAGCCAAGTGTGGTGGCGCATGCCTGTAATCCCAGCTACTCAGGAGGCTGAGGCAGGAGAATCACTTCAACCCGGGAGGTAGAGGTTGCAGTGAGCTGAGATGGCGCCTTTGCACTCCAGCCTGGGCAACAAGAGTGAAACTCTGTCTCAAAAAAAAAAAAAAAAAAAAAAAAATTAAAGACTCTCATGACCTTCATAAAGATAAATTCTGAGGGACATAAAAGTGCATTTTGTCGGTTCTTCCAAATCTGCTAAGACCTATTTTCCTTCAGGGAGAGATAATGTCTTTTGAACTCTTCCAAATTTTTCCAGCTATTGGCCTCTTCTGTTATTGCTGGCAAAAAATGCAGTTATCCTTACTTTCAGAGTAAGTTCCTGGCATGCCTAATAATACCTACCTGTCTTTCAAGCTCAAGGAATAAAAAATAACTCATAATGGAAAGCAACAGTCACCTGCCCCACCCCTTACGCCATTTTCCAGAAGCAACTACTTTGAATCATTTTGTTGCTATTTCTTAATTAATCAAGTTTAGACATCTTTTTACTTCCTGCTATGAGTTGAAAATTCAGCACACTTGCCGGGCACGATGGCTCACGCCTGTAATCCCAGCACTTTGGGAGGCGGAGGCGGGTGGATCACGAGGTCAGGAGATTGAGACCATCCTGGCTAACATGGTGAAACCCCGTCTCTACTAAAAATACAAAAAATTAGCCAGGCGTGGTGGCGGGCACCTGTAGTCCCAGCTACTCAGGAGGCTGAGGCAGGAGAATGGCGTGAACCCGGGAGGCGGAGCTTGCAGTGAGCCGAGATGGCGCCACTGCACTCCAGCTGGGGCAACAGAGAAAGACTCCATCTCAAAAAAAAAAAAAAAGAAAAAAGAAAATTCAGCACACTTATACCACACCTCAGCTCACTTACCTCTCTTCTCAATTCTGTTAGTCATAGCCAATTCAGTATTTATTAGTACTTTCTCTACCGCAGAGGTTGCAAACAGATGGTCTGCAGGCTAGACTTGACTGTAGGTATATTTGGTTTGGATTGTAGTAATTTTTTTTAAAGCCAACATTGAAAAATTATTAGATTTATTATTTTTTTAATCCAAATGTTGGCCCAGCGTGGTGGCTAACACCTATAATCCCAGCACTTTGGGAGGCTGAGGCAGGAGGATCACTTGAGCCCAAGAATTCAAGACCAGCCTAGGCAACATAGTGGGAACCCATCTCTACAAAAAAAAAAAAAATAGGAAACATTAGCTAGAGGTGGTGGTGTGTGCCTGTGGGCCCAGCTACTCATAGGAGGCTGAAGCGGGGGGATTACTTGAGCCCAGGAGGTCCAGGCTTCAGTGAGCTGTGATTGCGCCACTGCACTCTAGCCTGGGCAATAGAGCGAGACCTTGTCTCAAAAAAAAAAAAAAAAGAAAGAAAATGTTTAACTTTTCACAAAAAGTCAGTTGTAGCACATATGAGTTTCCTAGCATTGCTATAACAAAGTACCACAAGCTGGATAACTTAAAATAGTAGAAATATATTCTCTCACAGTTTTGGAGGATAGAAGTCCAGAATCAAAATGTTGGCAGAGCTGTGCTCCCTTAGAAAGATGTTTTCTTGCTTCTTCTTAGCTTTTGCAAGCAATCCGTGGCATTTGTTGGCTTGTAGTTGTTATTACTCAAATTTCTGTCTCTGTCTTCTCTTGGCTTTCTCATGTGTGTGTGTGTGTGTGTGTGTGTGTGTGTGTGTGTGTTTCCAAATCTCCCCTTCTTGTCAGGACATTAGCCTTTGAAGTTAGGGTACATCCTAATCCAGTATGACTTCATTTTAACGAATTACATGAGCAAAGACCTTATTTCCAAATGAGATAACCTTATGAGGTCCCAGTTGGACATGAAATTTGTGGGGGGATAACCAGTACATGAAAAATATAGCCCTTATCCCAAAAATTAATCCCATTAAAATTAATGATCAAGTGGCTGTACTCTCCAGATGTGGCAGGTGCCAGCTGGTATGCCAAAGTTCTCAACACACCCAAGAGGTAAACACACACACCCATGCTTGAGCCCTGTTTCTTATTTATATTACTTGCTTTGCTCCTATAAGCATTTCAATTTGTTTACCATGCTAATTGGTTACCGTTATAACATTAAATAATATACCAAAACTCCTATTTCTTTCTTTCTTTCTTTTTTTTTTTTTTTTTTGAGATGGAGTTTCATTCTTGTCGCCCAGGCTGGAGTACAATGGCGTGATCTTGGCTCACTGCAACCTCCGCCTCCGGGGTTCAAGCAATTCTCCTGCCTCAGCCTCCTGAGTAGCTGGGATTACAAGCGTGCACCACCACGTCCAGCTAATTTTTGTATTTTTAGTAGAGACAGGGTTTCACCATGTTGGTCAGGCTGGTCTTGAACTCCAGACTTCAAGTGATCCACCCACCTCAGCCTCCTAAAGTGCTGGGATTACAGGCGTGAGCCATGACGCCTGGCCTCCTATTTAGACTTTTGTCAATATTTCATGACTCTCTTCCTGTTTTTGTAAGACCAGGACATTAGATTTTCCCACTTTTTCCTCTATCTCTTCTCACAAATTTTCTATTTCCTTTCCATCTCACAAATTTTGTTAGCAACACCTCTAATTATTGTTGTGGGTTGAATTGTGTCCCCTCAGAATTCATATGTTGATGTTCTAACTCCCGCTACTTCAGAATCTGGCCTTATTTGGAAATAAGGTCCTTGTAGATGTAGTTAAAATGAGCCCCTAATGCAACATGAATGACATCCTTAAAAAGGGGGAGATTCGGAGACAATCGTACACAAGAGAGAAAGACATGTAAAGATGAAGGCAAAGACTGAAGCAGCAGGAGTCAAGGAATGCCAAAGATTGCATTGAACTTGAGAGAGAGGCATGAACAGATTCTCCCTCACAGTCTTCAGACAGAACCAACCCTGATGGCATCTTTGTCTCAGTCTTCTAGCCTCCAGAACTATGACACAAAAAATTTCTGTTGTTTAAGGCCCTTTTATGTTACTTTGTTTTAGCAGCCCTAGCAAACTGATACATCTATGTGTGTTCAATGTTATAACATCTATATTGTGTTGTGAAATTTTTTTTTTTTTTTTTTTTGAGAAGGAGTCTCGCTCTGTCACTCAGGCTGGAGTGCAGTGTCATGATCTTGGCTCACTGCAACCTCTGCCTCCCGGGTTCAAGCCATTCTTCTTCCTCAGCCTCCTGAGTAGCTGGGACTACAGGTGTGTGCCACC
This sequence comes from Homo sapiens, assembly GCF_000001405.40. Taxonomy (NCBI): domain Eukaryota; kingdom Metazoa; phylum Chordata; class Mammalia; order Primates; family Hominidae; genus Homo; species Homo sapiens. The sequence continues at coordinate 39,930,001 of NC_000007.14, forward strand.
ACGCCCAGCTAATTTTTGTATTTTTAGTAGAGACGGGGTTTCACCATATTGGTCAGGCTGGTCTTGAACTCCTGACCTCAGGTGATCCACCTGCCTCAGCCTCCCAAAGTGCTGGGATTACAGATCTGAGCCACCGCTCCTGGACTGTGTTGTGAAAATTTAAGTAACTCTTGTGTTCTACCATCCTCAAATGTCTGCTGATCCTGGGTTATCCATTCATATTTAAGACTGAGTCAGTAGAATTCTGCTTCCACTTATGGAGTGGTGTCAGTATGGAGCTTACTGTGCTGCCATAGAATACAGAAAACAAAATGTGTGAAATCAGTGTTTTAAGCTCTTTCTTTTTTTTTTTTGAGACAGAGTATTGCTCTGTCACCCAGGCTGGAGAGCAGTGGTGCGATCTCAGCTTGCTGCAACCTCCACCTCCCAGGTTCAAGCGATTCTCATGTCTCAGCCTCCCAAGCAGCTGGGATTACAGGCACACATCACCACACCTGGCTAATTTTTTTCTTTCTTTTTTTTTTTTTTTTGTATTTTTAGTAGAGATGGAGTTTCACCATGTTGGCCAGGCTGGTCTCAAACTCTTGGCCTCAAGTGATCCACCTGCCTCAGCCTCCCAAAGTGTTAGGATTACAGGTGTGACCCACCACGCCTGGGTTTCTTTCTTTCTTTGTCTTTTTAGACAAGGTCTCACTCTGTCACCCAGGCTGGAGTGCAGTAGGGTGATCATAGCTCACTGCAACCTTGAACTCCTAGGCTCAGGGGATCCTCCTGCCTCAGCTTTCTGAGTAGTTGGGACTACAGGCACAGACCACCACACCCAGCTAATTTATTTTTATTTATTTATTTATTTATTTATTTATTTTATTTTGGTAGAGACAGAATCTCACTTTGTTGCCCAGGCTGGTGTCAAATTCCTGAACTTAAGCGATCCTCCTGCCTCCGCCTCCCAAAGTGCTGGGATTACAGGTGTGAGCCACCACCCCCAGCCCTAAACCATTTATTTTTAGCCACTGAAAGAAAGGAAATCAATAAGGTGTGTCTTTTGATTGTTGCGGCTTCCTTCCTAAAGGCAATTCCTGGCTATGGCACAGAGAAAAGAAGCACAAACATCACTGAGAGATCTCACTGAGTTAATGAAGTAGAGATAAAAACATGGTATATTTTACCTGCTCTAGACATTTAAAAAAAAACAACTTGGGGAAGCTGAGGTGGCTGGAATTTGTGGGGCAGAGTTCCAAAGAGGGAGATATGCAGAGAAAGAGATCCAAAAGTTTGCATCACCTTCATTATTTGGCAGAATCTAATGTGTACTATGTGAGGTGAAATGACACAAGGCTGAGCGGAGAACAAAGTCTGGGAGCTCTAAGCTAAACAAGTCCTAGAGGTCACACAGGGCTAAGAGACGTTTGATCTCCTTGCCAGAGTGAAAAGAACTTCAGAAAAACCTGGGCTTTCAGGCCGGGCACAGTGGCACGCCTGTAATCCTAGCACTTTAGGAGGCCCAGGCGGGCGGATCACCTGAGGTCAGGAGTTCGAAGACCAGCCTGGCCAACATGGTGAAACCCCATCTTTACTAAAAATACAAAAATTAGCCGGGCATGGTGGCGCATGCCTGTAATCCCAGCTACTCAGGAGGCTGAGGCAGAAGAATCCCTTAAACCCAGGAGGTGGAGGTTGCAATGAGCCAAGATTGTGCCACTGCATTCTAGCCTGGGTGACAGAGTGAGACTCCGTCTCAAAAAAAAACAAACAAACAAAAAACAAAAACCTGGGCATTCAGCACAGAACCAACAATTGTTATGTCTTAGTGGTAGAGCTAAATATGTCTTAGAATTAAAACTACTTTAGATTTGCCTTAACAAAGTTTGAAAGTAGGTCTTGAAATGATCAAGCTGATATCCAAGTAACTAAATTACCCGCCAAACAAATTCAACATTCATTAAAAGAAGACAACAAAATCCAAATACTCCACACTATAATATTCACAATGTTCAACATCTAGTGAAAATTTGCTAACAAGATGAAAATATGACCCCTAATGAGGGGAAAAATTAGCCAATAGAAAAATACTCAGAAATGATAAACATAATATTAATAGAATTAACAAAGACTTTAAAATAGCTATTATAAGTATGTTTAACGTTTTAAAGGAAAACATAAAAATAATAATGAGACTGGGTGTGGTGGCTCACACCTGTAAACCCAGTGCTTTGTAAGGCTGAGGCAGGGGGATTGCTTGAGGCCAGGAATCCAAGAATAGCCTGGGTCAGACCCCGCTCTACAAAAAAAATTTAAAAATCAGCCAGGCATGGTGGCACATGCCTGTAGTCTTAGCTACTCAGTAGGCTAAGGCAGGAGGATCACTTGAGCCCAAGAGTTTGAACTGCAGTAAGCTATGATCATGCCACTGCACTCTAGCCTGGGTGCCAGAGTGAGGCCCTATCTCTAATAATAATAATAAAAATAATGAAATGAAAGATTTTTTAAAAGAATCAGATGGAACCTCTAGAGGTAAACAATACGATATGTGAAATGAAAACTTCACTGGTCGGCTTTTGTGTGTACATAAATTAATTTTTAAAAAAAGAAAGAAAATTTCACTGGATGAGCTTAATAACAGTTCAGATACTGCAAATGAAGAGATCAGTGAACTTGAAGACACAGCAGTAGAAATTGTCTACATTGAAAGAAATAGGCTGGGTGCGGTGGCTTACTCCTGCAATCCCAGGACTTTGGGAGGCTGAGGCAGGTGGATCACCTGAGGTCAGGAGCTCGAGACCAGCCTGGCCATCATGGCAAAACCCTGTTTCTACTAAAAATACAAAAATTAGCTGGGCCTGGTGGCAGGCACCTGTAGTCCCAGCTACCCGGAAGGCTGAGGCAGGAAAATTTCTTGAACCTGGGAGGTGGAGGTTGCAGTGAGCCCAGGTTGCACCACTGCACTCCAGCCTGGGCGACAGAGTGAGACTCGTTTCAAAAGAGAAAAAAAAATAAAAAAAGGCTTTTATATTACCTGTATATTTATCAGTTCTGAAGTTTATTATTTCTTTGTATAAATCTAAGGTTTTCTGCAGTCATTTCCTTCAGCCTGAAAAATATTCTTTATATTTCTTGTAGTGCAGGTCTTCTGGAGACAAATTTGCTCAGCTTTTGTTTGTATGAAAAAGTTTTTATTTTGTCTTTAGTTTGGAAAGGTATTTTTATTAGATATAATAAAAACGAAAAGGGTTAAATATGGGAAATGGGATTTTTTTAGGGCACTGAAATTATTCTGTTTGATGCTATAATGGTGATACACGAATGTTCATGGCTGACGTGAACTGATAGCCCCAACCTAGAAAAAACTCAAATGTTCAATCACAGGTGAATAGATAAGCAAATTGCGGTACTGTATATCCACTGTATACTGTGAGGTACTGCTCAGCAATAAAGAGCAATGAACTGATACGAGCTATGACACGAGGAATCTGAAAAACATTATGCTGAGCAAAAGAAACTGGAACCACATACTCTGTGATTCAGTTTATAAGAAACTCTAGAATATGAAAACAGATCTACAGTTAGTTGCCTGGGCAGGGTGGTGGTGGTGGGCATTGATGGCAGAGAGGCTGGAGCCAACTTTTTATTTTTATTTTTGTAAATGAAATATTCTTTACTTTGATTGTGTGGTAATTATATGCTATATATATTTGCCAATATATTATGCATAAACTATGCATCTATAAAGTTGACTTTTTTAAAAAAGAAGACAACATCAAGACTGATTTGTGCACAAAAGATGAGATTCTCAATGACAAGTATCCCTTGAGAATACAGGTCAAGGACTGGCTTTTATGCTGGAAGCTTCCCACATATCAGAACGGAGAGATTTTCTCTGTTATTCCAACTCTTCCCTGGTATCCCTAGTTCTCTCTATGCAGTTCTTTTGAGAGGAATTCTCCTGCTCGTATAGACTAAGTATTTGTGTCCTTCTGAAATTTATATGTTGAAACCTAATCCCCAGTGTGGTTGTGTCTGGCTTTTGGGAGGTGATTAGGTCATGAGAGTTGACCCCTCATGAATGGGATTAATGTTCTTATAAAAGAGACCCCAGAGACCTCTTTTGCCTCTTTTGCCATGTGAAGACACAATGAGAAGACAATGTCTATGAATGAATGCAGGCCCTCACCAGACACTGCATCTGCTGGTGTCTTGATCTTGGACTTTCCAGGCTCCAGAATTGTAAGAAATACATTTCTGTGGTTTATAAGCCATCCAGTCTATGGCATTTTGTCATAGCAGCCTGAATGATTGAGACACCTGCCCTTTTCAACCTTCACCACCATCCACCCTGGCTGCAAACTATTCTGTGCTTCAGGGCTCAGGTCAGAGTCAGTCTGTTCCCTGTCCACCTTTAAACCATTCTGTTTCGGCCTCACTTCTCCCTCTTTCTTTCTGTAATACTTTCAATATCCAAGTCCAGAACCTCTCTAAATTCCTGCAAATCCAAAGTTGTTAATTTGTTCTCAAGGTTTTTATTTATTGATATGCATTCACTGACTTAATCCTAACTAAAAAGCAGTATATTAGTTATCAGTTATCTACTGCAGTGTAACAAATGCTTCAGACTTTAGGGGCTTAAAAGAACAACAAAAAGGGGACAAGGACCATTGGAGGCTATCTGAGAGGCTGGCAAATACAGTCAGTAAATACTTACTTGTGTGTCTATATTCATCTACTTCATTTTTATTCCGCAGCAAGTCTTTCATCTGCCGCTTGTGAAGAAAATACCAATCACAGATACTATATATTATAAACATAACCAAGAAGTTTATAGTATTTTAAAATTACATTTGTAGGCTGGGCGCAGTGGCTCACACCTATAATCCCAGTACTTTGGGAGGCCAAGGCAGGCAGATCACCTGAGGTCAGGAGTTCGAGACCAGCCTGGCCAACATGGCAAAACCCCATCTCTACCAAAAATACAAAAATTAGCCAGGTGTGGTGGTGCGTGCCTGTAATCCCAGCTACTCAGGAGGCTGAGGCAGGAGAATTGCTTGAACCTGGGAGGCAGATGTTGCAGTGAGCCGAGATCGCGCCATTGCACTCCAGCCTGGGTGACAGAGTGAGAGTCTGTCTCAAAAAAATAAAATAAAATAAAATAAATAAGATAAAATTACATTTGTATATACTCTATTTTAAATTAACAGACTTTTAAAAGCAGTTTTAGTTTTAAAGAAAAATAAGTGGGAAGTGTTGCATTCCCATGTCCCCTCCCTACCCCACTCCCAGTTTCTCCTATAGCTATCTTGCATGAGTGTGCTGCATTTGGTACAATTGATGAGCCAATATTGATACATAGTTACTAACTAAAGCCCATAGTTTACATTAGGGGTCATTCTTTGTGTCTTACATTCTATGGGTGTTGGCAGTGGTATGGTAACAGGTGTTCATCTTCATAGTATCATATAGAACAGTTTTGCTTCCTTAAACATATCTCTTTCTCTACCCATCCATCCTTCCTTCCTTCCTCCCTGAACCTCTGCAATCTCTGATCTTTTTACTGCCTCCATGGTTTTGCCTTTTCCAGAATGTCATATCATTGGAATCACACAGTATGTAGACTTTTCAAACTGGCTTCTTTTACTTAGCAATATGCACATGAGGTTCCTCCATCTTCTTTTTTTCTCCTGTGTTTTTAGTAGAGACAGGGTTTCACCATGTTAGCCAGGCTGATCTTGACCTCCTGACCTCAAGTGATCCGCCCGCCTCATCCTCCCAAAGTGCTGAGATTATAGGCGTGAGCCACAGTGCCCTGCCCTCCATATCTTTTTGTGGCTTGATAACTCAATTCTTTTTATCACTGAATAATATTTCACTGCATGGATGTGCCACAGTTTATCACTTTTCTGAAGGACATCTTGGTTGCTTCCAAATGTCGGCACTTATGAATAAAGCTGCTATAAACATTTACATTCAAGGTTTTATGTGGATAAATACTTCTTTTTCATTCCTGGTTCTTCAGGTTTACACTGGGTATTTTTTTTTCTTATATGGTTCATTTCTTCCATACCTGAGAAAAACCCTTAATCTTGTTTTTAGAAGCCTGAATTCTTATTAGATTCTCATCAAATATTGATTACAAGAAAGTTTCCTCAAAATTAATACAAACATTTAAACATTTGTTGAGTGATTCTCAAAGTCCCTTGAGTTTCTAGGCTCTTGGCCATTTCCACACAAAGATGAAATGGTGTGCTATAATTGAGATTGGAGCACTAAATAACTTTTCCATAATGCAACCCAAAGTATCTTAGCCTCTTTTCAGTTAATACTTTAAAGTCTATTTTGTAATTTCTCTATCTTTAACTGAACACTTCATTAAGTTAAATATAGACATTTATCACTATATCTGAATTACTGAGTGTTCCTTTTGATGACAGAATGAAAATTATGCTTCGTTAAGAGCATCTCTGGGCCGGGCGCGGTGGCTCACGCCTGTAATCCCAGCACTTTGGGAGGCCGAGGTGGGCGGATCACAAGGTCAGGAGATTGATACCATCCTGGCTAACACGGTGAAACCCCGTCTCTACTAAAAATACAAAAAATTAGCTGGGCGTGGTGGCGGGCATCTGCAGTCCCAGCTACTCGGGAGGCTGAGGCAGGAGAATGGTGTGAACCCAGGAGGCAGAGCTTGCAGTGAGCCGAGATTGTGCCACTGCACTCCAGCCTGGGCAACAGAGCAAGACTCCATCTCAAAAAAAAAAAAAAAAAAGAAAAAGCATCTCCAAAACCATTACACTGTGTTTTTTACTACTTTTTGAGCCATTCTAGAAGCCCTGCATATATACACATGGCACCAAAACAAACTGCTTCTGTGTGGGGACACATATTTTGCTTTAGTTCTAGACAGCTGTAACTAACAGCTGTACCTTCTTAGCTGCACTAAGTCCAACCCTTCCTTCCTATGTAAGAGAATTCCCCACTGTCTTGATAATCCCCTTGTTCCCACTCTGGAGGCATTAGAGGACATATCCTGAGGCTCCCCACCTCCAGCAGCCTGTGCACGGGCATGTGATCTAGGCTTAGCCAATGATCGTTTTTCCAGAACGTTGATTCTTGACCAAGTAACACAAAGACAAAGGAGAGATGACATTTAATTCACAGCAGTAGGGAGATTATCTCCAAGGGCACTGAGGATTAATCCTAAAAGTGTCCTACAATGAAGGTGGCTGTGTCCTTCCCAGGCTATTGCTAAAGTCTTGTAGCTTCTTGGCTGTCTGGAACCACCTGGGTCTCTATCCATTTTTCAAGCCTAGTATTATAGATTCCTGTCAGTTTGTTAGCCCTTGATAATACCCTTCCAATAAATTCATTTTCATCCTTAAGATTGTTTAGAGTAGCCATTTACTTTCCATAAAAGTATTTCATGGAAATACTTTGATAATTAAAATCAATCCATTCATTAATTCTCCTAATATTCATTAAACACCTACTGTATATTATGGTAGAACTTAAGAATATGATGGTGATTAAGTAGAATATGATGGTGACTAAGAATATGATGGTGAGTAATAGACACTATTTCTACTGTCTTGGAACCCACAGTCTATTGGAAGATACAGACAAGGAAGGACATGATTGAAATACAGGCATGATGGAGAAGGATGCTATTCACCAGAAACACAAAGAAGGAGCATTTATTCCAGCCTTAATGATGATAGTGACGGGGGGTGTGTGTGTCAGATAAAGCTTCAAGTAATATCTAAATTAAGATTTGAAAATATATAAAAATGACACCTAGCTGTGAGGTAGGAGGTGGGAGTGAGAATTCCAAATAGAGGGAAAATGCCATGTGATGGCCCAGAGTTGAGAAATGCAGTACCTTTCAAAAATGAGAAAGAAGTTCTGTATTTCTGAAGTACAGAGTAAATATAGGCAGGTAGAGACTTGAATCTGGAGCGATAAGTGGGACTCAGATTATGCCAAGTATTGTGAGTCACATAAGTTTGTTAGCACTTTTTCCTATAAGCAGTTAGAAGCAATGAAGGCCTTCAAGCAGGAGCCTTAGTAGGCAGCTATCTGGTACCTGGGGGCCTGGGGAAATTGTGTAAGAAAAGATTTGAAATTCAGGAGTGGGAGCAAAAATCTCTGATCTGTCATGACTTCAAAGTCATTAATTTTTTTTTTTTTTCTTAGATGGAGTCTCACTCTATTGCCCAGGCTGGAGTGCAGTGGCACCATCTTGGCTCACTGCAACCTCTGCCTCCTGCGTTCAAGTGATTCTGCTGCCTCAGCCTCCCGAGGAGCTGGGATCACAGGTGCACACCACTATGCCCAGCTAATTTTTTTTGTATTTTTAGTAGAGATGGGGTTTCACCATGTTGGCCAGGCTGGTCTCGAACTCCTGACCTCAAGAGATCCACTTGCTTCGGCCTCCCAAAGTGCTGGGATTATAGGCATGAGCCACTGTGTCTGTCCTATTGATTTTTCTAAAAATTTTATCTTGTTTTTTACAGAGACAGGATCTCTCTATGTTGTCCAGGTTGCTCTCAAACTCCTGGGTTCAATGAATCCTCCCGTTGCAGCCTCCCAAAGTGCTGGGATTACAGGTGTGAGCCACCACGCCCAGCCAAAATCATTGATTTTATTTTTTAAGAACAATGATAATGTGCTTTCCTTTATGTGTGAAAATGATAATACTGGGTTAAAAATTAGCAGACAGGTCAGGTACAGTGGTTCACACCTGTAATCCCAGCACTTTGGGAGGTTGAGGCTGGCAGATCACCTGAGGTCAGGAGTTCGAGACTAACCTGGCCAACACAGGGAAACCATGTCTCTACTGAAAATACAAAAATTAGCTGGGCATGAAGGCGCATGCCTGTAATCCCAGCTACTTGGGAGGCTGAGGCAGGAGAATCGCTTAAACCCGGGAAGCAGAGGTTGCAGTGAGCCGAGATTGCGCCACTGCACTCCAGCCTGGGCAACAGAACAGACTCTTGTCTCTAAATAAATAAATAAATAAATAAATAAATAAATAAATAGCAAGCCAGGCACAGTGGCTCACATCTGTAATCCCATCACTTTGGGAGGCTGAGGCAGGCAGATCACTTGAGGTCAGGAGTTCAAGATCAGCCTGGCCAATATGGTGAAACCCCGTCTCTACTAAAAATACAAAAATCAGCCAGACGTGATGGTGCAGGCCTGTAATCCCAGCTACTCAGGAGGCTGAGGCAGGAGAATCGCCTGAACCCGGGAAGCGGAGGTTGCAGTGAGCCAAAATCGTGCCACCTGGGCACATGCCAGCCTGAGCAACAAGAGAGAGACTCTGTCTCAAAAAAAAAAAATTAGTAGACACGTTTATTGAGAATTTTTTCTATAATGGAAATGGATTTACTATGATTTACCAATGTTTCACAGAGGACTACCTACGAGAGTGGCCTTCAGATTTTTTTCTTGTATTTCCTAAAATAATCTTGGAAGCCTGTATTTTTGTACATTTTAAGTTGACATTTAAGATTTTTTTATTATAAATTTAAATAGTTACAAATGATACAATTTTCTGTCATTGTATAAGTAAAACTAAATCACTTGCGTTTATGTATGGAAAAGATTCAAGCTCTAGCAATTTGATATCCACTATCATTCTTTTAGAAATAATGCATCATCTTTAGTAAGTAGAATTTTACATTGTTCCTCTTTTTCTTTGACTTCTTATTTCCATTCTACTTCCCTTACATAATTTTACCATAATATAATATGTTAATTACTTTTTGGCTTCCAACTCTTTTACTGATTACCCTATCATACATCCTGCTATAAAAATGTGTATTAAATTGAAACTTATGCATTAAAAAAATTTTTTTTCTTTTCCCTATTTTCTATGGCTGGAGAAATTTTTTTTTTTTTTTTTTTTGAGACAGAGTCTCGCCTCACTGCAAACTCCGCCTCCCGGGTTCACGCCATTCTCCTGCCTCAGCCTCCTGAGTAGCTGGGACTGCAGGTGCCCGCCACCACGCCTGGCTGATTTTTTTTTGTATTTTTAGTAGAGACGGGGTTTCACTGTGTTAGCCAGAATGGTCTCGATCTCCTGACCTCGTGATCTGCCTGCTTCGGCCTCCCAAAGTGCTGGCATTACAGGTGTGAGCCACCGCACCCAGCAAGAAAAAATTTTTTATTCTAGATTAAGCCTTAATTTTAATTATCACTAATATTGATTAAAACAGCAAATAGGTGGGCGGATTGCCTGAGGTTGGGAGTTCGAGACCAGCCTAATCAACATGGAGAAACCCCGTCTCTACTAAAAATACAAAATTAGCCGAGCATGGTGGCACATGCCTGTAATCCCAGCTACTCGGGAGGCCGAGGCAGGAGAATCACTTGAACCCAGGAGGCGGATGTTGTGGTGAGCTGAGGTCGTGCCATTGCCCTCCAGCCTGGGCAATAAGAGTGAAACTCCGTCTCAAAAAAAAAAAAAAAACCAGCAAATATATTTTATAATTTGATAAATAATTTTTAAACATTAGTTAACGTGCCATGCACCATTAGCTCATATGTCCATAGAAGATTAGTACTTACTGCTACAATGAGACAGATTGCCTTGATTAAAAAAGGCTTCCTCATATCAATGCTTTGAATTGTGGCTTGCTTTGTTTGTCTTTGTTCTTACACCTTTGGGCAATGCACCATTATGATTAGAGAATGAGTGAAAGTGGCATCAGCTGCAAGTGGCTCATGCCTGTAATCCCAGCATTTTGGGAGGCTTAGGTGGGTGGATTCTTGAGCCCAGGAGTTCGAGTCCAGGAGGAGTTTGAAACCAGCCTGGGCAACAAAACCCCTGTCTCTACTAAAAATGCAAAAATTAGCCAGGTAGCATGGCACACACCTGTAGTTTCAGCTTCTTGGGGCTGAGGCAGGAGATCACCTGAGCCTTGGGAGATTGAGGCTACAGTGATCCATGATCATGCCACTGCACTGCAGCCTGGGTGACAAAGCAAGACCCCTCTCTCAAAAGAACAAAAAAAAAAAAGAAAGAAAGAAAATATGTCTTTTTTTGGTAAAGTGAGGGAAAGAGACCCAGCAAGACACCTTGAGGCCGGGCACGGTGGCTCATGCCTGTAATCCCAGCACTTTGGGAAGCTGAGGAGGGTGGATCACTTGAGGTCAGGAGTTCAAGAATAGCCTGACCAACATGGTGAAAGCCTGTCTCTACTAAAAATACAAAGATTAGCCAGGTGTGGTGGCGGGTGCCTGTAATCCTAGCTACTCAGAAGGCTGAGGCACGAGAATCGCTTGAACCCGGGAGGCGGAGGTTGCAATGAGCCGAGATTGTGCCATTGCACTCCAGCTGGGTGACAGAGACTCTGTCTCAAAACAAAACAAAACAAAAACACCTTGACCACCGGCAGATCAATTTTATGTATTTATTTAAAATTTTAATTTTATTTTAGATATGTGGTCTTCCTCTGTGACCCTGTTGGAGTGCAGTGGTGCAATCATGGCTTACTGCAGCCTTGAACTGCTGAGCTCAAGTAATCCTCCCACATCAGCCTCCTGGGTAGCTGGGACTACAGGCATGTGCCACCGCGCCATGTTACTTGTTTTATTTTTTGTAGAGATAAGGTCTTGCTGGTCTGAAACTCCTGGCCTCAAGCAATTCTCTCGCCTCTGCCTCTCAAAGTGTTGGGATTATAGCTGTGAGCCACTGTGCCCGGCCTAGATCAATTTTAGAAGTATAGAAGTTGAGGATCTAAAAACTCACTTCCTTAAAACTTTCCCAACCTATTTATTCCTTAGAACATCTTTGAGTACCACTACTGAATTTGAAAATCATGGATCTAGATGGAAGGCAAAATAAACCAGGCTTCTTTTACAAGTAGCAGTAGGATCTTGGATAAGACATTTGATTTGTGTAAATCTCAGTTTACATCATAAAAAGTGAGTGTGGGGGGATTAAGCTAATTTTTAAGATTTTATTTTATTTTATTTTATTTTGAGATAGGGTCTGACTCTGTCACCCAGGCTGGCGTGCAGTGGCACAATCTCAGTCCACTGCAACCTCTGCCTCCTGGGCCTCAGGTGATCCTCCCACTTCAGCCTCCTGAGTAGCTGGGAATACAGGTGTGAGCCAACATGCCCAGGTAATTTTTTTTTTTTTTTTTTTTTTGTAGAGATAGGGGTTTTGCCATGTTGCCTAAGCTGGTCTCGAACTCCTGGGCTCAAGTGATTCACCCACCTTGGTCTCCCAAAGTGCTGAGATTGACCTCCCAAAGTGCTGAGATTAGAGGTGTGAGCCACTGTGCCTGACCTAAGATTTTTAATTTTTAAATCCCTTGAATTCCACTGGCAATTTTTAGCTATGCTCAGGACAATAAGAAGAAGGCCAGGAACAAAGAGAGGGAAAAGGAAAGATGAAAAGCATCTGTGTGGTTACTGAGGACACCACAAAGGAAAAGAGCTGTAGATCAAGACTTTGACCCTGTATTAGTCTGTTTTCATGCTGCTGATAAAGACATGCCTGAGACTGGGAAGAAAAAAAGGTTTAATTGGACTTACAGTTCCACATGGCTGGGGAGGCCTCAGAATCACGGCAGGAGGCAAAAGACACTTCTTACATGGCGGTGGCAAGAGCAAATGAAGAAGAGGAGAAACAGAAATCTGTAATATACCCATTAGATCTTGTGAAACTTATTCACTATCAAGAGAATAGCATGGGAAAGACTGGACCCCATGATTCAATTATCTCCCCCTGGGTACCTCCCATAACATGTGGGAATTCTGGGAGATAGAATTCAAGTTGATATTTGAATGGGGACACAGCAAAACTGTATCAGACACTTTAAAAAAATAGTTTTATTTGTGTTTAGAATATGTTTTGAGATTAAAATTTGTTTCACATTATTGTTTATGTGGCTATAGGCAACTCAGTCTCTTTGATCTTTACTTTTCTCATCTGTTAAATGATAATAATATCATCTATTTTGTACTTCAGGTGATGATTATGAGAGAGAAACTAAGGCTTCTTTCACTTAGCATAATGTCTTCAAGGTTCATCCATGTTGTAGCATGTATTAGAAATTCATTCCTTTTTATTGCTGAATAATATTCCATTGTATGGATATGCCACATTTTGCTTATCTGTTCATCAGTTGATAAAAGTTTGGGTTGTTTCCATTTTTTTACCTATCATGAAATGTTGTGCGAACATACGTTTTCATACCTTTTGGGTGATATGCCTAGGAGTGAGATTGCTGGGTCATATGGTAATTATATGTTTAGCATTTAGAGGAACTGCCAAATTATTTTCCAAAGGGACTACATCCAGCCCGGCGTGGTGGCTCACAGCTGTAATCCCAGCACTTTGGGAAGCCAAGGTGGATGGATCACTTGAGGTCAAGAGTTTGAGACCAGCCTGGCCAACGTGGTGAAACCCCATCCTTACCAAAAATACAAAAATTAGCTGGGTTTGGTGGAACGCCTGTGATCCTAGCTACTCAGGAGGCTGAGGTGGGAGAATCGTTTGAACCTGGGAAGCAGAGGTTGCAGTGAGTCAAGATTGCCCCACTGCACTCTAGTCTGGGCAATAGAGCGAGACTCGGTCTCAAAATAAATAAATGAATAAAACAAAACAAAAAGCACAAAAGACATTTTGAGAGAAGATTTTCTCATAATATTTAATCAACAAAAGTTGATTATTAAGCAATAATAAATAAACATTTAAATTTTTAAAAAGTGGCTGCCCCATTTTTACACTTCCACCAGCAGTGTGTGAAAGTTCCAATTTCTCCACATCCTCAACAAAACTTGTCTATTGATTATAGTCATACTTTTTTTAAATTTTGTTTTGTTTATTTATCTATATTTGAGACAGGGTCTCGCTCTGTCACCCAGGCTGGAGTACAGTGGCACGATCTTGGCTCACTGCAACCTCCGCCTCCCAGGTTCAAGCGATTCTCATACCTCAGCCTCTCAAGTAGCTGGGACTACAAGTGTGCACCACCACACCCAACTAATTTTTGTATTTTTCTAGAGCTGAGGTTTTACCATGTTGCCCAGGCTGGTTCTGGTGTTTGAAATGGTTTCTCCTGTGGTTTTGATTCGAATTTCCCTAGTGGATAATGACACTGAGCATCTTTTCATGTGCTTTTTGGTCACTTGTATAGCTTCTTTGGAAAAATGTCTGTTTAGGTCCTTTAAACTTTTTTTTTTTTTTTTTTTGAGACAGAGTCTCGCTCTGTCACCCAGGCTGGAGTGCAGTGGTGCCATCTCTGCTCACTGCAATCTCCGCCTCCCGAGTTCCAGTGATTCTTGTTCCTCAGCCTCCCGAGTAACTGGGATTACAGGTGTGTGCCACCACACCTGGCTAATTTTTGTATTAGTAGTAGAGACAGAGTTTCACCAGGCTGGTCTTGAACTTCTGACCTCAGTTGATCACCCGTCTCTGCCTCTCAAAGTGCTGGGATTACAGGCATGAGCCATTGCGCCCGGCCAAATTTTTTTTCTTTTTCTGATAACACTTAAGATCTATCCTCTTGGCAAATGTGAAGTACAGGATCAGTTTTTCTTTGTTGTTGTTTTTGAGACAGTGTCTCACTCTGTCACCCAGGCTGGAGTACAGTGGTGGGATCTTGGCTCACTGCAACCTCCACCTCCTGGATTCAAGTGATTCTCCTGCCTCAGTCTCCAGAGTAGCTGGGATTACAGGTGTGAGCCACCACACCTGGTTAAATTTTGTATTTAGTAGAGATGGGGTTTGGCCATTTATCCAGTTTGGTCTCCAACTCCTGGGCTCAAGCAATCTGCCTGTCTTGAATTTTAATTTGGATGAAATCCAGTTTATCTATTTTTCCTTTTGTCACATGTGCTTTTGGCTCATTTCGATTTTTTTTAATATGGTATGAGGTTGGCATCCAGCTTTTTTCTTTTGCATGTGGATATCCAGTTGTCCCTGTATCATTTGTTGAAGAAAAGTCTATTCTTCCCCATTGTATTGTCTTGGCACCTCGTTGAAAATCAACAGACCATAAATGTGAGTGAATCAATTCTTAAATGCTGATTTTTATCCTTTTTTTGTAATGTTCTGTAAACAAAATAAGACTTATATTGCCAGTTAAAAAGTTCTGGTAGAAATGGGCCGGGCGCGGTGGCTCACACCTGTAATCCCGGCACTTCGGAAGGCCGAGGCGGGTGGATCACCTGAGGTCAGGAGTTTGAAACCAGCCTGGTCAACATGGTGAAACCCTGTCTCTACTAAAAATACCAAAACTAGTCAGGCGTGGTGGCAGGCGGCTGTAATCCCAGCTACTCGGGGGAGCTGAGGCAGGACAATCGCTTGAAGCTGGGAGACGGAGGTTGCAGTGAGCCGAGATCATGCCATCGCACTCCAGCCTGGGGGACAAGAGCAAGACTTTGTCTCAAAAATAAAAAAAAAAAAAGTTCTGGTAGAAAAGATTTCCTGTGACCTATATCGTCATCAGCATTATATTTTAAGATGCTAATGATTCTACTTATGAGAAATTTTAACAAAACACAGATGAATTGTTCATGTTTGTTTCTCTCAAATTTGTTCATGTAATTAGTAACTTGAAATACTCTTGTTATCTAGTTGAACTTCCAAATATTCATGAATATTTATCTCCTAAGAGGACCTACACATTCTTGTAAAATTAAAGAATAAAAAATATTTGGCCAGGTGCGGTGGCTGACGCCTGTAATCCCAGCACTTTGGGAGGCCGAGGCAGGTGGATCACTTGAGGTCAGGAATTCAAGACCAGCCTGACCAACAGGGTGAAACCCCGTCTCTAAAACAAAAATTAGCCAGGCGTGATGGCGCACATCTGTAATCCCAGCTACTTGGGTGGCTGAGGCAAAAGAATTGCTTGAACCTGGGAGGTGGAGGTTGCAGTGAGCTGAGATCACACCACTGTACTCCAGCTTGGGCAACAGAGACACCCCGTATGAAAAAAAAAAATGTAGTTTGGGGCCAGGACATGAATCTTAAGTTTTTGGAAAAACCAACTCCCCAAAAATCACGAAAATTATTTTAGGACAACATGAAAAATAAGTTTAATGCTAGTACCATCCCTGATCTATTGGTAATGGATGACTGCATCACCGTGTCTGAGGGATTCTGAGGCTACATTTAGGGTGAGCAGGAAGGAGTGCTGCCATTAATTAATGATACCTACCATGGAATGGAATGAGGACATGGGGTCACATGGTAATATTTAGCAACTTAATTTGGCTGTAATATAATTGAAAATAGCAGTGGCTTAAACAAATTATTCCTTTTTTAGTCTAGGGTTGGTTTGAAGGATCCATAATGCCCCCGAGGAGTCACGTCTTTCTATTTTCCTTTCACTTCACCATCCTTAGCCTGTGCTTATTCCTTTGTTGTCATGGGACAGCTGCTCAAACTCCAGTATTGCATTTGAGTTCCAGATGTAGAGAAAAGTAAGAAGTAAGAGTGAGGGGCAGAAGGTACAGGTCAGCGAAACTGACCTTCCTTTTTTTTTTTGAGATGGAGTTTCGCTCTCGTTGCCCAGGGTGGAGTGCAATGGTGCACTCTGGGCTCACCGCAGCCTCTGCAACCTCTGCCTCCCGGGTTCAAGCGATTCTCCTGCCTCAGCCTCCCGAGTAGCTGGGATTACAGGCATGCGCCACCACACTGGGCTAATTTTGCATTTTTAGTAGAGACGGGGTTTCTCCATGTTGGTCATGGCTGGTCTTGAACTCCCGACTTCAGGTGATCTGCCCGCCTCGACCTCCCAAAGTGCTGGAATTATAGGCGTGAGCCACCGGGCCCGGCCCTGACCTTCCATTTTTTAAGAATCATTTCCATAAGCTTCGCCCAACAACTTCCACTTCACTTCATTGGCAGGAGCCAATGATCACGTCTTATCTGCAAGGAATACTGGGAGATGTAGTTTTTAGCTAGGCACATTTACCCCCATCAAACCCAGGATACTGTTACTTAGGTAATCAAGGGAAAATCCATTTAGGAAGACAGCTAGAAGTTTACTCCACCATTACTGTTTTATAAATACGTATCCCTCAGCTTTACTGAACCAGCAAGAATTCCCACTCCCCAGCACATAGAAGCAATATTGCACTTCTGAAAAAAAAGTGCTAACACTGTGGGCCTCTGAACTGCATAAAAGATGAGTCTGGGGCCTGGTGCAGTGGCTCACGCCTGTCATCCCAGCACTTTGGGAGGCCGAGGCGGGCGGATCACCTGAGGTCAGGAGTTTGAGACCAGCCTGCTCAACATGACAAAACCCCGTTTCTACTAAAAATACAAAAAAATTAGCTCGGCATGGTGGCGGGCAACTGTAATCCCAGCTACACGGGAGGCTGAGGCAGGAGAATCGCTTGAACCTGGGGGGCGGAGGTTGCAGTAAGCCAAGATTGCACCCCTGCACTCCAGCCTAGGCGACAAGAGCAAAACTCTGTCTCAAAAAAAACAAAAACAAAAACAAAACAAAACACGAACTCCCCACCCCCCCACACACAAGCAGTAATAAACAAAAATATAGTCGTAAATGGGAATTTCAAATCTCTTTAATATTCAGGCAAGCAGACAGGCTTATAGAAACAGACGGCTTCTAATTCAAAGGTCCTTCCCATTTTTTGGAGTTTGAATCCTATTAGTTATTAGTGTTTCCAACCACGTGGGCAGGTATCTTGAGCTCAAAATGTTCATTCAACCTCCCCCACCAAAGGTAGAATCTTTGAGGAAACGTGGGTGGTAGAACCACAGTAAAAATATTTTAGTACATGTTTTTTGTTTGCACCCTGGATTGGGAACTATCCATTTACTTTTTTTCCCTTCTTCTCCATTTAATACACTTACACATGGGAATTATCCATTTACTATGGATCAAGTTTTCTTTGAAAATATATGATAGAAGATGACATTCTCAAGTGGAACTGGTTGTACACGAGGGGAGCTGCAAGCTAAACCTCTTATTTGCTCTCTTTGTTCTGTTATTCCAGTCTATCTAACGTAGGACGATGGAACAAGTTGATCCTACATGTTTCTGAAAAAGCCACTTGCTAAACAGTCTTTGGTAGGAGGCTGGCTACAGGACCTTCACTCAACAATACTGTCAACCAGAAATTTGTTTTAGGAACCCTGCCCCCTATTTTTCTATTCAGTTTCCCAATGCCCATCCCATGGTGTTGCCCACCCAGGCCTGCCCTCCTGGGAAATGCTCTGACTTTAAGATTACCTATTCCTTTGCCTCCTCCTTTATCCTTCAGCAAACCAACATCCTTTGTACTCGGTCAGTGAAGTCTGATCTTAGCTTAAATCAGGCCAGTCTGTGATACTGTGATGTCAAACTGATTAAAATAATTTACACTAAGGTATTAACGATGGATAGATACCAAGTGTTTAAGAACTAAACCAACTGATGATCTGAACAAATGAATTTTCAAAGGGGTTACTACATTTAGTCATTGAACAGACGGCTTAGCTTTTTCTTTTATTAGAGGCAGGGCCTCGCCCTGCTGATTGGCCAGGCTGGGGTGCTGTGGCACGGTCATGGCTCACTCCAGCCTCGAACTCTTGAGCTCCAGAGATCCTCCTGCCTCAGCCTCCGGAGTAGCTGGGACTACAGGCGTGTGCCACTGCACAGGGTTAGCTTGCGTTTCCAACCATTCTAAAAGCCAATAAGCCATTTACATTTTAATCTAATTATCCCGAGTGCTTAGTCTGTAACTGAAGGGCAATTCTAAGGCAAGAAATGAGATGTGAGGTCACTATATGGCTATGTTTGGCAACCCCAAAGGTTTAGATATGAAGGTGAAAGTGGGTGAAGTACTAAGAGGGCAGTCCTCATTCGCACAAGATGTTTTTATTTCAAGCCTCCTGAGAATTTGGAATTTTCAGTAGTTCCTTTTAACATTCCACTTATTTCCTGTATTGATTTAAAGCTTTAAAAATTTTTATTTTAAAGTAAATAGTGTTACCGAAGCTTGAGCTGTGATTCCCAAGTGTGTTTTTTAGGATAAGAAGGGGCCTCGCGGAAGTTGCGGTGAGCCGAGATCGCACCATTGCACTCCAGCCTGGGCAACGAGAGCGAAACTCAGTCTCAAAAAAAAAAAAAAAAAAAATGGGGCCTCGAACTTTGGCGTACGTGAGACAAGTTAAACCAACGCCATCTCCACCCTGTTTTGCGGGGTGTTTTCTCTCCTTTCGCAGCTGTTCCACTCCCAGGGCTTGACTGAAGGTACACGGGGGGTAACTGCCTACTCCAGAAGGCCACCAACAGCATTATTTCCCTCGCAGTCTCCAGAAACACTTGTTCTCACTGTGACCTTTCGCTCAACAGGCAGGCAGTGCGGCGTCTGCAGAGCCGGAACCGGCACTGCGCGCTGGACGCAAGCAACAAGCACGACAGGCGCGCCACCACGGGCAGAGTCTCAAGCAACAGCAGTGGGCGGCACACGAATCCTCTCCTTTCTTTAACCCTTCTTCACACGGAGTCCCACCCTCGCCGGAAGCCGAGCGGTTTCTACATCATGCCACTTCCGGTGCGGCCTGCCGGCCCCTGGCGGGAGCGAGCACGCCAGTGCGCGGTAACTTTGTTCCCGCCTCTCTTGCCCCGGCCACCTCTCATCTTCGGCTTTCTCTGAGCGTGAATTGCGGGCGCGCTCCCGGTCGTACGTCAGGGCTGAGGGGAAAAGCCGAAAGAGCGAGGCGAGAAGGAGGGGTTGTGGAGGTTAGGGCCCAACCAGCAAGTCCCGTTGCTCTCCCTCCTCCTGACGAGGAGCGGAGAGGGAAGGGGAGGAGCGAGCCGGGGCAGGCCGCGCACACCAGGAGCCTCCTCGTGGAGGGGGGGAGCGGAGGAAAGGGGTAGCTCCGCCACCTCTGCTGGCGGCGGCGGCGGCGGCGAAAGAAGAAGAAAGTCAGGGCCCGTACCTACCGCCACAGACTCAGAAACGCCCCTGCCCCCATCTCCCCGGAAATAGCCCCCCGCCCAGCCCCGCACAGTCGCTGCCCCAACCGAGAGCCGCAGCCCGGTCGCCCCCGCCTCGCCCCGCCCCGCTGCCCAGCCCCGCGGGCCGCAGAGTGCGCGAGGCCCTAGGCCGGGAGTTGTTGTCAGGCCCAGGCCACTTCCGAGGCGCCTGCGGTGTGTCGCCGCCACCACAGGAGGACGACGTCGACGCCGAGGAGGAGGCGGTGGAGGCGTGTTGTTGTCTCGCCCACTCCCCTCCCCTGAACTTGCACCCAACGTCAGGGCGCGATGGAGTGAAGCGGCGACGAAGGTGGTACTTCCGCGTTGCGCTGCCCGAGCCGAGAGCGCGGCCAAGGCCGCTCCCCCACCCCCGGGGGCACTTGGAGGACTCGGGACTCCCCCGCAGGTCAGCGCCCGGCGCATCTGGTGTTTTCGCTGCCGAGGATAGGACGACGAGCGCAATCGGGAGCTCCGCCGCCCGGATTCCTGCTTCCCTGGGGCCCGGAGGCTGCTGCGTACCCCACTGTGACCTGGAACCCAGGGACCCGAGTCCCGACCCGGATTATCGTGGCGCTTTTCCCGGCCGGCTCTGGTGCTCGGTGTCCCTCCGCCGCCGCTCCCGTTTCCGGCGGGGGAGATGGCCAGGATCTGACCCGGGAGGAGGCCGCACCCGCGCCGCGCTCTGCGGCTGGCTCTAGGCGATGCCGAGCAGCTCGGACACGGCGCTGGGGGGAGGCGGGGGCCTGAGCTGGGCGGAGAAGAAGTTGGAGGAACGCCGCAAGCGGAGGCGATTCCTGTCCCCTCAGCAGCCGCCGCTGCTGTTGCCGCTCCTGCAGCCGCAGCTCCTGCAACCGCCGCCGCCCCCGCCGCCTCTGCTCTTCCTGGCTGCTCCCGGCACGGCCGCCGCCGCAGCCGCCGCCGCCGCGGCCTCCTCCTCTTGCTTCAGCCCGGGCCCCCCTCTGGAGGTCAAGCGGCTGGCGAGAGGCAAGAGGCGCGCAGGAGGGCGGCAGAAGCGGCGTCGCGGGCCCCGCGCCGGGCAGGAGGCGGAGAAGCGTCGGGTCTTCTCGCTGCCCCAGCCGCAGCAGGACGGCGGTGGCGGTGCTAGTAGCGGCGGGGGTGTGACCCCGCTGGTGGAATACGAGGATGTGAGCTCCCAGTCCGAGCAGGGGCTGCTGCTGGGGGGGGCCAGCGCGGCAACGGCGGCGACGGCTGCCGGGGGAACGGGGGGCAGCGGCGGGAGTCCGGCCTCCTCCTCCGGCACCCAGCGGCGCGGGGAGGGGTCGGAGCGCAGGCCCCGCCGGGACCGCCGCAGCAGCAGTGGCCGCAGCAAGGAGCGCCACCGCGAGCACCGGCGGCGGGATGGGCAGCGCGGTGGCAGCGAGGCCTCCAAGTCCCGCAGCCGCCACAGCCACAGCGGCGAGGAACGGGCCGAGGTCGCCAAGAGCGGCAGCAGCAGCAGCAGCGGCGGCCGCCGGAAAAGCGCTTCGGCCACATCCAGCAGCAGTAGCAGCCGCAAGGACCGGGACTCGAAGGCCCACCGCAGCCGGACTAAGTCGTCCAAGGAGCCGCCTTCGGCCTACAAGGAACCGCCCAAGGCCTACCGGGAGGACAAGACCGAGCCTAAGGCCTACAGGCGGCGGCGGTCCCTCAGCCCACTGGGAGGCCGGGACGACAGCCCGGTGTCCCACAGGGCCTCTCAGAGCCTGAGGAGCCGCAAGTCCCCCAGCCCGGCAGGAGGTGGCAGCAGCCCCTATTCTCGGCGGCTGCCGCGCTCCCCGAGCCCCTACAGTCGCCGCCGCTCCCCCAGCTACAGCCGCCACAGCTCCTACGAGCGGGGCGGCGACGTGTCCCCTAGTCCCTACAGCAGCAGCAGCTGGCGCCGCTCTCGCAGTCCCTACAGCCCTGTGCTCAGGTGAGTTCTGCCGTTCTGCCTGTGTGTGCCTTGGCTGCGCTGGCCAGATCCCCAGGAGGAAGGGAAAGTGGTGCCCGGGTCCTCAGAACGACTCAGGTCCACCACCGAGACGAGACAACACCGCCTGAGCCTCCCAGGAAGGATAGGCGTTTTCGCGCGCGTGACACTTTTTTAGGGGGTCGAAGGGACAAAGCAACTGGGCGAAGGGAACTTTTCTCCTAGCTGTGGCAGGGAAGATTTCTAAGGAAGAATTAAAAGTTTCAGACTTGTTGCATTAATGTGTTAACAGGTTTCTCTCAGTTGCTCTTTGCTTTTCTGGTACAATTTGGGTAAACCTAGAGGTGGTTTAAGTCTTAATTTTGAAAGTTCTGTGAAGAGGTTTCATTGTTGGGAATTTAGGAATGGACTGCAACTTAAGATCTAGTATTGTACAGGGGAATAAGAATCAGGTACTGATGTCAGAGTTAGATGTGGATTGCAGATGTTTCTTATGATTATTACAGAAATGGGAGAAGCAGCCTTTCTGTAAAGTTTATTCTTTTAGTATGTTAAAAAAGCTTAGGTGGAAGCCGATAGTTCTGAATACTGAAGTTAAAAAAGGTATCTATTTAGTGATATTCTTGTGTGGGATAGTTTTTACCTGATCTTTCAAAGTCATAATTATAGAAGGTAGAAAAAATGACAAGACTGTGGTTTCTTTGTTGGTTTGTGATGACACCCAGTTGCTAATAACATTATAAATCTGGGTGGTGTAACCTAGTGTAACCAAGTGAATGGCTGAGTACATTCTTATACTATTATAAGCCTGTAACTGCTTACTTTAAAAGCTAAGTAGACTTTTTCTTAGATATATACCCGAAGGATAAAAACACAATATAACTAGACCTTTAAATATCAGGATCTTTGTCCAGAAATCTTTAAAAGGTGTAATTTAATTTAATGAAATTGGAGTAAAACTTTTCTGTAGCTTTCTTGCCTTTTTTGTTATATAATATTCTTTTTAAAAAGTGTGCCTTAAAATATACTTATCCACTAAGCAAAGTGCATTAAAAACAACTTTCGAGTATTTTATGGGTTCTTATATTCCTTGAGATGTTTGGACATTCCAGACCTTATAGTGTAGAGTATTGCAAAATGACATTTGTATCAGTTTTTCCTCCTGGGTTTCAGTAATGGCAAGTGGATGTACAGTACCTCTAAGTATGGGTTATGTGGAATCTCAACATAATACGAATATGCATCTGCAAAATTAGCAGACCTTTTTGAAGTATCACCATAATAAATGTAAAGGTGTGATGTTTATAGAGATCTGAGCGTGAGTTTGTCTTTAAGCCAAAAAAGTTCTATAAATTGCTTCACTCTTAAAGAGTGTTGAAGCATACTTAAAATGTTAGTTGATACCTTAGCGAAGAATTGAAAAACTCATTCATCAAAATTAGCCATTGTATCTTGTAAGACTTTGTATGTTACTTTTAACTATAATACTTTGCCAAAGGGTTTGCAGTTTTTGCAGTTGAATTTGTTTTGCAAACTGGTTGGTTGAAGTTTCAGCACTTGAACAATTTAAAGTGCTTGATGCAATTTTAAGAATGGATTTTGTACTTATCAGGTTTTTTAGTTGCTGGATACTTCAGCGAGATCCTTTATTGTATAATAGTGGTATGTATTTTTTATATACATATATGAAATATATAATCGTGGTATGTATGACTAGGACTATTCATATTTAGCAAGTATTTTTTGACCCTGTATTGTATGCCATATACTGTTTTAGGTATTGGGATGTAGCAGGAAAGAAAAAGTTACTTGCCCTCATAGAGCTTGCATTCTGGAGGACCGTTCAACACATAATCTTTTCATGGTGTTTACATTGACCACCAGTATTTCTAAAGAGTTGAATTTGGAAGGAACTTTAGGGTGTCTTGGCTAACATTGCTGACAGATGGCCATTTGGTATGTGCCTGAAATACATCTAGAGGTGGGAAGCACGTTAGTTAGAGGCAACCTGTTCACTAGATTTGGGACTTGAGTGTTTTAGCAAGATCCTTGAAGACTCAGTTTCCTAAACTGTAACAGGGAAACACTTGTTTTTCTGGATTATTTCAAGGATTAAGTGAAAATTTATCTTTTTAAAGCATGCAGCCTTACAGAAATATTTAAGGTCGTTGAATTATTCAATATCCCAAATTGTTAGAATTCTTCATATTGTGACCAAAATCCACCTTCGAACCATTGCTCCAAGTTTAACCCTTTGGAATGGTACAGAGCACACGTGTATGCTAACCCTTTAAAATATAAAGACAGTTGTCATGATTTCTGAGTCTTCTAGACTAAAAAACTCATACGGTTTTCAGATTTTTCACATTATATCTAGTTTGTCAAATGTCCAGCTTAAAACATAGGGCCTAGAATTAATAGCTAAAATAGTTGATTGGAAAAATCTAAAGATTTTAAAATATAATAAGTGTATTGTTACTTTTTAGGAACGGTTAATTGAACTCACTTGTACAGATTAATGGAAAAGTTTTATTTATTTTCAGAATTTATTACTTGTGGTAAGTGGCCCATGTTCTTTAATGAATGGACTGCTGTGAGTTCCATGAAGGCAACTGGGCTGTCTTATCCATCATTGTATTTCTAGTGCTCAGCACTGTATCTGGCACAAGTACACTCTTAATAAATGTTGAATAGGTGTAAATGAAGGGATGCTGGAGTTTACTGAACATACAAAATATTAATGTGGGCTTTGTATTACAAACTTCATTCAAAATATTTAATACAGACCATGTGTAATGCTGTAAGAAACAGTGTAATATTTCCCCAGCCTATGCAGAACTTACATATTAATGAATTGTCAGCGTAGATATTTTCAAGGAAATGCATACACATTCAAAATAGTATTGAAATCGTGGTATGAAGATGAAAAACAATTTTAAATAAGCTGAAAATAGAGATAGGGTTTCACCATGTTGCCCAGGCTGGTGTCAAACTCCTGGGCTCAAATGATCCACCTGCTGCATCAGCCTCCCAAAGTCCAGGGATTACAGGTGTGAGCCACCACATCCAGCCTGAAGCTTTTTTTGATGTCAGATAAATAAATCCTTTTCATTTTAGTGATTTCCACTTCACAACTTGTTCTTTGTCTTCATTTGAATCTTCAGTCCTCGGCTCATGCATTTCTTTTCATCAGTTCCCTCTTAGCTTTACTTTTTCCCCTGTATAATCTGTTTGCCGTATTTTCTTTACTACTTGACTGTTGGGGTGTGGAAGGTCACGTAATCTTGCTGACTGGCCCTATAATAAATGTGAGGGTGTGCTGAAAAGAGGGGAGGGTACCGTTTGTAGTGTTTTACTGTGTGCCAGGCATTGATAAATATTTAACATATATTGACCACCAAAATCCATGTGATAGTTGGAAACATTCCCATTGATGGATTGGGAAACGGGAGCTCTAAAAGGTTTTAAGCGATTTGTTCCAAGGTCAGCTTGGATTCAAACCCTAGGCTGATTTGAAAGTACATGCTCTTAATATTAAAGAGCATGGATTTTGGTTACAATATGAAGGTGGATTTTGGTTACAATATGAAGAATTCTAACAGCAGTCTATTCATTAAAGAACATGGGCCACTTACCACTTAAAGCATATGCTTTATTGAAATTTAGTTGGCATTCAGGGGCGCTGGCCACCTCACATAATGACCTGTTTTGGTGAAAAATCAGCTTCTGCTTGGGTATTTATGTGTTGGTTTCTGTTCCTTGGCCATTTTATCAGCATTTTGAAGATTTTAAAAGATGAATCTTCTAAAGATTCTTTCAGCTTATTTGTGTTTATTTGTAGTTTTTATGAACAATTGGGTTTAAATCTTGTGGATGTTTTTCCTACTTTGTCTTTACAAAGATTGGCTAAAAACATTTCTTGAAGACATTAATTACTCTTAGTTATTGGTGGTGGTTTTCCAGAATTATTTTGATCTGAAGTTACTGATGTCAGATTAAAATCCGTGCAAGAAATTATTATGTGTGTTTTGTTCTTTCTCTAAACCTATGGAAGTTCCATTCCACCAAGAAGCACAGAAGCATTCATTATGGAATAATAAGAACCTAAGAATCTGAAAAAGATGGGTGGACTCTAAATATAAATAAGAAAAATTATTGTTATATGTGGTACCTCTGTAATGGATTATTTAGTGTTTTGTCCTGAAAACTATAGTTCAAAAGTATATGAAATGAAGATATTCCGTAATGAAAAAAAAACTCAAAAAATATGCCACTGATTTAATATATACTTAATAGAAATAAGTCATGAAAATCCCTAGGTGAATGGAATTCTTAAAATGCTTTTAAAAAGTGTCAAAAAATAGGATACTAGAACAAATGGAGAAACTCTCAGAAGGGAATGGAAGTTTAGGTTAACTGTCTTAAATTTCCAAAGCTGTAATCATTATTTTCATTCTCAAAGTGATGGCCTTGTGTTTTGCTCCTTCTCTGACCAAACTTCACCTGACATTTACATCTACTCAGTCCTTATCACATTTCTTTTCCGCTAACGCTAATATTTATTTCTTTCCATTTCTATCACCATTTCAGGTTAATTAGCTAGACTTCATGTTACTGTGAACATTCTTCTCGTTTCATCCATTCTTCTCAGTTCATTCTGTATCAGGAGAGTTTTCTTAATATCTTTGTTTAGCTCATGTCACTCCCATTATATTAGAATTATTATTAGAATAAACCTAAACTTTTTTTTTTAGGGATAGTGTCTAGGTCACTTGCCCACCCTGGAGTGCAGTGATGATGTGATCATGGCTCACAGCAGCTTCGAACTCCTGGGCCCAGAGGATCCTCCTGCTTCAGCCTCCCGAGTAGCTGGGATTACAGGTGCATGCCACCATGCCTGGCTAATTTTTGTGTTTTTTGTAGTGATGGGTTTTACCATGTTGCTCTGACTTGTCTTGAACTCCTGGCCTCAGACAATCCTCCCGCCTGGGCCTCCCAAAGTGTTGGGATTACAGGCAAGAGCAGCTGTGCATGGCCAAGTCTAAACTTCCTAATGTTCCATCAGTTAATGCCTTTTATGATCTGGCTCCATTCTATCACAGTTCTGTTTTCAAAGACATTTTTATTTCTATTTTTATACTTGCTGTTCTGTTAGCTTAAATGATAAGAGACACTCCAAACTCTCTTTTGCTCTTCATCTCCAGCTTTGCATTTAAAACTCAGCTCAAAAATCCCACTGTCGTGTGTGTGTGTGTGTGTGTGTGTGTGTGTGTGTGTGTGTGTTTTGGTAGAGATGGTGTTTTACTGTGTTGCTCAGGCTGGTCTCCTGGGGTTGAACAATCCTCCTGTCCTTGCCTCCCAAAGTGTTGGGATTACAGGCATGAGCCAGTGTGTCCAGCCTTAAATCCCACTATCTTGAGACCTTTTTCCATTCATCTAGATAAAAGTTAGTTTTTTTTCCTGTGCCCCCACAGCACTTTATCTTTGTTGTAGAGTTTTAAAAAATTCTGTTTAATATCTGCTTAGTTGGCTGGCTGCCTTTGTGTTTTCCCTACTAGATTGTAAGCTCCTAGAGGACAAATTACAGAGCTTATTTATTGGTGGTTTAATTTAAATACATTTTTTCTCTACAGATTAGTGCAAACCAGTCTGCACAGATGCGAGTTATATCTGTAAACTTGCTTGGTATTTTGGTTTACATACACTCTCATACTCTAGGATAGGGCAGGTAATTGTTTCGATTTATAAGGAGGGAATTTAAGAACCTCCTTCTAGCTTCTACTTTATTAGAATGAGTAGAGGATGCTGGGAGTCACTTTAGTGTGAATGGAATAAATTCAGACCTAGTGTTTATATTTGCCCTCTGTTGTGCTGATCAAGATAAATTCTTGGTGCGTTTGAATTAATCTTTAAAGAGAAAATTTTCTGAGCAGACATTATGTCAAACTTATTTCCCAACTCTGAAAAATTGTAGCTATTTTTGAAAAACCAGTTGGAAGTGAATGTTGCTTAATATTCACATATAAGATAATTTTAATTTTTTCCTTTATTTTGGACTTTTTTTGTGTGAATATCATTTTGTTGTTGTTATTTTGGTTTTGGTTGGCTTTGTTTTCTATAAATTTATAAGCTTTGAAGTGGGTGTTGGAAGCAAAAGTACCAAGCTAAAATCAGAAGCATTACTTGTTTGCAGTGATTTTGTTCCTTGAATTCCTGCACATTTAAATTGTGGAAGAACCTAGTGTTTTTTATGTATTTGGAAAGTAAAATTGATGTACATTAGAGGATAAATATAGGTAAAACTGGAATGTAAGTAAAATGGAAATGAGGTTAGTGAGAGGAACCGAAAATGGTAAATGATCTACACGCCTCCCTGCTTTTCTGTTTGCATTTTCAGTTGCATAGGGGCACTTTCACTGGGATATTTTATTGGCATTCCAAACTCAATTTACCTAACATTAAATTATTTCACCTTTCTTAGAGTCATTTTTTTTCTGTTACTGCTCTTTATTATTTTTCACCTGTTTGCAAGCATAATAGAGGCTAATGGTAGAAATTTTCCGTTAGTATAGAAAAGTATAAGAGATTAAAAGGCCCCTTAGGTCCAGCTACCTGATGAGATGATCACTCATGACATTTTGATAAATATTTTTCTAGACTTTTTTATGCATATATGCACAGGGATGTATGATTTTTCCATAAGCGGGAACATGTAACAATGCTGTCTTGTAGCCTGTACTCCACAGTACAGCATACCATTTTTATTAGTAGCTCCTAGTATTCTGTTGTATGGATATAGCATAAATTGTTTGGCTGAATCCACTTTGATAAATTCTTAGTTTTGTTTTTTTTTTAATTTTTGCTATGTGTGTATATCTAAAGCAAATTTTTTTTTGTGTATTTGTTCCATTATCTTTAGATTGAATTTCCTGGGGATAAAATTTTTGAGGCAAAGGTGGTATATACATTTGTAACATTGATACACTTTCAAAATGCCTTTCAGAAGGCTTTTACAAATTTACATTTCCCAACAGTGTGGAATTACCCATTTCCTGAGTCTCACCAACACTTGGAGTTGTCACATATTCCATTATTGGTTTTTTTTGTTGTTTTGTATTTTTAGTAGAGATGGGGTTTTGCCATGTTGGCCAGGCTGATCTTGAACTCCTGACCTCAAATGATCTGCCCACCTTGGCCTTCCAAAGTGCTGGGATTATAGTTGTGAGCCCCTATTGGTGCCTGGCACCATTATCGTTTCATTCATTTGCATTTCTTTGATATTTAATAAGGTTTAATATATTTTCATCTGTTTACTGGATATTTTAATTTCTTTCTTTTTTTTTTTTTGCTCTTGTTGCCCAGGCTGGAATGGTGCGATCTCGGCTCACCGCAACCTCTGCCTCCCGGGTTCAAGCGATTCTCCTTCTTCAGCCTTCCGAGTAGCTGGGATTACAGGCATGCGCCACCATGCCCAGCTAATTTTGTATTTTTAGTAGAGACGAGGTTTTTCCATGTTGGTCAGACTGGTCTCGAACTCCTGGCCTCAGGTGATCCACCCGCTTCAGCCTCCCAGAGTGCTGGGATTACAGGCGTGAGCCACCGTGCCTGGCCTTTTTCTTTCTTTTTTTTTTTTAATTGAGACCGGGTCTCACTCTGTCACCCAGGCTGGAGTGCAGTGGCACCATCTGCTCACTGCAACCTCCACCTCCCAGCTCAAGTGATCTCTCACCTCAGCCTCCCGAGTAGCTGGGATCGCAGATGCATGCCAGCATGCCCAGTTAAATTTTTTATTTTTGGTAGAGACAGCGTTTCACCGTGTTGCCAAGGCTGGTCTCGAACTCTTGAGCTCAAGCAGTCTGCCTGCCTTGGCCTTTCAAAGTGCGGGGATTACAGGTGTGAACCACTGCACCTGGCCAGATGTTCTAATTTCTTGATTTTTTTTTTTTTAAATTAACTTGCAAGACCTACTTGTGTGTTATAGCTACTAACTTGTTTTTTTTTTTTTTTGCGGCATTAGCAAGTATTTTTCGTGAGCTTGTCTTTTATCTTTTAACCTTCTTTATGTAACGTTTTATTTTAGGACTAGGTTTTTGATTTGTCTCTGTGTGTGTGTGCACACGTGTGTTTTAAGTGGTAGTAGTTTCTCCCAGGTACCTAGTGTCAAACTTTAGTAGTACTTTTATCTCTTCATAGTTGTAATGAACTTCTTGTTCTGTAAAGTTTTTTCTTTTTTTTTTTTTTCCAGTGGTCTTTTGGTCCATACATTTATCTTGGAATGCTTTGTTAGTTCTGCTTGCTTTTAGATTTCTCTTTGAGCCCCTCCTGTTCTCTGCATTCAGATTTAAAATACCACTTTCATTTGATCATTTTTTTTTTTCTATAAGATACTTACAGAATCAAATACTTTTTTTTTTGAGATGGAGTCTCGCTCTGTCACCCAGGCTGGAGTGCAGTGGCACGCAGTGTCATGATCTCGGCTCACTGCAAGCTCCGCTTCCCAGGTTCACACTATTCTCCTGCCTCAGCCTCGCGAGTAGCTGGGACTACAGGCGCCCGTCACCACGCTTGGCTAATTTTTTTTGTGTTTTCAGTAGAGACGGGGTTTCATCATTTTACCCAGGATGGTCTTAATCTCCTGACCTCGTGATCCGCCCGCCTTGGCCTCTCAAAGTGCTGGGATTACAGGCATGAGCCACCGCATCTGGCCATCAGATGCTTTTAAAATTAATTTATTTATTTAAGATGGAGTCTCACTGTTGTCGCCCAGGCTGTAGTGCAGTGGCGTGATCTCGGCTCACTGTAACAACCTACGCCTCCTGGGTTCAAGCTGTTCTTCAGCTTTAGCCTCCTGAGTAGCTGGAATTACAGGCGCCTGCCACCATGCCTGGCTAATTTTTGTACTTTTAGTAGAGATGAGGTTTTGCCATGTTGGCCAGGCTGGTCTCGAACTCCTGACCTCAGGTGATCTGCCCACCTTGGCCTGTCAAAGTGCTGGGATTACAGGCGTGAGCCACCGCACCCGGCCAATTTATTTTTTATTGACAAATAATTGTATATGTTTATGTGTGTGATGTTTTGGTGTTTACCTGTGGAGGGCTTCAATCAAGATAATTAAGAAATCAGTCACATCACATACCTATTTTGGTGGTGAAAACATTTTTAAAATAATTTTTTTTTTAACACAGCTCGAAACAGCCATTGAAGAAAACATTTTAACTCTACTCTTTGGCTGGGCACAGTGGCTCACGCCTGTAATCCCAGCACTTTGGGAGGCCAAGGTGGATGGATTACTTGAGGTCGGGAGTTCAAGACCAGCCTGGCCAACATGGCGAAACCCCGTCTCTACTAAAAATACAAAACATAGCCAAGCATGGTGGCGTGTGCCTGTAGACCCCAACTACTCGGGAGACTGAGGCAGCAGAATAGCTCGAACTTGGGAGGCAGAGGTTGCAGTGAGCCGAGATCTCGCCACGACACTCCAGCCTGGGCACAAAGCAAGACTCTGTCTCAAACAAAAAAACTACTGTTTTGTCAGTATCAGAATATGCAGTGCATTATTGTAGTCACCATTCTGCCCAATAGATCGCTAAAATTTATTACTTCTGTCTATCTGAAACTTTGTGTCTTTTGATCAACATCTCCCTTTCCCTATACACTCCTCTCCCCTAGACCCTGGTAACCACCATTCTACTCCCTACTTCTATGAGTTTGAATTTTCTAGATTCCACATATAAGTGAGATCATGCAGTATTTATCTTCCTGTCACAAATGACATAATTTACTTCTTTTTTTTTTTTTAATTATACTTTAAGTTTTAGGGTACATGTGCACAACGTGCAGGTTAGTTACATATGTATACATGTGCCATGTTGGTGTGCTGCACCCATTAACTCATCATTTAACATTAGGTATATCTCCTAATGCTATCCCTCCTCCCTCCCCCTACCCCACAACAGTCCCCAGAGTGTGATGTTCCCCTTCCAGTGTCCATGTGTTCTCATTGTTCAATTCCCACCTATGAGTGAGAACATGCGGTGTTTGGTTTTTTGTCCTTGCAATAGTTTGCTGAGAATGATGGTCTCCAGCTTCATCCATATCCCTACAAAGGACATGAACTCATCATTTTTTATGGCTGCATAGTATTCCATGGTGTATATGTGCCACATTTTCTTAATCCAGTCTATCATTGTTGGACATTTGGGTTGGTTCCAAGTCTTTGCTATCGTGAATAGTGCCGCAATAAACATACATGTGCATGTGTCTTTATAGCAGCATGATTTATAATCCTTTGGGTACATACCCAGTAATGGGATTGCTGGGTCAAATGGTATTTGTAGTTCTAGATCCCTGAGGATTTGCCACAGTGACTTCCACAATGGTTGAACTAGTTTACAGTCCACCAACAGTGTAAAAGTGTTCCTATTTCTCCACATCCTCTCCAGCACCTGTTGTTTCCTGACTTTTTAATGATCACCATTCTAACTGGTGTGAGATGGTATCTCATTGAGGTTTTGATTTGCATTTCTCTGATGACCAGTGATGATGAGCATCTTTTCATGTGTCTTTTGGCTGCATAAATGTCTTCTTTCGAGAAGTGTCTGTTCATATCCTTCGCCCACTTTTTGATGGGGTTGTTTTTTTCTTGTAAATTTGTTTAAGTTCATTGTAGATTCTGAATATTAGCCCTTTGTCACTTGAGTAGATTGCAGAAATTTTCTCCCATTTTGTAGGTTGCCTGTTCACTCTGATGGTAGTTTCTTTTGCTGTGTGGAAGCTGTTTAGTTTAATTAGATCCCGTTCGTCAATTTTGACTTCTGTTGCCATTGCTTTTGGTGTTTTAGACATGAAGTCCTTGCCCATGCCTATGTCCTGAATGGTATTGCCTAGGTTTTCTTCTAGGCTTTTAGGTCTAACATTTAAGTCTGTAATCCATCTTGAATTAATTTTTGTATAAGGTGTAAGGAAGGAATCCAGTTTCAGCTTTCTACATAATGCTAGCTAGTTTTCCCAGCACCATTTATTAAATAGGGAATCCTTTCCCCATTTCTTGTTTTTGTCAGGTTTGTCAAAGAT
Source organism: Homo sapiens (assembly GCF_000001405.40). Classification (NCBI taxonomy): domain Eukaryota; kingdom Metazoa; phylum Chordata; class Mammalia; order Primates; family Hominidae; genus Homo; species Homo sapiens. Next base: position 39,962,923 of record NC_000007.14, read on the forward strand.
CAGATGGTTGTAGATATGCGGCATTACTTCTGAGGTCTCTGTTCTGTTCCATTGGTCTATATCTCTGTTTTAGTACCAGTACCATGCTGTTTTCGTTACTGTAGCCTTGTAGTATAGTTTGAAGTCAGGTAGCGTGATGCCTCCAGCTTTGTCCTTTTGGCTTAGGATTGACTTGGCAGTGTGGGCTCTTTTTTGGTTCCATATGAACTTTAAAGTAGTTTTTTCCAATTCTGTGAAGAAAGTCATTGGTAGCTTGATGGGGATGGCATTGAATCTATAAATTACCTTGGGCAGTATGGCCATTTTCATGATATTGATTCTTCCTACCCATGAGCTTGGAATGTTCTTCCATTTGTTTGTGTCCTCTTTTATTTCATTGAGCAGTAGTTTGTAGTTCTCCTTGAAGAGGTCCTTCACATCCCTTGTAAGTTGGATTCCTGGGTATTTTACTCTCTTTAAAGCAATTGTGAATGGGAGTTCACTCATGATTTGGCTCTCTGTTTGTCTGTTATTGGTGTATAAGAATGCTTGTAATTTTTGTACATTGATTTTGTATCCTGAGACTTTGCTGAAGTTGCCTATCAGCTTAAGGAGATTTTGGGCTGAGATGTTGGGGTTTTCTAGATATACAATCATGTCATCTGCAAACAGGGACAATTTGACTTTCTCTTTTCCTAATTGAATACCCTTTATTTCCTTCTCCTGCCTGATTGCCCTGGCCAGAACTTCCAACACTATGTTGAATAGTAGTGGTGAGAGAGGGCATCCCTGTCTTGTGCCAGTTTTCAAAGGGAATGCTTCCAGTTTTTGCCCATTCGGTATGATATTGGCTGTGGGTTTGTCATAGCTCTTATTATTTTGAGATACGTCCATCAATACCTAATTTATTGAGAGTTTTTAGCATGAAGCATTGTTGAATTTTGTCAAAGGCCTTTTCTGCATCTATTGTGATAATCATATGGTTTTTGTCATTGGTGCCGTTTATATGCTGGATTACGTTTATTGATTTGCATATGTTGAACCAGCCTTGCATCCCAGGGATGAAGCCCACTTGATCATGGTGGATAAGCTTTTTGATGTACTGCTGGATTTGGTTTGCCAGTATTTTATTGAGGATCTTTGTATCGATGTTCATCAGGGATATTGGTCTAAAATTCTATTTTTTGTTGTGTCTCTGCCTGGCTTTGGTATCAGGATGATGCTGGCCTCATAAAATGAGTTAGGGAGGGTTCCCTCTTTTTCTATTGATTGGAATAGTTTCAGAAGGAATGGTACCAGCTCCTCCTTGTACCTCTGGTAGAATTCAGCTGTGAATCCATGTGGTCCTGGACTTTTTTTGGTTGGTAAGCTATTAATTATTGCCTCAATTTCAGAGCCTGTTATTGGTCTATTCAGATATTCAGCTTCTTCCTGGTTTAGTCTTGGGAGGGTGTATGTGTCCAGGAATTTATTCATTTCTTCTAGAGATTTTCTACTTTATTTGCGTAGAGGTGTTTATAGTATTCCCTGATGGTAGTTTGTATTTCTGTGGGATCAGTGGTGATATCCCCTTTATCATTTTTTATTGCATCTATTTGATTCTTCTCTCTTTTTTCTTTATTAGTCTTGCTAGCGGTCTGTCAATTTTGTTGATCTTTTAAAAAAACCAGCTCCTGGATTCATTGATTTTTTTTTTTTTGAAGGGATTTTTGTGTCTCTATTTCCTTCAGTTCTGCTCTGATCTTAGTTATTTCTTGCCTTCTGCTAGCTTTTGAATGTGTTTGCTCTTGCTTCTCTAGTTCAGTTGTAATGTTAGGGTGTCAATTTTAGATCTTTCCTGCTTTCTCTTGTGGGCTTTAGTGCTTATAAATTTCCCTCTACACACTGCTTTGAATGTGTCCCAGAGATTCTGGTATGTTGTGTCTTTGTTCTCGTTGGTTTCAAAGAACATCTTTATTTCTGCCTTCATTTCGTTATGTATCCAGTAGTCATTCAGCAGCAGGTTGTTCAGTTTCCATGTAGTTGAGCGGTTTGGAGTGAGTTTCTTAATCCTGAGTTCTAGTTTGATTGCACTGTGGTCTGAGAGACAGTTTGTTATAATTTCTGTTCTTTTACATTTGCTGAGGAGTGCTTTACTTCCAAGTATGTGGTCAATTTTGGAATAGGTGTGGTGTGGTGCTGAAAAGAATGTATATTCTGTTGATTTGGGGTGGAGAGTTCTGTAGATGTCTATTAGGTTAGCTTGGTGCAGAGCTGAGTTCAATTCCTGGATATCCTTGTTAACTTTCTGTCTCGTTGATCTGTCTAATGTTGACAGTGGGGTGTTAAAGTCTCCCATTATTTTTGTGTGGGAGTCTCTCTTTGTAGGTCTCTAAGGACTTGCTTTATAAATCTGGGTGCTCCTGTATTGGGTGCATATATATTTAGGATAGTTAGCTCTTGTTGAATTGATCCCTTTACCATTATGTAATGGCCTTCTTTGTTTCTTTTGATCTTTGTTGGCTTAAAGTCTGTTTTATCTGAGACTAGGATTGCGACCACTGCCTTTTTTTGTTTTCCATTTGCTTGGTAGATCTTCCTCCATCTCTTTATTTTGAGCCTATGTGTGTCTCTGCACGTGAGATGGGTTTCCTGAATACAGCATGCTGATGGGTCTTGACTCTTTATCCAATTTGCCCATCTGTGTCTTTTAATTGGAGCATTTAGCCCATTTACATTTAAGGTTATTATTGTTGTGTGTGAATTTGATCCTGTCATTATGATGTTAGCTGGTTATTTTGCTCATTAGTTGATGCAGTTTCTTCCTAGCCTCAATGGTCTTTACAATTTGGTATGTTTTTGCAGTGGCTCTTACCGGTTGTTCCTTTCCATGTTTAGTGCTTCCTTCAGGAGCTCTTGTAGGGCAGGCCTGGTGGTGACAAAATCTCTCAGCATTTGCTTGTCTGTTAAGGATTTTATTTCTCCTTCACTTATGAAGCTTAGTTTGGCTGGATATGAAATTCTGGGTTGAAAATTCTTTTCTTTAAGAATGTTGAATATTGGCCCCCACTCTCTTCTGGCTTGTAGAGTATCTGCTGAGAGATCAGCTGTTAGTCTGATGGGCTTCCCTTTGTGGGTAACCCGACCTTTCTCTCTGGCTGCCCTTAACATTTTTTCCTTCATTTCAACTTTGGTGAATCTGACAATTACGTGTCTTGGAGTAGCTCTTCTCGAGGAGCATCTTTGTGGCGTTCTCTGCATTTCCTGAATCTGAATGTTGGCCTACCTTGCTAGATTAGGGAAGTTCTCCTGGATAATATCCTGCAGAGTGTTTTCCAACTTGGTTCCATTCTCCCTGTCACTTTCAGGTACACCAATCAGATGTAGATTTGGTGTTTTCACATGGTTCCATATTTCTTGGAGGCTTTGTTCGTTTCTTTTTATTCTTTTTTTTCTAAACTTCTCTTCTTGCTTCATTTCATCTTCCATCACTGATACCCTTTCTTCCAGTTGATCGAATCAGCTACTGAGGCTTGTGCATTCATCACGTAGTTCTTGTGCCTTGATTTTCAGCTCCATCAGGTCCTTTAAGGACTTCTGTGCGTTGGTTATTCTAGTTAGCCATTCATCTAATTTTTTTTCAAGGTTTTTAACTTCTTTGCCATGGGTTCGAATTTCCTCCTTTAGCTCGGAGTAGTTTGATTGTCTGAATGAAGCCTTCTTCTCTGAACTCGTCGAAGTCATTCTCTGTCCAGCTTTGTTCCGTTGCTGGTGAGGAGCTGCGTTCCTTTGGAGGAGGAGAGGCGCTCTGATTTTTAGATTTTTCAGTTTTTCCGCTCTGTTTTTCCCCATCTTTGTGGTTTTATCTACCTTTGGTCTTTGATGATGGTGATGTACAGATGGGGTTTTGGTGTGGATGTCCTTTCTGCTTGTTAGCTTTCCTTCTAACAGTCAGGACCCTCAGCTGCAGGTCCGTTGGAGTTTGCTGGAGGTCCACTCCAGACCCTGTTTGCCTGGGTATCAGCAGCGGAGGCTGCAGACCAGCGGATATTGTTGAACAGTAAATGTTGCTGCCTGATCGTTCCTCTGTAAGTTTTGTGTCAGAGGAGTACCTGGCCGTGTGAGGTGTCAGTCTGCCCCTACTCGGGGGTGCCTCCCAGTTAGGCTACTCGGGGTTCAGGGACCCACTTGAGGAGGCCGGCTGTCTGTTCTCAGATCTCCAGCTGCGTGCTGGGAGAACCACAATTTACTTCTTTTTAAAGCTAAGCCGAGTGCAGTGGCACACGCCTGTAATCCCAGTACTTTGGGAGCCTGAGGTGGGCAGATCGCTTGAGCTCAGGAGTTTGAGACTAGCCCTGGCAACGTGGTGAAATCTCTTCTCTACAAATACAGAAAAATCAGCCCAGCATGGTGGCATGTACCTGTAGTTCCAGATACTTGTGAGGCAGAACTGGGAGAATTGCATGAGCCCTGGAGGTAAAGGCTACAGTAAGCTGAGATCGCGCCACGCCTCTGCACTCCAGCCTGGGCAACAGAGTGAGACCCTGTCTCAAAAACAAAATAAAACAAAAAACAAACCTGAACCACATTAAAAAAAAAAAAATCCGTTCATCTAACAATGGACACCTAGGTTGCTTCCATATCTGAGCTATTGTGAATAATGCTGCAATGAACATGGGAGTGGAGACATCTCCTAAGCATACTGATTTCAGTTCCTTTGGGTATATACCCAGAAGTGGGATCATGTGGTAATCTTGTTTTTACTTTTTTGAGGAACCTCCATACCATTATCCATGATGGCTATAGTAATTTACATTCATACCAGCAGTGCACAAGGGTCTCCTTTTCTGTATACACTTGCCAACACTTGTTATCTTTCATTTTTTTGATGCTAGCCATTCTAACAGGTGGGAGGTGGTATCTCATAGTGGTTTTAGTTTGCATTTCCTTGGTGATTATTGATGATGATGAGCATTTTTTCATGTATCTGTTGGCCATTTGTATGTCCTTTTTAAAAAAAAAAATTGAGATGGGATCTTGCTATGTTGCCCAGGCTGGTCTCAAACTCCTGGGCTCAAGGAGTCTTCCCACCTCACCCACTTCAGCCTCCCAAGTAGCTGGGATTCAAGCACTAATCACCAAATCCAACTGTATTCCCTCTTTTGAGGAATGTCTATTTAGGTCCTTTGCCCGTTTTTGAAATTGGGTTATTTTCTTTCTGTTGATTTGAGTTGCTAATATATTTTGAATATTAATGTGTTATCAGATATGTGGTTTGTAGGTATTTTCTCCTTATCCACAGGTTGTCACTTTACTTCATTGTTTCCTTTGCTTTGCAGAGGCTTTTTAATTTGATTCCATCCCTTTGTTTATTTTTGTTTTTGTTCCCTGTACTTTTGGGTTTATAACCACGAAACCTTTGCCCAAACTAATGTCATGGAGCTTTTCTTCTCCTTTCTACTGTATAAGGTGTGAGATGAGAGTCTATTTTCATTATTCTCCATGTGGATATCCAGTTTTCCCACCCCTGTTTATTTTTAAGACACAGGGTCTTGCTGTGTTGCCAAGGCTGGTCTTGGAACTCCTAGGTTCAAGCAGTCCTCCCGCCTAGCCTCTGCAGTAGCTGGGACTACAGACATGCACCACTGTGCCTCACTCCCATCACCATTTATTGAAGAGGCTGTCCTTTTCTTACTGTATGCTCTTGGCTACTTTGCCAAAAATCAGTTGACTATAAATGGGTTTATTTCTGGGTTCTCTATTGTGTTCCTTCAGTTAATGTCTCTGTTTGTATGCCAGTACCATACTCTTTGGATTAACATAGCTTTGGAATAAACTTTGAAGTCAGGTAGTGGGATACCTCCAGCCTTGTTCTTTTTGCTCAGGATTGCTTTGGCCATTTGGGATCTTTTGAGGGTTTGAGTATTCCACTGAATCAGAGTCTTGAATGGGGCATTTAAGACCCCCAACACAGACTGAACCAAACTACTCTTACTTCTTACCGTATATCCTGATCACAATACAAACTGGACTGTTTACTATTTTCTTATATCTTAGTTTGTATCCTTCCTTCAGTTTGCCAGTCTGGCTTGCTCATTCTTTCAACCTTAGTTCAGGTGGGTTTTTTTGTTTGTTTGTTTGTTTGTTTGTTTTGAGATGGAGCCTCGCTCTGTGGCTGGAGTGCAGTGGTGTGATCTCAGCTAACTGCAACCTCTACCTCCCAGGTTCAAGCGATTCCCCTGTCTCAGCCTCCCAAGTAGTTGGGATTACAGGCACACACCACCACGCCTGGCTAGTTGTTTTTGTATTTTTAGTAGAGACAGGGTTTCACCATGTTGGCCAGCTGGTCTCGAACTCCTCACCTCAGGTGATCCACCTGCCTCAGCCTCCCAAAGTGCTGGGATTACAGTTATGAGCTACGGCACCTAGCCTCAGGTGTTATTTTTATCTATGAAGTCTTCATTAATCTCGTTCAGAAGTGATTTTTAAAAATACCTTTAGAACTGAGATCACTTTGTGAGTACTTATTACATCCAGTTTACCCAGTTGGTAGGCATTTGAGTTATTTCCAGTTTTTGGCTGTTATGAGCAAAGCTACTGAACATTTGAGTACAGGTCTTTTGTTTTTGTTTCTCTTGAATAAGTTAGGAGAGGGTTTGCTGTGTTGTTGTATGGGAAGCGAATGCTTGACTTCCTACAGTCCCATGGTGTTTTTCAAAATGTCTTTGCCATTTGCATTCCAGTCAGTAGAGTATGGGATTCCAGATGCCTCACCTCCTCAATAAGACTTATTTTTTTTTTTGTCAGTCTTTGATTTTAGCCATTCTAGTGGATGTGTATTGGTATCTCATTGTGGTTTTATTTGCAATTCCCTAATGATAAGTAATGTTGAGTATACTTCCATATGTTTATTTGCCCTTCCTATTTTTTGCTAAGTGTCTCAAAATGTTCATTCTTCATGAATTGGGTTGTTGTCTTACTAAAGTTGTAAGAATTCTGTGTATATGCTAGATACAAATAAATGTTTTGCAAACGTTTTTTCCTCAGTCTGTGGCTCACTTTCCCTAACAGTAATTTCCAAGAGCAAACGTTTTAAATTTTAATGAAAAACCAGTTTAGCATTTGTGTGATTTATGCTTTTTTTTTTTTTTTTTGAGACAGCGTGTCTCACTCTGTCGCCCAGGCATGTTCTCAGCTCACTGCAACCTCCGCCTCCTGGGTTCAAGCGATTCTCGTGTCTCAGCCTCCTGAGTGGCTGGGATTATAGGCATGTGCCATCACGCCCAGCTAAATTTTGTATTTTTAGTAGAGACAGGGTTTCACCATGTTGGCCAGGCTGGTCTCAAACTCCTGACCTCAACCTGCTTCTGCCTCCCAAAGTGCTGGGATTACAGGCGTGAGCCAGCCACTGTGTTCGGCCAGATTTATGCATTTTATGTCCAAAAAAATTTTTGCCTAACCCACAGTAACAGATATTTTCTCCTTAGGCTTATAATGTGCATGTTTCTCAGTCTACTTTTATGTATAATGTTAACATTATGATAGCATACTTACATTTTCATCTTGTCTTTTGTACTGTTGTCATCTTTTTTTTTTTTGAGACGGAGTCTTACTTCTTCGTCTAGACTGGAGTGCAATGGCATGATCTTGGCTCACTGCAACCTCCGCCTCCCAGGTTCAAGCAATTCTCTTGCCTCAGCCTCCCCAGTAGCTGGGATTACAGGCATGTGCCACCACGCCCAGCTAATTTTTGTATTTTTAGTAGAGCTGGGATTTCACCCTGTTGGCCAGGCTGGTCTTGAACTCCTGACCTCAAGTGATCCACCCACTTCAGCCTCCCAAAGTGCTGGGATTACAGGCATGAGCCACTGCGCCTGGCCTGTTGTCATCTGTTTTATGTCTGTTTGCATGGTGTATGTGTGTTAAATACAGACATAAAATTTAAAATGAGAAGAGGCACTTATATTTACTCAAATGTTTACCTTTTCAAATGCTTTTCCTTTTTACAGATCCAACTTTCCATGTAGTATCATTTTCCTCTGGCTGGAGGAATGGCTTTGAACATTTTTTATTATGTAGGTCTGCTTTTTCTATGTCTGATAAAGTCTCCATTTTGAAAGATTGTTTTACTGGGTGTGGAATCCTAAACTGAAATTTTTTCCTTAATATTTTGACTTGTTGCATTTCTAGCTGATAAATTTCTGTAATATTTTGGTTTTGCTTCAACCATTGGATTTCAAGTCCTGTGACTTTTTAAATATTTGTGGTTCTTAAGCACCTAGTACAGCATTTGATAGTAGGTACCTAGCAAGTGAGATTAAATTGCCTGTCTTGTTTTATAATTTTATTTTCTAGGGCTGGGTGTGGTGGCTCATGCCTGTAATCCCAGCAGTTTGGGAGGCTAGGGCAGCAGATCAACTGAGGCCAGGAGTTCAAGACTAGCCTGGCCAACATGACAAAACCCCATCTCTGCTAAGGGTACAAAAACTAGCTGGGTGTGGTGATGTGCACCTGTAATCCCAGCTACTCGGAAGGCTGAAGTAGGAGAATCACTTGAGCCCAGGAGGCGGAGGTTGCCATGAGCCAAGATCTTGCCACTACACTCCAGCCTGGGCAACAGAGTAAGACTCGGTCTCAAAAAAACAAAACAAAAAACAAAAAAAACACTTTGTATTTTCTAGCAAACTATTCCTTCAGCATAAATTGCTTTGGATTAAAAAAAAAAAGAGGTCCAGGCTGGGTGTGGTGGCTCGCAGCACTTTGGGAGGCCAAGGCAGGCAGATCACGAGGTCAGGAGTTCGAGACCAGCCTGGCCAATATGGTGAAACTCTGTCTTTACTAAAAATACAAAAATTAGCCGGACGTGGTGGCGGGCGCCTATAGTCCCAGCTACTTGGGAGGCTGAGGCAGAAGAATCACTTGAACCTGGGAGGTGGAGCTTGCAATGAGCTGAGATTGCACCACTGCCTGGGCAACAGAGCAAGACTCCATCTCAAAAAGACAAAAAATGAAAAACAAAAAAAACAAAAAAAGGTCCAGCCCCACACGGTTAGAAAAATTCTGTTGATATTAATAAGGTCTGGTAATACACTTTGAACAAATTCTTGATGGCTACAGAGAGACTAATCAAAGTATGTGCTTTTGTGCATGTCAAGTACTGAGCTCCCTTCTACTCTTCTCACCTGCTTTTCATTTTCTGTCTTCAAAAATACATATCAAGGCATGGTTCAGGGAAACATGAAGACAAACACAGAATTTATGCTCAGTGGACTAGAACATGTTTGCTTGAGCAAATCTGCAAAAAGTCAGCCACGTGTCTTTTTGTTGTTGTTGTCGTTACTTTTAATATGGCATAAGAACCATAAAGGAAGTGTATTTTTAGAATAAACACAAAACATTTCAGTTTTATGTTATCTTTTCTAGTTTTAAAAATAACATGTTTATTGAAATGTATTTCACATACTGTACAGTTACTGTTTTAAACTATAATTTATTAGTCTTTAGTCTCTTCATAGCTTTGTGTAACCACTAATTTGAGAATATTTCAGTCACTCCAGAGAGAAACTCCATGGCTATTTAGCAGTCACTCCCCATTCCCACATTCCACAGTTTTGGCAACCAACGGTTGGTGATTTCTTTCTGTCTTTGTAGATTTACCTATGCTGGATATTTCATTTCAGTGGAATCATATAATGTATGATCTTTTATGGCTGGATTCTTTCACTAAAGCATAATGTTTTCAAGGTTTATCTGTGTTGTAGTATATGGATCAATATTCCTTTTATTGGCCAAATATCCCATTGTATGGTTATGCCACATTTTATCATTAGTCATGGACCTTTGGGTTAACTTTTTGGCTATTTTTTTAATGCTGCTATGAACATTTGTGTACAAGTTTTTGCATGAGCATTTGTTTTTCTCTTGAGCATATATCTAGGAGTAGAATTGCTGGGTCATATGATAATTCTATGTTTAAGATTTTAAAGAGCTGTCAAGCTGTTTTTTAAAGTAGCTGCATCATTTTTATATTCATATCAGCAACATATGAGGGTTCCAGTTTCTTCACATCCTCAACAAGAGTTGTCTTTTTGATTGTAGCCATCTTGGTATTTGCAGTGGGATCACATTTTGGTTTAGATTTGCATTTCTCTAATGACAAATAAAGTTGAGCATCTTTTCATGTGTTTTTGACCATTTGAGAAATGGCCAAAATCTTTTTTTGAGAAATGTCTACATGAATCTCTTGTCCACCCCCACTACCCCCTCTTTTTTTTGAGACAGGGTCTCACTCTGTTGCCCAGGCTAAAGTGCAGTGGCACAATTTTGGCTCACTGCAGCCTCCATCTCTAGGACTCAAACAATTTCCCTATCTTAGCCTCCTGAGCAGCTGGGACCACAGGTACACGCCACCACACCTGGCTAATTTTTTCGTATTTTTGTATAGATGAGGTTTTGCCGTGCTGCCCAGTCTGGTCTCAAACTCAAGCTCAAGCAATCCTCCCACCTTGGCCTCCCCAAATGCTGGGATTATGGGCATGAGACACCATGCCTGGCCTTCTTTGCCCATTTTTAAATTGGGCTGTCGTCTTATTATAGGATCTTAAGAGTTTTTTATACTGTCTATTCTAGATGTAAGTCCTTTATCAGATACATGATTTACAAATAATTTCTTTCATTCTATCACTTTGTTGATGGTGTCTTTTAAAGCACAAAAGTATTTTATTTTGATGGAGTCCAATTTATTATTTATTGCTTGTGTTTTTTGGTCTCAAATCTAAGAAGGCTTTGCCTAATCTGTGTTCACAAAGATTTTCTGCATTTTCTTCTAAAAATTTTATAGTTATAGCTCCTACTTTGATCCATTTTCAGTTAGTTTTTTGTATGGTGAAAGGAAGAGGTCTAGCTTCATTCTTTTGTGTGTGGATATACAGTTGTCCCAGCACCATTTGTTGAAAAGAGTATTCCTTTTCCATTGAATTGTCTTAGCACCCTTGTTGAAAATCAACTGATCACAAATGTTAGGATTTATTTATGTACTCTGAATTCTGTTCCATTGATTTATGTATCCGTCCGTATGCCAGTACCACACAGTCTTGCTTACTCTGATTTTGCAGTAATTTTTGAAATCAGGAAGTGTGAATCTTCCAACTTAGGTCTTTTTTAAGATTGTTTTGACTGTTTGGGTTCTTGGCATTTTCAAATGAATTTTAGAATCAGCTTGCCAGTTAGTTCAAAAAAGCAGCTAGGATTTTGATAGGGAGTACATTGATTTTAAAAATTTTTTGTTTCATCACTACAGAACTGCAATACATTGACTTTTTAGATTAATTTGGGGAGTATTATCTTGTTAATTTTTTTTTTTTCTTTTTGAGACAGGGTTTCACTATGTTGCTCAGGGTGGTCTTGAACTCCTAGGCTCAAGCGCTCCTCCTGCCTTGGCCTCCCAAGGTGTTGGGATCATAGGCATGAGCCAGCGCGCCTGGCCAGGGAGTATTACCTTTTAACAATTTAAGTCATCTAATACGTGAACACGGGATGTCTTTCCTTTTATTTAGATTTTCCTTAATATTTTTTAGTGTGTTTTGTAGTTTTCAGGGTATAAGCCTTGCACTTTTTAAACTTTTAGGTATTTCATCCTTTTAAAGGCTATTGCAATGGGATTGTTTTCTTTTTTTCTTTTTTTTTTTTTTTTTTTGTTTTTTGAGATGAAGTCTCGCTGTGTCACCCAGGCTGGAGTGCAGTGGCACGGTCTTGGCTCACTGCAACTCTGCCTCCTGGGTTCAAGTGATTCTCCTGCCTCAGCCTCCTATGTAGCTGGGATTACAGGTGAGTGCCACCATGGCTGGCTAATTTTTGTATTTTTAGTAGAAACAGGGTTTTGCCATGTTGGTCAGGCTGGTCTCAAACTCCTGACCTCAGGTGATCCACCCACCTTGACCTCCCAAAGTACTGGGATTACAGGCGTGAGCCACAGTGCCCAGCCGGAATTCCTTTTATTTCTTATCCTTGACTAATTACAATGGCTAGAACCTCAAATACAATGTTGAACAGAGGAATGAGAAGGGACTTTCTTGTCTTGTTCCTCATTTAGTCTTTATTCGCAAAGTAGTTAGCTGCAGATTCGTCATAAATGGCTAGTTTTATTTTTTAATAAAAATAATGACTTTGATTCCAAGTCATTGCAGAAGTCAGGAAAAAAAAAAGACTTTGTTTCTCTCAAAGTCTTAAGCTCTGGTGTAAAAAAAATTCTGGGTTGGGCATGGTGGCTCACACCTGTTATCCCAGCACTTTGGGAGGCCGAGGCAGGAGGGTCACTTGAACCCAAGAGTTTGAGATTAGCCTGGGAAACATGGCAAAAACTTGTCTCTACAGAAAATACAAAAATTTGCCGGGCCTGGTGGTGTGCACTTGTCCCATCTACTTGAGGGGCTGAGGCAGGAGAATCGCTTTGAGCCTGGGAGGTTGAGGCTGCAGTGAGCCAAGATTGCACCACTGCACTCCAGCCTGGGCAACAGAGTGAGACCCTGTCTCAAAGCAAAACAAAAAAAACCCCTCAAATACCTTGTTTGACCCCTATATGTGAGCATATATTAATATAAGTATTCATTACTATTCTAGGGGCCATGAAAAAAGGAAATCTCCTATTTTGTAGTATGTGTGTAATGATTGCCACATTGGTTTCTCATATACCATGTGTACAGAAACATTTGAACAGTGTTTTATAATGAATAATGTATGCATTAATGTTGAAATGATGAGAGAGAGCCCGCCATGTGATGATCTAAGCATCCCAGGAAAAGAAAATGATGCATGCTTAGGCACCAAGTCAAGAAGAAGCTTGACCTTCTGCAAAAGCAGAAAGGAGACCAGCATGGCTGGAGTCTGGTAAATAAAGAAGGGTATAATAAAGATGGAAGGCGGTTTAGGCCTTGTGAGTCACAACACAGAGTTTTATTTTTATTTTAAATGCAGTTGGAAACCACTACAGAGTTTTAAGCAAGGACATGGCATAATCCAATTTATGTTTTTAAAAGACAAAGACATAAAATACAAGCCAACCTGTAACAAGTACTGTGTGATCAGCAAATAGGGAAGTGATAGAGATGAGACTTTAGCTTGACCCATGCAAAATAGATAAGAATTAAACAGGATCACACCTGTACTCCCAGCACTTTGGGAGGCCGAGATGGGCGGATCACCTGAGGTCAGGAGTTTGAGACCAGCCTAACATGGTGAAACCCCGTCTCTACTAAAAATACAAAATTTAGCTGGGTGTAGTGGTGGGTGCCGTAATCCCAGCTACTTGGGAGGCTAAGGCAGGAGAATCACTTGAACCCGGGAGGCGGAGGTTGCAGTGAGCCGAGATCATGCCATTGCACTCCAGCCTGGGCAACAGAGCGAGATTCCGTCTCTCTCTCTCTCTCTCTCTCTCTCTCTCTCTCTCACACACACACACACACACACACACACACACACACAGAAACAAATGGAGGAGAAAGAGATAGTGTGGTAGCAATAAATAGTGCTTGGCTTTGAAGTGAAAGACTTGGGTTTGAATATTGACTCTGCCTCTTCTTAGTTCCCCCATCTGCTTTCTCTATACCTTGGTTGCACATGAGGAGCAAATCAAATGAAAAATGCTTATAAATGTGAACCTGTGAGGGTTAGTGTGGTATACAGTCATGTCCCCAGTTTTCCATGGGGCATATATTCTAATACTCCCAGCGGTTGTCTGAAACCACCAAAATAGTACTCCACTCTAAATATACTATGTTTTTTTCTATACATACATACCTGTGATAAAGTTTAATTTATAAATTAGGCACAGTAAGAGATTAACAACAATAATAAAATAGAACAATTATAACAATACCCTAAAATAAAAGTTATGTGAATGTAGGGTCTCTCTCAACATATCTTATTATACCGTACCTTGCATAAGAGAAACCATGGAAAGTGAAATTGAGGACGAGGGGACTGCTGTACGGTATTTGTTTTATTCAGTGAATAAAACACTGAATTATGCTAGGGGCTGTGGAGTGATACAACAATGAATTAGACTCGGTTTCTGCTCCTCAAAGAGGGTGCAGTCTGATAGACAATGTGGTTGATATCTAAAATGTGAAGTTAAGAGTTATCATAAGAAGGGTGCAGATAAAATGCTATGGGAGTTCATAGAATGGAGACCGTGCTGCTTGTTTGGATTTGGCTTCTTTCTTCATAAGGCTTTATGAAGTCCTTTATGCTAGTCCTTGAGAGATGGATAAGCCTTGAATAGAAGATGGAGGGCAAGATGATATTCTCACTAGGCCAGTATGTGGGAATATAAAGGCATGGAAGTATTGGGCAAATTTAGTACTTGATAAGCAAAGGTAGGTTAGGACCAGACAAATTATGCAGTACCTTGATACTAGGCTGCTGTGAATTCTTTTCAATAGGAATACTATCAGCAGTGTCTTTAATTGTGTAAATATTTATTGAGCATCTACCACTGCTAGGTTTATGATAGAAGTCAAGGCTTGAGGATAGAATATCTCAGTTTAGTTGGGGAAGATAGATTATCTGATTATTTTTATTCTGAGATATAAACAGAATTGTGATGGGATCGTAGGACAAGTACCAGCTCTAGCTGACTGGCGTAATAAGAGAGGGCTTTATAAAGGTGGTAAACACTGTGCTGAGATACGAAGTATCCTTTTGTTTCCTACATAAAGGAGGTGAAGAGAGGAATATGAGAGAAACATTCTAGGCCTGACACTTCCTATATTTTGTGATGGCTGGACAAGGACTTTATATGCAAGTCAAGCAGGGCCGAAGGCTTTGGGGTAACTGAAAGATTATTCAAGTGCAGAGTTAATTGGAAAGGGTGGAGACTCGAGGTGGGAACCTGGTAGGGAGACTTGCACTGGGCCCAGTGTGTGATGATGTAGTACCTAATGTGGAATAGTAGCTATGGGGATAAAGAGCATGGAAAAATGGAGAGATGCTTGAGATGTAGAATTGGTGGAGCTTGGAAACCAAATAGATCTGTGAGAAGAGATAAAAGAGATCATGTGGAATGTAGAATAATTTCCAGGTTTCTGCTGTTTTAGAGGGTGCCACTGCCTCAGAATAGGGTGTATTTAAGGAGAAGGAGGGTGGATTTGAAGAGGAAGCTTAATAGTTTTAGCTGTATTGTGTTGAAGATACATGTCAGAGTTGGAAGTAGAGAGGATGATTTGCGGGGGTGATGGGGGACGAATTGACAACATTTAGGTAATCATTTAAGCCACACATAGCATAAATTAAACTTGTGGGAGAATGAATATAGGAAGGAAGAAAAACCTCAAGGTGCGGAAACAGCCATAGAAGTAAGAAAATCATGAAGATGAAAGGTAGTAGAAATAGCTAGGAAGTGCTCCAAATAATTGCAGCAGAGAGAGACTTTTAAGGTTGTAGCCAACATTATCACAGACAGTGACGTTTTTTTCTTTTTCTTTTTTTGAAAGGTAGGTCATTGGTTGCTTCAGAGGTGACCAGTTGCAGAATGGATGTATGTATAAGCCAGATTGTAGTGATTTGAGGATTGAAAGGACAAAAGAGATTTTGGCCGTAACTGGAAGGACAGATAAAGATAATATCAGTATGTCATCATTTTCTCTTTGTTTTGTTTTCTTGTCTGTTTTTAAATATCTTAGAGATTTGAGTAATTTATTCCTTCAGGGGAATTAACAAATGAACAGCAAAGGTTAACATCACAATTAATAGAGTAAGCCAGCTATTGTCATAGAGTAGCCTAGCATAGTGCATCTCAGACTTTAATGGATATCTTGTTAAAATGCAGATTGTGGTTCAGTAGGTCTGGGCTGGAGTCTGAGACACAGCATTTCTGACAAGCTCACAATTGGTGCTGATGCTGCCTGTCTATGGACTACACTCTAAGAAGTAAGGCTCTAGAGAGTATGAGATTGATGCATTATAGGGGAGTTAGCCTTAGATAGAAAGAGGAACACCTCCTTTCTTAATTGAGGTGGAGTGTACGGTGGATGAAGGCACAGGAAATACAGATTAAATTTGCAGGCAAGAGACATGCCTGGTAGTCTTTGTTTTTTTCTGTGAAACAATAAGTAAAGCTATGCTATGAGAAGACTAGGAATGGGATTGTGTGAGCTTGATGAAAGTTGTGAAAGTTTGGAATAGCTACTAAGAGGAGGAAAATGAGTGAATTTGGGACATGTAATAATCGCTGAACAGTGAGGATTAGTTTGGTTATGGTGTCTGTAGAAATGGAGCAGACACAGACTAGTAATAAAGTAAAAAAGACTAGTAACGTAGATTTTTTTCTTTCTTTTTTTTCTTTTTTTTTTTTTTTTGAGACAGAGTTTTCGCTCTTGTTGCCCAGGCTGGAGTGCAATGGCATGATCTCGGTTCACCGCAACCTCCGCCTCCCAGGTTCAAGCGATTCTCCTGCCTCAGCCTCCCAAGTGGCTGGGATTACAGGCATGCGCCACCACACCCGTCTGATTTTGTATTTTTAGTAGAGACAGGGTTTCTCCATGTTGGTCAGGTTGGTCTCGAACTTCTGCCCTCAGGTGATCTGCCCATCTCGGCTTCCCAAAGTGCTGTGATTACAGGTCTGAGCCACCACACGTGGCCAAGAGATTGCTTATTTTTTTAAGATGATATGGTACTCTAGGGAAGTGGTAATGAGGTCTAAAGTAGAACAGTGTCCTCGAGAATGGAAGAGGAGGATGTGGTAGGCCGAATAATACTCACCCAACACCACACCCCCTCCAGGTGCCATGCCCTAATCTTTTCAATCTCTGACTGTTACACCTTACATTTTAAGAGGAACTTCGTAGATATGATTAAATTAAGTATGTTGATATGGCGGGGTTATTCTGGGTTATCTGGATGGGTCCTGTGTAATCACAAGGATTTTTATAAAAGAGAGGCTGTAGGGTCTAGTCAGAGAACTCACGTGATGACAGGAATAGGAGAGAGAAAATGTCATGATGAAAGTAGAGGCCCAGGTGATGTAAGGTTTTGAGCCAAGGAATGTAGACAGCCTGTGGAAGCTGGAAAAGGCAAGGGAACATTTTCCCAAGAGACTCCAGAAGGAACAAAGCTCTGGTGACATGTTGATTTTAGTTCACTGAGACTGATTTTGGACTTCTGACATGCAGAACTGCAAGAAAATAAATTTGTGTTGTTCTAAACTGCTGACTTTGTGGAGTTTTCTGTTACAACAACGATCAGACACATTCAGAGGGTATGGATATAAGGGAATAGTATAGAGTTAGAATCAGTAAAATGAGACAATTAAGAGGTTGTGGTATGGGAACTGGGAAACTAGATTTCTAGCCTGGGTAAATGAGTGGAGAGTAGTGAAATTAAAAATAGAGAATGGTAAGGAGTAGATGTTACAGGAGGGTATATTTGCTTTGCAAGTCATAATTTCAGGAACTGGTGAGAATAGTATTTTGCGTCTAGTAATATAGATTAGAGTGGAAGAAAATTTGAAACAAGGAGATGAATTTAAGAGGCTACCACAGTGCTGTTACATATAGTTAATAGAGCTGTTATAATAACGTTACATGACAAAATACACAGGATCATCACTTTATATAGTGATTTTCAGTTTGGGAGTCATATTCATACCTTTTTGGGGGGGTTAATAAGTTTTTGAAATGGACACAGCTGCTATTAGCATGAGAAATAAGCAGAGTGGAAACATTGGCCTCAAAGATGTTGTGGATAGCAGCTACTGTATTGGGCATCATATGTATAGAACATTTCTGTCATCCAGAAAGTTCCATTGAGTGATGCTGCTCTGTGTTATTTTCAACAGTGGAGGACTGGATATTATCAGTATTACAGTAAAATTTTTAGGACACAGTATTTGCTAATTAGAAATAATTTTCAGAAGACCTAGACTCCTGGAGAAACTGTGAGATAATAGTCAAGTGAACAATATACATTGCTCTCCAAGGAACACTAAATAGTCTAACAACGAGCACTAACCAGTTGGGTTTCAGGATACTGGGTTTTTATTCTGGTACTACTTTGTGTTGTGTGTATTTGGGAAAACCTGTTAGAAACATAGAAAGTTCTCTTCTTAAAGAGGTCCTGTAGCCTCTTAAAAACATCACAAGCAAGAAACAGGTAATATGTATTCATTAATTTCTACAACAGTGTCGGAATATTAGGAAAACATTTTTAGAAAGAAAAATCTTGGCTGGGTGCAGTGGCTCATGCCTGTAACCCTAGGCCAAAGTGGACAGATCACTTGAGTCCAGGAGTTTGAGATCAGCCTGGACAATATGGCGAAACCCCTATCCCTGCAAAACATACAAAAATTAGTCGAGTGTGGTGGTGCGCGCCTGTAGTCCCCGCTACTTTTGGGGGGTGGAGGTGGGACGATCACTTGACCCCAGAGGTCAAGGCTGCAGTGAGCCTTGTTTGCGCCACTGCACTCCAGCCTGTGCGAAAAAGTGAGAGACCCTGTCTTAAAAAAAAAAAAAATTATCTATTAAACAAGGAGGTTGGACCTGCTACCTACCTCCATTTCAGTTCTTTTAGTAAAACATTATCATGCCATAATTCATTATATAGTTTTAAAGATGCACTTCTCTCTTATTCTCATAACTTTTTATGGCTGAAATGTTAATCATTAGTAAAAATGGCCTAAACTGAAATTTGTTTAGTTTTAGGTTCCCAAACCATGTTTGTTATAAACAGTAAATATATTTTTGGAATTTATTAGCAAATCACAATATCTGAGAGAATGGAAACTTACTAAGACGAAATAAATAGTTTAAGGAAGGAACTTTTGTAGAGAAATAAAAGAGTTGGAGAGGAACGGAAGTTGTATGTAGAAGAATTCAGTTGATATAGTGATCAAATACTATAAAAAGTAGCTTCCAAAATATCTTTTTTTTTTTTTTTTTGAGACGGAGTCTCGCTCTGTCACCCAGGCTGGAGTGCAGCGGCACAATCTCGGCTCACTGCAAGCTCTGCCTCCCGGGTTCATGCCATTCTCCTGCCTCAGCCTCCCAAATAGCTGGGACCACAGGCGCCCGCCACTACGCCCGGCTAATTTTTTTTTTTTTCACTATTGTGTATTTTTTCTTTTTTCTTCTTTTTTTCTTTTTTTTTAATTATTATTATTATACTTTAAGTTTTAGGGGACATGTGCACAATGTGCAGGTTAGTTACATATGTATACATGTGCCATGCTGGTGTGCTGTACCCATTAACTCGTCATTTAGCATTAGGTATATCTCCTAATGCTATCCCTCCCCCCTCCCCCTACCCCACAACAGTCCCCAGAGTGTGATGTTCCCCTTCCTGTGTCCATGTGTTCTCATTGTTCAATTCCCACTTATGAGTGAGAACATGCGGTGTTTGGTTTTTTGTCCTTGTGATAGTTTACTGAGAATGATGATTTCCAGTTTCATCCATGTCCCTACAAAGGACATGAACTCATCATTTTTTATGGCTGCATAGCATTCCATGGTGTATATGTGCCACATTTTCTTAATCCAGTCTATCATTGTTGGACATTTGGGTTGGTTCCAAGTCTTTGCTATTGTGAATAGTGCCGCAGTAAACATACATGTGCATGTGTCTTTATAGCAGCATGATTTATAGTCCTTTGGGTATATACCCAGTAATGGGATGGCTGGGTCAAATGGTATTTCTAGTTCTAGATCCCTGAGGAATCGCCACACTGACTTCCACAATGGTTGAACTAGTTTACAGTCACACCAACAGTGTAAAAGTGTTCCTATTTCTCCACATCCTCTCCAGCACCTGTTGTTTCCTGACTTTTCAATGATTGCCATTCTAACTGGTGTGAGATGGTATCTCATTGTGGTTTTGATTTGCATTTCTCTGATGGCCAGTGATGATGAGCATTTTTTCATGTGTCTTCTGGCTGCATAAATGTCTTCTTTTGAGAATTGTCTGTTCATATCCTCTGCCCACTTTTTGATGGGGTTGTTTGTTTTTTTCTTGTAAATTTGTTTGAGTTCATTGTAGATTCTGGGTATTAGCCCTTTGTCAGATGAGTAGGTTGTGAAAATTTTCTCCCATGTTGTAGGTTGCCTGTTCACTCTGATGGTTGTTTCTTTTGCTGTGCAGAAGCTCTTTAGTTTAATTAGATCCCATTTGTCAATTTTGGCTTTTGTTGCCATTGCTTTTGGTGTTTTATTAGACATGAAGTCCTTGCCCATGCCTATGTCCTGAATGGTAATGCCTAGGTTTTCTTCTAGGGTTTTTATGGTTTTAGGTATAACGTTTAAGTCTTTAATCCATCTTGAATTAATTTTTATATAAGGTTTAAGGAAGGGATCCAGTTTCAGCTTTCTACATATGGCTAGCCAGTTTTCCCAGCACCATTTATTAAATAGGGAATCCTTTCCCCATTGCTTGTTTTTTCAGTAGAGATGGGGTTTCACCATGTTAGCCAGGATGATCTTGATCTCCTGACCTCGTGATCCGCCCACCTCAGCCTCCCAAAGTGCTGGGATTACAGGCGTGAGCAACTGCGCCCGGCCCCAAAATATCTTTATATAGAACAAAAGTTTTCTGAGTCTTTATCTCTGTTATTCAGATTCTGTCTAAAAGAGATTAATAGTTCAGAAGAATGAATTGTGTTGGGATTTTACCTATTATCTTTGTATCTCTTTTCTTAGATAAGATTCACTGATTGTAAATTTCAATTAAATATAGTTTATGTGTCTGAATGAAATTGATGACCAGAATCTTGCCAGTGTAGGAAAAGTTGATTTCCTACACTGCTTTCTTCTGCTGCTTACCTTTCTGCTACTCATCAGTATCTGATCAGGGGATAGAAACATGACGTATATCAGACTTGTTTGGAGCTCCAACAAAATCTGAAGGGAGAGGAAATTAAAAATGTGGCTGAGTATTTCATGTTATGACACTTTTGGTTCCTATATTAAAGTTAACCAAGTTATTTCACAACCAGCTTACAATCACTTCATATTTAGCCAAACATTTCTTCTCATTTCTATGTATAATTATAAGCTTATTGATATTAAAGTGTGGGTTTTTATGAAATGCTTCCTCAATACTGAACCTTAGTTGACCCAAAGCACATACTTGTTTTTGAAAGAGGGGGGTAGATGTTGAATTTGTGTTTGAGTTTATCCTAAACCTAATCATCATTTTGTTTTTGTCCTAGAATTAGAATGTTTCTAAACACTTCCCTCCACACTGTATTAATGTCAACTAAGAACGGAAATTTTCAGTGTCCAGGCACGGTGGCTCATGCCTGTAATCCCAGCACTTTGCGATGCCAAGGCAGGAGGATCCCTGGAGCCCAGGAGTTCAAGACCAGCTTGGGCAGCAGAGTGAGACCCTGTCTCTACAAAGTTAGCTGGGCATGGTGGCGCACACCTGTTGTCCCAGCTACTCAGGAAGCTGAGGTGGAGGATTGCTTTAGCCCAAGAAGTCGAGGCTGCAGTGAGCTGTGGGTAGTATCTCTGCACTCCAGCCTGGGTGACAGTGAGACCCTGTTTCAAAAAAAAAAAAAAAATTATCTGCCTATTTATTATTTTTTTTGAATTAAAAAAATTCACGAAATAAAAATTTAAAAAAATTTTGTGGGTGCATAGTAGATGTATATATTTATGGGTTACATGAGATATTTTGATACAGGCATGCATGCATATTAGTCATGTCAGGGTAAATGGGGCATCCTTTTATCCTTTGTGTTACAAGCATTTATCCTTTGTGTTACAGACAATCCAACTATCCTCTTATGGTTTTTTGTAAATGTACACTTAAATTATTTTTGACTGTTGGCTGGGTGTGGTGGTTCACACCTGTAATCCCAGCACTTTGGGAGGCCGAGGCAGGCAGATCACCTGAGGTCAGGAGTTCGAGACCAGCCTGGCTAACATGGTGAAACCCTGTCTCTACTAAAAATACAAATACTAGCCAGGCATGGTGCAGGCATGCCTGTAGTATCAGCTATCAGGAGGCTGAGGCAGGAGAATCGCTTGAACCCAGGAGGCAGGATAATCGCTTGAACCCGGTAGGCAAAGGCTGCAATGAGCCGAGATTGCACCACTGCACTCCAGCCAGGGCTGGAGCGAGACTCTGACTAAAAACAAAAAAAAAAAGAAAAAAAATGTGACTATAGTCAGCCTATTGTGCTAGCAAATAGTAGGTCACCTTCATTCTTTGTATTTTTTGTGCCCATTAACCCTCCCCCGACCCTCCACCATGTCACTACCCCTCCAGCCTCTGGTAACCGTCCTTCTACTCTCTATCTCCATGAGTTGAATTGTTTTAATTTTTAGCTCCCACAAATAAGTGAGAACATGCAAAGTTTGCCTTTCTGTGCCTCACTTATTTTACGTAACATGATGACCTCTAGTTCCATCCATGCTGTTGCAAGTGACGGGATCTCATTTTCTTTTTATGGCTGAATAGTACTAGATTGTTTATATGTACCACATTTTCTTTATCCATTCATCTGTTGATGGACACTTAGGTTACTTCCAAATCTTGGCTAATGTGAATAGTGCTGCAATAAACATGGGAGTGCAGGTATCTCTTTAGTATTATTGATTTCCTTTCTTTGGGGTATGTACCTAGGAGTGGGATTGCCGAATTATAAGATAGCTCTAGTTTTAGCTTTTTGAGGAACCTCCAAACTGTTCTTCACAGTGGTTATACTAATTTACATTCCCATCTACAGTGTACAAGGGTTCCCTTTTCTCCACATTCTCGCCAGCTAGCTCCTTGGCAGTGTGTTAATGTGTTAACCTGCCTACTTTAGAGTTAAAAAAAATGCTGAGTTTCAGACCTGAGTTGTAGATAAAAATAGAATCCAACTCAGATCTTATAAGAGACTTTAATGCAGGGACTACAGAGGTGCCGTGGATTAAGGGAACCCATAAGGCATGTTTTTACTAGCAGCAGAGAAGCCCAAAGGGCCAGGAAAAATACAGTGTTATTGGAGTCTCTT
The DNA here is from genome assembly GCF_000001405.40 of Homo sapiens. NCBI lineage: Eukaryota > Metazoa > Chordata > Mammalia > Primates > Hominidae > Homo > Homo sapiens. Next base: position 39,985,865 of record NC_000007.14, read on the forward strand.
GAGAGCTGTGAAGAGGGTGCCTCACAGCAACCATGGCGGTGGAGGGATGCAGCTTCTTCCAGAAAATGTGGCCATGAGGAGGGAGGGAGCTAGGAAGAAATAATCCAGCCTTTCTCTGCCTCCTTCTGTCAGTGGCAGAACAGCCCTGGAACTCAGAAGGCATATCTGTTGGGGTCAGCATCATTGGGCACAGAGTAGGGCAGAAAGGTATTGGGAGATAGGGCAGTTGTAGTAAGATAATAAGCAACACAACTACTAATGAGTTCAGGTGTTGACTTCAGGTAACGTAATATTTTACCCAATTTCTTATCTGTTAACTATGCATACTTTACTGGGTTGATGAGGGCATTAAATGAGATAATGTGAAAGTACTATCATAATGTCTTTGTCTTGTGAGTATATTTTAAAAGTCTTGGTAATGCATGGATTTGAAAACCTCAGCTTCCTTTCACTTGGTACTGTGTTAAATTTGTGGGAACTTTGCTTGCCACTATACTTTTAAATATATGTTTTCCAATAATTTTTGAGAAGTGAATGGCCTCATTATTATCAAGTAGTTTCCAAGATTTAGTTTGTCATTGTTTTATAGAGCCAGAAGCCTGAAAACCTAAGTCCTAGTTCAGACTATACTACTATTTGTGGCATAGTTCTTTGTGGGAATTATTTTTACTTTGCCTCTCTGTGCTTTTCCTTTCTAAGAAATTGAGTAATAATACTTAACTAGTAAATGTTTAATATTATGGTAAAATAATAGTTGTCAAGTACTTTGAAGACTTAAATGATATGTATATTAACTTTTTTACTCTCATTCATTTTGAAAAGTATCAGAGCCTCAGATTAAGAGTGATTGGATAGTTTTTACTTTGTTGCATTTTCTGTGTGAAATTATGTAGCTCATAAGCTATTATCTTGTATATGTGTGTTTACGTGAGTAAAGTGATTATGCTTATGTCTATTTTAGTTACTGTGTGTGAATGTAATTTTTTAATTTTTTTGAATGGAGCCCTCCGCCTCCCAGGTTCAAGTAATTCTCCTGCCCTAGCCTCCTGAGTGGCTGGGACTACAGGCGTGTGCCACCATGCCGGGCTAATTTTTATAGTTTTAGTAGAGACGGGGTTTCATTCACTATGTTGGCCAGGCTGGTCTCGAACTCCTGACCTCGTGATCCGCCCGCCTTGGCCTCCCAAAGTGCTGTGATTACAGGCGTGAGACATCACGCCTGGCTGTAAATTTTCTTAAAACTATCTTTCTGAAACGAACTCTAAGAGACTCTACTTATTGCCCAGTAGTAAGTCTTGTCTTTTTCACTCTTGCCATAGACAGAGCACTGCTTACTTCTGAACTTACAGTTGAGGAAGGTACTTTTGAGATGTGGCAACTGTCTCCTGGTAAAAGATTTGTCAGACTTTACCCTGCTGCTACTACTACCATTGATGTAGCCTTATTGCCTACTTCTTTTTTCTGAGACAGCAGTGATGCCTTGTCACATTTTTCGTCCTAATTTTTACATTTGTAGACCAGAGCGAGATCAGGGCAATCCATTTTGAAGAAAACTATGATCACCAAATAATACTCTACTTTAAAGAAATTTTTATTTTTCAAAACTTCAAAAATGTAACTTTGAAATTAAGTAAATTTCTATTTTATTTCATAAACTTGAATTAGCACTGTCTTTGTAAATTCCAAACTGAACCTTTCTCAATTACTGATTAAATCTTAATTATTTCTCACCAGACGGTCTGGAAAATCCCGAAGCAGAAGCCCGTATTCATCTAGGCATTCAAGATCTCGTAGCAGGCACAGATTGTCTAGATCCAGAAGTCGTCATTCTAGTATTTCTCCTAGCACACTAACTCTGAAGAGTAGCCTGGCAGCTGAATTGAACAAGAATAAAAAAGCACGAGCAGCAGAGGCAGCAAGAGCCGCAGAAGCAGCGAAAGCTGCAGAAGCAACTAAGGCTGCTGAGGCTGCTGCCAAGGCTGCAAAAGCTTCAAACACTTCTACACCTACCAAGGGGAACACGGAAACTAGTGCCAGTGCATCACAAACAAACCATGTGAAGGATGTGAAGAAAATTAAAATTGAACATGCACCTTCTCCCTCAAGTGGTGGAACTTTAAAAAATGACAAAGCAAAAACAAAGCCACCTCTTCAGGTAACGAAGGTGGAAAATAATTTGATTGTAGATAAAGCCACCAAGAAAGCAGTCATAGTTGGAAAGGAGAGTAAATCTGCTGCTACAAAGGAGGAATCAGTATCTCTTAAAGAGAAAACCAAACCACTTACACCAAGCATAGGAGCCAAGGAGAAGGAGCAACATGTAGCTTTAGTCACCTCTACATTACCACCGTTACCTTTGCCTCCCATGCTGCCTGAAGATAAAGAAGCTGATAGGTAAGTGCAAAAAGTATTTGTCAATAACTGTTCAAAGAAAAAATGTAAGTCTGAAGTGAGAAATGAGTTGACCTCCCCTAACCCCCTCGAAACAACTTTAGTGAAAAAGACTACAAGTGAATGAATTTTCTTGATTATATGCATCTTAAAATGAAGCACATTGCATACAAGATGGCAAAATTAAAGTTTATACTAAGACATTCAGGGAAAAATTGCCATTGTCTTGGGATACAATGAATATTTCAATATGATTTTGGGTATTAGAAATGCCAGTATTCTCTTTGGTTTAGTTTTCCTTGATGATGTAATCAGAGACAGAATATTTTATGAATAAGTTGGCCCTAGTTAATATACATCTCACAAGCATTTGTCTCATTTATTTCTAAGTTTCTTCAGTGGCCTTGTAAATTTATCACTGTCAGTGATTTTGTTATCACTTTTTAGTTTAGTCTTTTCTTAACTCTTTTAATTAAAAAAAAATTTTTTTAGCCTGTCTTGCAGTTGGGATTAATCACATTATATTATAGAAAACTCATAATGTGGCCAGGCCTGGTGGCTCAAGCCTGTAATCCCAGCACTTTGGGAGGCCGAGGCGGGTGGATCACCTGAGGTCAGGAGTTCAAGACCAGCCTGGCCAACATGGTGAAACCCCGTCTCTACTAAAAATACAAAAAACTTAGCTGGGCGCAGTGGCAGGTGCCTGTAATCCCAGCTACTAGGGAGGCTGAGGCAGGAGAGTCACTTGAACCTGGGAGGTGGAGGTTGCAGTGAGCCGAGATTGCGCCACTGCACTCCAGCCTGGGTGACACAGTAAGACCGTGTCTCACCAAAAAAAAAAAAAAAAAAAAAAAAAGAGAAAATTCATAATGTGATTATGCTTTCCTTTAAGATGTTTAAAAATTTCTATTATGAACAGTGAGGGTATGGCTTATTTTTTATTGAGAAACATATTCTTAAGAGGCAGTAAAAATACAGCTAAGAATGTTTCTTTTTTGTATCCTAGTGTAGAAAAATTAGACTTGTGTGGTTTATCTGCCTGTTACACCACCTAGCTGTTTTTATTTTTATGAAGAAATTAGAGCTTCCACCCCCTCCCACTCCCCATTAAAAAGCAACTATATGAGTAGTTTTCCTAGCTGATTTTTTTTTTTTTAATAGATTTTGAAGTCAGATGGATAAAAATGCCATGTGGACAAGTGCTTACTTTGGCATTATGAAAATTTTATAATTTAACACAAACAAAAGTGAAATAATAATTCTTGAGTTTCATGCCCTTTGAGGTGCCTTTTTAAAAATAATCAAAATGTTGTTGGGAGACCCCATCCAATTTAATCGGGTGTTATTTAATTATACTACTATAATTGTTGTATTTGCAGGTTTGACTGTTCTCAGGGAACGCTGAAGGTTCATAACAGTAGTGATTTGTAATTGTGAGGCTTGAGTGTGGAATTGAATTACTTCATTAGAGAGTAACCAGTTACTGAGAATCCATGTTTCATTGAGACTGGTGTTTCTCTACTTTATCCTTTTTTTTTTTTTTTTGAGACGGAGTCTTGCTCTTTTGCCGAGGCTGGAGTGCAGTGGCGCTCTCTCGGCTCACTGCAAGCTCTGCCTCCTGGGTTCATGCCGTTCTTCTGCCTCAGCCTCCCGAGTAGGTGGGACTACAGGCGCCCGCCACCAAGCCCGGCTAATTTTTTGTATTTTTAGTAGAGACGGGGGGCTTCACCATGTTAGCCAGGATGGTCTCGATCTCCTGACCTCACGATCCACTTGCCTTGGCCTCCCAAAGTGTTGGGATTACAGGCGTGAGCCACTGCGCCCAACCTACTTTATTCTTCATGTATGCTTTAGGAGTAAATTTTTACTAGGTTATTTTCAAGAACTCTTACGTATACATGTGAGTGCTTAATGAGGATATTCCTTATGCATCTGTCTTTAATTAGTTGGTGGCACATTTAATTCTTGTTCATTACTTTTTTTTTTTGATTCACCTTTTCTGTCTCCTCTCCTTTTCCCCCTTTTTGTTGTCTCTTCTTTCTTTGAATGTGTTTGTATGTTTAATGGATACGGAAGTTTCTAAAGATTCATGAGCACTTCTACTACATGTCTGTGTGGCCAAAGATTAACTCATCACCAATGGAACTTTCCTTATTTTGATGTCTATAATTTACCTAAATGTATGTACTAACTACATATGAGGAAGAGACTTGATATTGTTTTACTTTTTATAAAAGTTTTTAGGTGATTAAATAAAAATGTATTGTAAAAAGAAATGGTTAGAAGTGATTACTTTTGGAAATAAATGGGCGCTGAAGGGAATGGATGGCACAGGAGACTTATTTTATATTTACTATTTATAATACTGTTAGAAGTACAATAACATTTGTTAGTGGGCTGTAGTAGAAAGCTTAGTTTTTAGTGCCAGTTGTACCTCTTACTACTCTCATGAGTTAATCTTTCTGTGCCCCAGTCCATAGTTCTATTCATGGGTGAAAATATTTACAGTTTAACCTCACAGATTAGTTGTAAAGATTAAATTAGTTGATGGACTGAATTTTGCAAGCTGTAAAGTGTTATGCATCTCAGTTATTGTAATTAGTCATAGTATAAATCAGCACTGCTGGAAATACTACAGATATTTAAAACTGCTTTAGATTATTGAAAAAAAGTAAAAATTACAAAATATGATTTACATTGTATAATATATAAACCATTATATGTGTAACATGTAGATCCGGTGTGTAACGAATAGACCTAGTGCTTCATTTGAAAAGGATTGGTTTTTGTAAAAGAGGAACTATTGGTTGGTTTTCCATCCCCTTTTATAATGAAGGGGGACCACCCCCAGGCCATTTTTTTCATGTATCTGAAAGTAATGCTCTTGGTAATTTTGTTTACAAGTTTCTTTTTAGTAACCATTGTATACTTTTTGTTTTTTGCTGAACAGCTATTAGTTGAAAGTGGTTTATAAACTATTTCTCTTGAGGTAAAGAAACAATCTTTTCTGTTACAACATACTTTAGGAAACCCGAATATGGGAGGTATCTTTATTTACTTGTTACTCACTGTAAATGTAAAGATCACTTTAAAGAAGAGTGAGTAATGGTCTGCATAATCTCATTGCTGTATCTTAAGGAAAGCTTTTGATCTTTGCTTTCTTTGAGCATGCCTGTATCTATATTCCTGGTTGACTTTCACTGTTGTATCCACAAATACATTAGCAAAAGTGTGTGTGTGTGTGTGTGTGTGTGTGTGTGTGTGTGTGTTTTGGATGGCCTCTTGATTTTGCAAACCTGTACTCCACTTGCTTTTGCTGTTTTATTATATGTCCAAGTAAATTCTCCCCTTCCCTCATAAATTCTTTATTTTTAAAATATTCAAGCACTTAGAAAAATTGAAATAATAATACAATTAGCATCTGTGTAACTACTGGAACTACTGGATGGAAGTTATCCATCTAGATTAACGAAGTGTTAACATTTTGTTTTATATGCTCCATCTCAGCAGGTGTGGTGGCTCACAGTTGTAATCCCAAAGTGTAATAAGCACTTTGGGAAGCCAAGGTGGGCAGATGGCTGAATCCAGGAGTTTGAGAGGAGCCTCGGCAACATGGTGAAACCCCATCTCTTCAAAAAATACAAAAATTAGCCTGCTGTGGTGGTGCAGGCCTGTAGTCCCAGCTACTTGGGAGGCTGAGGTGGGAGCATCACCTGAGCCCAAGAGGTCGAGGATGCAGTGAGCTGTGATTGCACCACTGCACTCCTGCCTGGGTGACAGAGTGAGACCCTGTCTCAAAAAAAGGAAAAAATTATACACACACACACACACACACACACACACACACACGCACACACACACACAAGCACACACGCTCCATCTCTAGTTGTTTAAGAGAACTAATGAGGGTGTGTGTGTGTGTGTGTGTGTGTGTGTGTGTGTGTGTATACACTTCTCCCCGAGATGAAGTCTTGCCCTGTTGCCCAGGCTGGAATGCAGTGGCGCCATCTAGGCTCGCTGCAACCTCCGCCTCCTGGGTTCAAGCAGTTCCCCTGCCTCAGCTTCCGGAGTAGCTGGGGTTACAGGCGCACACCAGCATGCCCAGCTAAATTTTGTATTTTTAGTTGAGATGGGGTTTCACCGTGTTGGCCAGGCTGGTCTCAAACCCCTGACCTTGTGATCCTCCTGCCTCGGCCTCCCAAAATGTTGGGATTACAGGCATGAGCCACCGCTCCCAGCTGTGTATACTTTTCTTTTTACTATACTGTAAATACTTAAGTCATCTCCCAAGAATAAGGTCAGTCTCCTGCTTGATCACAGTATCATTGTGATAACAAGGAAATCAACAGTAGTTAATCTAACAGAAATAAATAATAATATCATCCACTATATATAATCAATAATCAGTACTCCCCCCCTACCCCCTGCCCCCAGCCCTATGACTTTTTGAAGAGTCTAGGCCAGTAATCTTACAGAATGTCTCACCTTTGGATTTATCTGATTATTTCTTCTTGGTATCGTTTAACTTGTTCTTCTCTAACCCCTTTATTTCCCATAATCTGGAAATTACTTGTGCTTTGTTTATATAAAGAATACACAGTTTTTTAGCCAGAATATTTAAGAGGTGATTTTATGTACTTTATGCTGTTGTTACAGGAGGACCAAAATATCAGATTGTTTTACTCTACTAGTAGTGATGTGATCACTTGGTTAAGGTGATGAGCAACGTTAAGGTCTCTCCATATATGAGGGTGCATTTTCCTCTTTGCAATTAGAAGTGAGCTGTAGGGTAATATTTTTGGCAGTGATTGAATATCCTTTTTCCCAACAACCTATCACCTAATGGTTTAGCAACCGTTAATGGTATTTGTCTAATTCAGTTACTGTAGTAGGGACTGCACATGGTGATTTTTTTTTCCATTGCTGCTGCACAAATTAAAAATGGTTATTTTCTAATTCTGCCATTCCTTTTAACATTAGCTGGCCTTGTTTTGTAAATACGTGTTTCCCCATATCCCATTTAATCATTCTACTCTCATGGATTTTTATTTATTTTCTGTGTTACAAATAGTAATAGCCACTACTCTTTTTTACCCTCACATTGTCCGAAATTTGGCCAGTGGAAGCTCCTATAAGCTGACTCCTTTATTCTTTTGACATGACCTCGTTTGTTTTTTTGTGTTTCCTTGCTTTCTAGTTAAAGGTATATGTTAGGTTCACTTTGAATTTTGCTTCATTCTCAAAATTACAGTCTGTTTTCCCACAAAATCATGAGATAGATGGTAATCTGTGTGTTTTCACAGAATGTAGTTGTTTTATTATTATTTTTAAAATTAGAATCATACCATGGATAATGTTTCTTGACTTGCTTTTTCATTTAATATGTTAGAGATCTTTCCATGTTGGTATAGATGGGCCCAATATTCTTATTACAGGAATGGATGTATCGTGTTCTTCTGTTGATTAATGGATACTTAGGTTTATAATTATTCGCTATTAAACTCTCCTTATATATTAATATTTTGTGTATATTTAGGTAATTTTTATAGGATAGTTACATGTCAAAGTATACACATTAAAAATTTGATACAAACTGTCACATTATGTCTTAGTAAGGCTGTGTAACAATTTATGCACCCAGATGTATGAAATTGCCTTAACAGTTTTGGATAGTGTCAATTTTGACAGTCTTTAAAATATGTAATTAATTTTGCATTTTTCTGATAATAAGGTATGGTATTTTCTTGAATGTTTATTGGTTGTTTATTATTTTTCTGGTGAATTGCTTGCTTGTATTCTGTGCTGGATTTTCCTTAAAGTTGTTTCCCTTTTTCGAATTGATGTTTAGTAGATATGTTAGGGATGTTGACCTTTGCTTCTCAGAGTCTGTTGCTTATTTTTGACATTTGTTTTGCTTTTGGTTATATGAATGTTTTCCATTTTTATCTAGTCAAATCTATTATTCTCTTTCCTTTAAAACTTCTAGGTTTATAAAATTTAAAAAGGTTAAGTCAGATCTGATAGAAGTTTGGTTTTGGTTATTGTGTAAAGAAGTGTTCTGATTCTTCACTCCCCCCAACCCAGTGTTGTTACTGGTACCGTTTATTGTATAATTCATCTCACTAATTTCCATATATAAAAATTCTTACATATATCTGTTTCTCTACTTTCTTTTCTTTTAACATATTGTATTTGTCAGTATCTTAACTGTTGTAGTGTCTTTAGATACATTCTATATTGGCTCCCAAACTCAAATTTCTATTTTAGGGGCAGACAGTAATATAAAAATGAAGGGGATGGAGTAAATTAGTGATGCGTAAATGGCTCTGCTGTTGAGCCTCAACATCAATGTTGCTCTACAAGAATTTAAGCTTGTCTTAGAACTTTTGCTTTTTTAAAAGAGGAAGCCTAGAACCTGAATATTATGTAAATCTTTGGATTTAAAATTACAATTCATAGTTCTTTATAAAACATTGGATAGACTGAGTAATATATATCCTTTGACTTCAGCCACCGTTTGGCTTTTAGTTCTGGATCTCTGAATAGGTTGACAGGGCAAATGCCACTTAATTTTTCTTTTTGAGAAACTTCTTGGCAGTTCTTTTGCCGTTATTCTTAGACAAATTTTATAATCAGGTTGTCAAGTTGTATTTAAAAAAAAAAACAACTCTTCCTTGAATTTTTTTTGGAACTCTATTAAATCTAATACAGTCATAATTTGGAGACAGCTTTATAATATTAGTTTCCCATATTAAAACATGGTTTCTTTTCATTCGTTCAGATCTAATTTTATTTCTTCAGTCAAATGTTTTATTTTTTTCTGTTGCTGGTGTGTATTTCTTTTTAAGGCATTTTATTTTTGTTGCTGGGGTGTATAGAAGTGTTTTTAAAAAGCTCATTTTCTATTTTATTATTGCAAATATTCAATAAAAATGTTTTAAATTATGTAACATTGTTCTTGGAAAGTAATATTCGATAATACACTGGACATTTAATATAGATAGTCTTTTAAGTTTTAAATTATAAGTGAAATTAAGACTTTAGTTTTTTGCTCTAAAAAATGTTGATTTGAATCTTCAAATAAGAACTCTTGACTAAAGCCTCATTACAAGTTAGAGACTATAGTTTCCTAAATAAGTTATTCTAAATAGGCCTATTTTCAGTTGGCATTCAGGTGATACCTTTTCTAGAAAGAAGCCTTTACTGTATTTCAGACCTGATTTAGCCACCCTTTAGCTACTTCATTACTCTAGGAATCTGTTTGTGTAACACTTTATCCTACTTCCTACCTGTCTTCCAGACTGTAAGCTCTTTTTGAAAGAAACTATAGCTTAATGTGTTTGTTGTTAAATTTCCAGTGCCTTACAAATACCTAGCACATGGAAGCTCACAACCAATATTTGCTGAATGGAGGGAGAGGCAAATTGAGAAGTGGGCTGTGTAATATATTACTTTAAAAATAAAACTGCAGGCCTGGCATGGTGGCTCACGCCTGTAATCCCAGCTCTCTGGGAGGCCGAGGCAGGTGGATCATCTGAGGTCGGGAGTACAAGACCAGCCTGGCCAACATGGTGAAACCCCATCTCTACTAGAAATACAAAAAAATTAGCCGGGCATGGTGGCACGCACCTGTAGTCCCAGCTACTCAGGAGGCTGAGGCAGGAGAATCGCTTGAACTCGGGAGATGGAGGTTGCACTCCGTCTGGATCATGCCACTGCACTCCAGCCTGGGTGACAAAGCAAGACTGTCTTAAAGAAACAAAACAAAACTACAAACCAATTTGTTTTAAAGCATGTTTTTTCTCTGTTAAAGAACCTTCCAGTGAGTAACACAGGACATAAATTTACTATGATAATTAAGTCGTTTTTATCAGATGGTATTATTAAGTTGTTTTTATCAAGTGGTATTAAAGGATTCATTTGTTTTACAGTATTATTCAACACGAATAGGAGGATAATTACAATTACATTATTTACATTGATAATATCTTCAGTAATTTCTGATCACAGCAGTGTAGTTGCAATAAATTTTTTCATTATGGGACTCAACTGCTATGAAAGTATGTGAAGTCCAAATTTTATTATCATTATGAGATTCTCTTTCAACATGTCACATTATATTAGATGACAGACTTTGTCATATCAGGGAAATTTAAAATAAATTGCCAAGTTAAGATATACTTTAAAACTCAGAGCTCTTTATGCATTCATAAAAAGTACAAAGCTAATGGAGTTTAAATTTCAGCTGTAATTCTAGAAAGCTGGAATCTTAAAAAAATTAGAAGAATAATTGTCCAATTTAGAAAAATTAATTAACCCTGAAAAGGGTCAAAGCTGAATTAGCTGTTGCTTGTGGTTATTTAAATGGGCAAGATAAATATTATCATGTGCTTTCTTTTATTTCTTACGGTAAAATGTTTTGTGTCTCTACCAGAATCAAACTAAATGCTTTGCAGCTGAGCGTTGTGAGGCCAAGGCGGGTGGATCACTTGAGGTTGGGAGTTCAAGACCAGCCTGGCCAACATGGTGAAACCCCGTCTCTATTAAAAATACAAAAATTAGCTGGTTGTGGTGGCGGGCACCTGTAATCCCAGCTATTTGGGAGGCTTGAGACAAGATAATCGCTTGAACCCAGGAGGTGGAGGTTGCAGTGAGCCAGGATCTTGCCACTGCACTCCAGCTTGGGTGACAGTGAGATTCCATCTCAAAAAAAAAAAAAAAGAAAAAAAAAAAGAAAAATGCTTTGCAAAACTGAGTTTTTATGCAAAGCATGTTTAGTTGATTTTCAATTTTAATGTACAGTTTTATAGTTAATTCTGTATCGTTTTAAAAAATAAACTTTATTTTTATAACAGTCTTACATTTATAGAAAAATTATGAAGATACTACAGGGACCCTGAATACCCCGTACCCAGTTTCTTTACTGTTAATATCTTACATCAGTATGGTACATTCGTTAACAATTAATCAATATTGATACAAAGTTATCATTAAAGTTCCTACTTTATACAGATTTCCTTAGTTTTTACCTAATTCTATATCATTTTTACTCCAAATTTTGCATTATACAGTTGAGTATAGTGTATTACTTTAGCTGGAAAGAAACTTGGACAATAGTCTTATAATGTGAAATACTGTTGAATATTCATGACTATTGCTACTTAAATGTAAGTCATAAGCATATTTTTATTAGTCAACAAAATTTTTGTTTTATTTGTCTGACTTCTTTCACTTTCAGCTTACGAGGAAATATTTCAGTAAAAGCAGTTAAAAAAGAAGTAGAAAAGAAACTCCGATGTCTTCTTGCTGATTTACCGCTGCCCCCTGAGCTACCAGGAGGAGATGATCTTTCAAAGAGTCCAGAGGAAAAGAAAACAGCAACACAGTTACATAGTAAAAGGAGGCCTAAGTATGTGCTTGCTTTCTACCTGCTCTTAAATTGACCAGCAGTGATTCTGGGTCATCAGAAGTTCATAAAACACTAAATTAAGGTTTAAAATAAAAAATGTACTTATTCTTTCAACTTAAATATATGAATTCTATTAGAGTTTTGAAAAAAATCATAATTGCTTGCATTCCTATTCACAATGACTAATAAAACCAAATTTAATTTTCTCTCGTAATTTGTAATGTATTAATTTCCTGGGGTATTGTATATGTTAAAGATACTTTCTGTTATTAAGAGATTGAAATAACACAAACACTGAAATTGGGCAGAGTAGAAGTCAGCATTTAGTGAGACCAAATAAAATTAGTAATGGGCAAGCTGCTGTTTCCTTTGCTTTTAGCTCCATTTTCTCCCATAAACAAATATATTCTTCACTTTGCAAGAGATGGAGTAGAAGAAGTTTTGAAATTTGTATCCTAAATTAGCTTCAAGTAAGTGCCTAAAGAGACCTCTTTCCCTTAAAACCTGTTAATCAGTTAAAGGCGGGGAACACTGGTGCCTTTTTTTTTTTTTTTTTAACTTCTTAACCAAGGGACAGTGAAGACTTTAAGTTAGATCTGATTTTAGAATTGCAGTTGAGGTAGTGCCTAGTGTGTGAATTTGAGGTCATTTTCTAAACTGGCCGGGCACAGTGGCTCATGCCTGTAATCCCAGCACTTTGGGAGGCCCAGGTGGGAGAATCACTTGAGTCCAGGAGTTTGATACCAGCCTGAGCAACACAGGGAGACCCCATCTCTACCAAAAAAAAAAAAAAAAAAAAAAAAAAAAAGCCGGGTGTGGTGGTGCATGCCTGTGGTTCCAGCTACTCAGGAGGCTAAGGCAGGAGGATCACCAGAGCCAAAGAGGTCAAGGCTGTAATGAGCTGTGATCGTGTGCCACTGTACTCCAGCCTGGGCGACAAGGCAAGACCCTGTTTCAAAAAAATAAGATAAAATAAAATAGCTAAAAAATACTCTCTTCTTGAGCACTGTAGTTTTATTCTTTTACTTGAATTTCTGTGATTTACTATAATATTAAAATACTACAAAATTATGTATCTTTTTGAAGAATGTAAGATTTTTGTCCTACCTGTCCATTTGTATCTGCTTAAACGTGGCTTCCTGAGAGTTGGTTATATTAATATCTTTTGTACTCTCTTAGACTGAAAAATCTTTTTTTTTTGATGTTTTTCAGATGATTTCATCCAGTCATAAGTCTAAATTTGTCAATAAGTTTTATAGTTAGATTTTTGTTCACATTCTTTATCAAACTCTTGTTTCGTAAAAGTAGATTATATATATTATTGTTAATGGATGCAAAATAAAACTTTCTGGAGATTGGTTAGAGAATTTTGACTCTACTAGTGTTGGTTTCATCTTCTCACTGAAAAATTATATTTTATTTCTGAAAAGCCTTCATACAAGCTCTACTACTTTTTTTCTCAGTTTAAATACTTGTCTACAGAAGAAGAGTCAGTATGTAGAAATGATACCTCAGTTTTTACGATAACTTACAATACCAAATCAGTGTTACTTGTTTGGGATAGATGATGATAAATACTGCAAGGGTAGGGAAAAATAAAGAATATACAATTGGGTGGCGAGTAGATATTGAGTTATTAGACAGTTTATTCAATTTGCTTGATTGTATATAAAAACTTTAGAACTATATTTGATAGAATATGTGGGCCTCGCTATGGTGAAACCAAAGAAAAAGATATTGACTGGGGAAAACGCTGCGTGGATAAATTTGATATCATCGGAATTATTGGAGAAGGTACTTACGGACAAGTTTACAAAGCCAGGGATAAAGACACTGGTAAGAATGCCAAGTTCTGGGGATCTTTGGGCCTACGGAATGTACTTAGTTTGTGTTTCTCTTCTGATGTTTGGCTTCAGAAATTTTCCAAAAAATTAAATTCAATTTTATTGTGCTTTTGTTTCATCTTGTTTTTTTATTCTATATATGCATTTTGTAAGATATGAGTACATGTAAGTGGGTCTGTATATGTGTATATTTTAAAAAGTGTTCCTTTAGTATTTGTGATATACTGTATGGTAGGATTTAGTTTTTCTTTCCTCTTTTATGGTGAATAATTCTTATACTGTTATTAATCAGAGGGAAAGGTATCTTGACCTGAATTAATTTTAGTAGTAAATTTTTTTTGTCATAAGCCTTACACAACACTTTCATTTAGCCTTCAGTTTTTTTTCCTGCAGTAACTATCCTTGGAGGCCAGTTTTAGCAGCTTAATCTTTCAGAACATAATCAGGAATTCAGAGAAAGTTTTAAAAGGCTTCACAGGAGAGCAAAAAGTAGCTGTGTCAGAAGCTATGTATTTTACTTAATAATGCATAGAGCTAGTATTTTATCTTTCTTTACTCATAACTGCTTATTGAAATAAACCAATAGGCCGGGCGTGATTGCTCATGCCTATAATCCTAGCACTTTGGGAGGCTGAGACAGGCAGATCACCTAAGGCCAGGAGTTCGAGACCAGCCTGGCCAACATGAAGAAACCCTGTCTCTACCAAAGACACAAAAGTTAGCCGGGCATAGTGGCACATGCCTGTAAACCCAGCTACTCGGGAGGCTTGAGGCTTGAACCCAGGGAGTGGAGGTTGTAGTGAGCTGAGATCACACCACTGCACTCCAGCCTGAGCGACAGAGCGAGACTCCATCTCAGAAAATAATAAAATAAAAACACAAAAATTAGCCAGGTGTGGTGGTGGGCACCTATAATCCCAGCTACTTGGGAGGCTGAGGCAGGAGAATTGCTTGAACCTTGGAGGTGGAGGTTGCAGTGAGCCGAGATTGGACCACTGCACTCCAGTCAGGGCCACAGAACGAGACTCTGTCTCAAAGAAAGAAACAAATAGATTAAAATAGCACAGCTATTAGAGGCCATATAGTATATGGGAGATGACCTTACGGTTAGAAACTACTGAGGGCAATTACTGCATAGAGTAATAATTGGTGTTTATAATGATGTGTTATCAAAAAGATTAAATGACAACTTTTAAAACTGTTAAGTAAAACGGACTCATACACAATATAGAAGGCATTCCATAAAAATTAATAGAATAAGTTTAATGATTAAAAGAATATGCTTCCTTCTTTTAGAAAATTTGTAAGAACATTTTTTTTCTCCAAGGAAGTGGAATGAACAAACCTTTATTATAGTGAATTTTTTCTTGTAATAGGCTTCGTGTATGTGTGTATATTTCATTTTCTATTTGGATCATTTCTGATACAAAGCTGACTCATACTTAAATTATGTGGCAATTTAGTGTAGTGGGGAAGAACATATATTTTTGAGACAAGTAACTGGATTTTGAATTCCAGTTTTACTGCTAGGTAACTGGCCAGGTTTGGTCAAGTAATATGTCTGAGCGTATTTTTTTCACTGATAGAGTTTTTCTTCTCTGTTCAGAGAAATTTTTATGCATACATAAGCATATTGGCTATATTTGTCTTTCCCTCGTTTACTTAAAAAAAATAAAAATGACAGTGTGATATACCCAGTCTTCAGCATCTTTTTTTTTTTTTTTTGAGACGGAGTCTTGCACTGTTGCCAGGGCTGGAGTGCAGAGTGCAGTGGCGTGTCGTGATCTTGGCTCACTGCAACCTCCACCTCCCGGGTTCAAGTGATTCTCCTGCCTCAAACACCCAGGTAGCTGAGGTTACAGGCGCCCAGCTAATTTTTTGTATTTTTAGTAGAGTTGGGGTTTCACTATGTTGGCCAGGCTGATCTCGAACTCCTGACCTCGTGATCTGCCCTCCTCAGCCTCCCAAAGTGCTGGGATTACAGGTGTGAACTACCACGCCTGGCCTAGCATCTTTCTGTTTTCTTTTTATTTTTTCCCAAGTGAATGTAAAAGCATCTTAGTTTTTTCACTAAATATATAAATGGGGAGCATAGTATATTTGGACTTACCTCATTCTTTCTAATGGTTGTATAGTATTCCCTGGTTTATGTAAATATTCCATAATTTGTTTAATGACAGACTTAATTTTTTGAACTATAAATATTATTTGGTATATTGGAAACTGAAACATACTTTGTGGTTCTATTTTTGAGAAATAAGAACAGAATTGAATTAAAATACATTTAAAGTTAAGAAAAATGTCATCTGCTTTTGTTAACTGGTAACCTGATTTTATTAAATTCCTTAATAGGAGAAATGGTAGCCTTAAAAAAAGTACGTCTGGATAATGAAAAGGAAGGCTTTCCAATTACAGCAATTCGAGAAATTAAAATTCTCCGGCAGCTTACCCATCAGAGTATTATCAATATGAAGGAAATAGTGACTGATAAAGAAGATGCTTTGGATTTCAAGAAGGACAAAGGTATGTGTGCATATTTAAATAACGAATTTTTTGTATTCATGATTGATGTTGCTAACTTGGAAATTTTTTTTATAGATGTGACTATTTGAGTAATTACAAACTATTGCTCTAATCGTGAAACTATATTTTTAAGTTTGGTAGAGTTGAATAATGAATTGATTTACTTTAGTGGTTTTTGAGTAAACTTCGTAAAGGGTATTTGCCAATATTACACATAAAGTATTCACTAGTAATATATGTTTTATTGGGCATCAGTGTATAGTTTTTAGTATTCATTTTTTAGTAGTTGAAAAACCAGTTCATAGTAGTAGTATTTTTACCCTACATTTTTATGTTACAAATGCCTTAACATATAAGGAAACTTTACAGTAGGCATATGTATTATTTCTGAAAGTGTGGAGGCAAAAATCATACTTGAAATTGCCTTTAATAATCTATAGTGGGGTATGTATATATGTATAGTTATTATTTAGCAGAGAAGCTGACAAAAAATTAGCCTGCTTATTAAAGTAGTTATTATAGGGCATATGATGGGTGAAAGCAGTGCTCTACTGTTGGTATGTTTTACATCTTCGTAAGATTTTAGATTTAAATCTTCATAAAATCTTAAATCTTATATTTTAGATGTAAATATAGGATCTTTATATAAATCTTACATTTAAATCTTTATGAGATTTTAGAACCAAAGTTTACTGACTGTATTCTGAGGTTTGCAAACAGCAAAACTTTTTCTCAAACTAAATCTAACATAAAGCAGACACAGTGTCTCACATCTATAAGCCAAACACTTTGGGAGTCCAGGGTGTGAGGATCACTTGAGCCCAGGAGCTCAAGACCAGCCTAGGTAACATAACGAGAGCCCATCTCTACAAAAAAAAAAAAAAAAACAACCAGAAAATTGGCCCTGCTTGGTGGTACATGCCTTTGGTTCCATTTACTCAGGAGGCTGAGGCAGGAGGATCTCTTGAGTGCAGGAGATAGAGGCTTCAGTGAGCTGTGATTGCACCCTGCACTCCAACCTCGGTGACAGAGCAAGACCTTATCTCTAAAAACGAAAAGAAAAAGATTAAAGTAGGTATGTTCTGATTGAACATGGTACTTAGACTCCTGTCTTCCCCAGCTACACACACACACACACACACACACACACACACACACACACACACACACACACACTCTCTCTCTCTCTCTCTCTTACTCTGTTGAGGGACACAATTCAAAATGATTGATAAACTACATGGTAGTTATTTTGCATAAAGGAACTGTTTGAAAGTACAATATGGAGTTCAGAATCATCATTTTAATTGATGTCACTTCTGTTAGTTTTTGTCCCTAGTAAAGCTTTCATTTCTCAGCCTGACTTTTACCCTGGTTTGTCTTTTTAACTTTATTTTTCATTACTACTTATTGTGTGGTTGATGGGGTACTGGTGTGACTTAAATTAGAATGTCTGGGTCTTGAGACTTAGTGTATTAGTGGTGTGGCCTTATTAGCAAGACTTTTAGCCCTTTTGAGTCTGTTATCCCTTCATCCATAAAAGGGAAACATTGTCTTTCATAGTTAGAATTAAGACTTTTAAACATGAAAGTTTGTGCAAATGCTGTTTGTTTTGCATTAACCTCAGGCTCTAGCCAAATCAGTGTATTTGATTTTCCTCCAGCATACCAGGGACGTCCTGCTTTTTTGATCTGTGAGATCACCTCCCTGCCTACTTCTCCAATCCCATCTATGCCATTTTGATTGCCCACCAAGCTTGACAGACACACACATACCCACACACTCATTCACACATGCACGCATGCACAATTTGAAAGGCTAATTTCTCACGCCTGAGGTCTCAGCCTGAATGTTGCTTTATTCATTAGTGAGGCCTTACCTGATCAGTCTTCCCACTTTCTACTACGTATAGACACAGACAATTTAATGTTTCCTAATAAGTGGGAATAATTATAATGGTTTGTTACTTGTTTCTGTACAGATAGCTGGGAACCATACCTGTTTTCTTCACTGTTGTGCCTCCTACCTAGCTCAGTGGCTGGACCATAGAATGTGCTGAATGACTAATTGTTGAATGAATATATGAGCTCTATTTTTTTTAATAATCCTATTTATACTTTAATACTTAAACAGTACTACTTGTGAATATATTAATAGTCTTCCTGGTATTATAATTATGGTCATAATTTATTTTCTTTATCAGGTTATAAATTCCCAGAGCCTTTGTATTTTGCTTTGTTTTTAGTTTTGTTTCTCCTCAGTGCCTAGCGCTGCATTTCAGAAATCATAGATTTTTGTGTTATTTGCACCCTTCATCATCTTTCTTCCTACCATAATCCTGTTTGTAATTCTATGCATCATGATAAATAAGAATGTGTTCTACTATGTGAGAAGTTACATGTAGGTACCTAGAATTACTTAAATGCATTAGAGAATGTGAGAGGTTATAAAATTTAAAACATAATTATTTCTTAAATGAATCTAATAATTTTGATGGGAACTATGATGAAGCAACATGATTTTCCGAAAAGGGAACTAGATTTGAAGTCTAATCCTGAGCATGCTAGCTGTATGACATTACACTAATTGTGATTGCCATGCTGTGTGGTATTAAACTAAATTTGATTGTCTAGTTAGAGCATAAAGACAGTTCAATAACACTGGTTAAATGTTATGGGCTAATCTAAAATGAGTGTATTAGAACATATAAACATTAAAAAGCAAAAGTTAAACAATGTAAATATGCAAATTAGAAACAATACAAAAATCAAGTAAAAATATTAACTTTTAAAAATATAAACATTTGCACTGTTATAACTAACTAAGCTATTAGTTGTGTAAGAGAAACATCATAAATGCCTGGCATAGTGGCTTAAACCTGTAATCCCAGCACTTAGGGAAGGCCGAGGTAGGTGGATCACCCGACTGAGGTCAAGAGTTGTTTGAGACCAGCCTGGCCAACATGGTGAAACCCATCTCAACTAAAAATACAAAAATTAGCCAGGCATGGTGGTGCATGCCTATAGTCCCAGCTACTCAGGAGGCTGAAGCAGGAGAATTGTTTGAACCTGGGAGGTGGAGGTTGCAGTGAGCCGAGATTGCACCATTGCACTCCAGCCTAAGTGACAGAGCGAGACTCTTGTCTCAAAAAAAAAAAAAAGGAAAACATCATAAATATATTTTTTTAAAACTTAGCTTTACTTAAAAATGAGAAAAAGTTAATCACGAAGGTTATTAATTTCAATTAATTATTTAAAGTGAATTTTTTTTTTTTTTTTGAGACCCAAGTCTTGCTCTGTTGCCCAGGCTGGAGTGCAGTGGCATGGTCTCAGCTCATTGCAATCTCTGCCTCTCAGATTCAAGCTATTCTCGTGCCTCAGCCTTCCAAGTAGCCAGCATTACAGGTGTGTGTCACTACACCCATCTAATTTTTAATTTTTATGTTTTTAGTAGAGACAGGGTTTCGCTATGTTGGCCAGGCTGGTCTGGAACTCCTGACCTCAAGTGATCTGCCTGCCTTGGCCGCCCAAAGTGCTTAGATTACAGGCGTGAGCCCCTGTGCCCTGCCAAAAGTGAAATTTTATTGCGTCTTAAAAAAGGAATTATTCTTAAGAAACAGAGGGTTAAGTGGTATCACCAAGTCATGGGTATATTTTTGTGTAGAAACTTGCAGATGCTGAAGAAGATTTTTCTTGTTTTTTGTTTTGTTTTTTCTTTGAGACAGGGTCTCATTCTGTCACCCAAGCTAGCGTGCGGTGGCATGCAATCAGGGCTTACTGCAGCCTTGACCTCAGGCAGTCCTCCTGCCTCAGCCTCCCAAGTAGCTGGGACCACACACGCATGACAGCGTGCCTGGCTAATTTTTTAAAAAGTGATTTGTAGAGATGAGGCTTGTCATGTTCCCCAAGGCCGGCGTCAAACTCCTGGCTCAATTGATCCTCCTGCCTTGGCCTCCCAAAGTGCTGGGACTGGCGTGAGTCATCACACTTGGCCTGAAGAAACTTTTTCTAAACTAATTGGGTGAATGGACAGGGGATAAACTGATTCTGAAATTTCCTCCTAACGCTTTCATCTGCATATAGTTTCATCTCTTTTAATCACTTTGAGGGGAACTTTGAACCTTTTTGTCTGATTTTTAATCTTTTATTGTTAGCAAGGTGGGGTTTTGGGATCAGAGAGAGCCTTTCGTGTTCCTCTAGGTACTCAGTTTCTTCATGTATGGAAGGAGAGTGGGATGCAGTTACTTACATTAGTTTCAGTATTTATGTTCATATTTGACTGTTCAAAAAGTCTTTGAACTGTTGGGTGTTTATACTGCAACAGATTATGGATGGAGATGCATTTGCTGAAAATAAAAGAATTATTTTGCAACATAAGCTTTTCTTTGTTACTTTCTTCCTTTCACTGAGGATTACAAAGTTGTAGAAAAATACTTTCTGAATGAGTAAAATAATATTTAATTAAATATTAAACATTTTAGTGCTGTTTATAATTCTCTGGGTAGGCTGAGTGTGGTGGCTAACACCTGTAATCCCAGCACTTTGGTTGGCTGAGGCGGGCGGATCACCAGAGGTCAGGAGTTCCAGACCAGCCTGGCCAAGAGGCCAGCTGGGTGTGGGGACACACGCCTGTAATCCCAGCTACTATGGAGGCTGAGGCAGGAGAATCGCTTGAACCCGGGAGGCAGAGGTTGCAGTGAGCCGAGATTGCGCCACTGCACTCCAGCCTGGGCGACAGAGTGAGACTGTGTCTCAAATTATCTTGCTAGAGAAGATTTTTATGCTGTATGAAGTAAAAACTCGAGTCATTGATCTTTATTTCAAGATGTAAATATTTCAGTATTCAGATTAAAAAAATTCCTAAACTGAAATGTACCAGTCTCTGCTGGTAAGACCTACACATTAACATTCTTCTTTTTCCTCTTCTGCCCTACCCTCAAAAAGGTACTAACTCTGCATAGTAACAGTACTACACAGAGGGGTAGAATCCTAAAACTATGAATCTGTGACCTTATACCTTAACTGTAAATTTCACATAAAATCTTCCTACTTAACAGTGTTTTGGTACTTAAACTTAACATGGTATCCTGGACACCCAAACATCAGTATTATAATTACTATCCCGTAATTAATTTAGCTATAATACTTGGAATATTAGTGTTTTTATAATGAGGGAATTTGAGCACTCTAGTGTGGAATTTTCCTAAAAATCAAGAAGACAGTATTCTATAGCAAATGCTTGTGGCAACATGTCACTGTTTGGTCCGGGGAAGAAGTCCTCACATGTCACTCCCTGTGTACTCTCTGATTCCCAAACAGTGTTAGGTGCTCCTGTATACTTGAATTGCATGTCATACGTAATTCTGTAATAGTACTTTCATATAACTTGTATTTTTGCTTTGGTTTGTTTTTGTTTTGAGACGGAGTCTCGCTCTGTCACCCAGGCTGGAGTGCAGTGGTATGATCTTGGCTCACTGCGACCTCTGCCTCCCGGGTTCAAGTGATTCTCCTGTCTCAGCCCCTGAATAGCTGGGATTACAGATGTCCGCCACCACACCCAGCTAATTTTTTTCTATTTTTAGTAGAGACGGGGTTTCACCATGTTGGCCAGCCTGGTTTTGAACTCTTGACCTCAAGTGATCCACCCACCTCGGCCTCCCAAAGTGCAAGGATTACAGGCATGAACCACCGCGCCCAGCCATAACTTGTATTTTCATATAACTTGTCATGTTTTCATATCTTATTCTTACTGTATTTCTGAGAGCAGGGACTCAATTTTATTCTTTGTGTTCATTGTGTGCAGCACACAGTTGATTATCATTAAATTTTGAGTAAGTGAATGAATGAAATGGAGAGGTAGGAATGTTCTGTGGAATAGGTGGAATGTTAAAGGTGGGTGCAGTTTGGATAGGTATAGTGGAGGGCATTCTAATTATTAGTGTCATGACTTGTTTTTACAAGACAATGAAAGATCGGCATATCTCCTAAAGAATACCTAGCTTCCAAATTATTTACCTTGTGTTTTTCTAGGTCTGAATTTATATTCCCGCAGTTTAGAACTGCTGATATCTCCTGAGGTTTGAGAAGAAAGCAACATTGATTTGTTCATTCTTTCTTTCCACAAATGTTTATTGTGCTAGTTTCTAGATAGATCTGGGCTGGCCAGTGCAGTAGCCACTAGCCACATGTAGCTATTTAAGTTAATTAGTATTACATAAAATCAAAAGTTTAGTTCTTTAACTGCACTATTCATGTTCCAAGTGCTCTGTAGCTACGTGTAGCTACTGGCTACATTTTGGACAATGAAGTTACAGAACATTTTCATCATCTTAGCATTGAATAATGTCCATCTAAATACTGGGGATATTAAACAAACAAACATCTGGTCCCTGACTCAACCTAGTTTCTGGAACCAGAAGAATCAGCAAACACTGCCAGAACTGAATCAGACTAATACATGAATGACAAACCTGTTTCTGCCTAGAGATTTTTCTTTATTGTTAGTTAATCTGTAATTGTTGGAATTTCAGTTGAAGGTGTTGAGTTTCAAAAGAAGTGAAAAAACTTAAACAGTAACTCACTGTGGAACCTACCCAATAAGTCAGGGAGCTTTGCTAAGGAGTCTGTTCTTAGCAACTGTAAACTATGTATCTTTTTTTCCCCTCCTAAAAAGAGAAATGAACTTGCAGGGTTTTTTTAATTGAAAATAACATGTTCCTGTAACAGTGCGGCTTCCAGCAGCATGTTAAGGCAGGGTTGAAAGTCACTCATAAGTTACTTTATCATGTTATTCATTATGTTATGTAAAAGATAAAACTTACAAAATAGTCTGCGTTCTACATTTTATTTTTATCTGGAATTTTATATCAAATTTACAATTAAGGTATAAGGTCAGGCATTCATAGTTTTAGGATTCTGCCCCTTTGTTGGCATAGTACTGTTACTGTGTAGAGTTAGTACCTTTTTGGGGGTGGGGCAGAAGAGGAGAAAGAAGAATGTTAATGTGTAGGTTTTCTTTACTTGATGATAAAATAAATATTTGTCATATATTTGAAAAACAAAGTGTAAAAGAGAAAATAAGATGACCCAGATAATGTCACTATCATCATTTGTCTATATTTTCCTCTAGTGTCTCTTTTCTCACATCTGTATGATTATTGATTACCAAATGGAAGGTTCTGCTTCTTTTATTGTCTTATTTAATAAAATGCTTTTGTAATGGCATAATGTCACTTGGGTGAAATGTAGCCTGAACTATATTTTATTCCTCCATTTTGCATATTTAAGTTCCTTTAGGCATTTCATTATAGTTCCTTCTATTGAAGTTTTATGCTTGGATATTCTAGCAGGTACCTGCCACTATTCATATGCCTTTAGTTAAAGCAGAGGCTTCATGTGCTAAGAAAAGTCCTAATCAATTCTGAATTACTGGTTTGGTTAGGAATGAAGAATTGAGGACAAAAGTCTTACATAATGAGCAGCTGTTGCATCAATCCTAGCAGTCAGTGGGTCATAGATACTAGAACCAGATTTCCTTCCATTCTGAATGTCCTTAGGGGTAAACATTTCTTTTTTTAACATTTGATTATTTCCTTAAATAGATCAATAGGAATTGAATTGATAGACCGAAGTTTTTAAATTCTGAAACTTCTTGACATATATTACCAAGTTGTTTTCCAGAAAAAAGGTGCCAATTTATACTCCCAAATCCAGGGTACACTCAGCAACCTAGAAGTAGAAGGGAACTGCCTCAACCTGATAAAGGACATCTTATGAAAAACAGGGATATCTGCTTCTACCACCTGTATTCAGCATTGTACTAGAGGTTCTTGCCAGGGCAATTAGTCAAGAAACTGAAATAAAAAGTGTCCAAATGGGAAAGGAAGAAGTAAAACTGTCTTTAGTTTGTGTGTGTGTATATTTATGCATGAGAAAATCCTGTGGAATCCACCAAAACAGTGGACGCCAACCTTTTTGACACCAGGGACTGGTTTCATGCCATTTTTCCACAGACTGTGGGGGAGGTGGGGATGGTTTTGGGGTGATTCAAGCACGTTAGATTTATCGTGTACTTTATTTTTATTATTATCGTAATATAATAAAATAATTAACAACTCACCATAATGTTGAATCACTGGGAGCCCTGAGCTTGTTTTCCTGCAACTAGATGGTCCCATCTCAGGGCAATGGGAGACAGTGACAGATCATCAGGCATCAGATTCTTGTAAGTAGTGTGCAACCTAGATCCCTCACATGCACAGTTCATACTAGAGTTTGTGCTCCTATGAGAATCTGATGCTGCTGCTGATCTGACAGAAGGCGGAGCTCAGGCAGTAATGCGAGCAGTGGGGAGTGACTGTAAATACAGATGGAGGACCAGGCGTGGTGGCTCACACCTGTAATCCCAGCACCTTGGGAGGCCAAGGCAGGCAGATCACTTGAGGTCAGGAATTCCAGACCAGCCTGAACAACATGGGGAAACCCCGTCTCTACTAAAAATACAAAAATTAGCTGGGCATGGTGGCATGCACCTGTAATCCCAGCTACTTGGGATGCATAGGCAGATTTCACTTGAAACTGGGAGACAGAGGTTGTAGTGAGCTGAAATCATGCGTCTGTACTCCAGCCTGGGTGACAGAGGGAGACTCCATCTCAAAACAAAACAAAAAACAGTTGGAACTTCGCTCACCTGCCACTCATCTGCTGTGCGGCCTGGTTCCTAACAGGCCACAGGCCAGTACTAGGATTGGGGACCCCTGCACTAAAAAACTGTTAGAACTAATAAGTAAGTTCAGCAAAGTGGCAGCATAAAAGATGCAGAAATTGATTGTTCTGTATACAAGTAATGAACAAAGTAGAATTAAGAAAACAATTTAAAAAGGCCTTAAAGAGAATAAAACATCTAGAAATAAATTGATAAAAGAAGTGCAAGACATGTATCTTGAATACTAGAAAACATAATTGAAAGAAATTGAAGACAATGAAAAGGCATTCCATGTTCATCGATTAGAAAATTCAGTATTATTAAGATGGCAGTACTTCTCAAAGTGATCTACATATTCAACACAATTCCTATCAAATCTCAGCTGACTTCAGAATCTGACAAGCTGATTCTGAGATTCATATGCAAATTCAAAGGAGCTAGAATAACCAAAAGAATCTTAGAAGAACAAAGTTGGAACCCTCACAATTTTCAATTTTAAATCTTCCTACAGGCTGGGCACGTTTGCTCATGCCCATAATCCCAACCCCTTGGAGGCCGAGGCAGGAGGATCAGTTGAGTCCAGGAGCTTGAGACCATCCTGGGCCACATAGTGAGACCCTGTCTCTATTTTTATAAATTTACATAAATCAAAATCTTCCTACAAAGCTAGAGTGCTCAAGATTGTGTGGTACTGGCATTATGATAAACGTATAGATCAATAATAGAATTGAGAGTCTAGAAATTAATTCCACACATTTTATAAGCTCAACTGATTTTCGACAAGGTGGCAGGATGATTCAGAGGGAAAGAATAGCTTTTCAGCAACTGGTGCTGGGATAACTGGATATCCACACACAGAAGAATTAAGTTGGACCCCTTCATACCTCATACAATAATTAACTTAAAATGGATCAGTGACTTAAATGTAAGCACTAAAACCATAAACCTATTAGAAGAAAAGGTAGGAGTAAGACTTTATGATCTTGGATTGGGCAGATGCTTATTAGATATGACACCAAAAGCAGGGGCAACAAAAGAAAAAAAATAGATAAATTGAACTTCATCAAAATTACTTTTGTCCTTTAGGTGGATACTATCATCAGCATGAGAAGACAACACTTAGAACGGGGAAGATATTTGTATATTGTATATCTTATAAGGAACTTGTATCTTAAATGTATAAATAACTCTTAGAACTAAATAATGAAAAAAGACAACGTGATTAAAAAGTGGGCAAGGGATCTGAACATATATTTCTCCAAAGAAGATATGCAGATGGCCAATAAGCACATGAAAAGATGTTCAACAACTTAGTTATTAGGGAAGTGCAAATCAAAACCACAGTGAGTTACCACTTTATATCCATTAAGATGGCTATTATAAAAAACAAAACACCACCAACAACAACAAAAAAAACCCTAGGAAATAAGTGTTGTCCAGGATGTGGAGAAGTTGGAACCCTTACTCTTTGCTACAGAGAGAGTACAATGGTGCAGTTGCTTTGGAAAACAGTATGGCCTTTCCCCCAAAAATCAAAAATAGAATTCTAGAAATTCTACTACTGGATCTCCAAAAGAATTGTCATTAGGTGTGGTGGCTCATAGCTATAATCCCAGCACTTTGGGAGGAGGCCAAGGTGGGAGGATAACCTGAGGCCAGGAGTTCAAGACCAGCCTGGGCAACATAGCAAGACCACATCTCCTCAGAAAATTAAAAAATTTAACCAGGTGAGGTGGCACATGCCTGTAGTCCCAGCTACTCAGGAGGCTGAGGTGGGAGGATTGCTTGAGCCCAGGAGTTTGAAGCTGCAGTGAGCTATGATCACTCCATTGCACTTCAGCCTGGGTGACAGAGTGAGATGTTGTCAAATAAAACATTTAAAAGATAATAAAAAATCTGAAGGCCGGGTGCAGTGGCTCACGCCTGTAACCCCAGCACTTTGGGAGGCTGAGGTGGGCGGATCACCTGAGGTCAGTTCAAGACTAGCCTGGCCAAAATGGTGCAACCCCGTCTCTACTAAAAATACAAAAATCAGCTGGGCGCAGTGGTGGGCGCCTGTAATCCCAGCTACTTGGGAGGCTGAGGCAGGATAATTACTTGAACCCGGGAGGCGGAGGTTGCAGTGAACCAAGATTGCACCACTGCACTCCAGCCTGGGCGACCAAGTGAGACTCTGTGTCAAAAAAAAAAAAAAAAAGGGAAACAGCATTTCCAAGAGATTTGTTAAGCTCATGTTCATAGCAGCATTATTCACAGTAGCCGCAAGGTGGAAGCAACCCAAGTGTCCTTGGATGGAAGAATTGATAAGCAAAATGTGGTGTGTACCTACAATTAAGTACTGTTAAGCCTTGAAAATGAAGGAAATTTTTACACATGCTTACAACATAGATATATCTTCAGGACATGCCAAGTGAAATAAGCCAGTCACAAAGATAATATATGTGTGATTCTACTTATGTGAGGTACCTACAGTAGTCAAATTCATAGGGACAGAAAGTAGAATGATGGTTACTAGGGGCTTAAGAGAGAGAGGAATGGGGAGTTACTGTTTAATGAGTTTCAGTTTTGCAAGATTAAAAGAGTTGTGGAGAGGGGTGGTAGTCATGGTTGCACAACAGTATGAATATGCTAATGCCACTGAACTGTACATTTTAAAATGGTTAAGATTATGTTGTGTGTATTTCGCCACAATTTAAAAAAATTAAACGAGATGAAGTAATACATGCTACTATTTGGGTAAACCAAGAAAACGTGCTAAGTGAAAGAAAGCTAGTCACAACAGACTATGTATTATATGATTCCATTTATATGAAATATCTAGAATAGGTGCCAAATATTATCAGAATATAGATTGGTGATTGCCAGAGACATGGGGAGGGGATTGGAAATGGAGAATGACTGCTAATGCGTGTGAGGTTTCTTTCTAGGGTCATGAAAATGTTCTAAAATTCATTGTAGTGATGATGGTTGCAGAACTCCAAGTACACTCAAACCAATTGAACACTTTAAGTGGTTGAATGTATGATATGTGAATTATATCTCAATAAAGCTGTTATTTAAGGAAAAAAACGATAACTAGCTCCTATGAATTCTGTGTTTAATGAAAATAGAGTCCAAATTGAGAGGGATAGACGGGTGAGGGGTGTCTCTGTTATAAAAGATGAGACTGTAAAGGTGCTAGACGTTTGAATACTATGCCAAGGAACCAAAATATCAAAAAACTTCTACTTTTTTCAAAAAATAATACAGTGCTTATTGTACATTTCAACCAGCATTTATAGTAATTTTATCTTTGGGCATTTGATAGGCAAAAAATGCTGTCTTGTCTTTTTTTTTTTTTTTTTTTTTTTTTTTGAGACAAGCATTTCACTCTATTGCCCAGGCTGGAGTGCAGTGGTGCGGTCTTGGCTCACTGCAGTCTCCGACTCCCGGGTTCAAGCGATTTTTCTGCCTCAGCCTCCTGAGTAGCTGAGACTACAGGCAAGTGCTGCCACGCCCAGCTAATTTTTGTATTTTTAATGGAAACGGGGTTTCACCATGTTGGTCAGGCTGGTCTCGAACTCCTGACCTCGTGATCTGCCCGCCTCAGCCTCCCAAAGTGCTGGGATTACAGGTGTGAGCCACTGCCCCCAGCCTGTCTTGTCTTTTTAATACACATTTTTTAATTTCTGTGGAGCTTGAATAGTTTCTTATACTTAGAGGCCATGTGTATTTCTCTCTCTTTTTTTTTTTTTTTTTTTGAGATGGCCTTGCCCTGTCACCCAGGCTGGAGTACAGTGGCACAATCATCTCAGCTCACTGCAGCCTTGACCTCATGTGCTCAAGTGATCCACCTACCTCAGCCTCCCGAGGAGCTGGGATGACAGGCACATTCCAGCACACCTGGCTCATTTTTGTAATTTTTTGTAGAGATGTGGTTTCAACATGTTGCCGAGGCCAGTCTCGAACTCCTGGGCTCAAGTGATCCACCTGCCTTGGCCTCCCAAAATGCTGGGATTACAGGCGTGTGCCACTGTGTCCAGCCCATTTATATTTCTTTAACCATACATTTTCATGTTTAGGTCCTTTGCTCTTTTTTAACTAGGGTATTAGTGTTTTTCTTAATTGATTATAATTGTATGTTTTACATAGTAATAATGTTCATCTTTTGAGTAACATTGAAAGCTGTTCAGGCATCTGGTTTTCTGGCTCTCAGTGTTTTTCTTATGTTAGTGATCAATAAATTTTTTTGAGGGGTGAGTTGAATTGAGAAGAAAAATATGTATAAAATAGATTGTAGTCTGTTTCAGAATAATCAAATAATTAGTAGAAGATGATAGAGGAATGTGTTTTAGTTAAGATACACCAAATAATGTCTTAAAGGAAAAAAGCTCAAATCTTAATTTGGAATGACTTTCTTCTCTGGGTTTCAAGGAAATGTAGAGTTAGTACCACGTTTTGAAATTTAAAGAACGTAGAACAGAATGTGTTAGATGCACATCAGGAGATGACACATGGCAAAGGGACTGTTAGGAGTTTAATGGAAAGGGAAACTGTGGGCAAGTAGGGAAGGGAGTTGGATAGGAATGGAAAGTAGGGTGGGGAGTACATTTCCCATGTCACTATTTCCTGAACAGTGCAGTAGAGCACTAGAAATATGTGCTCTTGGAACAGGTGGTATAAGGTAATAGTGATGGTAATATGTATAATGGGTTAAGAGCATGAATTAGAATCCTATACTCTGTTTTCTTCATCTGCAAAATGGGGTAATAATGACTAACTCACAGGTTTGTTGTAATTATTTAGTGATATAGTGCATGTGAAGGACTTCACATAGAATATGGCACATAGTAAGCACACATCAGTAAAGTTTAGCTTGGTAGTAGATTGATTTTGAGGGCAGAATTAGATTATTAATACAATAATTATTAGGCAGGTAGGATGGAATTTTGGAAGAAATAAAAATTTTAGTTTTAGTCCTCTAGTGAAATTTTATTATGTGGAGATCAGACCTCAGGAATGGAGTTGATCCAGAAGTTTAAAAAAAAAATTTTTTTCTGAAAGCTTAGAAGCAGTCTCTAATTGTGAAGAGTTTCAGTCACATCTGACTAGCTGTGAGTAATTGGTTAACCCACCAGAAAGAAAAAAACGAGTCATTGGTTGCGATCAAACCCAAACTGGCAGTGAAAGGAAGACTGACAAGTGAAACTCAAGAGCAGATAATAAGGGAAATGCAAAGAGCAGATGCCTTGGTACAGGTTAGAAATGGAGGGTAGAAGAGGAAGTTAAGGAGCAGATACTGTTGAGATTGAGATAACTATAGCCAACAAGAACAGATAGAATTCTGCAGTTAAATTCTGCACTGGGAGAAATGCCAGCAGTGAAGGGTGGAAGTGGCAGAGTGCCATTTAGAGCACATTAAGCTAAAAGATACTTGTTACGTTGCTGTGCAGTTTTTGGTACCTCTTGGAGGAAGCTAATGATTAACTGCTGTTTCTTCATTGTGAAAAGTAGAGGACAATGAGGCTGGGGGATTGTTTTACTTTTGCCACACAGTAGTTATGTCAACGTGGGCAAATTATTTATTGTCTCTGAGCTTGAGTGTTACAAGAAGATCATTATACTTTTTGGGTTGTTGTGAGACCTAAGTGAGACAATATGTGAAGTATTTTCACCATTCTTCATGATTACCATTAGAGTCTACCTATATGTACTAGATGTCACTGTTACTATGCCATGTGATAGGAGAGACTTTATATAGTAGTTGATCCATCATACAGTTACCATATAAAACTTCCAGGTTTCTTACTTGTTTTGGTTTGTGTTTAGAATTTTGTTGAAAGTCAGATGTTAAAGTTTGGGAGTACCAGGTGTTATGTATTTATAGAAATACATCATCTGATGTTGAGAAATATGAACTGTGGCATAACTTTTAAACAAGGAGGCATAGTTCTTCTTTATACCTCATTAAAGATTTACTATAAAAGTACATAAGGTGGGGCAAAAAGAAGAAAATAATTTCTGGTAAATGTAAGAAAAAAGAAAAAATATCCAGCCTCACTATAATAAAAGAAATGTAATTTAAACGATACAAACTTTTTATCTCTCAAAAGTGGTAGTGTTTTAAAAAATTTTTCTCGTTTGTTTTTTTAGAATTATAAAATTATATTTGGTTTAGTTAAAACAATGGAAATATGGAAATAAAAAGCATAAATGGATAGAATGGGAATATGCATATGTAGCAGATAAGAATACCATGGCCAGTGATGAAGAGACACCAGAGTCACGTTTTTTCAGTTTCCACAAATTTTTTGTGCAAAACAAGCATGTGCATTATTCTATTCATGAATTTTTTCAAAATTGAGGCATTAATATGCAATATTCTGCAAAATAGATATTTTTATATGCCATGATATAGCCACTTAAAAAACAGAGATAGTATTCTGTAATTCTATAATTTGGATATATTTTGTATTTTATTAGGCTTGCCCATATAGATGAATATTTCGGTTATTGGTTTTTAGCGTCTTCCAACAGTGCTTTACCAAACATCGTTAAGTGTAAATCTATGTGTATTTGTTTGGGACTTTCATAGGATACATTCATAAAACTGGAATTGCTAGTTAGATGATACAATTCTTTTGTATATTAATAGTTATAGCTAAATTAACTTATAAGGAAGTTTATTCAATTTTTTTACATTCTAATAAAATTTTGTGGGAATAGGTACTTTACTGAAGCACAGTATATTATTGATTTTATGGTTTTGCCCATCTGATAAGAGAAAGTAATACCTTTTTCCCTATTTGTGAAGTCAAACCTTTTTTTCCATAATTTTTGCCATTTCTTCTGTGAATTTGCCTGTTCCTTTGACATTTTCTACTGATTTAGAGAGATACTAAAATACAGATATTAATGTTTTATGTGTTTCATATGTCAGATAATTTTCCCATTTATATTGCTTGCCCTTTGTTTTTCTTTGTTATTTTAAATCTTTAAATATGGTCACATCTGTCTGTTTGGTGGCTTTTTTTTAATTTTGGAAGGGTGGTTTCTCTCATGCTTAGGAAGGCTGAATCCTTGGCAGAATAATAGGAATTTTTTTATATTAAAAAAAATTCTATTATAGTTTGAAAAAGTATTCAGGTATCTTAATCTTTTATTTTTATCTTACAGTGTTCTGCCATCTTTAGCCTGTATGAAATTCCCACGTTCTTTTTTTTTTTTAAATTCCCACATGTTCTGAGGATTCCTGTTTCACTGATGTTTTTGTATGTCCTGCCACCATATTATATCGCTTTAATTATCACCACCCTATAGCATATTTTAGTTTCTGGTGGATAAAGATCGCCTTCTCTTTCCCCTTTAAAAAAAAAGATTTTATTTTTGTGCATTTTAGATGGATATGAGGTCTGAAAACATACTGATGGAAATTTGGCTGGAATTACATTGATGTTAGTGTGGGAGGAAGAATGCTTTTTAAAAAATTGGTCAGGGTGTGGGATCATTGACAAGCATATTAATGTAATGCTGGAGAGTAAAAATTGTTAGAGAGTAATTAGGGATGTAGTATAGAACCTGGTGTGTGCTAAATACTAGATAAACATTTTATGTTACTATTATAATAATCATTATTTCTTAAAATATAATGTGTTCTTTAATTCTGCAATTGTATTTTTGGAAACATAAGGGAAGTAGTCATACCCAAGAGAAAACAAGTCATTATATCAGAAAGACACGTGCATGTGTGTGTTTATTGCAGCACAATTCACAATTGCAAAGATATGGAACCAACCTAAGTGCCCATCAGCTGAGGAGTGGATAAAGAAAATGTGGTTTGTATACACCATGGAATACTACTCAGCCATAAAAAAGAATGAGAGTGTCTTTTGCTGCAACTTGGATGGAACTGGAGGCCATTATTCTAAGTGAAGTAACTCAGGAATGGAAAACCAAATACTGTTATGTTCTCACTTATAAGTGGGAGCTAAGCTGTGGGTATGCAAATACATTCAAAGTGGTATAAAGGATGCTGGAGACTCAGAAAGGGGGAGAGTGGGAGGCAGGGTACAGTGTACACTACTCGGGTGACAGGGGCACTAAAATTTCATACTTCACCGCTATACAATTCATCCATGTAACCAAAAACCACTTGTACCCCTAAAGCTATTAAAATTGAAAAAAAATTTTAAAGTAATCAGGACTAGATATAGCTACAAGAATGTTCTTCATTGTATTGTTTATAATAACAAAACGTTAGCATCAACATAAATATCTCAACAATAGAGAATTGTTGAACAGAACTATGGTATATTATTACTAGAGAATGCTATGTGGTTATATACATTGTGTAAAAGTTAAATTATAAGGAAGGTTATTCATACTGTTTACAAAGGACTAGGTAAAGTTTCATCCAAAGTTTTGTTAAAATTTATTCCAGGAACACAAGAAAACTTTTGAGGGTGGTGGATATATTTACTGTCTTAATAGTAGCCACAGTCTTAATGGGTACATACCTATGTGAAAACTATTTAAGTCATTCCCTCTAAATATGTGCAGCTTATTATTGTCACTTAACACATCGAAGCTGTAAAAGAAAATTTTCTGTTAAAATGTAACAAACTTAAGCTAAAATTCAGTTTATTCCTTTAAGAAAGAACCAACAGGATGTATATTTACATATGTGTAGAGAGATTTATATTAAGGAATTAGGTCACACAATTGTAGGGGCTGGCAAGTCTGAAATTTGTAGGGGTGGCCAGCAGTCTTGAGTCTGAAGGTAATCTGGAATCAGAATTTTTTCCTTTTTGGTGGACCTCATTCTTTTCTTTCAAGGCCTCAACTGCTTGGATGAAGCCCACCCACATTGTGAGGGTTCATCTTTTCTCCCCAAAGTCTTCTGATTTAAACGTTAATCGTATGTAAGAAATACCTTCATAGCAACATGTAGGCTGGTTTTGACCAAGCAACTGGGCACTATAGCCTAGCCAAGTTGGCACATGAAATTAACCTTCAAACTGTAACAAGTTGATTTTGGCAGAATGACAAAATACCTAACTGAGAGACTTTTAAACCGTATGGGAATCTGTTAGCTTACATGAGAAGAGACCCAGAGATAAGGGCAGGGTTTAGGGTTGGTTGATTTAGTGGCATAAAGATGTTATCAGAAACTCAGTGTATGCCATAATGCATGATGCTTCATTCTCACGCTCAAGAATTTGGATAACAGGAACTGAATGATTTTTGCACTTTCATGAAGTTTTTTTGTTATTTGTCTCTGGCTTTAAATGTGTTTTCTGAAAGTGAATTGGAATTTTACAATATGTTCTAGATTTAATATAAATAATAAACTTTCAACTTTATTTTATTTTTTTTGAGACCGGGTCTTGCTCTGTCACCTAGGCTGGAGTGCAGTGTCACAATCTTGGCTCACTGCAACCTTCAGCTCCTGGGCTCAAGGGATTCTCCTGCTTCAGCTTCCCAAGTAGCTGGGACTACAGGTGCATGCCACCATGCCCAGCTACTTTTTGTATTTTCAGTAGAGATGGGGTTTCTCTGTGTTGCCCAAACTGGTCTCCAACTCCTAGGCTCAAACAATCCTCCCACCTCCTCCCGGCAAAGCTCTGGGATTACAGGTGTGAGCCGCTGCACCCGGCCCAAATTGTTTTATCGCCTCATGTTACTAATGCAGCAGCCACTTTACCAACCAGGATTCCTTTATTGCTACTTTCATACTCCTTTACTCTTCAGTTTTGAAGCTCTTCCTTTCCCTCCTGCTGTTCCCCCAATGTATTTCGTTGCCTAAGAAAGGCTAAACTGGCATGCTACTCCTAAAATGTTAACAGTGATTGCATTTGTCTTAGAATGTTATTGAGGTTACACATACTTCTTGCAACATTTCCAACTCTTATAACAGACACTACATTAAATGATGGCAGTTCAATGGAATATTCATAATTAAGCTAAATAAAAGTTGCTTAAACATAAATATGCTTTTAATGGTAATATTATAGCTATAGGTGAAATGCTTTGTAGGTAAAATTTTTAAAAAGCAAGGTAGCTTTTAAGGAATAGATTGCTTTAAATATATTAAAAAGTAGGGGTGGGCACGGTGGCTCACGCCCATAATCCCAGCACTTTGGGAGGCCAAGGTGGGTGGATCACAAGGTCAAGAGATGGAGACCATCCTGGCCAACATGGTGAAACACCATCTCTACCAAAAATACAAAAATTAGCAGGGCGTGGTAGTGGGTGCCTGTAGTCCCAGCTACTTGGGAGGCTGAGGCAGGAGAATCACTTGAACGCAGGAGGCAGAGGTTGCAGTGAGCTGAGATTGCGCCACTGCACTCCAGCCTGGTGACAGAGCGAGATTCCATCTCAGAGCAAACAAACGTATATATATATATATATATACACACACACACACACACACACACACACATAAAGTTTTAAGTCTGAAATTCCCAAAGATCAGTTCATACGCTTTCTTAGAAATAGTAATTTTGACTGGGCGCGGTGGCTCACGCCTGTAATCCCAGCACTTTGGGAGGCTGAGGCGGGTGGATCACTTGAGGTCAGGAGTTTGAGACCAGCCTGACCAACATGGTGAAACCCCATCTCTACTAAAAATACAAAAATTAGCCGGCTTCGTGTTGCATGCCTGTAGTTCCAGCTACTTGGGAGGCTGAGGCAGGAGAATCGCTTGAATCCAAGAGGTGTAGGTTGCGGTGAGCTGAGATCCTGCCACCGCACTCCAGCCTGGGTGATAGAGACTGTCTCAAAAAAAAAGGAAATAATAATTTGTCTGTTTTAACTTGATAATTTTCTTACACATAAAACTCCAAAAAATTTTTGAAAATATCACTAAAAAAGTAGAACCAACATACTTTTTTTTGAAAACTAGTTAGAAACTTAACAAATCTAAAAAAGTAGTGTTTTATTTAATTAAAATATATATGTATAATGCTTACTGTGGGCTAGACACTGCTTTAAGCTAATTAGAAATATTCAGTTAATCATCATAACAAATCTATGAAGGATAGAGAAGGAAATGAGGTACAGGGGTATAGGAAAAGTTAGAATTTTTGTCATGCACTAAATATGTGAAAAATAGCAACTAAAATTTTTCTTTTCAAGCAGATAGTTATTTCTGTTGGTTTGATTTTAACAGGATGTAGAGAATCTCATTATTTATCAAGGTATATTTATGGGAAAATGTGTTTGGAACTCAGATTTTGAGGCAAGATGCACACCTGTTCCCACTCCCAGTTGTAGTGTCATTAAATGGATTTTTACTCTTTATATTCCTACCACCTTTCACGTTGAGGGCGAGTATTTACTTAGGCAGCTCACTATCACTAGTGGCCTTAAGGCCTGAAATTTGGAATGGAAAAGAGCCAGGAGGTCTTAAGTTTTCAGCATTCGAAGGTTTGAGGACCAGAGTTTTCTTAGGGCCTCTTTTTGGTGTAAACACCTCTGGGTTTGAGATATATATTTGGTTTCATGTCAGCACAGTGACCAGATCTTTCTCTTTTGCCATTTCAGGGATTGATCTAGTTTTTCTTTTCATTGCTACTGCCCCCATCAGCCACAAACTTCTTGTAATGTGCATGTATCAATTTTTAGGTTTCCTACCACTGATACTAACGAGAAATGGAATAGTATAGGTTCCTTCTCTTCCAATACTCATACTACACCTTCTACCTTCAGGCATAGTTTTTTCATATGTCTTCTACAGGTCATGGCTTTGGGGTAAATAGAAATGTTGAAATAAGATCCCTGAATACTTTTAAAAGAAATATTGTAACAAATATTTGTTGAGCACCAATTATATACCAAACATTGTTCTAGGTGTTTGGAATAGACAAGGTAGACCCTATGTTGTGTCATAATGGCTGAGGATTGGGGCTGGGGTGGGGTTAGGGGAATAGAGGAAGTATCTTTTTTTTTTTTTTTCCTCTCTGTCCCAATTGAACCAGGGTCAAAGCAGAGTAGAGGAATGTCCTGATCTACCTCCATCGATACTGTATGACTTGGGACTCTAATGTTAGGTTAATTTGCTTACTCCTGTTAAAACTAGAATTGTTTTCTAGCAATTACAGATTAAAGGTAGATCCATAGGAAGAAAGTTTTTTTTCTTTTCGTCTTCTTTTTTTTTTTTTTGCAGTTAGGCAGAAATGGTTTTGAATTTCATATGAATGTCCTGAAAACTTTGCAAATAGTCTGATTCTTTTACTTGTTTTCTCAAGTAAAGATCAATGCAATTGTTGCAGCCCTTAGTTTTACAGTCAGAACTGTTAAATCTTGTTTCTGAAATTATCTTCCTTAGTTATTTCTGTTGTTGAATTTGAGAAAGCAGAGTTCTAGTACAACTTATACTTAACTTTTTTTTTTTTTTTTTGAGACAGAGTCTTACTCTGTTGACCAGGCTGCAGTGCAGTGACGCTATCTCGGCTTACCACAACCTCTGCCTCCCAGGTTCAAGAGATTCTCATGTCTCAGTCTCCTGAGTAACTGGGACTACAGGTGTATGCCATCATGCCCAGCTAATTTTTGTGTTTCTGGTAGAGGAGATGAACTCCTGGCCTCAAGTGATTTGCCCACCTTGTCCTCCCAAAGTGTTGCGATTATAGGCATGAGCCACCGTGCCCTGCAAACTTCTGATTATACATTTTCATAAGGTATTCGTGGTTGAAATAGGTGATTTTCTGAGACTTTGATCGGGAAGTTTATACCTCTGATATTTTGTCTTCTGGTGTCACACCTGCCCTAGCCTTCAACCTTGGATTGATCTCTTTTTTTTTTTTTGAGACTGAGTCTCGCTCTGTCACCCGGGCTGGAGTGCAGTGGCATGATCTCGGCTCACTGCAAGCTCCGCCTCCTGGGTTCACGCCATTCTCCTGCCTCAGCCTTCAGAGTGGCTGGGACTGCAGGCGCCCGCCACCACGCCTGGCTAATTTTTTGTATTTTTAATAGAGACGGGGTTTCACCATGTTAGCCAGGATGGTCTCGTGATCCGCCCGCCTCGGCCTCCCAAAGTGCTGAGATTACAGGCGTGAGCCACCACGCCCGGCCCTGGATTGATCTCTTAATACTAAAACTGCTGGAGAAGAATCATTACAGCCATCTAGGTTATTTTCTTCTCAGATTTATGGTCAACAAAGATAGGATTTCAGGGCTACCAAAGTATCCTTTTATTTGTCCTTAGTCAGCTCTGTCTTCCATTCTGCAAAGCAAAGATTCTTGTTCAACTTCTATTTCTTTTCTCTTAAATAGAAGATATTGCTTCATTTTCTGCAGGGAAAGTAACACCAGCCAAGAACTCACTCTCAGCTTTTAACTTTCCATGTATTTACCTCACTCTGTACCCGTTTTACTCATTTATCTCAGAGGAAGTAATATTTCTCTTTCCTACTTGAAGCAGATTCCCTCAAGTTCCTAGGTACTTTGACGTGTGTGTGTTACCTCTTCTGTATTTTCAACTGCTTCCCTCTCCACTCACTCCTTACCTTCAGCGCTAACCCTACCCACATATTTCCTGTATTAAAACAAAAAAACCCTTCTCTAATTTGAGTCTGCTTTATGGATCATTACTCTGTACACTACTTCTTTTTGTTGTCAGACTTTGTGAAAGAGTAATCAGTAGATGCCAGTTGTACTGCCTCGCTTTGTCATTCACCCATTGGTCTGAATTTTCTCGCCACTTTATAAAGATAAGGACAGTAGTAATTTCTTGCTAAAAGTAATAACAATTTCTCAGGTTTTCTTAGTTGACTTGGCCAGCGTTTATTATGTTGACTTGCTCTTAAAAATTCTACCTTTTCTGAAAGAGTTCTATTCAGGTTGGCTTTCTCTCTCTCTGGCTGTTGCTTCATAGTCTTTCTTAGTGGTGTCTACTTGGTGGTGGTCTTCTTCCAAGATATCTGTAGCTCTGTGTTTTTTTTTTTTTTTTTTTTTTTTTTTTTTTTTCCTGAGACAGAGTCTTGCTCTTTTGTCCAGGCTGGAGTGCAGTGGCATGATCTCTGCTCACTGCAGCCTCCGCCTCCCGGGTTCGAGCGATTCCCCTGCGTCTACCTCCTGAGTAGCTGGGATTACACGTGTGCGCCAGCACGCCTGGCTAATTTTTGTATTTTTAGTAAAGATGGGGTTTCACCATGTTAGCCAGGCTGGTCTCTAACTCCTGACCTCAAGTGATTCGCCCGCCTTGGCCTCCCAAAGTGCTGGGATTACAAGTGTGAGCCACCGCACCCAGCTGTAGCTCTGTGGTTTTTTAATCATCATATCTCTGTGCCATTACCTTATGAAAACATTCCCAGATCTTAGCTTCAGATAGCTACAGCTATTCACTAGGTATCTCAATGTTCATATTTCACAAAGGTATCTCAAACTCATGCTCCTGATCCCTATCAGCCTGCTTGCTCTTAGTCCTGCTTTAAATCTCAGCTTAAGTATCTCTTCTGATAGCTGAATCAGGTTTTATCTTTTGGGATACCACTGCATTTTTAAGCCTATCAAAGCATTATAATACTACAGTTACTTTACTTACATATTTATCTGCAGTGGTATTAATAAATTTCCAGCCTCCTGATGTGAACAAGTCTTACTTGTCTTTGTACTTGTAATCAATAAACTTCTGTTGTTTTGTTGAATAGTCTCACAAAGAAAAAATTCCAAAATAATTGGTAGAGTTTATATAAAATTATAATTTAAAAATTATTTAAATTATATTTGTAAATGTAAACTTGTAGTTTTTTGATCCACTTTCACCATTGCTATTCCTTGTATCTACTTTCAACCTTTGCCAACTTACTAGTCTTAACAGGTAGGATCTATATTAATTCAGATAATTTCTAGAATTGGTAATTAAAAGTTGATTGGGCATTTACAGCCTTTTTCTTGAGATGGGATTTTCTTCCATTAGGAATAATCTTATTGAAGAATTTTAAAACACATTTTTATAAATAGTGCTACCTTGCTTTCCATAATGTTTTGGTCATGTGTGAAATTTTATTTTGGAATTAGTAATAAGTGAAAACTTTGGTTTCATCTAAACCAATGTGCCATTGAATTTATTGTTTTATTGGTATTGTTTCCCCCTTCTTGCCTTATATGAACACTTAGAGAAGAAAATTAAGAAAATCAAATGCTTTATTCTCTCTTAGTTTTAATACCAGTTCTGCTAACAGGTATTTTTCTATGTGAAGCAATTTTTTTTGTTGCCAAAGTAAGCCAAGGTTTAGATTCTAACTGTGTGAAGTAGTGGATAAGGACACTCAGGGTTAGTTCTTGGTTCTATCTGGCTGTCTTTCCTTGCACCCCTGACCCCTTTTGCTCTGATTCTTTCTAACCCATGGTTAGCAGTCTCAAAAGCACTAGTGGCATCTCTTTTAAGTACTAAACATGTGGGGAGAGTATTTCAGTAGAATTGGTTATGGCCACTATATCTTTTCTAGAGAACAAAAGTACCTCACCGTTGAAATTAAAAGAGAAATAAATTCTGTGTAAGTATACCATTTAGGCCAGATGCAGTGGCACATGCCTGTAATCCCAGCACTTTGGGAGGCCAAGGCAGGAGGATCTCTTGAGCTCAGGAGTTTGAGACCTGCCTGGACAACATAGCTAGACCCTATCTCTAAAACAATAAAATACATTAGCTGAGCATGGTGGCACATGCCTGTAGTCCCAGCTACTTGGGGGGCTGAGGTAGGAGGATCCCTTGCTTGAGCCCAGGAGGTCAAGGCTTTAGTGAGCTGCGATTGCAGCACTGCACTCCAGCCTGGACAACAGAATGAGACCCTGCCTCAGAAATAAATAAATAACAATCTACCATTTAAAAATAATCTGAATATGTTTTTCTTACTCTTTCCTTAAATAACCTCATAAATAACCATAAAATTTATTCACTTTGTCTACAAGGTACTTAAAGCAGTTTTTGTTCTGGTTTTTCCTTGAAATAGCCAAAACATGCTGTTGGAAAGGCAGATGGTAGATTAAGCAGATTTCATAGACCTTTGCGGTGATTGTCATTCATTTCCTTTCCAGCCTTCATTTTAAAATGAAAATACTAGGAGAAAATTGGGAAATAATCCGAATAATAAAATACTGTGGTGTAGTTAAAGTTGTAGTCTGGAACTGTTTGCTTCAAGATATTTCATTAGCTTTTTTGAACAACAAACAATTTCAAGTTATATATAGACTTAGCTGGTTTCTCTTCAAGCTATTAGCTGGTTAGGGAGATGATTCGCACCTTTCTGATAAATAATGCTAACCGTGTATGTAAATTTTAAATGTTCTAAAAACCCCATTTAAACTAAAAAGACAAGCGAAATTATTTTAATATTATCTTTTATTAGGCTGAGTGCAGTGGCTCATGCTTGTAATCCCAGCATTTTGGGAGCCCGAGGCGGGTGGATCGCTGGAGGTCAGGAGTTCGAGACCAGCCTGGCCACCATGGTGAAACCCCGTCTCTACTAAAAATACAGAACATTTGCTGGACGTGGTGGCGTGTGCCTGTAATCCCAGTTACTCAGGAGGCTGAGGCAGGAGAGTCTCGAGCCCAGCAGGCGAAGGTTACAGTAAGCTGAGATTGTGCCACTGCACTCCAGCCTAGATGACAGAGTGAGACTCTGTCTCACACAAACACACAAACAAACAAAAAAACTTTTATTTAACCCCAGATATAAAAATTATTTAGCTACTTTAGATTTTTTGGTACTAAATCTTCACAATCCACTTTGTATTGTACACTCACAGCATATTTTATCTCAGCTGGGTCTAACCACATTTCAACTGTGCAATAGCCACATGTTAAGACTAAAGCCTTCCGAATGGACAACTTAGTTCTAAACAGCTTGGTATTTGCCCTACTTTGGGAGAGATATGGTATTTGACATGTTTTGGGGCCACCCACCACTGGTTTACCTTACTTTCTATAACACCCTTGGGCTTTTTTTTTTTTTTTTTTTTTTTGAGGATTCACCTTTTTTCTGTTCTCAGTCTGTGTAGCTGTGAAGCCTGCTCTGTTTCTACGGGTACATGACTCAGATTGGGCAGTTGGAGCCTTACAGTTCTCTTACGAGGTTGAGACTTAACGCTGAGATTTCCTATACAGAGTGAGGTCCTCTTACCTGTGCAGTGTGAGTGTGAGGGTAATCATCTTGAGACAGGATAGGTTCTGAGAATAGAGCAAGCACTGAGAAATGGAGAGAAGGAACGTAGGCCCTTGCCATAGGATTTTGATAGCTCTGTTTTTTCCATAATTACAGTAGAAGCTCAGAAGATTGAGAAATTAACCTTGTTTTTTTTTTTTTTTAAATTAGTGTACATTGGGTTTTCTGTCACTTGCAAGAGTGACATTCCAAGTAAATAAGTATGGATTAGGGAGGTTCAGTATGGTGTTAGAATGCCCCAGCAGCTGAAGGTCGTTCTCTTGTTGATCAGAGTGGGGGTTTTCACCAGGTAGAAGTCAGATCCTTTGTGATTCCCAGGATCTCAGATGCTTGAATTGACTTTTTTTTTTTTTTTTTTTGAGATGGAGTCTCACTCTGTCGCCAGGCTGGAGTGCAGTGGCCTGATCTAGGCTCACTACAAGCTCCGCCTCCCAGGTTCACGTCATTCTGCTGCCTCAGCCTCCTGAGTAGCTGGGACGACAGGCACCTGCCACCATGCTTGGCTAATTTTTTGTATTTTTAGTAGAGACGAGGTTTCACCATGTTGGCCAGGATGGTCTTAATCTCTTGACCTCATGATCTGCCCGCCTTGGCCTCCCAAAGTGCTGGGATTACAGGTGTGAGCCACCACGCCCAGCCTGAGTTGACTTTTTACCAGGGTTTTTACAGACCTGTTGGTGGGCAGATACTTAACTATCTACTCAATGAAAAGGATCAGAAATGCAAATAACACAATTATTTATTCCCCTGATGGTGGTCTCACTGAGTCTTATTTGCTTTGCCTGTGAGTTTAGAACTTATTGTTTCCAACTTTTATTGAATTTTAAATCTCTTGTCTTTTAGGGACTTTTTAACTATAAATTCCTTAATATTTTTCTTTTCAAAATAAAGTTCCTCTGTAAGAAGTATAAATGAGTTTACTATGACCACAGTAATGCAAATATATATAAATATATATAATAATGCAAATATACATAAAGAGAAAATTAATTTCCCATTTTCTTTTGCCACTTTTTGCCAAATCCAGTGTTAACAGCTTAGTATAT
Source organism: Homo sapiens (assembly GCF_000001405.40). Classification (NCBI taxonomy): domain Eukaryota; kingdom Metazoa; phylum Chordata; class Mammalia; order Primates; family Hominidae; genus Homo; species Homo sapiens. Next base: position 40,028,925 of record NC_000007.14, read on the forward strand.
ATCATTGATACTATATTACAAAAAAAGGAAAACAGAAATGGAAAAATATATTAGATATATGGTTGACCCTTGAACATCATGGGTTTGAGCTGCATGGGTTCACTTATATGCAGATTTTTAAAATAAATATATTGGAAAATTTTTTTTTTTGGAGATTTGCAACAATTTGAGAAAACTCAGATGAACCATGTAGCCTAGAATTTTAAAAAATTAAGAAAAAGGCTGGGCGTGGTGGCTCACACCTGTAATCCCAGCACTTTGGGAGGCCGAGGCAAGTGGATCACTTGAGGTCAGGAGTTCAAGACCAGCCTGGCCAACATGGCGAAACCCCATCTCTACCAAAAAATACAAAAATCATTCGATCGTGGTGATGGACGCCTGTAGCCCCAGCTACTTGGGAGGCTGAGGCAGGAGAATCACTTGAACCGGGAGGCAGAAGTTGCAGTGAGCCGAGATCGTGCCACTGCACACCAGCCTAGGTGACAGCAAGACTGTGTGGAAAAAAAAAAAATTTAGTCCGGGTGCAGTGGCTCACCCCCGTAATCCCAGCACTTTGGGAGGCTGAGGTGGGCGGATCACAAGGTCAAGAGATTGAGATCATCCTGGCCAACATGGTGAAACCCCGTCTCTACTAAAAATACAAAAATTAGCTGGGCGTGATGGCGCGCGCCTGTAGTTTCAGTTTCTCGGGAGGCTGAGAGAGAGAGAGAGAGAGAGAAAAGATTCTTTTTTTTTTTCTTTTTTTTGAGACAGCGTCTCGCTCTGTTGCCCAGGCTGGAGTACAGTGCTGTGATCTTGGCTCACCACAACCTCTGCCTCCCGGGTTCAAGCGATTCTCCTGCCTCAGCCTCCCGCGTAGCTGGGACTACAGGCTTGCACCACCGTGCCCTGCTAATTTTTTGTAGTTTTAGTAGAGACGGAGTTTCACTATGCTGGCCAGGCTGGTCTCGAACTCCTGACGTTGTGATACGCCTGCCTTGGCCTCCCAAAGTACTGGGATTGCAGGCATGAGTCACTGCGCCTGGCCTAGATTAGATTCTTACTGTCTGAAGTAGTGGATAAGGACACTCAGGGTCATTTCTTGATTCTATCTGGCTGTCTTTCATTGCATCCCCTACCCCTTTTGCTCTGATTCTTTCTAACCCATGTTTAGCGGTCTCAAAAGCACTAGTAGCATCTCTTTTAAGTACTAACCATGTGGGGAGAGTATTTCAGTAGTAGTAGTTATAGCCACTATACACTATATCTTTTCTAGAGAACAGAAGTACCTCACCATTGAAATTAGAAGAGAAAATTATATATATATATATGTGTGTGTGTGTGTATATGTGTGTGTGTATATATATATATAGAGAGAGAGAGAGAGAGAAAGTCATTCAGTCAGTCTGGCATGCAAAGACAGAGAATCTGAGAGTGACACAAAAATAAACAATAGTTTTTCTGCTTTAAAAGTCCAGTGTTCATCCTTCCCCACCCCTGCAACTCTGGCAACCACTGATTTTTTTTTTTTTTTTTTTTTTTTTTTGAGATAAGAGTCTTGGTCTGACACCCAGGCTGGAGTGCAGTTGTGCCATTTCAGCTCACTGCAACCTCAGCCTCCTGAGCAGCTGGGATTACAGGTGCGCACCACCATGCCTGGCTAATTTGTATTTTTAATACAGACAGGGTTTTGCTGTGTTGGCCAGGCTGGTATGCAACTTCTGACCTCAAGTGATCTGTCTGCCTTGGCCTCCCAAAGTGCTGGGATTACAGGTGTGAGTTACTGCATGCTGTCACTGATTTTTTTTTTTAAACTTTATCCATAGTTTTGCCTTTTCAGAATGTCATGTAGTTGGAATCATACAATACGTAGACTATTCAGATTGGCTTCTTTTACTTAACAGTATGCACCTAAAGTTCCTCCTTGTCTTTCTGTGGCTTTATAACTCAGTTATTTTTTCACTCAAAATATTCCATTGTATGGGTGTACCACAGTTCGTTGAACCATTCACCCACTGAAGGATATTTTGGGTACTTCCAAGTCTTGACAGTTATGAATAAATATTTGTATGCAGGTTTTTGTGTTAATTTCAGCTCCTTTGGGTAAACACCAGGGATTGATGGATTATATATGGTAAGAGAATGTTTACCTTTTAAGAAACTGCCAAACTGTCTTCCGTAGTGTCTGCATAAGCAATAAATGAAAGTTTGTGTTGTTTCACATTTTTACCAGCATTTGGTGTTGTCAGTGTTTTGGATTTTTCAATTCTAATAGATATGTAGTGGTATCTTATTGTTGTTTTAATTTGCCGTTCTCTGATGAAATATGATGTTAAGGCCGGGTGTGGTGGCTCATGCCTGTAATCCCAGCACTTTGGGAGGCCAAGGTGGGCGGATCACTTGAGGTCAGGAGTTCAAGACCAGCCCGGCCAACATGGTGAAACCTGGTCACTACTAAAAATACAAAAAATAACTTGACGTGGTGGCACGTGCCTGCAGACCCCGCTACTTGGGAGGCTGAGGCAGGAGATTTGCTTCAACCTAGGGGGCAGAGGCTGCAGTGAGCCGAGATCATGCCACTGCACTCCATCCTGGGCAACAGAGTGAGACTCTGTCTCGAAAAAAAGAAAAGAAATATGATATTAAGCATTTTTTCACTTGCTTATTTGCCATTGGTATATCATCTTTGGTGAGATGTCTGTTCAAATGTTTTGCCTTCTTTTTAATTGGGCTGTTTGTTTTCTTTTTTCTTTTATTTTGGAGACAGGATCTCGCTCTGTCATCCACGCTGGAGTGTGGTGGCACAATCATGGCTTACTGTAGCCTCAAACTCCCAGTCTCAAGTGATCCTCCCGCCTCAGCCTCCTGAGTAGCCGGGACTGCAGGCACTCACCACCAAGCTCGGCTAATTTATTATTATTATTGTTATTATTATTATTATTATTATTATTATTATTATTATTGGGAGAAATGGGGTCTTGTTATGTTGCCCAGGGTAGTCTCCAACTCCTGCCTTCAAGCTATCCTCCTGCCTCGGCCTCCCAAAGTGCTAGGATTATAGACGTGAGCCACCATGCCTAGTGGATACCAATCTCCCAGTCTGACTTGTCTTTTCGTTTTCTTAGCAGTGTCTTTTGAAGAGCAGAAGTTGTTCTTCGGTTGTTTTGTTTTGTTTCAGGTCCTGCTCTGTCACCCAGGCCTGGAGTGCAGTGGTGTGACTTTGGTTCACTGCAGCCTCTTCCCCACAGGCTCAAGCCGTCTTCCCACCTCAGCCTCCTGAGTAGCTGGGACCAAAGGCGCATGCCACTGCACCTGGCTAATTTTTGTATGGTTTTAAAAATATTTTTTGGAGAGACAGGGTTTTGCCACGTTGCCCAGACTGGTTTCGAACTCCTGGGTTCAAGCAATCCGTATGCCTTGTTCTCCCAAAGTGCTGGGATTATAGGCATGAGCCACTGCACCCTGCCAAAGAGCAGAAGTTTTAAATTTTAACGCTATCCAACATATTAGTTTCTTCTTTTCACATATTGTGATTTTGGTGTCTTGTATAAAACGTCATTGCCAAACTCAAGATCACCTAGATTTTCTTCTGTGTTCTAGAAATTTAGTTTTGCAGTTTACACTCAAGTCTTTGATCCATTTTGAGTTAATTTTTGTGAAAGGTATAAGGTTTGTGTCTAAATTTCATTTTGTTCACTTGTTGGTGTCCCCTTGTTTAAGCAGCAGTTGCTGAAAAGACTATCCTTTCTCCATTGAAGTGCTTTAACTCCATTATCAAAGATCAGTTGACTGTTTTTTTAATGGATGCATTTCTGAGCTTTTGTATTGTGTTTTATTAGTCTAGTTATGTTTTTTTTTTCCCACTGATACCATACTGTATTAATTACTGTAGCTTTATGGTCAGTCTTAAAGTTGGATAGTGTCAGCCCTCTAACTTTGCTCTCATAAAATGTTTTCTTGCTACTCTGAATCTTTTACTATCTATATAAACGTTAGAATCAATTTGTTGATAATCCACACAATAACTTGCTGGGATTTTGATTGGGATTGCTTTAAATGCATACAGCAAGTTGGGAAAGAACTGACGTCTTGACAGTGTGGAGTCTGTCTATGTGCATGGCATTTCTCTTCATTCTTTTGATTTCTTTCATTAGAGTTTTATTGTTTTCCTCATATAGAGTACTTGGGATTATATGTGTGAGCCACCATGTTTGGCTAATTTCTGTATTTTTAGTAGAGATGGGGTCTCACCATGTTGGCCTGGCTGATCTCGAACTCTTGACCTCAGGTGATCTGCCCACCTCAGCTTCCCAAAGTGCTGGGATTACAGGCATGAGCCACCATGCCTGGCCTGAACATTGTCCTTTGATTCTTTCTTAGAGTTTCCATTTCTCTGCTTTTGCATTTTGCCCACCTTTTTTCCATTAGAGCTCTAGGAATATTAATTAGAGCTTTAAAAAAATTAGTAGTCTGATAATGCCAGTATTTCTGCTATATCTGAGTCTGACTCTGATGCTTGTTTCTTCAAACTGTGTTTTAGCGTGCTTTAAAATTTTTCATTGAAAGTCAGAGATAGTACGTGGTGTAGAAGGAACTGAGGTAAATAGGCCTTTAGTGTAAGGTTTTGTGTTTATCTGGCTAGGGGTTAGGCTATGTTCACTGTTTGCTGTACCTGTAAGTATCAGAGGCCAAAATTTCCTCTAGTGTTCATGTTTTTGTCTTCCCTGTTGTCTTTTGGTTTCTTTGGAATTTCTTCTTAAATAAGGTCTGAGGTGTGCAATTTGTTTAGTTGTATTCTCCACTTAGTATACAGGAGCCATATTTGTATAGTGGTAAGGCGTAGAGGGAGGGAAGTGTTCTATAGCCTAAAGATTTGTTCTCAGTCTTTTAGTGAACCTGTGTCCCTGGTCTGTAGTCTCTACAAGTACTTCTAAGTTTTGGTTTTTCCCTGCAGTGAGACAGGAGTGCTAGAGGATGCTGGTATTGGGTATTTCATTACCCTAAGTCTAAGGCTAGAATGCTCTGGAGTTGAATATTTCCCTTCTAGATTGGTAAGGCTCTGGTGGAACCCTGGTAGGTTAGTCTCTGATAATTAATTTCTCTTGAAGTCAGGCCTTGTTAAGGACAGAATGCTCTGGGCATATTTCATCATAACTACATATTTTTTTCTGATCTTCGCTATGATAATCTGGCAGGGCTTCTGGTTGTTAAAAACTGACAAAATGTGGAGGCCTCTCAGACAGGGTCCTGCTGTAGTTTTTAATTAAAACTTGTTCACACTGAACCTCCAGCTTGGTTTAGGCTTTCCTACCTTGGTAATGGTTCCCAAGGAGCTTTCTGCAGTTGTAAGTTGTGGTTCTCTGTATCCTGAACCTGCCTGCCTCTCTCTCTAATTTTGGGGGCAGTGGTTTGCCCTGTGACTCCAATTTCTGCAATGGCTTTACGAAGAGTTGTTGCTTTTCACCTTTGCTTTTCTTTTGTTTTGAGTATGGAATGGCAGTTTTTAACTCCTTAAATTCCAGACCAGAAACCGGTCATCTGCAGGGCTAATTTTTTTTCTATATTTTACTTTTCTTATTAAAGATTATAACATATCTCTAGCTGCATAATATACTACAATATGGATATACTAGATTTATTCAACCTTTGTTTATTGATGGACATTCAAGTTTTCTCAGCTTTTTTACATTATAAATAGTACTGCTAAAAATATTCCTGTACATGTATATTTGCATACTAGTGCTGTTATTTCTTTACATTTACTCTTAAAAGTGGGATAGCTAAGTCAAAGGATATTTGTGTTTTTAATAATACATATTGTCTGATTACTTTGCCCAAACATAGCAGTGTATGAGTTTCCTTTCTTTGGCTATTACTGGATGTTGTCAGTCTGGTAGAAGAGAATGGTATCTCATCATTGCTTTGATTAGTACTTTCTTGAAAACTGGTGAGGTATGGAGCATCTTACATATGTTTATTAACATTATAATTTCCTCTCTGGATTCTTTATTTGTGGACATTGACATTTACTTTCAGTTGGGTTATTTGCTGTTCCCCTTATTCATCTGTTAGGCACAATTGATAATATTTCTTAAAATTATACTTCTAGAAAAATTTAGAAAATTGCAGCATAAGAGAAAGTAAAAATCACTTATCTGTTCACACAGATAAACTCTTAGAGTTTTGATACTAATATTTTTCTAAGGATATGTATATATATCAGCTTTCCTACCATAATGAAATTTTATGTGGCATGTTATAGTTCCACAACTACATTACATATGATTTTATTAATTTTTAAATACAATATCGGAAAAATATGAAGCAATATAAAAATGTTTTTAAAAATGCAGGTCATGACCTACTCAATTGATTGCATGACCCACAGTTTGAAAAACATCGCCTTAAACCAGGGTTTCCCAGCCCCCAGGCCATGGACAGGTACTGGTCTGTGGCTGGTTAGGAACTGGGCCGCACAGTAGGAGGTGAGTGGAAGGTGAGCGAGTGAAGCTTCATCTGTATTTGCAGTGGCTCCCCATAGCTCCCATAACTGCCTGAGCTCTTCCTGCTGTCAGATCAGTGACAGCATTAGATTCTCATAGGAGCACAAACCCTATTGTGAACTGCACATGCAAGGGATCTAGGTTGTGTACTCCTTATGAGAATCTAATGTCTGATGATCTGTCACTGTCTCCCATCATCCCCAGATGGGACCATCTAGTTGCAGGAAAACCAGCTCAGGGCCCCCACTGATTGTACATTATGGTGAGTTGTATAACTATTTCATTATATGTTACAGTGTAATAACAATAGAAATAAAGTGTACAAGAAATGTAATGTACTTGAATCATCCCAAAACCATCCCTCCACCCACCCGTCCCCCCATCCCCCCATCCCCAGTCCATGGAAAAATTGTCTTCCATGAAACTGGTCCCTGATGCCAAGAAGGTTGGGAATCGCTGCTTTAAACTACATAAATATATAACCTTGGCTTCCACCCGTAATCCAGCACTTTGGGAGGCTAAGGCAGGAGGATAGCTTGAGCCCCCAGGAGTTTGAGACCAGCCTGGGTGATATAGTAAGACCTCGTCTCTATAAAAAATTACAGAAATTAGCAAAGTGTGGTGGCACACACCTTTAGTCCCAGCTGCTGGGGTGGCTGAGGCAGGAGGAGGAGCACTTGAGCCTAGGAAGTGGTGGCAAGATTGTACCACTGCACTCCAGCCTGGGCAACAGAGTGAGACCCTGTCTCAAAATAAATAAATAAATTACACACACACACACACACACACACATATAAAACCTTGATAAAAAGTGAAAACCAGTTTTAAAATATAGGAACATGAAATTTATCTCTTAATTCAATTTAATAATTTCAAAGCCTTCTAAAATTTTATTTACATTTTTAAGAGACTCATTATTACTAAAATATTCAAACATCTAAAAGTAGATGAGGTCAGGAGTTTGAGACCAGCCTGGCCAACATGGCGAAACCCTGTCTCTACCAAAAGTACAACAATTAGCCAGGTGTGGTGGCAGGTACCTGTAATCCCAGCTACTCTGGAGGCTGAGGCAGGAGAATTGCCTGAACCTGGGAGGTGGAGGCTGCAGTGAGTTGAGATCGTGCACTGTACTCCAGTCTGGGTGACAGCGCGAGACTCCGTCTCAAAAAAAATTAAATTAAATTACATTAAAATATAAAAATAAAAGTAGAGGAAATAGTATAATGAACCCCAGTGTCCCCATCTTTCACTTTTATAGTTAACACATTTTGCTAAATTTACTTATCCCTGTCAACTTAAAAAAAAAAACAAAAAACTCCTGGATTATTTTTAAGTGAATCTCAGGCTCATTGTATTATAAAAGTTAGTCTTTGATTATGGAGAGACAATAGATAATGAAATTGTAGTTACATTTAAAAAGAAAAGAGACCTTATAGTTAACAAAATCAGCCATAATTTTATGTCATCTAATGATATACATTCACGTTTACCCAGTTGTCTCAAAAATGTTTTTTATAGCTGCTTTGTTTGAACCTGGATACAAACAAGATGGCATGTTATTCATATTAATTAATATTTTAAGTCTCATAATTTATAGTAGCTCTTCTTGCCTTTTAAACATTTTATTCCATTTATTTATTGGAGAGTAGACTGCATTTTCAATTTGGCCAAATGCTTCCTTTGGGTGTTAGTTAGCTTGTTCTTCTATCCCTCTTTTTTCCTCTAAATAGTAATTAAATCCAGAAGTTTATTTAGATACAAATTCAATTCTTTGGCAGTTGTACTTAAAAGATTATGGTAGAAGCTACTATATCTTGAAGTTTCTGTGGGCAGGAATTTGGGAGAATCTTGGCTTGGCAGTTTTGGTTTGGGGTCTCTCATAAGATTGCAGTGAGATGTTAGCTAGGGTTGTCGTTAGAAGGCTTGACTGGGGTTAGAGAATCCACTTCCAAGATGGCTCCCCTCACATGGCTAGCAAGTTGTTCTCTTGATGGGAGGTCTCACTTATTCTTTACATGGGCCTTCCACAAAGTTGCTTAAATATCCTGACAGCCTTGGTGGCTGGCTTCTCCCAGGTTGAATGATCTAAAAAAGTAAGGTAGACGCTGCATTGTCTTTATGACCTAGACTTGGAAGTCACATCATTCACTCTCCAATATTCTGTTGGTCACACAGACCGTCCTTGAATCACTGTGGCGTGGCATGGATGCCAGATAGTGAGGATCATTTAGGACCATTTTGGAGGCTTGCTACTGTAGATGATTTCAGTTTCAATTTCAGAGTACAGGATTTATACATCTTTGACCTTATCTTTCTTGTAAACTAAAAGCCCTGGTTCCTAAAATATTAACATAGCTTGCTTTGTTCTACCATATACATGTAATAATTTCAAAGTAACAATGCTGATATTAATTACTAAAAAGACTACTGAATGCAGTTTAAGATTTCTTAGTGATTCTTTTTGTCCTTAAAATATACCCCCCAGCTGTATATAGTCAGTATACTCTATTGTAGACAGTTTATGCAACCAATTTGATAAACATAAATCCACCTAAATGTGGATATGTTTCCAGTTTTTTAGGGATTGCTTTTTTTCCCTTTTTGATTTAATAATGTATTTTAATTATATAAAACATTTACTTGGTTTCAAACTCTAAACTATAAAACAGGTACATTCAGAATAGTGTCACTTCCATTCTTCTTTTTCTTGTTCTCTCCCTTACCCATGGGTAACTATTTTAAATGTTTGTTTCATCCTCCAATGTTTCTTTTGTACATATTCACATTCCTTTTTTTATATATAAAAAAAGGTAGCAATGTTGTAAGTGCTCTGCTGTACCTTTTTCTTTTCATTTAACCATATATGCTGAAGTTTACTCCATGTTAGTAGACAAAAATCATTTTGTTAGTAGACAAAAATCACGCATTGCTTAGAGGCACTGCACTGTGTGGGTATGCTATAGTTTATTCAGCTAGTTTCCTAATGATAGATATTTTCATTGTGTAAATAATGCTGCATTGAATAGCCCTATGCATACATCATTTTGTATTTTGGCCAGTGAATTTTTGGTACAAGTTCCTAGAATTGGGATTGTTAAGTCAAAGGGAAATACTGAATGTGATTTAGCTAGATATTGCCAAATTTCTCTTCAGAGGGCTTTTTTTTGTGTTATTTCTACTACCAATGTATGAAAGTGTTTCTTACAGCTTTGTCAGTAGACTCTGGAGTTCTACTTTTAGATTTTTGTCAATTTAGTATCTTGGTCAAGTTTTAGTTTGGGAAATTAATTAATTTATATTTATTTTGAGACGGAGTTTCGCTCTTGTTGCCCAGGCTGGAGTGCAATGGCATGATCTTGGCTTACCGCAGCCTCTGCCTCCTGGGTTCAAGCGATTCTCTTGTCTCAGCCTCCCAAGTAGTTGGGATTACAGTCATGCACCACCATGCCTGGCTAATTTTATATTTTTAGCAGAAACGGGGTTTCTTCGTGTTAGTTAGTCTGGTCTCGATCGCCCGACCTCAGGTGATCTGCCCACCTCAGCGTCCCAAAGTGCTGGGATTATAGGCGTGAGCCACTGTGCCTGGCCACAAATTTTTATTGTGAGCAAGATTAAGCTACTTTGCATTCACTTAGGGGCGCTTCGCTCTTTTTTCGGATGAGCTAATTGTCTCTCTTTCTCACTTTTTTGTAAGGTCGTTGATCTTTTCTCCCCCTAATTTAGAGTTTTTAACTTTGCATTCACTTAGGGGCACTTTGCTCTTTTTTCGGATGAGCTAATTGTCTCTTTTTCTCACTTTCTGTAAGGTCGTTGATCTTTTTTCCCCCTAATTTAGAGAGTTTTTATTTTATTTATATATACAGATAGAGAGAGAGAGAGTGTCTTGCTTTGTTGCCCAGGCTGGAGTGCAGGAGTGCAGTGGCACGATTGTGACTCACTGCAACCTCCGCCTCCTGGCTTAAGTGATTCTCCTGCTTCAGCCTCCCAAGTAGCCAGGATTACAGGTGCCCACGACCATGCCCGGCTAATTTTTTTTTTTTTTTTTTTTTTTGCGACAGAGTGTCGCCCAGGCGGGAATGCAGTGGCAGGATCTCAGCTCACTGCAACCTCCACTTCCTGCATTCAAGTGATTCTCATGCCTCAGCCTCCTGAATAGCTGGGATTATAGGCATGAACCACCATGCCCGGCTAATTTTTGTATTTTTAGTAGAGAGAGAGTTTCACCATGTTGGCCAGGCTGGTCTCGAACTCCTGACCTCAAGTGATCCACCTGCCTCAGCCTCCCAAAGTACTGGGATTACAGGCGTGAGCCACCGTGCCTGGACTGTAGTTGATACTAATAATCACTCTGCAGTGTAAGTTGCAGCTAATTTTTTTCCAGGTTGCTATATTCTTTTAATTTTGCTTGTGGTATTTTTAGCCATGCAGAGGATTTTTATTTTTACATAGTCGTATTTGTCATATTTATTATTTCTTGGTATAAATTATTTCTTGATTCCTAGTTGGAACTTTTTTTCTACTCTTAGGTTATTAAGGAATTCTGTGTTTTTTTAAAAGTACTTTTATAGTTCTTTAAAAAAATTTAGATAACTGATTCATTTGCTTTTTTTTTTTTTTTGAGATTGAGTTTTGCTCATGTTGTTCATCCAGGATGGATTGCAATGGCACAATCTCAGCTCACTGCAACCTCTGTCTCCCAGATTCAAGCGATTCTCCTGCCTCTGCCTCCCCAGTAGCTGGGATTACAGGCACCCACCACCACACCTGGCTAATTTTTTGTAATTTTGTAGATTCATTTGCTTTTTATGCTGGTGTATAGTGTGAGAGACAGACAAGTTTTATCTTTTTCTGGCTATTCAGTTATCCCAATACCACCAATTAAAAAGTCCATCTTTTCCACACTGAATTGATATGCCATCTTTATCATATAGTAAAGGTCCATATGTATGTGGATATATTTCTGAATTTTCTGTTTTATTTCATGTTTATTTACCAGTATCACACTTTTTAACGATGGAAATGTATACTGGTTTAATATCTGATAGTGTGTACACATACCCCCTTTCTCTTTCAGGTGTTACTTTGCTATTCTTAATTATTTTTCTACGTGGATATACATTACAGAAAAACAACCAATAAGTATTGTGAAAAATTGGGCTGTGTCTAATTTATAAACTAACATAGGGATAATTAACATCTTTATCATGTTTAGCCCTGCTATCCATTTGCTCATGTGTACTTTTCTGTCTTGTAAGAGTGTTTATAGTTTAAAGGATTTCTCACATTTCTTATGTGAGCTTTTTAAATTTAATTAATTGATTAGCTATTACTAATGGGGTCTTCCATTTTATATTTTAACTGGTGGTTGATGTTAGTGACTATTATATGTAATATTCTACTTTTTTAACCTGTTTAACTGTAATAATTTTTTTGTTGTCATTGAGTGTTTATGGCTCTCCGGAGGCCAAAAACTTGTTATCTGCATTTAAAGATAGTTTTAGCTTTCCTATGTCAATTCTTAAATCTCGAATTAAGTGCTGTTTAATGGAAATAGAATGTGAGCCATTGCATTTTAATTTAAAATCATCTGGTAACTTCATTTTAAAAAAAGAAAGGTTGAAATTAATAACGTATTTAACCCAGGCACAGTGGCTCGTGCCTGTAATCCCAGCTCTTTGAGGGGCTGAGGTGGGTGGATCACCTGAGGTTAGGAGTTCAAGACCAGCCTGGCCAACATTGTGAAACCCCATCTCTACTAAAAATACAAAAATTAGCCAGGAGTGGTGGTGCACACCAGTAATCCCAGCTGCTTGGGAGGCTGAGGCATGAGAATCACTTGAACCCAGGAGGCGGAGGTTGCAGTGAGCCAAGATCGTGCCACTGCACTCCAGCCTGGGCAACAGAGTGAGACTCTGTCTCAAAAAAACCAACTAAACAAATAATACATTTAACCCAATGTATCTAATAGATTATTTCAGTATGTAATCAAGACCACAAATTATTGAGATATTTTATATTCTTTTATTTTGTACTGTCTTCAAAATTCAGTATGTGTTTTGCACTCATAGCATTTTTATTTTTAATTTTTTTCTATATACTTTTAATAATTCTCAAAGTCATACCAGAACTCGTAGCATTTTTTAACTAGCCACATTTCAAGAGCTCATTAGCCACATGTGGCTAGTGGCTAGTAGCTACTGTATTGGACCATGCAACTCTTAATGCTGTCTTTTATCTTTCTGTGTTACATAATGCCACCAATATAATGTTAAATAACAGCAGAGATAGCGGTATGTGTATATTTGATAACTGACTTCCTTTTACTCAGCATGCTCAGTACATTTCCACATCAATAATTACATCTCTACAACATTTTTCAAAGTTACATGGAGTGGCATAAGATATACCAGAAGAACTTTTTTGACATATTGTTTTGTTTTTAAGTGTTTTATTATTACATTGCTTTAGTGATCATGCTTACAGCTAAATCTTTGCAGTCTTGCCACGTGAAAGAGTATGCAATTTAAAAGTGTTATACAGTTGCTTTGATTTGTATATTTTGTTTAGTAATGAGATTAAATATTTTTCGTGTGTTTTTTGGACATAGGCATTCTTTTGCATATTGACAGTTCATTTGATTTCTTATTTTCTGTTGTGGGATTGGTATTTTTTTGTATTGATTCTTTTTTTGTTGTTGTAGTTGTTTGAGATCTTGGTCTGTCTCCCAGGCTGGCGCGATCTCGGCTCACTGCAACCTCCGCCTCTCGGGTTCAAGTGATTCTCCTCGTCAGCCTCCCGAGTAGCTGGGATTACAGGCTTGTACCACCAAGCCCAGCTAATTTTTTTGTATTTTTAGTAGAGACGGGGTTTCACCATGTTGGCCAGGCTGGTCTCGAACTCCTGAGCTGAAGTGATCCGCCCACCTCGGCCTCCCAAAGTGCTGGGATAACAGTCGTGAGCCACCACACCCAGCCGTTTTTGTATTGATTTGTAAGATCTCATTTTATATTAAGGATATTAATCTAGTATATGTTATAGATACTTCTCCAGTTTGTCCTTTTCTTTTCTTTCTTTTTTTTTTTTTTTTTTTTTTGACAGGGTTCACTCTATCACCCGGGCTGGAGTGCAGTGGCGCAATCACAGCTAACTGCAACCTTGACCTCCCAGGCTTAGGTGATCCTCCCACCTCAGCCTCCCAAGTAGCTGGGATTACAGGCATGTGCCCCACATCCAGCTGTTTTTTTTGTATTTTAGCAGAGACGGGGTTTTACCATGTTGTCCAGGCTAGTCTCAAAACTTACGGCCTCAAGCGATCCACCCACCTCGGCCTCCGAAAGTGTTGGGATTACAGGTGTGAGCCACCGTGCTCCAGCCCTCCTTTTTTTTTTTTTGAGACTGGGTCTGTCTCCTTCTGTCACCCAGGCTGGAATGCAGTGGCCCTGCAGCCACAGTCTCCAAACTCTGGGGCTCAAGTAGTCCTCCTGCCTCAGCCCCCCAAGTAGCTAGAATTACAGGTGTGCACTACCACACCTGGCTAATTTTTAAATTTCTGTAGAGACAGGATCTCTCCATGTCGCCCCAGGCTAGTCTCAAACCCCTGGCCTCAAGCAGTCCTCTCGCCCCGATCTCCCAAAGTGCTTGGATTACTGGCGTGAGCTACCATGCGCAGCCATCATTTGCCTTTTATCTCTCTTCCATATTGTTTCCTTAGGCAGTACTTCTACATTTTCATTTAATGAATTGAAATCTGTTGGCTTTTTATTGCATTTTTCTTTGATGTAACTGTCCACCTCCTTGTGGGATTATACATTTGTCAAAACACTATTTTATCTATTCTTTCTTCACTGACTTAAATTGGCTATTTTTATAATTATTAGATATATAACTGGGATTTGTTTTCTGGTGTGTATTATTTCCACTGTTCTGTCAGTCCCTATGGTATGACACAGGTCAGATTAATTTCTAGTAGGGCAAGTGTTTATTTTCAGAAATGTTTTGGCTAGTACTCTGGTTTGTTTTCTTCAAGGATAATTTTAGAATTATTTTGTCAAGTTAAGTCTCCTCGCTCCTGGTGACAAAAGAGAAAAACCATTGGTCCTTTTATTGAAATTGCTTTAAAATACAGAGTTTTATATGTGCGTGGTACCTCAAACCTGTAATCTGCCACTTTGGGAGCCAAGGTGGGAGGATCTCTTGAGTCGGGGAATTCAAGACTAACCTGGGTAACATAGAGAGACCCCATCTCTACCAGAAATAAAACAAACAGAAAAATTAGCCAGATGTGGTGGTGGGAGCCCATGACCCCAACTATACTTGGAAGGCTGAGGTAGGAAGATCACTTGAGCTCAGAGGTCAGGGATATAGTGAGTTGTGATGGTGCCACTGTACTCCAGTCTGGGTGACAGAGTGAGTGAGACCCTGTCTCAAAAAAAAAAAAGAAAAGAAAAATACAGAGTTTTACAATTTGGTGTTTATTAATGAATTTTGTATAATTTTTTTTTTTTTTTTGAGATGGAATCTTGCTCTGTTGCACAGGCTGGAGTGCAGTGGCACCACCTCGGCTCACTGCAACCTCCACCTCCCTGGTTCAAGTGATTCTTCTGCCTCAGCCTCTGGAGCAGCTGGGATTACAGGTGCACGCCACCATGCCTGGCTAGTTTTTGTATTTTTAGTAGAGATGGGGTTTCACTATGTTGGCCAGGCTGGTCTCTAACTCCTGACCTCAGGTGATCCGCCCACTTTGGCCTCTCAAAGTGCTGGGATTATAGGTGTGAGCCACCACGCCTGGCTCAGTTTTGTATAATTCTTGTTAAAGTTTAGTCCTGGTCATTAGTAGTAATTTTTTTCTATTGTGAAGTCATTTAAATTTTATTTTCTAGTGAATTGTTTCTTCATATATGAAGTCTTTTGCTTTTTTTTTTTTCTTCTTTGAGACAAAGTCTGGCTCTGTTGCCCAGGCTGGAGTACAGTGGCTCAATCTCAGCTTACTGCAACCTCTGCCTCCTGGGCTCAAGCCATCCTCCTACTTCAGTCCCCCGAGTAGCTGGGATTAAGATAAC
Source organism: Homo sapiens (assembly GCF_000001405.40). Lineage (NCBI taxonomy): Eukaryota > Metazoa > Chordata > Mammalia > Primates > Hominidae > Homo > Homo sapiens. Next base: position 40,044,466 of record NC_000007.14, read on the forward strand.
ACACCACCACGCCAGGCTAATTTTTGTAGTTTTTGTAGAGACAGGGTTTCGACATGTTGCCCAGGCTGGTTTCATGTTCCTGACCTCAGATGATCCACCTGCCTCAGCCTCCCAAAGTGCTGGGATTATAGGCATGAGCCACAGCGCCCGGCTGTCTTTTGCTTTTTGAGTATTGATTTTTCTTTTTTTGAGACGGAGTCTCGCTCTGTCACCCAGGCTAGAGTGCAGTAGCGTGATCTCGGCTCACTGCAAGCTCTGCCTCCCGGGTTCATGCCATTCTCCTGCCTCAGCCTCCCGAGTAGCTGGAACTACAGGCATCCACCACCATGCCAGGCTAATTTTTTGTATATTTATTAGAGACGGGGTTTCACTGTGTCAACCAGGATGGTCTTGATCTCCTGACCTCATGATCCGCCCACCTTGGCCTCCCAAAGCCCTGGGATTACAGGCATGAGCCACTGGCAATTTTTGTTTTTAATCTCATACATAATATCTAGCCTTTCCTATTAAATATGACATTGGTTGTTGGTTTCAGGGAGGTACCATAATAAACTTTTAAGAAAGACTCCTTCTGTTGCAAGTTTACCGAGAGTTCTTTGCTCTGTTTTAAAAATTAGGAACTTATCTGAACCAAGTTCAGATGCTTTTTTTGTCTTCGTGTTAGTTTTTCTGCTTTTCACAAATGTAATGAATTATATTTCTCATTCAGTTTGTGTGTAAGTTTCTTTTAGGATTTCTAAATCTCTCGTAAGTACGTTTGTATAGTTTGTGTGTGTGTGCTATGTGCTATTTTAGGTTTTGGTAGCAGGACTAAGCTGTTTTTTATAAAATAAAGTTGTAATTTCAAATTATATTGTTTTTCCTCAAATTCTTGCTTTTAGGTACTCTGGAGCTGTATAAACAGAATTAAATTACATGTTTATTGAGGCATTTAGAAGTCGCCTAACATCTTTCTTGGCCTGTACTCTTTTTTTTTTTTTTTTTAATTAAAAGCAGTTCTTTTACCAACTTTTAATTTTTTGATAAACTATATTGACTTTATTCAGCTTCTAAGAGACAATTTGACGTCTAAAACATTAATCACACCTAGAAACTATACAATATGGAGAACAGCAGGGTGATTTTTTTTTTTTTTAAAATCATAACTGTTTTTTTGCGGGGAGAAGAAAATAGATTAGATGTTTTCCTTGGGATTTATTTATTAATATTATTAAGTCCAGAGAGAAAGATGAATGTTATTAAAGTAACAAAGTAACACTTCTTTTCAAGGATTAATTCTTCCTCTACCAGCCTTTTATTGTTAAAAATTGTGAATTTATGGAAAGGTTGTAGGAATAAGTTTCTAATGTATTAATTATTCTCATTCTTAGGTGCATTTTATCTGGTGTTTGAATATATGGACCATGATCTGATGGGACTACTGGAATCAGGCTTGGTTCATTTTAATGAAAATCACATAAAGTCATTTATGAGACAGCTCATGGAGGGTCTGGATTATTGTCATAAGAAGAACTTTTTGCATAGAGATATTAAATGTTCCAATATCCTTCTAAATAATAGGTATGGGTATGAACTTTATATATATTTAAAATGAGTTTTACCATGGACATGTACATGGAGAGAATAGACTGGAAACCGTAGCGGCGGGGAATGTCGGGGGTGGTGAGCGTTGAAAGTTACCTATTAGGTACAGTGTCCAACGTTTGGGTGATGGGTACCCCAGAAGCCTAACCCCTACTATTACACTTGTAATACCCATGTCACCAACAAACACATATACCCCCGAATCTAAAATTTTTAAAATAAAGATACGGTGTTACATGATGTTGCACCTTGATTATGTTAAAAAAGATTTAAAATTTAGTTTACTTTATACAAACTATGTAAAAATAATCAGGCCAGCCACAGTGGCTCACGCCTGTAATCCCAGCACCTTGAGAAGTAGAGACGGGCGGATCACTTGAGACCAGGAGTTCATGACCAGCCTGGCCAACGTTGATGAAACCCTGTCTCTACCAAAAAAATAGAAAAGTTAGCCTAGCGTGGTGGAGCATGCCTGTGATGCCAGCTACACAGGAGGCTGAGGCATGAGAATTGCTTGAATCTAGGAGGTGGAGGTTGCAGTGAGCTGAGATCATGCCACTGTACTCCAGCCTAGGTGACACAGCGAGACTCTGGCTCAAAAATAAAAATAAAAATAATCAACAATATTATAACTTGGGATACCTCAAAAGTTGTGTTACATAGCTGTTAGTGGCCGGGTGGGGCAGCTCAGCCTGTAATCCCAACACTTTGGGAGGATGAGGCAGATGGATCACTTGAGGCCAGGAGTTCAAGACCAGCCTGGCCAACATGGTGAAACCCTGTCTCTACTAAAAATACAAAAATAAACCCGGTGTGGTGGCACACACCCGTAATCCCAGCTGCTAGAAAGCCTGAGGAACGAGAATCGCTTGAATCCCAGAAGTGGAGTTGAGTGGAGTCAGTGAGCTGAGATAGTGCCACTGCACTCCAGCCTGGGTGACAAAGCAAGCAAGACTCGGTCTCAAAAAAAAAAAAAAAAAAAAAAATCTAATAATAGTCTGTAATGCATATAAAATAATACTTAGTTGACTTTTCTGTTTGCTATTATTCCAAGTAATGTGAATGGATCATCTGATAAGCAATGTAACTTCAGCTTTAGGTTAAGAATAGATTTTAGAAAATTTTAAAAAAGCAGTCACAGTTGTAAAGTGAACTTCTTGGAAGTGTGTACACACACATACACATTCACATATTTAAAACTTATGTAAATAAGCTTAGATTTGTAACATCTTATATTTGAACCCTGATAATTCTCTTGTAATTGGTACTGTTTGTTAATTTAAATAAGGCATGGCTGGTTCTCATTTTAATTAATAGACAGTGTTCTATGCACCTAGCCCCTCTAAAACTGGAGAATTAAACAAATTAAAAGTGATGTCACTTCGTTCTTGAGCACTGTTACCTTGAACAAGAAATTTGTCTTACTGCTAAGTAATAAAAAGGATCTCATTTTATTTTCATTGAAGTATGCTTTTCTAAATAGGAACTGAATAGTAATAAAATACTATTCTAATATTATAATACAGTAATTATAATAATCATATTACTATAATAATTTTAAGACTATCCAAGGATAGTTTACTTTCTTGTTTTGTGAATTTATCCACTACTTGCCTTTCCCTGTATTACCTTGATGATATTGCAGTGTGAGCAGAGTTAAAGTTTACATAGGTTTTTTTTTTTTAATCAGTTCTAGGCATAGAATATAAATGTGTATTGTCAATTAAGAGTAAATTAATACCTTTTGTTCATTTTGTCTTATTTCCACCAGAGGGCAGATAAAACTTGCAGACTTTGGACTTGCTCGATTGTATAGCTCAGAAGAAAGGTAAGCATACCTTCAAATGAATATTGTAGATACTAGAGTTTAGTATTAGAAGCTATACTAAGAATACCTTATTGATAGTTTTATTTTTTAAAAGAGAAGTTTACTTTTCATGGTTAGTACATAAAACATTGAAATTTTATACCATATTGGGTTGATTATTGTAATTACAATATTTTATACATTATCTCAATTTAAAAATTGATCTTCAACAGGTAAAAATGATTTTTTTAAATGAACATCTTTAAGTGTAACTGAAGTGAACTTAAATTTCTAATACGTATTCAGATATTAAATATTCTTAATGAAAACCTTTTAAATTGCATTTTTAAACTTATAAACTTTGGTTTCATTATTATTTTAGACAGATTTTATTGTTATATCTACAGTTCTTTGTTTTTTTAACTCCCTAGAACCCTTTATTTAAACCAACTGTTGGGAGGATGTTCACTGTATAAGACACAAAAATGTAGAACTTTTCTGGCTAAAGTTGGATTATATACCCAACTTGGCTTTCTTTGTGCCTGGTGGTAGTGAAATATGATTTGTCTTATTAAAACTAATATGGGATTTCAAAATAAAATATTTTTGTGCAATAGTAGGTTTTATGTAAATAAAATACGGAATTAATTTGGCTTAATAAATCTTTAGTCCATTTACCCCATTCCTTTTTTGTCTTTATTTCCATATGTGTATATATATATCTGAAATAATATAGTTAAAGAATTTTAAAATTATTTTATGACAATTTTGTCATTTCTTTAATATCACCATAATTTAATATAATGAAACATCAGTTGATTGCAGTCTTAGGAATAGATGTTTACTTTCATTTAATCTTTGCTTTTTTTGGTTAAAGCAATAAACAAAAACTCTCGTTTGAATTTTTCAGAGTAAAAAGTCTTATTTTGTTAAATCTTGCAGCGCCTGTGACATAATTCTGGAAAGTATTTTCCTTATATAGTGTTCTAGAGTAGAGGTTTATAAGTGATATGTTTTGGATCTATTCAAGTTCCATGAAACCCCTCAGAAAGTGTGCAGTGGGCCAGGCGCAGTGGCTCATGCTTGTACAAATCCCAGCACTTTGGGAGGCAGAGGCAGGCGGATCACTTGAGGGTCAGCACTTGGAGACCAGCCTGGCCAACATGGTGAAACCCCATCTCTACTAAAAATAGCTGGGCTTGGTGGTGCACGCCTATAATCCCAGCTACTTGGGAGGCTGAGGCACAAGAATCACTTAAACCTGGGAGGCGGAGGTTGCAGTGAGCCGAGATCACACCACTGTACTCCAGCAAGACTGTCTCCAAAAAAAAAAAAAAAAAAAAAAAAAAAGGAAGGGAGGAGAGAGGGAAGGAGGAAGGAAGGAAAGAGAGACAGAGAGAGAGAAAGGAAAGAAAGTGTTCTGTGGATGGGGTTTTGTGATTGGACCTCCAGTCCTCTGTACCAACTTTCACCAGAGTTACTTGGTTTTTATTTGTTTTAACTACTACACTTAAAATTAACATTTTATTTTAGGAAAGGGTTGTATGAGTGTTTTTTTTTTTTTGAAGTTTAAAACTGTTTTAAAGCTCAAAAGCTATGTCCCTCATTTTGCATTTGAGCGAATTGAGACCCAGAAAGGGCTGAGTTAGTTTCCTTTTTTAATTTTGAAATATGTATACATTGTGAAATGGCTACATTGAGCTAATTACTATGCATTACCCCACATTTTTTTTGTGTGTGCCAACACTTAAAAATCTACTCTCAACAATTTTCAAGAATACATTGTTATTAAGTGTAGCTGCCAAGTTGTACAATAAATCTCTTGAATTTACTTTTGTCTAACTGAACTTTTATATCCTTAGGCCAGCATCTTCCCCCCATACTCCCTATGCCCCGTATCTGGTAACTACCAGCTCTACTCTCTACCTCTATGAGTTGAGGTTTTTTAGATTTCACGTATAAGTGAAATGATGAGTTATTTGTCTTTATGTGCCTGCCTTATTCCACTTAACACAATGCGCTTCACGTTCATCCATGTTGTCATAAATGACAGGATTTCCTTGTTTTTTAAAGACTTGAATAGTATTTCATTGTGCGTATATGCCACATTTTCCTTTTTTTGTTTTGTTTTGTTTTTTTTTGAGACAGAGTCTCACTCTGTCGCCCAGGCTGGAGTGCAGTGGTGCAATCTCAGCTCACTACAGCCTCCACCTCCGGGGTCCAAGTGATTCTCCTGCCTCAGCCTACCGATAGCTGGGATTACAGGCCACATTTTCTTTATCCGTCCATCTCTTAGTGGACGCTTAACGTTGATTCCCTATCCTGGCTATTGTGAAGGGTTGAGTGACTTTAAAGATCAAAAAATGTTAGCAGAGCCAAGGGTGTATAGTTAAGTTTTCAATTCGCAATTTTTTATTCTTTCTGTCATATATAATAGTGCCTCTTGGTAGAAGTTGAAAGGAAAAATTGGTCTGAACTGTACTTAATCCAAAACTTAACTTGAAGTATATTTTTTTCTTCTGCTGTTTAAGAAGCATATGTATTTTATTTTATTTGAGACAGTCTCACTCTGTCGCCTAGGCTGGAGTGCAGTGGCGTGATCTCAGCTCACTGCAACCTCCGCCTCCCGGGTTCTAGCGATTCTCCAGCTTCAGCCTTCCGAGTAGCTGGGACTGCAGATGTGCACCACCATGCCCAGCTAATTTTTGTATTTTTTAGTAGAGACAGGATTTCGCCATGTTGGCCAGGCTGGTCTCGAACTCGTGACCACAAGTGATCTGCCTGCCTTGGCCTCCCAAAGTGCTGGGATTATAGGCATGAGCCACCATGCCCAGCTGAGAAGCATATATATGACTAAATTAATGTGGCTATTATTTTGGGCAAGTTCTGGTTAATTAAGAATTCTATCTGCTAAGCTGGTTGAGATTTCACTGTAGTTAGATTTTGCTTAATATAAGTTTGTGTCTGTTGTTAATTATGTAAATCCTTTCCTATGGAATGGAAAACAGCTAATTACCATTTTAATCTAATAGATTCTTGTTATGCAGATATTTGTGCACATTTGGAATAGATATGTTTCAGAAAAGCTGATTATAAAGCCAAATTTTATATTATGAGGCTTAATTTTCCCATTGATTTTCATTTTAAAATATAATTTGGGTTCCATTGGAGTGCCGGGGTGTGGTGTGTTCACTGGGCCATGGTCCCTGTTGCCCTGCTGGATTGATGTAGAAATTTTGAGTTTAGAGAACCAGAGTTTTAAAGTCCCATAACTTTGCATCTTCAGGTAATGTATACTGAATTTTTCTGCTCAGTTAAATGTATAAGAGGAAAATTCAGTCTGTCATTTTGTTTTAAGAGCAAATATCCTATCATTATGGGGTTTATATACTCCTTTAAAACTTCTCTTTTTTTTTTTTAAGAGAATAATTCTGATTTCTTCAGAATCTCCTGGAGAGGTAGTATTAATATAATGGAATACCTTTAAAATACATATGTTGCTCTAGTGAACCTTAATAACTGTGATTTTAAAAGAAATCTACCTTTAACAGATTTATTGTATTGTCTCAAATTTTCTAGATATTTTTTGAGATAAATATGTAACAAATGATTTTTCATTCATATTTCTGCTTCATTATAAACAGAGAGCCAGGTAGGGCCTTACTGTAATACTCATGCAAGTATAAAGTCACTTTGAAGTGTTTTTATTTTCTAAGTAGTTAATATAGATCGAATAACTGAATTGTTCAAGAATTTTGTGTAAGGTTTTTTGTTTGTAAATAGAGCAGTTTTCAGCTTACAACTGTAATAGCATCAACCACAGCTCTCATTAGATTTTGGATGTTCCTTTTTTGAATTTGAGGAAAGCTGGGTGGAGTTACAGCTAGTACTTGGGGGTCTGTGACCAATGTGGATCTGCTCTTCATGTGCCTATTGAAGAAAGAAAGAGAACCACTGGATTAAAATTAGAGGGGAAAATGATTTCTTAAATTTCAGTCATTTTCTCATTTTGAACATTGGGATTTATACTTTGTCCCATTCTGCATTGGGAATTTTAAAACTTGAGAATAGAGATTTTTGCCCCATTTCTTCATTAACTGTTCATCTTTTAGTATATGGTTTTTTAAGTATAGTTTTTCTGACAGCTACAATGTTTCCCTCTTCTTAGTTTTTATTTTACCAAGTCATTGCTCCAGTGGTTTTCAAAAGGATGGAGTATCTTTCTCTCTTTATGTGACCGTCCTGTATGAAAAAAAGTTTTCCATATTAATTGAAACTAGCCTCATTTTCTAGAGAAGAAACTATAATGTGACACTTTATTTGTTTATTTATATTTATGAGACGGAGTCTCACTCTGTCACTCAAGCTGCAGTGCACTGGTGTGATCTCGGCTCACTGCAACCTCCGCCTCCTAGGTTTAAGCGATTCTCCTGCCTCAGCCTCCTGAGTAGATGGGATTACAGGCACCTGCCACCACGCCCAGCTAATTTTTGTGTTTTTAGTAGAGACGGGGTTTCACCATGTTGGCCAGGCTGGCCTCGAACTCCTGACCTCAAGTGATCTACCCACCTCTGCCTCCCAAAGTGCTAGGATTACAGGTGTGAGCCACTGTGCCCAGCCCTGAAAAACGTATCTTTAATAATATTACTATGATCAAAATGAAAGTTTTTTAAACAATAACCAGAAAGCATACTACATTTCCATATGATGATCCAGTAAGGAGAGAGAAGGGAAAAATGAAAAGGGCCTTAGAGCATTAGCTCACTAATACCACCCTCCCAAAACGCACACACCTTTTTGAAGGCAGTATCGCCATCTAGTGGCTTTTCAGAACATTGTTATTGAAAGCAAAACTAAATTTTCCTAAAGTTGAAGGTATTAATGAGAGAGGAAGATAGTATTACCATATTTTATTCTTTTGTGTTTTATGTTCCCTAAAACATTGACTGCATTCATGATAAGTGCTTGGTTGATGCTGATCTGGGAGAAGGTGATCTTCATCTGGAGGATCCTCCTGATGCAGATGAGTGCAGGGAGCTTTGGGGATTCTAGGTAATGAAAAGGATCTTCTGAGAATCACTAGACAAGATTGGAACCATGGTAATAAAAAAATTACTAATAACAGATGAATGACAATAAATAATATGATTAAACAAGCTTCAGGAAAGGAGATCTCATTTAGATCATTGACTTTTAACTGTAAGATCAAGATTAAATTGTTCTCCCTTCAACTCTAATGGAGTAGTCTTCATTTTTGAGCATATAAAGTGGAAAGAATTCCCCCCTCCTTCTGTTGGGGGTATATCATCCGAGACATTACTGCTGAATACTTACAAAACTGAATTCCAATCCTTGATCTTTCTTCTGGTCTCCAGACCTTTTGTTTATTGGAAATCTCTACCCAGGTGATTTGGGTACCCTAAATTAAACCTTGTTACAAAACCTATCTATTTCATTCCCCAGAAAAATGTCTACTCCTTTTCCTTTATTTCCCGTTTTAGTTAAAGGTTTCCAGTCACCTCATATAGGCCATTGTAAATAGAATTGTATTGGTTTTTCTGTCCTCTGGTCTTTCTCCCTTATGGTCTTCTCTTCTGCCATTCCAGCCCCCCTGATAATAGCAATGTTGAACTATTTGTAGTTCCCTAAACTTGCTGTGCTCTTGAATGCCTTTGTGAATCTACATAAGCTGTTTCTTTTGTATGTAATTATACTTCTCACCTGAGTTTGACAAATTTTTTTTTTCTTTCAGTGTGCAATTCAGGCCCTACCGCCTTTGAAATCTGTCCTGAATCCCACAGGCATCATTGGGCACATCTTCTTTTATGTGTTTAGAGTATATTATTCATTCTATGTATTATTTATAGTACATGATTATAATTTATATTACCACCATTTTTCTTTTTTTTTTTTAAGAAAAAGAAGGGAAAAGGAAAGAACAAACTTAACTAACGTTTGTGTACATCACTTTATTATACATAGTTTCCTTTCACAAGAATTATTTTAAAAGAAAGTTGAGATGGATGATGTAGGTATCATTCTTATGTACATTTTAAAGTTACAGAAGTTTAGAAAATTTAAGTGCATTTGCAAGATCACACAACCAATAAGTAGTAGAGCTCAGGATCTTTTGACAGAAAGATTATTTTCATTATATGGGAGTGCTTCTCTGGTAAGACTCTGAATTCAGCCTTGATTACCTAGAAGTATCTTCCAGGTAGAGAACTCTAGGGGCCTCTCAAGTCTGCTTTAGAGGTACCATTAGGCTGATGGCAATTTTTAGAGTTCTTTTTTAGTAAAGGGTCTGCTGAATTTTGCTTTTTGTCTTTGCATCCTCCAAATATATTTTTGACAAATGAGTTATGCTGTAGGTTTAATCTTCCAGCAGATTAGGAAGTTATGTGATATTTCTACTTTTGAATCTCCCTTTGTCATATTGGATTTAATTATATTTTAAGCAGTTTGAAAGCTCTTGAAATATCTAATGAGAAATCTATAAACAAAAAATATTTTGATAGCAACAAATATTTAAAATTACCTGTAATTTTTCCCATGAAAGTTATATTAAAGTCTGATGACTTTTTTTTTTTTGAGATGGAGTTTCGCTCTTGTCTCCCAAGCTGGAGTGCAATGGCGCAGTCTCGGCTCAACCCAACCTCTGTCTCCTGAGTTCAAGCGATTCTCCTGCCTCAGTCTCCCAAGTAGCTGGGATTACAGGCACCTGCCACCACACCCAGCGAATTTTTGTAATTTTAGTAGAGATGGGATTTCACTGTGTTGTCCAGGCTGGTCTTGAACTCCTGACCTCAGGTGATCCACCCACCTTGGCCTTCCAAAGTGCTGGGATTACAGGGGTCAGCCACGGCACCTGGCCTGACTTTAAATTTTAATACTTGGTTAATCACTTAAGGTTTAAGGAAAAACAAAAGAATTGTTTGATTTTGTTTTCTAATGTGTTACTTTCCTGGCAGACAAAGAAATAGTGTCTGCCTTCTTTTAAAAAATATTAATGAGATTTACAAATGAAAGTATTTAGCAGAAGGACTGGCCTTGGTGTCTCTTGCCTGTAATCCTAGCACTTTGGAAGGCCAAGATGTGGAGATTACTTGAGCCTAGAAGTTCGAGTCCAGCCTGGGCAACATAGTGAGATCTCTATTTTAAAAAAAGTAGAAATTGAAATGCACAATAGTTAACGTTGAGACCATTATTTTTGGGTCTTTACAAAGTTTAGTTTCTTGCCATCCAATAACAACTTATTGAAGTTACTAAATTTTGTTTTCCAATTTAATGGCAGAAGGACTGTGTGTGTGTGTGTGTGTGTGTGTGTGTGTGTGTGTGTGTTTTCCTGGGTTATTGAGTTTATTGCTTGGAATTGATCTAATTATGTAAAGTGGAGTGGTTCATTTCATTTTTAGATTTTTCTTTTTTGTATGTACACATTTATTTGATAACATCTAAGAAGTCGACTATATGTTTTTCAGTCCTGTTTCTTTTTCATTGTGAGTTAATTTGCTTTTTGTGCAAATACTGGGTATAGACACACCACAAGAATGTAATTTGTTTTTTAATCCATGAAAGAAAAAAGCATCGTATATGTAGTGTCACATCAGTTTGCTTCTTCTTTGTGTGATCTAAACAAGATCATCTCTACGATGTTGACAGTTGGTAGCCAAATCTAATAGCGCAAGTTTGAAATTCATTTTTGAGGATTCTGGATTTTTTTTTTTTTTTTTTTTGAGACAGAGTCTTTCTTGCTCTGTCAACCAGGCTGGGGTGCAGTGGTGTCATCTAGGTTCACTGCAACCTCTGCCTCCTGGGTTCAAGCAATTCTCATGCCTCAGCCTTCTCAGCAGCTGGGATTACAGGCATGCACCGTGATACCTGGCTAATTTGTTTTGTATTTTTAGTAGAGGTGGGGTTTCACCATGTTGGCCAGGCTGGTTCCGAACTCCTGGGCTCAAGCAATCCTTAGGCCTCTGCCTCTCAAAGTGCTGGGATTACAGGCATGAGCCACCACGCCCGGATGGATTTTCTTTTATTTGTCTGTCTTTGGATAATGTATTTTCATATTACAACGTGCTTTAATTTTCCTGGGCTTTAAATTTCCTGGAACCAAAACATAGTTTCAGTCTCTTTTACTTTTGTCTTTACATTTGTAAACGGTTAACGGGATTTAATATTAGCATCCTAATCGTAACGTGGATTTTTGTTTGATAGTATACTATATTACTGAATTGGGTGATACCTGAAATTGTCCTTATTCTCTTCTGACTCCACCTACGTTGGAACTTGCTTTTATGATTAAATACTTCTGTCTGCACACTTTCTCAATATTTGCTTCTTTTTCATTAGAGAGGTAGAAAGTGAGGCATGGTACCTATTATGCAAAATTTTTGAGTAAATCAGGTGTTTTTCCTTGTCCTTAGTAACGGTCATTTTCATTTGTCTTTTGTCATTGTTACCTTTTAAAAGCTTTTTAAAAAATAGTTTATTAAAAATATTTAAAATACAATTAAAGTACCACTAACTTCTTTAAAGTTTTCTTGCCAGCTCTGTTCTCTCCCTGGCTTTATCCCCTTTCTCTGGAAAATGAACATTTGCTCACCCGCCTCAGGGAACTGAAGGTTTAGTGTGATTGGAACAAAAACCAAATGATAATGGATTTTATAGGCCTTGTGTAGGTATTCTCTAGATGGAAGCAATGTGTACTATAGCCATAACATATTCATGTTTCATTTCACGCTATCACTTTGACTGCACTTTGGAAAGTGGTTTGGCCTTATACGTCTGGAAGCAAGAACAATCACTTAAGAAAGCTGTTGCAGTAAATCTAAATAGGATGACTATAGCTAGAACCAAGGAATGGGCACAGGTAGTGGAAAGACAGATTAATTATATCATAAGGATGTAGACTTGTTAGACCTTGATGGTTGAATGTGTTGTGAGATACATCCCTGCCTCCACCCCCTACTGTAAGGTTTCTGCTTAAGCAACTGGATGAATGATTTGTTGGTTAGGATAGTCTAAACTTTTGTAACAAAGAGAACCACAAAAGTTAGTGGCTTAAAGAATGAGAAGTTTATATATGTATTTCTCACTTAATAATCTTGAGTGGTGGCTGGGCGTGGTGGCTCACGCCTGTAATCCCAGCACTTTGGGAGGCCAAGGCAGATGGATCACCTGAGGTCAGGAGTTCAAGACCAGCCTGGCCAATATGGTGAAACCGCATCTCTACTAAAACTACAAAAATTAGCTGTGTGTGGTGGCAGATGCCTGTAATCCCAGCTACTTGGGAGGCTGAGGCAGGAGAATCGCTTGAACCCAGGAGGTGGAGGTTGCAGTGAGCCGAGATCACGCCACTGCACTCCAGCCTAGGTGACAAGAGCAAAACTGTCTCAAAAGAAAAAAAAAATTTTGAGCAGTTGTTGCTTACCCCTGTGCACAATTAAGATTATTTAACCATACCACCAAGTCAAATGGTGACTGCTTCAATACAGCTATTCAGAGAAGAAGACTGGAAGATCTGTCATCTTCTACACATGCCTTCCAATGCTGGTGCCAGAGGTGAGAAAAGAGGAGGGAGGAGAGTAATGAGCCAGGCCTAGAAATGGCACTTATCACACGTGCTTATGTTCCACTGGAGAGCACTTGGTCATGTGGCCACACCTAACTGCAGTGAGGATGGGAAATGTAGCAGAGCTGGACAGCTGCCATAGAAGGGAGGAGTAACAGATTTTTAGAGGGCAGCTATGAGTATCTGCCACGAATGGTGAGGCTGTTTGCTGAGACAGTAAAGAAGAACAGAGATGCATTTTTTAGCAAAAGGTAATAATGTAGGTACTTATAGGACTTCTAAATTTGCTTGTGTAATAAGAATGGGCAAGTAAGACAGCTGATCTTAGATGACAGCATCAGTTGGGAAAAAATTGGTTTTGTTTCTCTATAGCACTGTGATGATAGAGGAATTTAAAAGTTATTTTTCTTGGAAGATATCAAAAGGAGAAAAACAGGAGTTCAAATAGGGGGAAAGAACATGAGAGAAAAGATTGTGTTTATTGTTATGTAGTTATGTTATATGAAAGTATTAATAAGTTAGGCAATGCATATGTAGGGTGAGGAATTTAAAATAGCTGAGTGCTACAAAGCAAATAAAATAACGACTATAGTGTCAAAGTAGGGGTGGTAGTGGATAATTGGGTAATTTTCGTTAGGGGAGTTAAGATAGGCCTCTTTTAGGAAGTAAATTGGAGCTAAGACCAGAGTGATGAGAAAGGGAAAACTTAATGAAGACCTGGGCCAAGAACATTCCAAGTACAAAGGAGAAGGAACTCAGTACGGCCTGAGAACAGACTTGGGAGGTTTAAGGTCAAAGGTTGCCCAGTGTAATAGGAGGTAAGATCCTTGCTGTACAGTCTTATCAACTGAAGTAAAGTTTAAATTTTATTTGATTGCAGTGGGAAATCACTGGGCAGTTTTAAGCAAGCAGTTGATACCTGGTTTTATGCTTAATAAAAAAACTGAAAAGAAGTTAAGGGTAGCTGGGCATGGTGGTGCATGCCTGTAATCCAAGCTACTCCAGAGGCAGGAGAATTGCTTGAATCCAGGAGGCAGAGGTTGCAGTGAGCCAAGATTGCACCACTGAATTCCATTCAGGGCAACAGAGCGAGACTCTGTCTCAAAAAAAATAAATAAAATAATAAAAACAAAAACGGGCAGGGCGGGCGGGGGGGTGCAATTAGAGATGGAAGCCAGGAAACCAGTTAAGATATTGTTGTGGTCATACCAGTGAAAAGAATAATGGCTTGGACTAGGTATTTGGATTGGGGATCTATTTTGGATGTAGAATTGGCAGAAGTTGTTTGGAAATTTGAGGGAAAGATGAATCAAGAATGACACTTGGATTTTTGACATTAAAAGCTGGGTAGGTGTTAGAAAATAGATCCCAGATTTCTTTTGTAGGTTTGATAGATTTTTCTGCAATGGATTGTGAATGTCTTAAAGATGACATGGCATTTTGTGTATATGATGAATTTAGTTTACTGAAGACTCTCTTTGTCTCAAAACAGTATGAATTATAGTATAAAAGAAGTACATGGGGGGGTTGCCTTCAAGCAGGAAGAAAGAAGTACAGACTTTATCATATGTTGTTGGAAAAATGAAACATTTTAGAGCTGGTTTAGGTATTTCATTTTATATGATTTTTTTCACTTAGAATGGTCTTTAACAAAGGCAGCAACCCTGCTTTATAAATTTTAACTGAGATTATCTAGAACCCCCAAATACTTCAAGGATCTAGGATTTTGTTCTGTTTTTCTATATATATCTAGACCAGTAGGAGGTGGAAAACGTGCCAGCCAAGGGGCACACTCCTTATCACACTGCTTGGTTTGTTGTGGATACGGTGCAGCTTATCAGGCCTTAAGGTAGGGAAGGCCATAACCGTATCTCATCTTCCCTGCCCTCCATCTCTGGAATTCCTGGGATTGCTTTTTGTTTTTTGTTTTGTTTTGTTTTGTTTTTTGAGACAGAGTCTCGCTCTGTCACCCGGGCTGGAGTGCAGTGGCACGATGTCAGCTCACTGCAACCTCTGCCTCCAGGGTTTAAGCAATTCTCTGCCTCAGCCTCCCAATTAGCTGGGATTACAGATGCATGCCACCACGCCTGGCTAATTTTTGTATTTTCGGTAGAGATGGAGTTTTACCATCTTGGCCAGGCTGGTCTTGAATGCCTGACCTCGTGATCCACCCACCTCGGCCTCCCAAAGTGCTGGGATTACAGGCATGAGCCACTGCACCCAGCCTTCTTGGGATTGTTCAGAGGCAAAGTATTGGAATCTATCAATGAACAGATAGTCTTTGATCTCTACTCCGTTGACACTTCCTTGAATGTAAAAATAATTTTTAGAGTGTGGTACTTTTTGTTTTATAAAAAGTATGTATCAGTCTGAATGTTTGTTTGCTTCATAAATCAAAACATTTCCATATTTTTGAAATTACATCAGTGTTTTAAAATTCAACTTCCTAGATTAAATTTTACAGTTGAATGTTTTGTCTCAGTATTTTGCCTAGTTCTTATTTCTTGTCTAACAGAAACTAAGCATTTGGAAAGGCCATTAATTAGTACACGTTAAATATTTTTCTGTACAGTTAGAAATATATTTCATGTGGTTTTGTGTTTATTTTTGAAAATTTACTATTTTCACGTCTGAATTAATAAAACATTATAGCAATTAATAAAAAGTATATTCTAGTTTGCTAAGGTGACTGCTAAATATTGCATTAGATGATGCTACATATTGCTTAGAATTTGATATACAATATATAAAATAATCTTTTACTTATTCCTTTTTAGTCACCTGAATTTGTTTAGTTTCTCTACGATTCAACATACTTTTAATTTTTAAGATTTTTTAAAAAATACAAGACACTAAAAATATTTTTTAAAGTAAAATAAAAATTAACTATTTGTAGATAGATTTATATAAATTTAAACATTTCCTTGAGCCTAGTTATCCAGTTGCACTTTTATAACACCATTGTATAGGTTTGATATACTCATAGATCCTTGATGTGTTTGAGAAACTAGTTGTCATAATTTTTACAAATTTTGTTCTTCCACCCAGTAAATCATGTGTCATCTAAAGTTAGAGGGCAATATACATTAAGGTGCCTGACCTGTGCCCAGCATTGTTTGGGCTTTGTGTGTGGGGTTCATAATAAAGAATGTTACGAGGTTTTTTAACTTTCTGGGAAAATACAAAATAGGGAGTTAAGACAGGTAAGTATGATGTAAATTTAAGAATGTGAAGATAAATATATTATTAATAGAGATTAGACTTTATGAATATGCATCTTTTACTGTGTTGTAAAGGAAGTATAGCACTTGAATGAGAAAAATAGGGAAAGGATTTTATTAAAAGGGGATAAGGCAGCTGGGCACAGTGGCTCACGCCTATAATCCCAGCACTTTGGGAGGCCGAGGTGCGCAGATCACCTGAGGTCAGGAATTTGAGACCAGCCTGGCCAACATGGCAAAACCCTGTCTCTACTAAAAGTACAAAAATTAGCCAGGAGTGGTGGCGGGTGCCTGTAATCCCAGCTACTCAGGAGGCTGAGGCAGGACAATCGCTTGAACCCGGGAGGCGGAGGTTGCAGTGAGCTGAGATTGCGCCACTGTACTCCAGCCTGGGCGACAAGAGTGAGACTCCAGCGCAAAAAAAAAAAAGGGCGGGGGGGCTAAAGCATAAAGAGGTGAGCATAATTTTAAAGAATTACTAAGTTCAGTTTAACTAGAGTAGCTAAAATTTGAAAGACTTGCTCATTATGTGAAGATAAGTGATTCCAGTAAACAAGCAAAAATCACTGAGAAAAGTACATTAATAATGTTAGAAAAACCTAATCTTAATTTACTATTAAAAATATTCATCTTATTCTGTCCTCTTTTCACAGTTTTTACCAAAGTCAAATGTTTTTGCTAGCTTTGGAGCACTGTTAACTATAGTCCTATCTGTGGTAATGCTATAATGCCCAAATTGATAGTTTTATAATGCTAGTGCTTAAGTTATTTGGAGAAATTTGGCTGGATGGGGGCAGAGCAGGTCAGGCAGATCTTACACTGCCTGGAACTGCAAATCTATAGGTGGCAAGAGGGAATTGCTTTCTAAATTGAATGCTCCATTTCCTTAACAAGACTGGTCCAGGACCAAGCCAAGCTTAGGTAAATGGGCTTGGAATACAGCCTTTCTGGGGAATTTGCTATGGCTTTTGAGTCCTTGTGATTTGGAAAACATCTGGATATAAAGAGATGTTTATAGCTGATCTGAATATATATGTGATCTCCCTGAAGTAAGTAACTACAGATCAGCCGAAGAACCTCCTCTGACTACTTAGGATTCTCTTCAAGCGTGTCAATCAGCTAGAACGTGACCATTCTCTGAGCGTTGAACACTTTACATTGCCAGATAATTTGTGCTGTTTTCGTCAAACCTGACCCTAATATAACTTGACTAAATAATCTTGTCTGTGGCAAATAAAGAGGTAGCAGTATATTTATGTCCTCTTTTCGGAAGGTGATAAAGGAATTATTTGATAAAGTACGATATGTATTGCTACTTTGCAGAGTAGACCTCAAGTAGATACTTGAGTAGACACTCTGCATTTGTGTGCTTTTTTCTATTCACACACTACAGTGGGTATGTGAATCAGTGAAAAATTGCCAAAAATATGATCAATTGAAAACTTTTGTTAGGTGGTCTTTATTTGAACTATATCTTGTCATCCATTAGTAATTTAGCAAGATTTGATCAGAACCAGTCAACGCTCTTTAAATCAGTTAATCCCATTAAAGGTTTTTATGGAAAGGAAAAACAGTGCTCAACAATTGAGTTGATACTAAAGCTTTGCTTTGACCAAATTGCAGTTAATACCAGTAAACTACTTTTTTTTTTTGAGACGGAGTCTTGCTCTGTCACCCAGACTGGAGTGCAGTGACGCTATCTTGGCTCACTGCAAGCTCTGCCTCCCGGGTTCACATCATTCTCCTGCCTCAGCTTCCTGAGTAGCTGGGGCTATGGGCACCCGTCACCACGCCTGGTTAATTTTTTTTTAGTACAGATGGGGTTTCACCGTGTTAGCCAGGATGGTCTCGATCTCCTGACCTCGTGATCTGCCAGCCTCGGCCTCCCAGAGTGCTGGGATTACAGGCGTGAGCCACCGTGCCCAGCCTATCAGTCAACTACTTTTTGTTTTTATCTTCATATATTAAGGGAATTTTTAGTTAAACAGGTTGCCCTCACATACATTTTATGATCTTATATTAGATACCTTTGGATGTCTGTATTTTTTAGTAGGCAGATGAAAGTGTTTTTAGTTAGGATTATAGGGATTGCTTTAGTAAAATAATATTTCCTCAGAGAATCTGTCTTACTCCAACAAATACTAACTCTAAAGACTGTTTTCTGTGTTTTTTAGTCGGCCGTATACTAACAAGGTAATTACTTTATGGTACCGTCCACCTGAACTGCTACTGGGAGAAGAACGATACACACCAGCCATTGATGTATGGAGCTGTGGGTAAGATAGCCTTATTTACTGGTTTATTTTACTTGAAACTTTTGGTAGTGAATTAAAATAGATCATTTGGTAATGACGGGTATTTTTTCCATTAGCTGTATCCTTGGCGAACTCTTCACTAAAAAACCTATATTTCAAGCAAATCAGGAACTTGCACAACTAGAATTAATAAGGTAAGCTGCTGATTATAATATTGGTGGGAATTGGGAGAGTGTCATACTCCACAGGAAATTTAAACTCTCCCAAGTTTGTCTTTTCAGGAAGAGAACAACATGGTTCTCTGGAGGGCTTATGACTGCTAAATGGAGGACAAACTGAAATGTAGGCACTTTGATACTTGTTCCAGTGAAATTAAGGATATCAAAGCCCCTGGGTGGGTGCATGTGTATGTGTACATGCGTGCGTGCATGTGTGCGTTTTTTTAAGTCAAAGGACTTGAGGCCCAAAAGATAAGACTGGCAAGGAAGAGTAAATGTAGGAGAGAATGAATGCTAGATACATATTTTTTAATTATGAAAGAAATGAAAAATTCATGTTTTGGGGTATTGTTTAAAAATACTCTTGTAAATACACATAAAAATATGTGTCTATATATGTGTGTATACACACTAAAATACATGCATATACCCCCTAGCGTAGACCTTCATTATTTGGAGCCTATCATAGGACCTAGTTCATAAGCAATTACTCATACATTTTAGTCGCTTTTCTCTTTATCTTTTATTTTATTTTATTATTTTATTTTTTTGAGATAGAGTCTCACTCTGTCACCTAGGCTGGAGTGCAGTGGCATGATCTCCACTCACTGCAACTTCTGCCTCCTGGGTTCAAGCAATTCTCCTGCCTCAGCCTCCCGAGTAGCTCAGATTACGGGTGCCCACCACCATGCCCAGCTAATTTTTGTATTTGTAGCAGAGACGGGGTTTCACCATGTCGGCCAGGCTGGTCTTGAACTTCCAACCTCAGGTGACTGCCCCCCGCCTCGTTCTCCCAAAGTGCTGTGATTACAGGCATGAGCCACCTCATCCAGCCCGTCTTATATTTTAAAATAATTTTAATTTTAAAAATGGGCTTTGGCCAGGCACGGTTTCTCACGCCCGTAATCCCAGCACTTTGGGAGGCCTAGGTGGGTGGATCACCTGAGGTTGGGAGTTTGAGACCAGCCTGACCAACATGGAGAAACCCTGTCTCTACTAAAAATACAAAATTAGCCCGGCGTGGTGGCCCACGCCTATAATCCCAACTACTTGGGAGGCTGAGGCAGGAGAATCATTTGAACCCAGGAGGCGAAGGTTGCTGTGAGCCGAGATTGTGCCACGGCACTCCAGCCTGGGCAACAAGAGCGAAATTATGTCTCAAAAAAAAAAAAAAAAAAAGGTGGGGGGGCTTCAGTTTCATATGTAATAATGTAAACGTGCAACTTATAAAATTTCCATGAAAGTTTCAAAATATATATGAAGTTTTTTAGGAAAGATATTGATAGGGGGTACAGATTTACAGAATTTTACTTTACCAACTGAACAAAATGAACATAAAGCAACAAATAGTAACCAGAGAAGGACCTCAACATCATATCATAAACAGACAAATTGAATCAAACTAAAAATCTTACTATTGCCCTTTTTGGTGGTTAGGCAAGGTTTTTACTATAGGGTACAGCAGGGAAAGATGAGTGCCCTAGTTAGAGCCTGCTTCTTCTCTGGGGATAACTTGGCTATAGTCAGAAGTACCCGAAGCCAGAAACTAGTAGTGCTTCAACTCCAAAGCAGCCAGTTGCCTCACTTTTAATAACATTATGAAAAAGAAGAAGGGAAGGGAAGGAGTTCACCTGAAACATAGAAAACTTTTATGTTACTTTTTTTTTTTTTTTTTCCTGTTTTTTGAGACAGTATCTCACTTTGTTGCCTAGGCTGGAGTGCATTGGGGCAGTCATGGCTCACTGCAGCCTTGACCTCCTGGAGCCAAACAATCCTCCTGCCTCAGCCTTCCAAGTAGCTGGGACCACAGGCATGCACCACCATGCTGGGTGATTTTTTTTTTTTTTTTTTTTTTTTTTTTTTTTTTGGAGACCGGCTTTCTCTATGTTGCCCAGGCTGGTCTCCAACTCTTGGACTCAAGCGATCATCCTGTCTCAGCCTCCCAAAATGTGTCATACCTTTTTAATTGTGCAATAGACAAGTAAAAAGGGTTAAGAAGAACTGATACTCTTGGAAAAAAGAAATATACCTTTCAGTGCTAATTGGGCATTTACAAAAGTTAGTTATATATTAATAGAGGAAGGAACTCCAAAACGTTGAAATACTATAGGCTAAATTCTCTAAAATAGAATAAAACTAGAAATTAATATAAACATGGAAACAACAAAGTCTCTTAACTATCTAAAAATTTACATATGCTAAAAAATCCTGGATTAAAGAGAAATCAAACTTTAAGACAGGGTTGTCCAGTCTTTTGGTTTCCCTGGACCACACTGGAAGAAGAATAGTTGTCTTAGACCACACATAAAATACAGTAACACTAATGATAGCTGATTGATAGGCTAAAAAAAAAATTCCAAAAAAAAAATCTCATAATATTTTAAGAAAGTATGAATTTGTGTTGGGCTGCATTCGAAGCCATCCTGGGTTGCATGCAGCCCATGGACTGCAAGTTGGACAAGCTTGCTTTAGAACATCTAGGTTTAAAAAGAGTGATAAGTATAAAAATCCATGGGCTAATAACCCTGTGCTTAGGAGAAAATCACAACCTTAAATATACTACTAAATAAGAAAAGGAAAGCAAATTAATTAAGCATTCTACAGACAAACTAGACAAAAGCAGCAAAATAAACCCAGGAAATAAAAATGAATTATAATACATAAAATGTAAAATTTATGAAGAAACCTATGATCTGGTCTTGGGTTTATTCACACATATATGCAATATAAATTAGTCTACTAGTTTAACTTCATATGAAAAGAGAGTATAAAGAAATTAAAAGACTGAATGCGGTGGCTCATGCCTGTAATCTCCGCATTTGGGAGGCCGAGGCAGGATCACTCGAGCCCAGGAGTTTTAGACCAGCCTGAGCAATATAGTGAGAACTTGTCTCTACAAATTAAAACAAACAAACAAAAACAACAACAACAAATTAGCTAGTCATTGGAGGGTGAGCATGTGGTCCGTACTACTCGTGAAGCTGAGGTGAGAGGATTACTTGAGCCCAGGAAGTCGAGACTGCAGTGAGCTAATGACACCACCGCATTCCAGCCTGGTTGACAGAGTGAGACCATGTCTCCAAAATAAAAAACCAGCCCCATTATTTTCTTTGATAAATTATTACACATCTTTTAGAAACCAGTACTTGTAATGTTCTTTAAACTATTCCAGAACATAAGAATAATTCAGTACAAGCTTTCTTATTCAGTCTTCTCTTGAAGAGTCTTATTAGATTAATTGATGCTCTTCATTCCCTCTGTAAAGAAAAACTGGCTTGATAACATGGCAAGCTGAATGCTTGTAGCTAGTAGGCTGTCACTTTCTAGTAAGACTATGTATTTATCCCACCAGTTGAAGAGTATGCTGAACAGGAGGTAGTTGTTAGTTTTCAATTTTTATGCTTTTTATTATTATAATTACATAGTTTAAGCGTAGATACAGTGCTTTACAAAAACTTTAAGACATTGCTGTCTAATTAGGGATGGACAAGTAATTGTGTAAGTTAGAAAAGTTATAAAAATCCAAGATGTGGTATTAGATTGCTTTGAAAGTGTTTTTAATTTCTAGATTTATTTAAAGAAATCAAAACTAAAAATCCTTGATGATGTGTTATGGGTGTGGTTTGTACAAGAGAGCTAATACAGAATTCCATTCAGTGAATCCTCTGTTTAAAGAGAAAGCCTTGGCCTTTGTCAGAAGATGGGAAAACAAATGTACATTTATAAACTTTCAGTTAAAATAAAATGTTTAAATTATATATCTGTGTATCTTTTTTTTTAAACGATTCCTTCTAACCTTTTTTTTTTAAACGATTCCTTCTAACCCATTTTTTTTTTGTTAAACCCAACCAGCCAACTCTTGGTCCTGATTGTATTGGAAACTAGGGCTTCTATTAAAGATAGTTAACATCTATTTAGTTCATATACAATATCAGCATTATTCGAAGAGTTTCACTTGAATTATCTCAGTTAAGCTTCGTAACAACCCTATGTCTTCTCTTTATAGTTAAGAAAACTGAACCTTAGAGAGGTGAAGAATTCGTCCAGGGTCATAAAACTAGCAAGTGGCAAAATTGAGATTTAAACACTGCTAGGTGTTACCTTAGGATCTAAACTTTTAACCATTACTCCAAAGTACAGGCTGGGTGCGGTGGCTCACGCCTGTAATCGCAGCACTTTGGGAGGCCAAGACGGGTGGATCACTTGAGCCCAGGAGTTCAAGACCAGACTAGGCAACATGACAAAACCCCGTATATACTAAAAACAAAAATTAGCCGGGCATGGTAGCACACACCTGCAATCCCAGCTCCTTGGGAGGCTGAGGCATGAGAATTGCTTGAACCTGGGAGGCAGAGGTTGCAGTCAGCCAAGATCGCACCACTCCACTACAGCCTGGGTGACAGAGTGAGAATTGGTCTCAAAAAATAAATAAATAAACTACATAGGAAATAAAACTACCTGGAATCTTTTCTTTTACAAAATCAATATGACACACATATCGGTACTTGACAAAGACAACATGAAAAATTTTATAAGATATTAGGCCGGGAACGGTGGCTCATGCCTGTAATCCCAGCACTTTGGGAGGCCGAGGTGGGAGGGTCACTTGAGGCCAGGAGTCTGAAACCATGCCTGGCCAACATGGTGAACGCCCCCATCCCCCATATCTACTAAAAATATAAAAATTAGGCTGGGCATGGTGGCTCATGCCTGTAATCCCAGCACTTTGGGAGGCTGAGGCGGGTGGATCACTTGAGGTCAGGAGTTTGAGACCAGCCCGGCCAGCATGGCGAAACCCTATCTCTACTAAAAATACAAAAACTAACCGGGCGTGGTGGTAGGCGCCTGTAGTCCCAGCTCCTCAGGAGGCTGAAACACAATAATTGCTTGAACCCAGAAGGCGGAGGTTGCAGTGAGCCGAGATTGCTCTGCCGCGCTCCAGCCTGGGCGATTGAGACTGTCTCAAAAAAAAAAAAAAAGAAAAATTGTATAAGATATTAATCCAAGAATTCTAAGGGAGGTACTAGCAAATAGTATCCAGCTTTTTATCACAAAGTTAACCTGCAGAAAAATGATGGGAGCTAAGATGATACAGAGGGTCAAGAAAGGTATCTCCCTTTAAGTGACATTTGAGCAGAGATCTGAATGAAGAAATGGCAAAGTAATAAAGACTCTGAGGCATATTTGGTTTTTTTTTTTTAGGAATATGTTCTCAGTGAACCATATGGGGGGAAAGCTTGGTTTATCCATTTTATAGCATGCTGTACTGTTACTAAGAAGGAAATAGTTGGTCAGGCACAATGGCTCACGCCTCTAGTCCCAACACTTTGGGAGGCCAAGGCGGGCGGATCACTTGAGGTCGAGTTCAGGACCAGCCTTGCCAACATGGTGAATCCCTGTCTCTACTAAAAATACAAAAATTACCTGGGCGCAGTGGTGTGTGCCTGTAATCCCAGCTACTTGGAAGGCTGAGGCAGGAACATCCTGCCTCAGGTAGCTTGAACCTGGGAGGCAGAGGTTGCAGTGAGTCGAGATTGTGCCACTGCACTCCAGCCTGGGTGACAGAGTGAGACTATGTCTCAGAAAAAAAAAAAAAAAAAAAAAAAAGGAAACAGTTGATTTGGAGATAAAGAAATGGAAAAGCAGCATGAATAGTTACAGAAGGCTATATTGAGATTGATCTCATTTAGGTAAAACAAAAGACTCAAATTGTTAATCTGAACATGGACTTTCAAGAAGACTAGGGAGGAGAAATTTTCATTTTCTAGTTTATATATTTCAGCATGTTTTTATTTTGTTAAGATACTTATAATTTTATAAAGAGATTGACCGGGCACAGTGGCTCACACCTGTAATCTCAGCACTTTGGAAGGCCAAGG
This sequence comes from Homo sapiens, assembly GCF_000001405.40. Classification (NCBI taxonomy): domain Eukaryota; kingdom Metazoa; phylum Chordata; class Mammalia; order Primates; family Hominidae; genus Homo; species Homo sapiens. Next base: position 40,069,004 of record NC_000007.14, read on the forward strand.
CAGGTGGATCACTAGAGCCCAGGAGTTTGAGACCAGCCTGGGCAACGTGGCCAAACCCCGTCTCTACAAAAAATACAAAAATTAGGTGGGTGTGGTAGCACACACCTATAGCCTGAGCTATTGGGAGGCTGCGGTACAAGGATCACCCGAACCCAAGGGAGGTCGAGGCTACAGTGAACTGTGATTGCACCACTGCCCTTTAGTCTGGGCAGCAGAGCGAGACCTTGTCTCAAAAAAACAGAAATAAAACAACAAAACATAAAAAGATGCTTCAATTTTGATTTCATAGCATTAATTTCTTTTCAGACATGAAGAAAATGAAGTTTCTGATAAACAAATCTGACTATAATGAGGCAACGGAGTATACCGAAAAGTGTGTGGCCTTTAGAATCTTACAGGGTTGGGTTCTAATGCCAGCTCAGCTACTTCCTGCGCTTATGGTTTAGGGTCCCATATGCTCTTAAGTTTTTTTCTTCAAAAGTAAAAGAGGACTGATAACATGCTTAGGGTTGTGAGAATTAAATGTAAATAAGTTTTCAGTACATATTTCTTCCCTCACCTTATTTACAGTAATGCTAGGTTGTTTATAGGCTCAGGAATGATGAGACCTAGTGTCAGTATAGTACAGATACATGTAAAACTGATCAAGAGTGATAACACTAATTTGCTTTAAATGGCTTTACACCATAGTGAATGAGTTATTTTATTTATAATTTGCTTTGTTCCAGAAAGTATTTTAGGCAGATTACAAATATTTTATAATAGAAGTAGCATAGATTAAAAAGTGATGGAGGGAGGCCGGGCACGGTGGCTCATACCTATAATCCCAGCACTTCGGGAGGCCGAGGCAGGTAGATCATCTGAGGTCAGCAGTTTGAGACCAGCCTGGCCAACATAGTGAAACCCCGTCTCTGCTAAAATACAAAACAAGCCGGGCACAGTGGCTCATGCCTGTAATCCTAGCACTTTGGGAGGCCGAGGCGGACAGGTCATGAGGTCATGAGGTCAGGAGATCAAGACCATCCGGGCTAACACGGTGAAACCCCGTCTCTACCAAAACTACAAAAAAAAAAAAAAAAAAAAAAAAAAAGCCGGGCATGGCGGCGGGCACCTGTAGTCCCAGCTACTCAGGAGGCTGAGGCAGGAGAATGGCATGAACCCAGGAGGCAGAGCTTGCAGTCAGCCGAGATGGCGCCACTGCACTCCAGCCTGGGCAAGAGAGCGACACTCCATCTCAAAAATAAATAAAAAAACAATTAGCTGAGTGTGGTGGCACACACCTGTAATCCCAGGTACTTGGGAGTCTGAGGCAGGAGAACTGCTTGAACCTGGGAGGTGGAGGTTGCAGTAAGCGGAGATTGTGCCACTGCACTCCAGCCTGGGCAACAGCAAGACTCCATCCCAAAAAAAAAAAAAAAAAAAAAAGTGATAGAGGGCACAATGACTCACGCCTGTAATCCCAGTACTTTGGGAGGCTAAGGCCGGTGGTTTACTTGAAGTCAGGAGTTTGAGACCAGCCTGGCCACCATGGTGAAACCCCATCTCTACAAAAATACAGAATTAGCGGGCGTGGTAGCTAGCACCTGTAATCCCAGCCGCTGGGAAGGCTGAGGCAGGAGAATCGCTTGAACCTGGAAGGTGGAGGCTGCAGTGAGCCAAGATCGTGCCACTGCACTCCAGCCTGGGCAACAGAGCGAGACTGTGTCTCAAAAAACAAAACAAAACAAAAAGTGATGGAGGAAGAGAATGGAAAACACACATTGGGACAAAATGGGATGAATGAAGGCAGAAAGCTCTGTGTGGCCATATATATATATATATATTTAATTGTTTTTAAACATGAGGATCACATTACCCTAAGCCTTCTAGCAGTCAGCTGAAGAGCCTTTATATCACACAATGTACATTGCTTATGAGATAAAAAGGATTATAATCAGTGAAGAAATTGAAAGTAGATTAGAATTAAATGAATCCTTTTCTCTATCTGCCACCTCACCCAGTACACACAAACCCTCAGGCCTAGGTGGTTTACACAGGTGAAATTTTTTAAACTTTAAAGGAATTAGATTTTGGTTGTACCAGAAGATAGGAAAAGAGGGAAGCTTCCCATATTGAAAGAAATGAATCATGTATACCTTCATAAACTGATGGCATAAAATATTCTGTAGAGTTGTGCTTCTCAAACTTTTTGGTTTCATAACTTCTTTATGCTCAAATTATTAAAGATCCCGGGAGTTTTTGTATCTACTGAGATTTACCGTATTAGAAATTAAAGATATTTATGAATTCATTTTAACATAATAATGTTAACATGTTTTAAAGTCTATAACGTCTATAGTTTCTAAAATAAAAGTTGTTGGAATGGCAGATCTGTCTGGTTTAATAGACATGACACTTGGATCCTCATATCTGTGATGTGCTGTTTTCAATAGCCTTTTTGGATAATGGTGCATATTCTTCTTAGAAACCACAAAAATTAGATGATTGCTAGTTTTTTACAGGTTGTAATGTGTAATCTGAAACCATATGAAGGAATATTTTATAGTGTACTATATTGAAATCCATTGTTCTGTCTTACACTTTGAATGGATCTTTTATCTGTGATGATTTTGTGATATTATGCATTGGTCATTTGAAAAATGCTGCTTCACTGAACAGATCTTCCAAATGTAATGTTTTATGTTATATAATTTGTACCACCACTGATCTCATCAGAAAAGCTTTTCAGTATTTTGAAACTGTTAAGCTCACGGTGGAGGATATAAGTTTTCTAATATTCTAATTTCTCTGGAAAGTTCCAATTTTATAATTGACAATAAATACTGTTGTTTTCCTTCAAGTGACAAGCTGACTTTGTTCCTATTTGAGAAAATGTCTGGAAAATACCCAAGTTTGGATGACTGTAGTTTGTTAGTTTTCTTTGCCGGTAAAAATAGTGGTCCATGAAAAAAGCAGCTGCCTCAGTTCGCAAGTCAAATCATTGCACATCTTCTCAAGATAACTATCATATTTTGTTGTACAGTAGAAGTGCTTATGAGTATTTCCCATTTCATCGCAGAGAATATTAAAAAGATACATACTCAAATATCAGAATTAAATGCCATTAACAATTTGTACTGCTTCAACAAGTACATTCTTTTTTTGAGAGAGTCTGGTTCTGTCACCCAAGCTGGAGGGCAGTGGTATAATCTCAGCTCACTGCAACCTCTGCCTCCCGGGTTCAAGCAATTCTCATGCCTCAGCCTCCTGAGTAGCTGGGACTACAGGTGCGCACCACCACACCCGGCTAATTTTTGTATTTTCAGTAGAGACAGGGTTTTGCCATGTTGGCCAGGTTGGTCTCGAACTCATGACCTCAGGTGATCCGCCCACCTTGGCCTCCCAAGTGCTGGAGTTACAGGCATGAGCCACTGCACCTCACTTAACAAGTACATTCTTAAGTGAAACTGGCTTTTCTCCCCACCCTGAAATTTGCATGATAATGAAGACTACATCCTGTTAATATAGTTTGTTGCCACTGAGTTGAATCATGTTAAGGTGCTGGTAGTTTTACCACTGGTTTTGTACCATTAGTGCAAATCAACACATGGAAAAAGGCAAATAATGGCTTAGTAATAGCTTTGACCTGCCAGACCTTGAAGTGTCTAGGGGACGCTCAGTGGTCCTTGGACCCCACTTGTGAAAACTGTTGCTGTATATCAGTCTTACATACGAATACTGATGTACAACATCTAACTTAACAAGTGGAAAATACAGCATTACATTGAAATAATAGTACTTTTATTAGGCTTGGATGGTATTCTTCCTTTGAATATAATGATGAATATGTATTAGGAAGTCTGTTGATAAAATTCACATTAAGTAGCCTGGGGAGAAAATGCAGATGATGATGGTTATAGAAGTTCTAAAAAATCAAAACTGATAAAACTAAAGCACTCTTAGAATATAAAAGCCACAAAAATTAAAATCCATAGTAGAGAGGAATAAATGAATGCTTCCTTAACAGGAAATATGTGTGAATTTGTATGTGTATATGTGAGTATATTTCTGTTATGTGTTTTTCAAACCCAAAGGCATCATTCTTCCCAGGGCTAAACAATGAATGTGCTCCCATTAAAATCAGAAAATAAAGTTACCCAATATTGTGTACTGTCATTATCATTTTAACATTGTTTAGTAATTGCCACATAATGTAACATACCACAGTGATAAAGATACATTTGAAAAAAATATAGATGAATTCTAACATGGGTTATATGATTTATATACCTGGAATACCTCAAAGAAACAACTGCTAAAACTGGTAGGAACCCTACGATCTCAGATGGCTACATATTATTAAATTTTTGTTTGTGGCCAGGAATGATGACTGACACCTGTAATGCTAGCACTTTGGGAGGCTGAGATGGGAGGATTGCTGGAGTCCAGTAGGTCAAGGTTGCACTGAGCCTTGTTTGCACCCCTGCACTCCAGCCTGGGTGACAGTGAGACCTTGTCTCAAAAATAAATAAATAAATAAAATTTGAAACCTTTCCTGTAATAAAGCTTTTCTTTCTTTTTCTTTTTCTTTCTTTTTCTTTTTCTTTCTTTCTTTTTTTTTTTTATTTGAGACAGAGCCTCGCTGTGTTGCCAGGCTGGAGTGCAGTGGCGCAATCTCGGCTCACTGCAACCTCTGCCTCCCAGGTTCAAGTGAGTCTCCTGCCTCAGCCTCCTGAGTAACTGGGACTAGAGGCGCACGCCACCATGCCCAGCTAATTTTTGTATTTTTAGTAGAGACGGGGTTTCACCATGTTGGCCAGGATGGCCTTGATATCGCGACCTTGTGATCTGCCCACCTCAGCCTCCTAAAGTGCTGGGATTACAGGCGTGAGCAACCGTGCCTGGCCTTTCTTTTTTTCCTTTTTTTTTTTTTTTTAAGATAAAGTCTTGCTGTCTGTCATCCAGGCTGGAGTGCAGTGGCCTGATCTCAGCTCACTGCAACCTCCACCTCCCAGGTTCAAGTGATTCTCTGCCTCAGCCTCCCAAGTAGCTGGGATTACAGGTGTGCGCCACCATGCCCAGCTAATTTTTGTGTTTTTAGTAGAGACAGGGTTTCCCCATCTTGCCGAGCCTAGTCTCAAACTCCTGCTCAAGCAATCCACCTGCATCGGCCTTCCAAAGTGCTGTGATTAGAGGCATGAGCCATCATGCCTGGCCAAGCTTTTCTAATTAATTGCTTAGAAAATATAATGGGCATGGGCCAGGTGCGGTGGCTCACGCCCATAATCCCAGCACTTTGGGAGGCCGAGGTGGGCGGATCACTAGGTCAGGAGATCGAGACCATCCTGGCTAACACAGTGAAACCCTGTCTCTACTAAAAATACAAAAAAATTAGCCGGGTGTGGTGGCAGGTGCTTGTAGTCCCAGCTACGTGGGAGGCTGAGGCAGGAGAATGGCATGAACCTGGGAGGTGGAGCTTGCAGTGAGCCGAGATGGTGCCACTGCACTCCAGCCTGGGCGACAGAGCAAGACACCATCTCAAAAAAAAAAAAAAAAAAGAAAGTAAATATAATGGGCTAAAAACATGTTTAAGGCTGGGCTCAGTGGCTTATGCCTGTAATCCCAATACTTTGATAGACTGAGGCAGGAGGATCACTTGAGGCTAGGAGTTTGAGGCCAGCTTGGGTCTCAAATTAGATGGATGTAGTGGCATATTCCTGTAGTCTCAGCTGGTAAGCTGAGGCAGGAGGATCATTTGAGACCGGGAGGTCGAGGCTTCAGGGAGCTATGATTGCATCACTGACCTCCAGCCTGGGGTAGCAGTGGAACCCTGTGTCTATTTAAAAAAAAAAACAAAATATTTAAAAAACAAAAAGCCCGTAAAGGAAATACACAAAATCTCACTGAAAATAGATAAATAAATAAATAAAGGAAAGAAATAGAAACACTAATTCTAAGATAGAAATATTAAGCATTGTAAAGGCAGTAGTTGGTTCTAAATCTATAAATTTAGAGTGGCGGTTGAATCCTAGCAGGATTCTCTTTTGGAGTGTTATAGTATTGATTATAATTCATGTGTAATAAAATTTTGAGGAGAATAAGTAAAGAGGTGGATAGGAGATTTGTCCTATCAGACTTTCAAGGAATATTAAAAGCACAATATGGTATTGACACCAGAGTAGATTGATGGAATCACGATAGATTCCCAAAGTATACCTCAGGTAATTGGGGATTTAGCATATACCTTAGTGTATGATGCATCTCAGTAGTAAATGGTGTTGGGAGTAGTTGACTGGCCACCAGGCACAGATTTTGTAAATGCAGTTATCAGTTGCTGTCATGTCTACCTCTCTAGTTTCTAGGAACTTTCCTTGCATCGGTATGTGTATTCCATTGTGTATCCTGCTTTCAGTTAGATAAATTCGGTACTCAGATATCTTTCAACATCACATATGATAAAATAATTGAAATTTTTATTGAAATAAAATTTCAATAAAATAAAATTTTATTGAAATAAAATTTTAGTATAATGAAACTGTTGTTTATTATAAGACTATTAATGGGCCAGATGCTAGCTCATTTAATTTCGTAGCTTCAAAATAAAATTAATCTTAAGTTTCCAAAAGAGGAGCAGATTCCTAAGCAATGTAATTTGACCGATGTCAGACAAGAGTCAAATATAAAACTTGCTTTTAAATTCTGTCTTCATTATACATAGGCAAAGTACCTTAGAACTGTATTGTGGACTGGGTGCAGCGGCCCATGCTTGTAATCCCAACACTTTAGGAGACTGAGGTGGGAGGATCACTTGAAGCCAGGCGTTCAAGACCAGCCTGGGCAACATAGCAAAAACCTGTCTACAGACAAACCTACCGCAGTATTATCTAGACCCAGGTTATGCTTCCAGCTGAGCCTCCCTGAGCCCTGTATTCCCCCTACACTGATTTACATAGTGTTCCTCCCAAATGTCTATACTTTGCTACTTCCATGCCTTTGCCTGTGTTCTCTCTTCTGGTAACATAATTTATCTTATTCCATTTCCCACCTGTCTATGGTTTACTTATCCTTGGAATTATAACCAAAATTCTTCACTCTTTCCCTAACTTAAGTTTTCTTGTATTTCTGCATCTTGAAAGTATCTTTGCCTTCCTGGATTCCAGTATGCTTTATACTTCTATTATAGTGCACAACAGTCTGCCTGGGGTTGATTAATTGTGTTTACATGGTTTCTTGGAAAAGTATACAAAAACAAGAAATAGAAAAGAGACCTGTAAACAACTAAAATACAGAGCAGGATGAAAGAAATGTCAAACCAGTAGCATGCAAGGAGTAATTCTGAGTAGCATTGGAGAATACAGAAGACTTTTATTAATTAGATTACTTTTGATCTGAATCTTGAGAAGTGAAAATAATTCAGCTATATAGAATTTAGGGAGAAGGAGCATTAGCATAGACATGAAGGAGTGGCCTGTGGGGAGAGATGCATTGGGAAATGAGACTAGGAAGGCAGATTGGGACCAGATCTAGAGAGCCCATGCTACAGGAGTTGGGCTTTCTTTTCAAGGGAGTAGGGTTGAGGAGGTTGTGAAAATTGGACTTTAAGACAAAAGAGAGTAGAACTATGTAAAGAATAAGTTCTTAGTATCTTTAAAGCTTGGGTTTATAAAAATGCTAAATATATTGAGACAAAAAAGTACATTTCAGTGACATACGGCTTTAAAAACATAAAAGGTCTCCTATAAATATGTGTTTCTGAGGTATCATTCTAAAGCTCAGCTAAAAAAATGTCTGGCAACTTGAGCCATTACTTGTTCATATACATTTATACATGCATTTGTATTTACGTATGTTTGGAATATTTTTACTTTTAATCAGTGATACATCAACGTTTTCTTTTTACATATGCAGACCAGCTGACAATTTTATATATAATAAACATCCTTGAAATTTGGTATACTAAAAATAAGTAGATTTAAGCAAATTTTCATCTACCTATTACTAAATCAGTTAGTTTTTAAATGTTTACCAGCTGGAGTTGCCTATTTGTTATAGCATTTCTTCTACAAATTACCATAACAAGGATTTACTAGTTAATGCTAAAATAATGAGGATTTTCAAGATACAGATAAACGAGAGTAAAGCAGTTAAAATTTCTTTATGACTTAAGATCAGCAGCACTACTTAAATTGAAGAACTTTAATGTTTCAAGAGTGTTATGTTTAGGGTCCTTCCATTGATGGCAGTTAGCAGTAGTCTTTACACTACAGTTACCTTCCTGAGGTCATATAGAAATCCGTTTCTGCTATTATTGTAGACTGCCTTATATTCATGGGAAGGAGGAGTGACAGGTACCAAAAAACCAGAGAGGGACATATATTCAACTCTAGTTCCTTAATTTATGGGCATAAATTTTTTATGTTGGTTTTAAGGTGTAAGTCACATATTTTGAGTGTCATCATGTTTTAAGATTTCATTTTGCAAATAATGAAAGTCCTCTAAGAATTGGAATGCTTGGATTGTTAAAAGTATCCACTGAAAATAAATTAATTTCTTAAATAATTAAATTCGGATGACTAAAATATTTAACGAGGGCCGGGCGTGGTGGCTCATGCCTGTAATTCCAGCACTTTGGGAGGCCTAGGCAGGTGGATCACTTGAGAACAGGGGTTCAAGACCAGCCTGGCCAACATGGGGAAATCCTGTCTCTACTAAAAATACAAAAACTAGCTGGGCCGTGGTGGCGCATGCCTATAATCCCAGCTACTCAGGAGGCTGAGGCAGGAGAATCACTTGAACCCAGGAGGCAGAGATTGCAGTGAGCTGAGATTGTGCCACTGTACTCCAGCCTGGGTGACAGAGTGAGACTCTGTCTCAAAAAAAAGAAAGAATAAAATAACAAAAGTTTTTATAGACCAAGGCTTCAATTTTTGTGTATTTAAAAATGAGTTGATGTTTTGTATAACAGTTGTATGTATTCTTTATGTAGTTGATAGTGATGTACTTCCTTTTGTGTGTTGCTTAGCCGAATATGTGGGAGTCCATGTCCTGCAGTGTGGCCTGATGTAATCAAACTACCATATTTCAACACCATGAAACCAAAGAAGCAATATCGTCGAAAGTTAAGAGAAGAATTTGTTTTGTAAGAAGGGGATGTGTAAACATCCTTATTGCATGAATGTTTTACTTTAATTCTAGTGAATTATAAATGTTAGTCTATTCTCTAGTGATCTGAGGTAAACCTATAATTCTTCTAGGGCATTTAATTTTGAGTTCTGTTTGCTACATGCAGATTACCATTTTACCATTATTATGGAATCAGTGATTTGAGATTGTGTGTTTGGTTTGGTGCTTACGTGAAAGAACTTTAATAAGATCATTTAAATGTTACTGGAACAGCTTTCAAGTTACTTGAGCTCAAGTTTTCATTTTGCTTTAGAAAAAACTATACTGTTCAGTTCTTAATTTGTATAATAACAGCAAATTACCGATAAGTAACAATATATACTATTGTTTAGAAAGTGGTTACAAAAATTATGTAAAAATGAAATATTTATTCAAAGGAAAATTCGGATTTATTGAAGTAAAGTATTATGCACATATTAAAAAAGTATTTACAATTATTTTTAAATGATCTTAGTTTTAGTTTTAAAATTTAATTAAAAATAATTTAAGCTCCTAAAGAAACATAAGCTTGTGTCTAAAGAACACATCTAACTTTTGTAATCCTCTCATGCTAGTATTCCTGCAGCTGCGCTAGACTTATTTGATTACATGCTTGCCTTGGATCCTAGTAAGCGCTGCACTGCTGAACAGGCTCTTCAGTGCGAGTTCCTCCGAGATGTGGAACCCTCAAAAATGCCTCCACCAGAGTAAGTGACTTTTTATCCTATTATTATTATATATTATTATTATATTTATTATATTAAAACAGTTTTAATAACATATATAATAAGATATTTCATGTCTGGTTATGAGAAAAATATAATAAAGGAAAGATAAAACAGCAGTAATACACATAATTTGCACATCTGGGATATAGATGCTTGCTTAATGTTTACCCATAGGGCTAGCAAAAACAGCTGCCTTCTAGCTAATTTTAGGCTTGATTGACCTCAAGATTTAATAATATATTTCAACTCTAAGAAAATATTACTGCTGCCGGGCGCGGTGGCTCACGCCTATAATCCCAGCACTTTGGGAGGCCGAGGTGGGCGGATCATGAGGTCAGGAGTTTGAGACCAGTCTGGCCAACATGGCAAAACCCCGTCTCTACTAAAATTACAAAAATTAGCCAGACGTGGTGGCAGGCGCCTGTAATCCCAGCTACTTGGGAGGCTGAGGCAGGAGAATCGCTTGAACCCGCGAGGCGGAGGTTGCAGTGAGCCAAGATCATGGCATTGCACTCCAGCCTGGGTGACAAGAGCAAGACTCCGTCTCAAAAAAAAAAAAATATTACTGCTGTTGCTATTCTAATACTACTTCTACTAAATACTTAACACTACTACTGGTACAGCTATAGCCATAATTTTGAGTGCCATGCTAAGCATTTTTCATTTATTACATTAATCTTTATAACCTTATAAGGTAGGTATTAGTATTATTATCATCACCACTTCACAGAGGAGGAAGCAGGCTCAGAGAGGTTAAGAAACTTGCCCAAGAATACAAATCTAGTAAAGGGTACAGCCAGCTCTCAAATTCACATTAGTCCAATAAGTAAGAGAGGTTCTGAAAATACTTTATAGCATAGTATACAATATAAATTTCTTATCATTGAATGAAAAGAATGTTAGTATCAGAAGCCTGTATAGAAGGAATTATTGTCTGATGGGGGAAATATATAGAGTTTGGGAGTCAAAATAGCTGGCTTCTCTTGAACCTGTAACTTCAAATGGCTCCTGTTATTTCTCTAGGATTGATTTGGGGAGTAGGGGGGAAGGAAAACGTTCATTTGCATTCCTTGACAGGATCTAGAAACCTTGTAGGTATTTTCTTAGTAATTTTTATTTTATTTTTTTGTCTTGAGACAAAGTCTCACTCTGTCTCCCAGGCTGGGGTGCAGTGGCACGATCTCAGCTCACTACAACCTCTGCGTCTCAGGTTCAAGTGATTCTCCTGCTTCAGCCTCCCGAGTAGCTGGGATTACAGGCATGCACCACCACATCTGGCTAATTTTTGTATTTTTAGTAGAGATGGGATTTCACCATGTTGGCCAGGCTGGTCTTGAACTCTTGACCTCAGGTGATCCACCCACCTTGGCCTCCTAAACTGCTAGGATTACAGATTTGAGCCACCACGCCCAGCCTTTTCTTAATAATTTTTAAAATGATAAGGAGCATCATTAAAAGCAAGCCTATTATCTATAATAATAAAATGTTTCCATGTAATAAAAATAGCATATTTTAAATGAACAGACATGGGCTCTGGAGTTCAAATCCTGGTTCTTCTGCTTATCAGTTAGATAGTGCTTATTATATTTCTATGAGGCTGTCATATTCAGCTTCAGTAAGCTTTTATTGAGCTGTACATGGTTGGCCTTTATGGGATGATTTGGGAGCCAAAAAGGATCTATTACCTGACATCATGAGGGACCTGAATTTTTCACTGTTGAATTATTGTTTCATGTTTGCTTTTTTCTTAGTGTGTATCAGTAATCTTAAAACTTGGGCTCAGTACCCCTTCAAATAACATTTTTTAAACTTCTGATTTGGAAAAATTTCAACTCTATAGAAAAATAGGAAGAATAGTACAAAGAGTATTCATGTATATCCTTTACCTAGATTCAACAGTTAATAATAGTTGGACACATTTGCTTTATCACTGTCTACTTTTTTCCTGAACTAGTTGGATATCATGTTGTGGAGGTGACACTTATAAATATGTAATCATATCTGTAAGAACTAGGACTTTATTCTACATGCATACCATATAAAGCATATGAAATTTAACATGAGAATATTTAATGGTCAATCCACATTCAGATTTCCCCAGTTGACCCAATAATTTCTCTTATAGACTTTTTTTTTTAAGATAAAGAATTTTTCAAAGTTCAGCATTCTGTTTATTTGTTATGTCCTTTTCATCTTTAATCACTCTCTAGGGAAGAGATCTTTTGACATTCAACATTTTTTAAGATTCCAAGCTAGCTCTTTGGTAAAATATTTCACAATTTGGATTTGATTGCCTTCTTTTTATCAGAATTAGATTAAGAGTTTGGGGGGCAAGAATGTAATGTTGATGGTGATCCTGCTCTGTGATAATTATGTTCAAGAGAACATAATGTTACTTTGTACCATTATTATTGGTAATGGTAACTTTGACCAAGAGATGTAACCACTGTACTTAAAAATGTCAACATAGTAAATGCTGACATTTTTAAGTAGAGCAATTATATCACTCTTGTAAATATATCAAGTGGAAAGCAACTATCATAGCATTTTGATATCCACCACCAATAGTCATTTGGAAAATGTTGAGCAGTTGTACGTTGTTCCATTTTCATCTTGAACTTATGTTACTCCCGTAGGCTTTTATTCTAATGTAAAGTATTTATGCTAGAAAGTATTTTATTGATTACTGTATCATATATTTTAAAAAACAAATACATGTATATAAATGGAAATTAAATTTCACGTTTCCTGTGACTAAAAGCTCTTTTCTTGATTAAATTGTCATTGTAAATATCAGTAATGAATATTTCCTTATTTATTTATTGATTGATTGATGGAGTTTTACTCTTGTTGCCTCAGCCTCCTGAGTACCTGGGATTACAGGCATGCGCTACCACGCCCGGCTAATTTTGTATTTTTAGTAGAGACAGGGTTTCTCCATGTTGGTCAGGCTGGTCTCGAACTCCAGACCTCAGGTGATCCGCCTGCCTTGGCCTCCCAAAGTGCTGGGATTACAGGTGTGAGCCACCGTGCCCAGCCCAAATATTTCCATTTTAAATAAAGAAAAAATTAGTAAATTTTGTTGGAAGTACAACCTAATGAAAGAGAGGGCTGAGATTTTTTTCCCAAGTAGTTTGCATATCTGTTGATTAATATTGCTTATTCTAGAATGAGACATATTTCCATATGAATTCCAATTTTATTTTTTAGTTCTATAAGTATGCTTGTAAATTAGCATTTGAGAATGTAAGGAGTTTTGTCATAGTTATATCACTGAGTTCTTGGAACTCCTTCGACATTATGTGTGAAAAGCCTTTCATCAAAAATGATTTTAGGCTGGGCGCAGTGGCTCACGCCTGTAATCCCAGCACTTTGGGAGGCCAAGGCGGATAGATCACAAGGCCAGGAGTTCAAGACCAGCCTGGCCAGGATGGTGAAATCCTGTCTCTACTAAAAATGCAAAAATTAGCCAGGTGTGGTGGCGGGTGCCTGTAATCCCGGCTACTCGGGAGGCTGAGGCAGAGAACTGCTTGAACCTGGGAGGCAGAGGTTGTAGTGAGCCAAGATGGCGCCACTGCACTCCAGTCTGGGCGACAGAGTGAGACTCCATTTCCAAAAAAAAAAAAAAAAAAAAAAAAAAAGATTTAAAGGACGGGCACAATGGCTCATGCCTGTAATCTCAGCACTGCAGGAGGATCACTTGATGCCAGCAGTTTGAGATCAACCTGGCCGACATGGCGAAACCCTAGCTGTACTAAAAATACAAAAATTAGCTGGGCATGGTGGCGTGTGCCTGTAATCCCAGCTACTCAGAAGGCTGAGGCAGGAGAGTCACTTGAGCCTGGGAGGTGGAGATTGCAGTGAGCCAAGATCTTGCCGCTGCACTCCAGCCTGGGTGACAGAGCAAGACTCTGCCTCAAAAAAAAAAAAAAAAAAAGTTATTTTAGGCCGGGTGCAGTGGCTCATGCCTGTAATCCCAGCACTTTGAGAGGCCAAGGCAGGTGGATCCCTTGAGCCCATGAGTTTGAGACCAATCTGGGCAACATGGTAAAATCCTATCTCTACTAAAAATACTAAAAAATTAGCCAGGCGTGGTGGCACACGCCTGTAATCCCAGCTACTCCAGAGGGTGAGGCACGAGAATTGCTTGAGCTTGGGAAACGGAGGCTGCAGTGAGCCGAGATCGCGCCACTGCGCTCCAGCTTGGGCAACAGAGTGAGACTCTGTCTCCAAAAAAAAAAAAAAAAAAAGATTCTAATGACCTTCTAGGTGTTAAGATTCTTTCTCCTTCAGTTTTTTGGATAGTAAAGAATTGGAGGCTGGGCATGGTGACTCATGCCTGTAATCCCAGCACTTTGGGAACCAACGCAGGAGGATTGCTTGAGGCCAGGAGTTTGAGACCTACCTGGGTAACATAAGGAGACCCTGTCTTTACAAAAAAAAAAAAAAAAGATGAAGAATTAGAGATCACATGATCTAAAGAAGGATTTCTTGTCTAGTAATTATTTGCCTTTTCAGTTGTCTTACCAATGCTTATGAAATGACATTTTCTAGTACTTGTTACTGTTTCTTTTCACAGCACATTTAATCCAGTATACCTAGAAAAGATTAGGAAATCAGCATGTAATATCAGTGCTACTTTGCCAGTCCATTTTTAAAATTGTTTCTTAATTATGTTTTTTAAGTATTTTGCCAAAACTTGGAACTATAGGTTTATCCCACTCAATTTATGGGAAATGCCTACCTTATATTCTAATCATAAACTGTGTCCTTATTGTAAAGCAAATCACCTAAATCAGACTTAATTTTATCAGAACACACCTGACTGCATTTTTTCATTAAAAACAAACATGTTAAAAACACATTCAAGGAACATTCTGTAAGCTATCTGTAACAAATTATGGAATGTATCTTGTTAGATACATTACTAAAGCAATCAAGTAAAGAGTATCAGATTGATCCAATATTTAAATAAAAACATTTTATAAACAATATAATATAATATCTCTCACTATTTTGCAATATGATATAATGAGTAGTTAAAATTATGCATTACTTATGAGGTAAGGACTATGAAGAAATACATGGTATTCCTTTAGAAAGTTGGAAGGTGTATCAAACTCTTTTGATCAATTTTTTAGGAATAATCAAATGAGAGAATGGGGTATTTAAAAATCGGAAATAGGCTGGGCACGGTGGCAGTGGCTCATGCCTATAATTCCAGCACTTTGGGAGGCCGAGGCGGACCTATCACTTGAGGCCGGGAGTTCAAGACCAGCCTGGCCAACATGGTGAAACCCCGTCTCTAGTAAAAATACAAAAATTAGGCCGGGCGCAGTGGCTCACACCTGTAATCACAGCAGTTTGGGAGGCCGAGGTGGGCAGATCACGAGGTCAAGAGATTGATACCATCCTGGCCAACATGGTGAAACCCCATCTCTACTAAAAATACAAAATTAGCAGGGTATGGTGACACATGCCTGTAATCCCAACTACTTGAGAGGCTGAGGTACAAGAATTGCTTGAATCCAGGAGGCAGAGGTTGCAATGAGCTGAGATCACACCATTGCACTCCACCCTGGGTGACAAGAGTGAAACTCTGTCTCAAAAACAAACAAAAAAGTTAGAAATAACTCCATTAATTGTATTAGATGCCCTGTCAAACGTAAAGTATATATAGCTGGAAAGTGAATTAGACTAGCAGCCAGCCTGTAAGCTTTCTTTAACAGCAAGTAAAAAGCATTAAGCCATTTATAAGACAAAATATCAGTTGCCATTAGAATGAATATTTCACAATAATGATTTGATGGAAATAGTTGTAAACTATGAATTAAATGATCAGTGATGTCAAACATGAATTAATACATTGCCTACTTTGTAAGAGGCACTGCTGAAGAGCTTGCACATGTTAACATACAGTACTACCCCATGAGGTAGATAGTATTGTTAATCCCATTTTTAAAGACAAGGAAAATGAGGCACAGAGGTCCAGTTATTTGCCTAAGACACATCAAGTAAGTGACTGAGCTGGCATTTGAACCTTCAAGAAAGCAAATAAAAGTTTGGTTATCTGGAAGACATTCCTGATCCATCTGAAAGTATCAGCATCAGTAACCTGTACTATTTTAGCTATTTCTTGGGTAAAATTTATCTTTCCTAGAGATGAGTATTAAGATCATCCATAAAGAATCTCTTACTTTTAAGGGGGCCAGGTACGGTAGCTCATGCCTGTAATCCCAGCACTTTGGGAGGCCAAGACTGGCAGATCACCTGAGGTCAGGAGTTCAAGACCAGCCTGGTCAACATGGGGAAACCCCGTCTCTACTAAAAATACGAAAATTAGCCAGGCATGGTGGCATGTGCCTGTAATTCCAGCTACTGGGGAGGCTGAGGCAGGAGAATTGCTTGAACCTGGGAGGCGGAGGTTGGAGTGAGCCGGGATAGCACCACTGCACTCCAGCCTGGGTGACAGAGCACGAGAGCAAGATTCCATCTCAAAAAAAAAAAAAGGAAAGAAAATAATCTCTTACTTTTAAATTGTGGGAGGGAACAAAAGCCCTTTTTAATGGATTACTTTGCTTTGCTCTCATGGGGCTGTCCTTCAAGAGCAATGCATTCCCTGAGCTTCAGGATAGAAAGGTGGAATCACTCCAGTTACCCCACTGTGCAGTACTACAGTATATCTGAATTTAAGGTATCCCAACAGAGACTGAGACCCACATCATATCATACAAACACTTAGAAAGGAAATTCTTTGGCGGGTTTATGATGCCTGAAAGCTTCCCAATATCGATATTTCAAATTGTCCCTTTGTTTGTTACTCCAGGAGGTTTTTACACGCTGAGGCAATGCATCATAGTAAGATGGCTGAGAGGTATGCCTTTGTTTTGTTTTTGGACCTCAGGTGCATAGACTTGGTTTAATCATAATCCTTGTGTCACTCATCATTGGTCCATGCATGGCTCTCTTTTATTTATTTTAGTTACTTTAGTTATTTTTAATAATGTTAATAAGCAGCCATGAACCTACCAAACAAAAGCTAGAATGCTGAAAATAACATACTGTAATCATATTACCCCTACCCCCACCAACCTATCCCCTTGCCTTCCTCCACCTGAGGTAACCATCATCCCTGTTTTCTTTTGTATATACTTTTTGTTGCCATCTATATGTACTCATAAAAGGTTATATTTTAAAAATTTTAGTTGTTAATTTTATAAAAGCGCGTCATGCTGTTTGTAATATTTTGGGAATGACTTTTTAAACTAATATTGCTAAGATTCAACCATATTATTGCATCTGCCTTTATTTTATAACATGACTAATTGTGAAAGAGGAGATGTAAAAGAACTTGCTTAAACAAGCAGGCCATCCTCAAAGCTCAGTCTTAGGAAAGCAGACATATGGATATGGAAATTCCTTTAAAAAAATTCCAGGTGTACCCTCTTGGAGAGTCTTCGGGTACCTCCTAGAGGTAAACAGATCCAGGTTGAGGATTATAGGTATATATTACCAGGTGGGGTTGCTTAAGGGAATTTGTAGATATTCTGGGCAAGTTTATTCACCTTTCTAAGCCTCAAGTTTCTCATCTTTAAAATAGGTACAACAGTAACGTTCCATTAAATACTTAATTAGGGTAAGAAGAAAGCATTTATAAACCAAATATTTGTATCTTTAAGCAAAAGTTATTCTCTAGTGTTATCAGTTGTATGAAGTTACTTTAAGATAGAATTGACTAGGAATTGTGGGCAGTTTTGATAGTTGTTATTCGCAACTCTGTTGATAAATGATGAGCCGCTCTATGCCAGGATTACCTATTTTGAAAACTCGTCTGTAGCATCAGTTTAATTCTAGAGCATTTGGATAGACAAGCAAGTTAGTAAAAAGTAAGCTTTTACTGTTAAGTTCTTCACAAATGTTATGTTCTAGCCTTACTCTTTTTTTTTTTTTTTTTTTTTGAGATAGGGTCTGGCTCTGTCACCCAGGCCAGAGTGCAGTGGCATGATCTTGGCTCTCTGCAGCCTCTGCCTCCTGGGCTGAAGCCATCCTCCCACCTCAGCTTCCCGAGTAGCTGGGACTACAGACATGTGCCACCATGACTGGCTAATTTTTTTATAGAGACAGGGTTTCAGCATGTTGCCCATGCTGGTGAACTCCTGAGCTCAAGTGATCCACCCACCTTAGCCTCCCAAAGTGCCAGGATTACAGGCATGAGCTGCTGCGCCTGGCCCTTTACTACTTTTTTATCCCATATCTGGTTTCTGCAAATG
Organism: Homo sapiens; assembly: GCF_000001405.40. Taxonomy (NCBI): domain Eukaryota; kingdom Metazoa; phylum Chordata; class Mammalia; order Primates; family Hominidae; genus Homo; species Homo sapiens. Next base: position 40,087,143 of record NC_000007.14, read on the forward strand.
GCATGTTTTTCTTTTTTGTGTGACAGGGCCTGGTTCTGTCGCCTAGGCTGGAGTGCAGTTACATGATCTCAGCTCACTGCAACCACCACCACCTGGGCTCAAGCTATTCTCCCACTTCAGCCTCCCAAGTAGCTGGGACTGCAGTGCACAACATCATGCCCAACTAATTTTTGTATTTTTGGCAAAGACAGGGTTTTGCCATGTTGCCCAGGCTGGTCTTGAACTCCTGGGCTCAAGCAATCCTCCCGTCTTGGCCTCCCTAAGCACTGGGATTATAGGCGTGAGCCACTGTGCCTGGCTGGAAATGGCATATTTTTCTGCCTTCTTTTTCATGTCTTATTCAGTGTATGATGTACTATCATAAGAACTGACTTTGAAAGGTTGCACCAACAGCAATAGTGGTGTTTTTTTTTTTTTTTTTTTTGAGACGGAGTCTCGCTGTGTCACCCAGGCTGGAGTGCAGTGGCGCAATCTCGGCTCACCGCAACCTCCACCTCCCGGGTTCATGCCATTCTCCTGCCTCAGCCTCCTGAGTAGCTGGGATTACAGGTGCCCGCCACCACGCCTGGCTAATTTTTGTATTTTTAGTAGAAACGGGGTTTTGCCATGTTGGCCAGGCTGATCTCAAACTCCTGACCTCAGATGATCCACCTATGTCGGCCTCCCAAAGTGCTGGGATTACAGGCATGCCCAGCATAGTAGCCTATTTTTATGAATATATATTCTTCATTCATAATTTTGATAAATGATTATTTATTGATTATTCAAAAGCCAAAGAAAAATAGATTATCTGTAAAGGCAAAGCAAGCCCTGAAGGAAGTGGGACAATAAGGATGATTTTTATTGGAAGAGTTTTACAGAGCCATTCTATGAAGTCTTCAAGAACTATTTGGGGTGGGGGCATAACTTTGTTGCTATATAGTAACTGTAGCATTTTTTGTTAAGAAATGCCATTTACAATTTAATTCCTTTTTTTTTTTCAGTCTCCCTTTATGGCAAGATTGTCATGAGTTATGGAGTAAAAAGCGAAGAAGACAGAAGCAGATGGGCATGACTGATGATGTTTCCACAATTAAAGCCCCCAGGAAGGACTTGTCTCTGGGCTTGGATGACAGCAGAACCAACACACCCCAGGGTGTGCTGCCATCTTCACAGCTGAAATCTCAGGGCAGCTCAAATGTGGCACCTGGTCAGTAATGCTTCCATGGGTTGGTTTTCTTCACATTGTTTTGCAGTTAATTCTGATCATATTGCTCTAATGTTAAAGCATCTTGTGGCTAACAATGAAAATTAACATTTATTCACTGAACTAGACATTTCTTTGTGCCAGTACAGAAGTTTCATTGCTATTGGCACCACAATTTTAAGTAATCTTAAGGTAACTTATAAAGAAGCATCAAATTACCTGACTGGCAAGTCCTCGGATTTCTGTATTTCCTTTTTACTCTTAGTGCAGGAGTGAGTAGGTCTTTTACTGACACTACTCTCAGTGAGGCTCAGCATTCAATGTCTATAGATGCTTAAGCAGTAGGAAGAAAGGTATAAGAAAACAGCCAAAAATCATAATGAGAGCTCTTTCATACCATTTATAGCGTCCTCATGTCACTCCTAATGTTATAATTTCTCTGGTTATATTAAAGAATCTTAAAGATTGGGGCCAGGCATGCTGGCTCACGCCTGTAATCCTAGCACTTTGGGAGACTGAGGCGGATGGATCACCTGAGATCAGGAGTTCGAGACTAGCCTGGCCAACATCGCGAAACCCCGTCTCTACTAAAAATACAAAAATTAGCCGGGCGTGGTGGCACACACCTGTAATCCCAGCTACTCGGATGCTGAGGAAGAAGAATCGCTTGAACTGGGGAGGTGGAGGTTGCAGTGAGCCGAGATTGCGCCACTGCACTCCAGCCTGTGCGACAGGAGCGAGACTCCATCTCAAAATATGTGTGTGTGTGTGTGTGAGTGAATCTGATATTTGTGCCCAAAATAACTTAAAATATGAGAAGGGAAGGCCAGGCATGGTGGCTCACATCTGTAATCCCAGCTCTTTGGGAGGCCACGATGGGCAGACCACTTGAGCCCATGAGTTCGAGACCAGCCCAGACAACTTCCTGAAACTCTGTCTCTACTAAAAATACAAAAAAAAAATTAGCTGGGCATGGTGGCACACACCTGTAATCCCAGCTACTCAGGAGGCTCAGGCACGATAATTGCTTGAACCCAGGAGGCAGATGTTGCAGTGAGCCAAGATTGAACCACTGCACTCCAGCCTGGGTGACAGAGCGAGACTGTCTCAAAAAAAAAAAAAAAAAGGATATCTTATATCTAGTTATTTTAGGGAAACTTAAATTTCTTCCTTTGACTCAGTCTGTCATAGAGTAAGCTTTTTGATGCAAAGTCTGCCTCTTCAATGTTGTCAAGAGTGTTAAAATCATTTAACAACTTTTTAAAAGGACCTCCACTCCCTCATTTTGCCTAAAACATCCAGAAACACCCATCTTTAATTTAACACCATCTTTAGTTGAAGTTTTATGAAAACAGAGACTGATATAAAATAGAGAGAGAGAGAGAGAGAGAGAGAGTGTGTGTGTGTGTGTGTGTGTGTGTGTGTGTAGGTGGTGGCTTATTAAACATGAAAAAATAGACTAGCACTTCTTAAGAGATGAGTATATGTTGATTGATGAGTTAGTTGATTAAAACAGATGTGTGGATCAGACTGAACTTTTGGTGGTTGAAGATAAATATAGATTAACTGAGAAAGCTTTAGGAAGATAACCATTAATGCTTGCCAATGTAGTCTACAAGCTTCTACTTGACCTTGGTTCAACTGCATACTTAAAGTACTCATTCAATGAATACCAAAAGCAATTGTTATTTGTTGTTCAAAAGTATTCTTTCTTGAAATAGTGAGTTCCCCTTATACATTAAAATATTTGTCCTGCTAACAAAAGGATGTGAAATGGCAATAACAGAAATTTTGGATGGTGATCTGTTTTCCCAGGCAACAGTTGTCATATTTGGCAAGACTCTCAGGTCTTTATTTCTGGTCCTCTTCATGGAACTGATGTCTTAAACTCTACCAAACGTAGTAGTTTACTCATTTTAGCTGGTAAAAAATGATTTGCCCTTTCTGGGCTCATTTTGTTGTTAATTTGCTCTAACTTACTTTACAACCCTGTTTTAATGGTGGATAATTTTATTTTTTATTTTCCTTTTTTAACTTTAATTTTTTTTTGAGACAGTCTCTGTCACCCAGGCTGGAGTACAGTGACACGATCTCAGCTCACTGCAATCTCCGCCTCCCAGGTTCAAGTGATTCTCCTGCCTCAGACTCCAGAGTAACTGGGATTACAGGCATGTGCCATCACGCTCAGCTAATTTTTGTATTTTTAATAGAGATGAGGTTTTGCCATGTTGGCCAGGCTGGTCTCGAACTCCTGACCTTGAGTTATCTATAAATAGCTGGGTGTGGTGGCTCATGCCCGTAATCCCAGCACTCTGGGAGGCCGGGGCGGGCTGTTTGCTTATGTTCGGGATTTCGAGACCAGCCTAGGTAACATGGCAAAACCCCGTCTCTACAAAAAATACAAAAATTAGCCTGGCCTATATTCCCAGTTACTTGCGGGGCTGAAGCAGGAAAGATTGCTTGAGCCTAGGAGGTCGAGACTGCAGTGAGCTGAGATTGTGCCACTGGCACTGTGGCCTGGATGATAAAGTGAGACCCTGTCTTAAAAAATCAAGAGAAAAGAGAAGAATCAGTATTGTGATTAAGAAGTGAGAATTCCAGGCTGGGCATGGTGGCTCATGCCTGTAATCCCAGCACTTTGGGAGGCCGAGGTGGATGGATCACCTGAGGTCAGGAGTTCGAGACCAGCCTGGCCAACATGGCAAAACCATGTCTCTACTAAAAATAAAACAACTGGCCGGGCATGGTGGCTCACGCCTGTAATCCCAGCACTTTGGGAGGCTGAGGCGGGCGGATCATGAGGTCAGGAGATCGAGACCATCCTGGCTAACACGGTGAAATCCCATCTCTACTAAAAATACAAAAAATTAGCCGGGCGTGGTGGTGGCAGGCGCCTGTAGTCCCAGCTACTCGGGAGGCTGAGGCAGGAGAATGGCGTGAACCCAGAAGGCGGAGCTTGCAGTGAGCCGAGATCGTGCCACTGCATTCCAGCCTGGGCCACAGGGCGAGACTCCGTCTCAAAAAAAATAAATAAATAAAACAATTAGCCAGGCATGGTGGCACGCGCCTGTAATCCCAGCTCCTAGTGGGGGCTGGGGCAGGAAAATTGCTTGAACATGGGAGGCAGAGATTACATATCATGCCACTGCACTCCAGCCTGGGGAACAGAGCAAGACTCTGTCTCAAAAAAAAAAAAGAAGGAGAATTCTGGTTTTTTGAAAAAAGGATGAATCCTCTGAGTCATTTTCTTCTCCGTCATCAGTAAGTATGCTGAAATAAGAAAACGCCCCTTCAGCAAAAGAGGCACCTCAATTAAAGACCACATCCCTGAATTCATATGGAGAGACTACCTGTGGTAATAGGGAAATGAAAATAAGGAAAAATGACTTTTGATTTGTAGCAAACAAGCATGCTCACGGATCATAAGAAGAACTTGCAGAAGTATCTCAAAATATATAAAGAGAATATAAAAGCATTAAACACCAGTTTTTCATCATCTTAGAGTTCCTCTTCTATCAATCTGTCATCTGTGATTATGGGAATTGCTTATCATTGCAGTCTTATAGTTACCATATATGGTATTATATGCATTTGAGCCTTGTCGTTATATGTGATTCAGATAAGCTTGCGTGAGGGAGGACCTGTGTAAATTATCCCAAGTCTAAACTGAAAGTTGGAAAAACAACTGAATCCTTATTACTGGTGATGAGTTAATACTATCATATGCATATATTAATAATAAGCATATTTCTGTAGGCATTCCTAACTTACCCAAAGTTACAAAAAAAAAAAGGTAATTTGAAGAAAAACACAGGCATTTTATCAGAATCTGAAAAATGTCATGATTTCAATATAGTGCAAAGATAACCTTAGATTTTGCATAATAAACTTTATTTTAGAGAAAGTACGGTGTAGTTAAGAGCTCAGATTGTGGAATCAGAATATCAGATTCAGATCTCACCTCTGCCACTTACAGAATATTTGCCCTTGGGCAAGTTGCTTGGTCTCTTTCGGTGTCAGTTTCTTCTTCTCAGTAAAAGGAGGCTAATAATAGAGTCTGCCTTCTAAGGTTGTTGTAAGGAATAAAGGATATTAAATGCTTAGAAGGTATGTGACACTCCCTTAGCTGTCATCATTATCATTATTCATTTCCCATTCACAATGTGCTGTTTCCTGGTTAAATCCATAACATGAGGTTTTAGTAGTGGTCTTGATTTTCCTTTTGAAGTATTTACCCCTAAAGATTTATTCAAAATTGACTGCAGTTCTTTTTATGTACAGGTACATTTTAAATGTACATGATATTTAACTAGACTTGAGGTTCTCTTTTTACAGTATTTCTTAAATACTCTCCCTCAAATATATATTTTCATATGGTAATACAGAGCCATTTTGGTGTGGGAGTGGGAGGAGCTGTGAATTATGACAGTTCTAATTAATATAATTTTGTCTTTAGTAAAAACAGGCCCTGGACAGCACTTAAACCACAGTGAATTGGCAATTCTACTAAACCTACTACAATCTAAAACAAGTGTTAATATGGCTGATTTTGTCCAAGTGTTGAACATTAAGGTAAACTCTGAGACTCAACAGCAGCTAAATAAAATAAACCTTCCTGCTGGAATTTTGGCAACAGGTGAAAAACAGACAGATCCATCAACACCACAACAGGAGTCTTCGAAACCGTTGGGAGGAATTCAGCCTTCTTCTCAGACCATCCAGCCTAAAGTGGAGACTGATGCTGCCCAGGCGGCTGTGCAGAGTGCATTTGCAGTTCTGTTGACTCAGTTAATAAAGGCTCAGCAGTCAAAGCAGAAAGATGTGCTACTAGAAGAGAGGGAAAATGGATCGGGACATGAAGCGTCATTACAACTCAGGCCACCTCCAGAACCTAGCACTCCGGTGTCGGGTAAGTGTGCAGATACCAGACCACTAACACAGCTGCATTACATTGTCTACTCAGTGTTGCTGACTATATATAATGTGTATAGTTCAGTGACATTGCCAAAAGATGTCCTGAAGAATCTCAGGTAACTGGCAATAGGTTGGTTTTTCAGTCTGTTTACTTCCAGGAATGGATTCTTTAACAAATTATCCATGTGAGATAGAACTCATTGTGAATGATAAAGATATTTCTAAGGTAAACCTATGGTTAAGAAATAATATTTAACTCCAAATACGAAAGGATGCTTGACTAAGGCATAATTTATGTACACAGTAGCTTTTGTTCCTCAAGCAATGAAGTATACGTGAATTCTGCACCTAGCCGTAATTAGCTTTAAAAAGCCAATTACGGCTGGGTGCAGTGGCTCACACCTGTAATCCCAGCACTTTGAGAAGCTGAAGTGGGAAGATTGCCTGAACCCAGGAATTCAGTACCTATCTGTGCAACATAGTGAGACCCTGTCTCTAAAACAATTTTTTTTAATTAACTGGGCATGGTAGCACATGCCTGTGATTCCAGCTACTTGGAAGGCTGAGGTGGGTGGATCACTTGAGCCCAGGAGGTCAAGGCTGCAGTGAGCTGTGATCACTCCACTGCACTCCAGTCTGGGTGACAGAGTGAGACCGTGTCACCAAAAAAAAAAAAAAAAATTTTTTTTTTTTTAAAGAGAAGCCATATACAGTAAAATTTACCAGTTACCATAGTACTTGTAAACTTTTTGCTTTTTTCATTTAACATTTTGCCAGAGATGGAACTTCTAATCATCTTTAGAACTACCTACAGGAAACACTGAGTATTTTGAATATTTAGTTTTCCATGGTAACTTTTGACCTTGTTTTTGCTCTGTTTCACTTAGGACAAGATGACCTCATCCAGCATCAAGATATGAGGATCTTGGAGCTAACGCCAGAACCAGACCGGCCTCGAATTCTGCCTCCTGACCAACGACCTCCCGAGCCTCCTGAACCACCACCAGTCACTGAGGAAGATCTAGATTATCGGACAGAAAACCAGCATGTACCCACCACCAGTTCTTCATTAACTGACCCTCATGCCGGAGTGAAGGCAGCCCTGTTACAGCTGCTTGCTCAGCATCAGCCCCAGGATGACCCCAAAAGAGAAGGTGGGATTGATTATCAAGCAGGAGACACTTACGTGTCCACTTCAGACTACAAGGACAACTTTGGATCCTCTTCTTTCTCTTCTGCTCCTTATGTTAGCAATGATGGTCTAGGAAGCAGTTCTGCTCCACCACTAGAACGACGTAGTTTCATTGGAAATTCAGATATTCAGTCTTTGGATAACTACAGTACTGCTTCATCTCATTCTGGTGGTCCACCTCAGCCTTCTGCCTTTTCTGAGTCATTTCCCAGTTCAGTAGCTGGATATGGAGACATTTACCTCAATGCTGGTCCCATGTTGTTTAGTGGAGACAAGGACCATAGATTTGAATATAGCCATGGTCCTATTGCAGTCCTGGCAAACAGCAGTGACCCTTCCACGGGGCCAGAGAGTACTCATCCTTTGCCAGCAAAGATGCACAACTATAACTATGGTGGTAACTTACAGGAAAATCCGAGTGGCCCCAGCCTCATGCATGGACAGACCTGGACTTCTCCTGCCCAAGGACCTGGATATTCACAAGGATACAGGGGACATATTAGCACATCAACTGGCAGAGGCAGAGGCAGAGGGTTACCATACTGAGTATCTGTTTTTCCTCAGGCACATCATTTTTATCTGGAAAGACTTTTCTAGCTGCAATTTAAGGCAGCAATCCAAGAGACTTGAATAATAATAATTCAACAACAGCTTTATTTTTATGTGGAGAAGGGTCTTGCATACAATAGTTTAAAAAAGACAAAAAAAACCTTTGCTTAAATTCATGCTGTTCTAAAAACTAGATCGATTGTACATCTTCACAAATTCTAGTTAACAATTTTATTTTGTATTCTTGCAGTTTTAAGTGGATGCTAATTTTAGGGGCATAAGCCTTTTATGGCCCTCTTGCAGATCTTCTGAACTATGCACATTTGTGCTTTTTTTGTAAGTTTGGACCAACTTTTATGTAACAAACAGCCCCTCCCCACCTCCAGTTTTACAACAATCAGAAAGGGCACTGATTTATTTGGTATTTTTCTTTTTACAAAGCTACCTTTAGTCAAAGGTCACTGTCAGTCTTTGCACCTGCTTTCAGTGTTATTGTGAAAGGTGTACTTTGTGCTCATTTCAGAAAATAAAACACAACCTTTCTCTTGATGCAACAGTTTTATAAAAAAAAAAATGGTCAACGTTATTTTTGTTTTGTTTTGCAGATTATCAAAGCCTAGCAAAATGCATTTAAATGAAATAGTGGGTTTTATATGAAAACTATGGGTGGGGTGGGGAGGGAAAGTAAGTGCCTTAACAGGTAAGCTTAAGGTCTGAAAAAAATAGTTAACTTTTACCCCCATTTGTCTTTTAAAGGGAATCAATGCATTAAAAAGGCAAGAAACTCTGAAGTTTCAGGGGCTGCCTGTTCAGTTCCTGTTAGGTCCATTCCCTCTGCTTGTCACACTTTCTCCTTTTCTGCCTGTCTTTGGGCTGTGTTGCCTTTCACTACCACCTTCTCTTGATAGGGGAGTGAGAGCAAAGAAAGGGAGTAGAACTGCAATCAGTACATATTGTTTGAGAAGTTCTACAAAGTTTTGTCATTTAAATGGTTGAAAGTAATAGCTCCAGGAGAATTTTAGAGTACCATTTTCTTTCAGGCTGCCATATTATCCCTGTTTCCATTTGCCATGGATAATTGGAGGGTCATGGTATAGAAGCAAGAGTTAATAACAGAACTTGCCTAAATGTGTTAAAGTTCATGGGGGAGGGGTGGCAAATACCGTATTTTAAGTTATGCAATTGCCCTTTTAAGAAAGTCAATTCTATTCACTTGTTAACTAGAAACATTGCTTAGATTGAATTTATTGAAGCAAAAAGAAAAGGCAATGAGAGAGAACTTTTATCTTCCTTCCTGTCACATTCTGTAAAGTTGATTATGACTTCTGCCAGACTTAGAGCAACAACTTTAGTTCATTTTAACATTTTTTTTTAATGAAGAGCATCAAAGAATGGAGTAGTCCTTATTTAAACTGTAATGGTGTCAAGTCTCACTGTGTGCACACTCTCACACATACACACACAATTATACTAATTCTAGAAAGGAACCAAAGGTAAATAACCAGTGTTTCCATTATCACTAAATGGAAAAATTGACTGGAAGTTAGAGTTGTGCCAATTAATCATTTTGTTCATCAACTGTTCTGGTAACTTATTTTTTTTTATTGGAATCTTAAATTGGAACAACTGTTACAGAATGTATATTGCTCCAGTTCTAAAGCCAGTTAACCCTGTGCCCTCTAACTTATGAACCTTCATTTCAAAACAGTATGTGGGAAGTCCTGTAGTTTGATAAGAGTAAAATTATTTTAAAGAGGATAATTTACCATTTTACTACTATAAAATAAGTTGATATCAGTTGACCATTTTATTTTTTGATGGACTCTTTTTGTTGGGAGAAAGAAATGAATGGAAGAAAAAAATATGTTGCTTTTATTTGAATATTGATTACTAACAACTTATAAACTACATTGCAGGAAATGAAGAAATATTTTGAAATTAGCAAAATAGCAACAGTATTCAAGTATCTGAAATTTTAATATGGTGAGTCTTAGAGCTTTAGACTTTCCTATAAGTGACAGTATCTAAGTTATTCTTAATAGTCACACTTGATAATTCTGCTGACCATAAGCAGCTAACCTACAGTTGAAGATATTTATGTGACATGAATAGCCTGTGTTTTAAAAATTAAATATTTTATATAAAATTGAACTGTGTTTGGATAGTTTTTCTAATCAAACATTTCAGTTATATATTTATGTTGGGAGAGTGGCTGGGAGGACAGGGAAATTGTTGCTTTGACATTGAAAATTTGAACTAGAACTTCTAATATTATCCTTACACAGCACTACTGTGAGACATACTAGTCTTTTATATGTCACTTAGAAGAAAAAATGTTGCCAATTAAGCCACAATACAATGCTAAGACGTCATCAATTGTAAGCTGCATCCCAGATTCAGACATATTATATGAAAATATGTCTTATAATTGATGAAATATGATAGTAAAAAATTTTAATGCTTCCCTTCATAGCATTTAATATTTTAATTCAGTGAATTTGGATTAATAGAACAAAGTTGGGAAATCACTAGTTCTGTAGGTTATAACAGCAGTCATCGCTGAAAATTTGAGTGAAATCTAAAGAACACAAAATATTGCTTAAATTTTTTGGAAAAAAGCAGGTAAGTCAGACTGCAAGTTAAGAAGACAAAAATATAAAAGATTTGACCTGCCAAAAGAAGAAAGTATTTATCTTCTCCCACGTGAAATTCCCTTTTGTATTTACTGACACAGCAGGTTTTTCTGCATGCAACTCAGTATGTTTCCTACGTCTTCATTATTTGTTGGAGAGTTGCAAGTCATTTGTGAAACCTTAAAATGCCAATTTTAAGGAGTTGTCATTTGTGGAATGTGAAATAAGGTAATAATTCTAGCTGTGATTCAGAGCTTTATTCTGTCAGCAAATACATAGTCAGTGCCTACAACATGCCAGGTAGTAATCTAGTCCTTGGGGTACATCAATAACCGTCAACAGTGTTAAATCATACTTTCAGTGTGCTGACAGTGAGCAAGATTTTTTTAAATGTCTGGAGAAGTTAGTGGTATTTGCTACCCTCAGCTGTATCTAAATTGCACTTAAGTGAATGTAGGGCATGAAAATTTGAGTATCTTTTTGAAATTTTAAATTGAAATTTGGATAGAGATGGTTATGGAGAGAAATCAAACAACTGGAATAGCTGTTTGATATCACTTAAAAGTGATAAAATTTTAAGTTGAATCTGGTCAGTTTGCAATGGCCTATTTGTAAGAAATATCAAGACTTCTTGAGAAAAATGAAAAGTGAATACATAAATGCTTAAAATCTGGTACTTCTGAGTTAAGGTTTTGCTCTTTGAGCTTAATCCAATTTGGGATGATTTTTCATCCTAGGGCTTTTTGTTTTCCTTTTTTATTTTTATTTTTTCTTTTTTTAGGGGAAGGGGACTTGCTTTCTTTTCCAAAAAGGTGAATCCTTCTTGTAGGACATAGGTAAAAAAAACAAAGCTGAAATATATGTTTTGAATATAGATAGCTAATTCCCTGGGATATAATATCCTTTCAATTTTTTTTTTTTTTTTGGCCCAGTCTGCCTTTTGATGTTTTAAAAGTCTGAACGAGATGTCCCAGTAACCTAAAATTATCCAGTCGGTCTTCTTACTTTACAACTAAGAAAAATAAGGCTTAGAAAGAGGGATTGCCAGAAACTTTGGCAGCTGGATTGCCTGTGCTTGTTCCTCTAAGCCATACCTAAATTCTGCAGTAAATACTTAACTTTTTAATAGGGAAATTGCTTCAAGATAACTTGACCAGTGATACGGTAAAATAATTAGACTATTGGACTAATGGTTTAACACAAGTGGCTTTAAAAAGTCTGCTTAAAAAACAATTTTTATTTAGAAAAAATAGAAAAATAAAAACATCTTCAAAATTTAGGAGCCTGAAGGGGCTGTTTGTTTCATATATGGATAATCTTTGAAAAGGCAAGTCCTGTATGTATTTTTCATTTGTTGAAAGAAGATTGGTTATCAGTAGGCTTGCAAACATAATTTGCTTTTAAGTTCTTTCAAGGTTTTATGCAATAAAACCTATTGATTTGGAACTTTAAAAAAAAAAACAACAAAAAAATACTTTCAGGGTTTTGTAATTTCAAGTGGTTTTTTAAGGGGAGCAATAGTTTGCCATTTACCAAAGGCTTCTCCAGATAATTTCTTAAATGTTTCTACTTAAAAATAAAAGCTATTAATAATAAGCTGTCATGGGATCCATTTGAAGACAGGGAAAATAGAAAATTTTTATTGTAAAGGGAAGAACTTATCCTTTTAATTTTATGGACTAACAGAGTCTGCAGGTCTTAACTCATTTCAGCCTGTCAAATGTGCAATTAAAAATGAATTTTCTAATTGTATTCAAATGAGGCTCTATAGTGAATACAGAATCACTCTTCTAAGTTTTTTCCCAGTTAATTTGTTTAAAAGTGTTGTACTCTCTTGCAAGAACGTTTAAAAGTTAAGTCTTGTAACTGTTAACATCTAATGTATTAATATAAGCCATTTGTTTTTTACCATTTTTTTAAGGCCGTATTCAATAGTCTGTAAATAAATTGCCGTAACACTCCCAGGCCATTTTTCAGCCTTGTTTGCTTTTTGCTTCTATCCAGAACAGACTTTTTGAAGTAATCTTATCTGATAAAGATGACCACTTGTAATCCACTGTGCCGTTTTTTTGACAAAGGTTAAGATGTGGAATCTTTTTTTTTCTTTTTATAATTAGTACATATTTGGAAATAGGAACACAGAGAAGAACACCCCCAGATAACCACATAATATTTTGCCTTTGATGGATGTATTTGAATGCATATCTTGTTTTTTTTTTTCTTAAAACAATGGGATCATACTGCCCATAGCTTTGTAATTTGAATTTTTTCATTTAATAATATGTTGTGAACATCTCTTGGTATCAGTCAGTTAAATTCTATCCTCTTTCCCCCAGTCTGGAATGCAGTGTCGACATCATGGCTCACTGCAGCCTTGAACTCCTAGGCTCGAGTGATCCTCCTGCCTCAGCCTTCCAAGTAGCTGGGACTACAAGTATGCACCACCATGCCTGGCTAATTTTTTAAATTTTTTGTAGAGATGGAGTCTCCCTGTGTTGTCCGGGCTGGTCTTGAACTCCTGACCTCAAGCAATCCTCCTACCTTGGCTTCCCAAAATGCTGGGATTAAAGACATGAGCCACTGCGCCCAGCCCACCCTCTTTTTAATGGTTGTAAATTATTGCTTTATAGAGGAACCATACTTTCACAATTTCTCATTGCTGGACACAATATTTTGGACTTTTCTGTTACAAATAATGTGATGAAAATCCACAAAAATACATACATACACACAAACATAAATCAATTTCCTTGGAGTTGCTGGTATAAAGAATGCACTTTTAAAATGTTTGCTAGATCCAAATCGCTCTAGGGAAAAGTTTACCAGTTTCCCATTCCTGTTCCTTAACCTTTTCATTTAGCCATGTTGGGTACTTAAAAGTTAGAGATCTTTGTTAGTTAGACAGGTGATAAATCATCTTGTTTTAATTCATGTTTCTTGGATTACTAGTGAAGTCCAACACTTCATATGTTAGCCAGGTCTTTTATTAACTATTCAGATGTTTGAAAACTTTAACAGCTGATCCTAATATTATGTATATATATAGTATAATGCATACATGTATACATATATAGTATGTATATGTACATATCTATATTGTATATATGTATGTATATATTGTAAATATGTATATTATGTATGTATATTGTATATATTTGTTATATATATTTGTTATGGGAAAATTTTAATATGTAGTTAAGTCTGTTAATCTTTTCCTTGTTTCTCTTTAGAAAAGCATTTAGAAAAGCTTTCCTACTCCAAAGTTATTTAAACATTTACACATATTTTAGTATACATTTAATTCTAAACCATTCTATATTTTATAGATGTTTGTTTTGAGATATGGATCCAACTTTACACTTTTTTTTTAATCTTTATCTTCTGTTTACAAGTCCTACACTTGTATCATTATAAACTAGGCATCTGACATTATGTGTGTGTGTTTTAAAAATAATTTTATTTTCAATTCCTAGAAAATGTGTACCACATAAAATTTGTCAGGCAGAACTTTAATTTAATTGTCCCCTTTTCAGAGTTTTCTATTCCTGTTTATTTTTCCATGTGACTTTCAGAATCATTTAGATTATTTTCTCAAGTATTCTGTTAGGATTTTGGTTGGAAACATATTAAATGTTTTTTACTTAGGGGATCTTTCCATTGAGAGCTTAGTAGAATTGTTTTTTTACATGTTCTCCATTAAGAGTTCGAACTGTTTTTTTTTTTTTTTTGAGACAAGAGTTTTACTCTGCCGCCCAGGCTGGAATGTGGTGGTGTAATCTCAGCTCATTGCAGCCTCTGCCTCCCAGGTTCAAGATTCTCCTTTCTCAGCCTCCCAAGTGGCTGGGATACAGGCCCCTGCCACCACACATGACTAATTTTTGTATTTTTAGTAGAGACGGGGCTTTATCATGTTGGCCAGGCTGGTAAGGGTTCCAAAATTTTCTTCATGTTCTTTTTTTAAGTTTCCAAAAATATTTTTGTTGCTTTTAGATATGGACTCCTCGTATTATAATATTTTTAACTAGTCACCACTTATATTGTAAAGCTGATTCTTAATTGTTGTTGTTAAACTGGCCACATAACTTTTATTATCATTTTTAATAGTTTTCAGTGAATAAGTATAATGGCATTCTTGTTTCTGATTTTACTGATGTCTGATTTTTAGTGTTTCAGTCGTGTAATTTATAGGTTAAAAATAGAATATTATGTTTAAGAAGAATCTTTTTTCATGAAGCCTGCTTATTAGGATCAGCTGTTAAAGGTTTTTTTCAAATGACATTATATGCAATTGCTCTTTTGACCTTTTGATGACAGAATAGAATGTAATAACCATTAATTTAAAATGCTGTTATATTCTAATTCCTAGCCATGTATTTAGGACTTTGTATCTATGTTTTGTATCTGTGTTAATTTTGATTAACAGGTTATGACAGATTGGCAGAATAAGCTGGAAAACTAATGTTTTATTTAGAATATAGATCCTGCTGGGTGCCGTGGCTCACGTCTCTAAACCCAACACTTGGGAGACTGAGGCGGGTGGATCGTTTGAGCTCAGGAGTTCAAGACCAGCCTGGGCAACATAGTGAAACCTCGTTACCACCAAAAATACAAAAAACTTAGCTGGGCATGGTGGCGCATGCCTATAATCCCAGCTACTCGGGAGACTCAAGCAAGAGAATTACTTGAACCTGGGAGGCAGAGGTTGCAGTGAGCTGAGATCATGCCACTGCACTCCAGCCTGGGTGACAGAGCAAGACTGTCTCAAAAATAATAATAGTAAAAAAAGCGATGTTTTAGTTATCTTAACTATTGTAATTATTTCTAAAATGTTATCCAGCAAACATACTTGGGGTAGAATGTTAGACATTTATTTTAAGATGAGGAATAGACAAGGATGTCCATTATTAGTTACTGTTCAGGTTGTCAGCATTTTTGAGGGATGGAGGAAGGTAGAGAAGGGTTTGAAAAGGCATAATTTTATTTATTTATTTATTTATTTATTTATTTATTTATTTGTTTGTTTGTTTGTTTGTTTGAGACAGGGTTTTGCTCTGTCACCCAGGCTGGAGTGCAGTGGTGTGATCATAGCTCACTGCAGCCTTGAAATCTTGGGCTCAAGTCATTCTACCGCCTCAGCCTCCCAAACAGCCGGGACTTACAGGCACATGTCACTATGCCCGGCTAATTTTTAATTTTATTCTTAGAGACAGAGTCTTGCTATATTGCCCAGGCTGGTCTCAAACTCCTGGCTTCAAGCGATCCTCCCAAAGTGGGAGGCCACAGTGGGAAGATTACAGGTGTGAGCAACTGTACCCAAACAGAAAAAATTATTAATGGCAGACTTAAGTGATTGTCTATGTAAAGCACACAAGATAAACTATTATTAGCATTGATAGATTTGTGTGAATTGCTAGTAACTTTTACAGTAGTCTCCCCTTATCTGTGGGTATGTGATCCAAGACTCACCACTTAGTGCCTGAAACTGCAGATAGTACCGAACCCTGCATAATACTGTTTTTACAATCTGATAACCGAGGCAGCTACAAGTGACTAATGGGCAGGTAGCATCTACAGCAGGTAGAGCCAGGATGGTGTGAGATTTTATTATGCTACTCAGAACTGCTCACAAATTAAAACTCATTAATTGTTTCTGGAATTTTCCATTTAATATTTTCAGACTGCAGTTGACCTCTGATAACTGGGGTAAGCAAAACTATGGATAAAGTGGAACTACTGTGTGTAGAAGAAGAGGCCATGAATAGCTAAGGTAATTTCAAAGAACAAGATTTTGGATTTGTTCTACCAGATATAAAGATTCCTGGGACAAATGATTATCTACAAGAAGAAATAGGAAGAGGCAAATTTTGAAAAAAAAATAACACATTTTCATAGATCTGAATGGGAAAACTTTAAAATACTGAGAAAGAACAAATACACTTTGACTAGCAACTCCACTTCTGGACATATATATATTTAGCTTATTTCTGTCTGTATAATTTTATATATAATTATAAAGTGAAAAAAGGTAAATATCTTAAATATTCATTTGTAGGAGAACAGTTAAATAATATGGATAAAAGTATAGAATGACTCCATTGTATTAAATAAGTATTTCTATATAGTGCATAGAGTATTTGAAAACTGAAACTGATTGTGGGTTATAATAGAGCAGATTGTTTTAAAAAGAGACTTGTGAGCCAAGACTAAATCCTGGTTTTACTATTTATTAATCTGTATAGCTATAGCCAAGCTATTAAAACTCCCTTATTTCTCAGTTTTTTCGTTCATGAAGTGGGTACAGTACCTAAAGGTTTATGTTGAGGATTAAGTAACTGAATAGTGCCTTGTACATACTTCAGGGCTCCCTGAATGTTTGCTGTTGTGACTGAGAGAAGAACTGGGTGGGAGTGGGGAAGGGGGAATTTTGCTGCTGCTTTGATGCTTATTTTTTATCTTGATTAAGAAAAATGTATTTGTAATAAAATAAATTTTTAAGTAGGAATTTATGGGTTCCAGTCAACAAAGCAACAATATTCACTCTTGAGACTTTCCTTCCGGTTTTAAACTACTTTCTGTCTAGTTCCACCTTAAATATCTGATAGAAAAAGATTAATGAAGAACTGTCTAAAGTATACGTAATCCGTGGCTCATGCCTGTAATCCCAGCACTTTGGGAGGCTAAGGTGGGTGGATCATTTAAGGCCAGGAGTTCAACACTAGCCTGGCCAACATAGCAAAACCCCGTCTCTACTAAAAATACAAAAATCAGCTGTGCTTGGTGGTGCGCATCTATAGTCCTAGCTACTCGGGAGACTGAGGCACGAGAATCACTTGAACCCAGGAGGCGGAGGTTGCAGTGAGCCGAGGTCAGCCGAGATCACACCACTGCACTCCAGCCTGGGTGACAGAGTGAGACTCCATCTCAACAACAACAACAACAACAACAACAACAAGAAGTATATGTAATCCATTTATTCCTTGTCATTTAAACACTGGAACTTACTCTCTTCAATTTCACGTGATTTATTTCTCTGCTCTCTATTGGAAGAGATTATAGAATAAGCAAATTCTATGCTTGCTAGGAGGAAATGGTATAAATAAAATATCCTAGCATAGGAACCATTCACTTTGAAAATTTAGATCTCCAGTAAGTGCTCAAATCGGCTCTCAGGCCACACTTGAACTCAAAATTTTCAGTCTTGAATAAGCATCAAAATCATATGTTAAGTTTATTTTCCATGTAATTTTTAAATTGTAATATGTTTACATTAAAGTTAAATTAAGTACACTTAATGGATTTTTAAATTATATTAACACTCACATAATGACCTAGGTCGAGATGGAGAAAATCTGTGTTACTCCAGATCATGTTCTTCTCAATCAGTACCCCTAGAAGAAATTACTATTCTAACACTCGGTTAGTTTTGCCTGTTCTTAAGCTTAATTTGTTCCAATAAATCTGCTAAGTTAGATGATACAGAAAAATACAGCTTAAAACTGACAGAAGAAATCCCAAAATCTTGTATCTATTAATGAGAATGAATCTGTAATTGAAAATCTTTCCACACACACAAAAAAACAAATGTGACTGCAGCCTCAGAATGCTTTCCTGATGAATTCTTCCAAATACTTCAGGAAAAAAATATTTTTTTATACACCGTGAGATTAGAGATAGAAGGAACATGTTCCAACTGGTGTTCTGAGTTTAGTGCAACTCTAACACCAAAACCTGACATGGGACTTTACAAAAATGTTACAAGCCAATATTTCTCTTGAACATCCTTAAAAAAAAAGTTGGAAAATCCAGAGGTTTTTTTTTTCTTTCTTTCTTCCTTTCTTTTTTTTTTTTTTTTTTTTGAGATGGAGTCTCACTCTTGTTGCCCAGGTTGGAGTGCAGTGGCACCATCTAGGCTCACTGCAACCTCCACTTCCTGGGGTTCAAGAGATTCCCCTGCCTCAGCATCCCGAGTAGTTGGGATTACAGGTGTGCACCACCACGCCCAGCTAATTTTTGTATTTTTAGTAGAGATGGGGTTTCCCCATGTTGGCCAGGCTGGTCTCAAGTTCCTGACCTCAAGTGATCCTCCCCGCCTTGGCCTCCCAAAGTGCTGGGATTACAGGTGTGAGCCACCGTGCCCGGTGAAATTTTTTTTTTTCTAAAGGATGATATATCAGGATCACATGGGATTTATTTCAGGAATGCAAGGTTGGGTAAACATTCATAAATCAATGTAATTTACCACTTTCACTGAATAAGGGAGAAAAATCATGTGATAATCTCAAATTCAGAAACTGTAAAATTAAACGCCCACTTGTGATAAAAACTCTCAGCAGACTAGAAATGCAAGGAACATAGATGATCTGATAAAAGGTATCTATAAAAAACCTATAGTTAACATACCTGAAGAGGAAATACTGAACACTCTCTCCCTTAAGTCCAGAACAAGATAAGGATGTTTACTATCACTGTTTCTTGTCAATATTTTACTAAAGTTTGGGCCATAAGGTAAGGAGAATAAAAAAATATATATATATAAAGATTGTAGGCTGAGCACAGTGGCTTACACCCATAATCTCAGCACTTTGGGAGGCCGAGGTGTGATGATTGCTTGAGCCCAGGAATTCGACAGAGGCTGCAGTGAACTATCATTGCATCACCGCAGCCTGGGTGACAGAGTGAGATCCTGTTTCTAAAAAAAAATTAGAAGAAGTAATTGGAAAGGAAGAAATAAAGCTGTGTTTATGTGTAGATGACATGATTGTATTCATAGAAAATCAAAAAGAACCTACAAACAATAAACTTATTTAGTAACAAAACTAAATAAAAGATCAACATACAAAAATTAATTGTATATATATAGATTAGACAAAGATTTAGAAAATGAAACTCAGTAAACACTGCTTACATTACTGTCAAAAACAAATACTAAGAAATACAACCTAAAAAGATGTACTTCACTAAAAACTACAAAATATTGCTGAGATGGTAAAGAAGACCTAAAAAAAAGATAAATGTATCTATGTATATATCTTGCAATATTTTGTATTCTATTTATATATTTTATATTTATATTATATATGTGTGTACAGTGTTTATATATAGTGGTTTTATATAGTTTATAGTATAGAGTGTATATAGAGACTAAATATATATACACACATATATACAGACTGTATGTATACATATATATATAGAGAGAGAGAGAGAGAGACACACACACACATAAAGAGAGAAAGTGCTTACATATATAAATACACACTGTCCCCTGGTATCTGTGGGAGATTGGTTCCAGGACCCTCTAGGATTCCAAAATTCACAGATGTCTAAGGCCCTTATATAAAATGATGTAGTATTTCCATATAACTTATGCTCATCCTCCTGTATTCTTTAAATCATGTCTAGATTACTTACAGTAGCTGATACAAACTGCTATGTAAATATGTTATACCATATTGTTTAGAGAATGACAAGGAAAAAAAGGCTGTACATATTCAGTATGGATGAAACCATCCATTTTTTTTCCTGAATGTTTTTAAGCTGCAGTTGGTTGAATCCATGGATGCGATAGCTGACAGTATGTATACAGTCATGCGCCACATAATGACATTTCCACATTTCAGTCAATGATGGACTACATATATGACACTGTCCCATAAGATTATAATGGAGCATTGGGATAAAGTAAGTACTTGATGGCTCTGAGGAATCTGTGTGACTTGGGCATTGTGGATCCATACCCACCATTATGTGACATTAAAGGATCATATACAGCACAATTGAACATACCATAGTGTTGGGTCCAACATGTAAAGAAGTTGTCAGCAGAGGAAATGACTATTCAACTTAGTCCCAAGCCACCTCAACATCTTTATTTTCTAAGCTTTGTTGGAGTATATTATATGAGAATTAATTTGCAACATGTCGTCTGTTTTAACAGTGTACCTATGTAATACTTCTTTTTTTTTTCTTTTTGAGACGGAGTCTCCCTCTGTCGCCCAGGGTATAGTGCAGTGGCGTGATCTCGGCTCACTGCAACCTCCATCTCCCGGGTTCAAGCAGTTCTTGCACCTCAGCCTCCTGAGTAGCTTACAAGTGTGGGCCACCACGCCCAGCTAATTTTTGTTATTTTTAGTAGAGACGAGGTTTCACCATGTTGGTCAGGCTGGTCTCGAACTCTTGTCCTCAAGTGATCCAGCCACCTTGGCCTCCCAAAGTGTTGGGATAACAGATGTGAGCTACCACGCTTGGCCTGTAATACTTTTATCCATGTTTAAAAAAGAAGGAATTTGGCCGGGCGCAGTGGCTCGCACCTGTAATTCCAGCACTTTGGGAGGCCGAAGTGGGAGGATCACGAGATCAGGAGTTCCAGACCAGCCTGGCCAACATGGTGAAACCCTGTCTCTACTAAAAATACAAAAATTAGCTGGACATGGTGGCGGGCACCTGTAATCCCAGCTACTCAGGAGGCTGAGGCAGGAGAATCGCTTGAGCCCGGGAGGCAGAGGTTGCAATGAGCTGAGATCAAGCCACTGCACTCCAGCCTGGGCAACATAGCAAGACTCTGTCTGAAAAGAAAAAAAAAAAAGGAATTGGCTCAAAGACAAACCATCTAATGTAATTAACCAAGGAAAAAGCTTTCAGGACTGTCAAATGTTAACTGTTTTTCCCTTTCCTGCCTGGGAAAATGCTATAAAGCTTCATTGAGTTAGGAATGACTTATACGTTTTGTTTTGATCACCCACGGGATGCTTTTCTGATATTTATATTGCCATAATTTTACTTGAATGCTTTGAATGACTACATCCACTTTTGCACCTATACCCTTTGGTGTTGCTTTTTAATCTTCCTGGAATCCATTTTCTAAAAAATAAAGACATTTTGAGATCTGAGAGCTACATCTCAATGTCTGTCTGTGGTTATAATTCTGGACAGGAGGTAGCTAAACTTAGTGTAGGGAAATGCGGTGACATTTATCGGAATTGTAGACCTCTACACTGAGACTTTCTTCTGTCATAGTGGCTAAAACAGGATCTACACATGGATAAAGTGGGACAATCATCTTTTCTTCATAAATACACAGCTTTAGGAATATGTCACCATTTTTTATAGGACATATTAGTCTTTTTCTTTTCCCCCTGGCATCAGAAAGATGTACTAATTGAAACATAACTTGGGAACATTGTGCCATCTTGAAACCTTGATTTAGTAAAAATACGGCAGTACTGATCAGGAAATGTATTCAGCTTGCTTAGAAAACCAAAAGGGCATTAAGAGCCACAAAAGCAAAGAAAACTTCCCATGTTTGGATCATGTTCTATAGAAAAACTAAATTATAATTGTAGGCTTCTTCATTCATGAGCCAAATGCTGTAATACTTTGCCCTTTGACTGGTTTGGATTCTTAACATTACTAGTGGTATTTCCAGAAGTAAGGTGAGAGTTACTCTCCTTATAGCAACTGAGTGTACTAAGTTGAACGAAAGGATGAATAATATTCACTTGTTTGAACTGAGCCCCACTACTGATTCTTTAACAAATTGCTTGAATTTTTTTTTTTTTGGAGATGGAGTTTCACTTGTCGCCCCCCACCCCCAGGCTGGAGTGCAATGGTGCGATCTCAGCTCACTGCAACCTCCGCCTCCAAGATTCAAGTGATTCTCCTCCTCAACCTCCTGAGTAGCTGAGATTACAGGCATGTGCCACCACGCCTGGCTAATTTTTTTTATTATTAGTAGAGACGAGATTTCACCATTTTGTCCAGGCTGGTCTCGAACTCCTGACCTCAGGTGATCTACCTGCCTTGGCCTCCCAAAGTGCTGGGATTACAGGTGTGAGCCACCACTCCTGACCTTGAATTCTTACATGTAAACAATTTGGTGGGAACGTTCCATCATAAATTCTAAGTTGTTTATATACCAAGGTAGCCTTAATTTGTATACATTTCAGTACAATGAGATTTTATTGCCTCTGGGATGCTGTTTGGTTTATATTTTGTTGAACGTTTTTCTCATAGAGAAACCTATGACTTCCGTACCTAGATCATTTGTTACATTAAAAAGCTGCTCTTTCAGCATTAGAGCTATAAAGGAATGTTATCTTGTGGGGAAAACAATCTAGTCTTTAGCTGTATGAGCTACCTTTATTAGGATGCTAGTTGCCTAGTGACATTGTTGCCTTCATAACATCATAAGGCAAAGCATTACTTTTTCTAGGTTTAGATACACAAATACTTAACATTGTATTACAACTGCCTGCAATATTCAGCATAGTAACATGTACAGGTTTATAGCCTAGCAGCAATAGGATATACCATATAGCCTAGGAATATAGTAGGCTCTACCATCTAAGTTTGTGTAAGTACATTTTATGATGTTCACACAACAACAAAATTGCCTAACAATGCATTTGTCAGACTGTATCCCCATCACTAAGAAACATATGACTGTCTATATAACCAGAAAACTAGATAAATAGGTAGGTAGATAAAGTTCATGGGTTGGAAGGCTTGATATTATTATTATTGTTACTTTTAAGACAGAGTTTCATTCCTGTCTCCCAGGCTGTAGTGCAATGGTGCAATCTCGGCTCACTGCAACCACCCCTTCCTGGGCTGAAGCAATTCTCGTGCCTCAGCCTCCCAAGTAGCTGGGATGACAGGTGCATGCCACCACGCTGGCTAATTTTTATATTTTTTGTGGAGACAGGGTTTTGCCATGTTGCCCAGGCTGGTGTTGAACTCCTGGATTCAACCTTTCTGCCTGCCTTGGGCTCCCAAAGTGCTGGGATTACAGATGTGAGCCACTGCGCCTGGCCAAGGCTTGATATTATTAAGTCAATGCTACTCATATTGGTCTAATTTATAGATCAATGCAATTATAATCAGAATCCTAGCAGGTCTGTGTGTGTGTGTAAATTGACATGTTGAGACTAAAATGTATGTGAAAATGCAGAGGGACTAGTGTAGCCAAGCCAACCTTGAAGAACAAAGTTGAAGAACTTACTCTACCAGATTTCAATGCTTAATGTAAAGCAACAACTATTAAGACAGTGTGATATTAGCATAAAGATAGACGTAGACCAGGGCCAGGTGCGGTGGCTCATGCCTCTAATCCCTGCACTTTGGGAGGCCGAGGCAGTGGATCGTGGTCAGGAGTTTGAGACCAGCCTGGCCAACATGGTGAAACCCTGTCTCTACTGAAAATACAAAAATTAGCCAGGTGTGGGGGCATGAGCCTGTAGTCCCAGCTACCCAGGAGGCTGAGGCAGGAGAATTGCTTGAACCCAGGAGGCAGAGGTTGCAGTGAGCCTAGATATCACCACTGCACTCCAGCCTGGATGACAGAGTGAGACTCCATATATTTAAAAAAAAAAAAAAAGCGGGTCGGGCACGGTTGCTCACGCATGTAATCCCAGCACTTTGGGAGGTCGAGATGGGTGGATCACCTGAGGTCACGAGTTCAAGACTAGTCTGGCCAACATGGCGAAACCCCGTCTCTATTAAAAGTACAAAAATTAGCTGGGCGTGGTGGTGGGCACCTGTAATCCCAGCTACTAGGGAGGCTGAGGCAGGAGAATCGCTTAAACCCGGGAGGCGGAGGTTGCAGTGAGCCAAGGTAGCGCCACTGTACTCCAGCCTGGTCGACAGAGCGAGACTCTGTCTCAAAAAAAAAAAAAAAAAAAAAAAAAGAAAGAAAGAAAGGAAGGAAGGAAGGAAGGAAGGAAATAAAAAAAATAGACATAGACCAATGGAACAAAATACAAGTCCAGAAATAGACCTCACAATCATTTTCAGCTTTATGCAATTCAATGGAGATGAAATAGTCTTTTCAATTCATTTTGCTGGAGCAATTGGGTTCCATGTGGGGAAAGAAAGGAAGCTTGGCTCATACATCACACCATATTCAAACATTAATTTGAGATAGATTCTAGACATACATACAGAAGGTTAATGTCAAAGCTTGTAGAAAAAATTGTTATGATCTTGAACAAAATAGAAAATCACTAATAATACTTCATTAAACTTAGGAACAAGTCCATGTATTCTTATAGTTATTCTAAGCAGTATCTTCAAATCAAGCTAGGCTTCATAACATTTAAGTACTTCCACCATTATCCACCATTATCTTGAAGTTTGTAGAATTACCTAAACTAACATTTTATTGTTATGCTCTCAGCTTTTTATCGAAGGGCACTATAGGAAACATTCACATGAAATTATTACTGGGCTGAGCATGGTGTCTCATGCCTGTAATCCCAGCAGTTTGGGAGGCTGAGGCGGGAGAATCACTTGAACCCAGGAGTTTAAGACCAGCCTGGGCAACACAATCAGACCCTGTCTCTACAAAAAATTAAAAAATTAGCTGAGGCAGTGGTGCATGATTGTAATCCCAGCTACTCAGGACGGAGGATTGCTTGAGCCCAGGAGGTGGAGGCTGTAGTCAGCTGTGATTGCACCACTATGCTCCAGCCTTGGTGACAGTGAGACCCTGTCTCTAGAAAAATTTTAAAAAAATTATTACCGCATTTGCTGTAGATGATTAACTAACACTTTAGTATTTACTGTGCATTAGGCAGTATTCTTAGCTCTTATAAATATTACATCACTTGGTCCTCATAATGCCTATGAAGTAGATAGTATTCCTATGTACATTTTACAGATGAGGACACTGGTGAAAAGACATTAAATTACCCAAGGTTAGTAGCCAGGGACTGCCACTTAGTATCAGGGATGGAATTTGAGCATAATCAGTGTATTAGTAAGCTAAGGCTGCCATTACAAATTTCCACAGGCTATGTGGCTGAAACAACAGAAATTGACTTCTCACAGTTACGGAGGTAGAAGTCCCAGATAAAGGTCTGGCATGATTTGATTTCTGGTGAGCGCTCTCTTCCTGGTTTGCAGACAGCTGCCTTTTCATTTTGTCCTCACATGGCCTTTCCTCCGAGTCCATGAGGAGAAAGAAGAGTGAGCTCTCTGGTGTCTCTTTCTATCAGGGCACTGATCCCATTGGATCAGGGCCTCACCTTCATGGCCTCATTTAACCTTAATTTTTTTTTTTTTACCCCAAATATAGTCACACTGGGCTTCAACATGAATTTTGAGAGAATACATATAGTAAGTCTATAACCATTCCATCACCCAAAAATTAATGTCCTTCTTGCATGCTGATATAAATGACCAGATCTCATGAGAACTCACTACCATGAGAACAGTACCAAGGGAAATGGTGCTAGAGCATTCATGAGAAATCCACCGCCACGATCCAGTCGCCTCCCACCAGACCCCACCTCCAACACTGGGGATTACATTTCACTGTGAGACTTTGGGGCTGGGGACACGTATCCACACTGTAACAGATGGAGAAATGAGAGCAGAGAAAATAACCAAAAACATTGGTGGAAACTACCACATGGTGAAAAACTCCAGGGAAATTTCAAGCTCAGGGCCAATAAATTCAGGAAGTCCTTTTTCATGCCAGTGTAACAGATGCAGCAAAAGACAACGTACAGAGACTCCACTTAAAATGGTGGTGGTAGGGAGAATTCTATAGTGGAGAAAAAAGTTTGTGAAAGCTATGAAGATAAATTTGTTGAATTTGTAGTTCAAATTTGTGTTATAATTGCAACTGTGTTAACTGTTAAAAGGACACAATTTGAATCACTCTTTTGCCTTTCTTCTATAACATTTCTGACCAGGCTGGGTGTGGTAACTCAGGCCTATAACTCCAGCACTTTGGGAGGCTGAGGTGAAAGGATCTCTTGAGGCCAAGGGTTGCAGGCTGCAGTGAGCTGTGGCTGCATCATTACACTCCAGCCTGGGCAAGAGAGCAAGACCCTGTCTCAAAAAAGAAAACAAAAATCTAAGGCCTGGCGTGGTGGCTCACGCCTGTAATCCCAACACTTTTTCTTTTCTTTTTTTTTTTTTTTTTGTCACCTGAGCTGGAGTGCAGTGGCACAAACATGGCTCGCTGCGGCCTCAACCTCTTGCACTCAGGTGATCCTTCTGCTTCAGCCTCCCTTGTAGATGGGACCCTAGGTGTGTGGCACCAAGCCTGGCTAATTTTTTTTACAGGGTTTCTCTTTGTTGCCCAGGCTGATCAAACTCCTGAGCTCATGTGATCCTACCCTCTTGGCCTCCCAAAGCACTGGGATGACAGGCGTGAGCCCCCACGCCTGGCCAATCCCAGCACTTTGGGAAGCCAAGGTGGGAGAATCACTTGAGCCACGGAGTTTGAGACCAGCCCTGGCAAAACAGCAAGACCCCCATCTCTACAAAAATAGCATTTAAAAATTAGCCAGCCATGGTGAAGCATGCCTGTAGTCCCAGATACTTGTGAGGCTGAGGTGGGAGGATCACTTGAGCCCAGGAAGTTGAGGCTGAAGTGAACCATAGTCACGCTACTGCACTTCAGCCTGGGCAACAGAGTGAGACTCTGCCCCCCGCCGCCTCAAATTTTTTTCTGATGAAATAGTGTGACGGGACAATAAGAGATTTTCCATTCCATGCTTCATTTTTGTAACCTATTCATCGATCTGACCTTCTATTTAATGGTATTAGGCCTTGAAGCAATTTGAAACAACAGCCTTGGGTAGGAAGCAATGATTCATAATTCTATAGTTCTGAGAGAAGCCTGATAATGTTTGTCTCTTTTTCTCTATCTTATCTCCTATTATGTCTCCCATTTTCTTGGGGGAATAATCCAGCTTTTTAAAACATCAAATCAGGCTGGCCGTGGTGGCTCACATCTGTAATCCCAGCACTCTGGGAGGCCAAGGTGGGCAGATCACCTGAGGTCAGGAGTTCAAGACCAGCCTGGCCAACATGGTGAAACACCATTTCTCCTAAAAATATAAAAAATTAGCCAGGTGTGGCAGTGTGTGCCTGTAGTCCCAGCTACTCGGGAGGTTGAAGCAGGAGAATCACTTGAACCTGGGAGGCAGAGATTGCAGTGAGCCATGATTGCACCACTGCACTCCAGCCTGGGCAACAGAGTAAGACTCCATCTCAAAAAAGAGCAAATTTGCCTAACTATCAAGTTGAGAGATGCTAGGGATCATCCTCCTTAAATGAACCACTAAAATTTTTTAAAAAGTATAAAGGCAAATTGAGAAACGAATAGATCTAGATATCCCATTATCCATCCTACAGGGGTTCCAAAAGAAGAAAACACAGAGAATTTGGAGGAGGAAATAAAGAAATACTAGAAGAAAAATTCCCAGAGTTAAAGGAGACATGAGTCTTCTAATTTAAGAGGCCTATAGAATACCAAGCAAGATACATGACAAAGGTTTCAAACTTGGAATACATCAAAGTAAAATTTCAGAATTTTAGATTTTATTGGAACTTTAGATGTATTTATATTGAGAAAATAACAAAACAAGATT
This sequence comes from Homo sapiens, assembly GCF_000001405.40. Taxonomy (NCBI): domain Eukaryota; kingdom Metazoa; phylum Chordata; class Mammalia; order Primates; family Hominidae; genus Homo; species Homo sapiens. The sequence goes on from NC_000007.14 coordinate 40,115,001, forward strand.
GTCTACAAAAGAAAGAATCAGACTGGCATCCACCTCCTCACCAATTAACATTGCATGCAAAAAAGATTCTGCAATGTCTAAGAGAAAATAATTTTGGCTGGGTACAGTGGCTCACACCTGTAATCCCAGCACTTTGGGAGGCTGAGGTGGATGGATCACTTGAGGTCAGGAGTTCAAGTCCAGCCTGGCCAACATGATGAAACCCCGTCTCCACTAAAAATACAAAAATTAGCCAGGCGTGGTGTGGGCACCTGTAATCCCAGCTACTCGGGAGGCTGAGGCAGGAGAATCGCTTGAACCTGAGAGATGGAGGCTGCAGTGAGCTGAAATGGTGCCACTGCACTCCAGCCTGAGTGAGACTCTGTCTCTAGCAACAATAATAATAATTTTGACCTTAGATTACCATACTAAGTGTGTTAAGGAATACACTTTTCTCTAAGGAATAGCTTTTCTCTAAGCGTTCCCTTGGCCTTCTTGCTTTGACTGAAACCTGGCTCTTCCCTGAGGACACTGATTGCCCTGTCGCTTTCTCCAGTGATGACTGTTTTCTCTCCTGTGTACCACTGGGTTTGGAGTCTAGCTGGAGGTTCTTATTTCACAGATAGATAAATAAATAGGAGAGAGAAGCCGGTTGGCATGTAACAGGTTTTCTCGCTCTAGGGAGATTCTTCAAGCAATCACTATGTCGACAGACACAGATGTTTCCTTTTCTTCATACAATGAAGATCAGGCTAAAGAGGCACCATTCACCCCCATTGGAATGGCAGGTTTTGTAGCAATTGTTGCATATGGACTACACAAATTGAAGAGCAGGGGAAATACTAAAATATTCCATCATCTGATCCACATGCGTGTGGAAGCCCTAGGCTTTGTTGTAGGAGCAATGGCTGTTGTTGGTATGGACTATTCCATGTATCGGGAATTCTAAGCAAAACCTGAGCCTTAGAAGAAGAGATGTTGTTTTGATCTTGTTGGAGGAGCTTGCTTTAGTTAGACATCTCATTATTGAAGTTACATATTAATGCTGAAAATTAACTATTTGAGTGGGTTAAGATGGTAACACGGCATTTTGAATATTGGCTTCCTTTCTTGCAGGCTTGATTTGCCTGGTGATTGAATTACTAGTGAATAGTTTACTAACTAGGTCATTAAAGGAAGTAGAGTTAACATAAAAGATACATGTCACCTAAATATACTTCATAGTGTTGAAATGTCCACCTTCTTAAACTGTTAAGATGAAATTAGTTCTAAAGAAGATAGTAGGCCAACCGTGAAGTACTCCCAGTTTGCTGCAGAATCTCACATTTTGAATGTTATATGAGTCCTATTTGCCCAGTTAGTTTAACTTTTTTCTGCCTGTCTTGTGGACTGGCTGGCTCTTTCAGAACTCTGTCCAAAAAGTGCATGGAATATAACTTGTAAAGCCTCCTACAACTGACAGTATCTATGTGTGTGTGTTTAAACCCAACCTCGAAAGCTTACAATAGAGCTGTATAGTAGTAGTATTAAAGAATCACAATTGTAAACACGAGAATAACTGATGGATTCTAGTTTAGTTCTTTTGTAATTGCAGAATTATATTTTTGCTGCTGTTAGAATAATTTTTAAATGTTATCTTGAAATAGAAATATGTATTTTGGTTGGGCACTGTGGCTCACACCTGAAATCCTAGCACTTTGGGAGGCCAAGGCAGGCGGATTACCTGAGCTCAGGAGTTTGAGACTGCCCTGGGCAACATGGTGAAACCCTGTCTCTACCAAAAATACAAAAAATTAGTCAGGAGGCATAGTGGCAGGCACCTGCAGTCCCAGCTACTCAGGAGGCTGAGGCATGAAAATCGCTTGAGCCCGAAAATTGGAGGTTGCGGTGAGCCGAGACTGTGCCACTGCACTCTACCCTGGGTGACAGAATGAGACTGTCTCCAAAAAAAAAAAAAAAAAAAAAAAAAAAAAAAAAAAAGGAAAGGAAGAGATATGTATTTTAAGAACTCATGCAAAAATAAATGAACACTATTAAAATGTGTGTGTTGCTTATTTTCTCCATAAAAACTGTAAACAATGGAATTGATTAATGACTTATGAGCAAACTGGTTTGGCCAGAAAGTATACAGAATTTGTTGGTTTGTTTTTTTAGTTTTTTAGTTTCAGTGTGTCTCCCACTGGAGTGCAGTGGCACGATCTCGGCTCAATGCAACCTCCACCTCCCGGGTTCAAGTGATTCTCCTACCTCTGCCTCCCCAGTAGCTGGGATCAGAGGTGCCCAGCACCATGCCCGGCTAATTTTTGTGTTTTTAGTAGAGATGGGGTTTCGCCATGTTGGCCTGGCTGGTCTCAAATTCCTGACCTCAGGTGATCCGCCTACCTTGGCCTCCCAAAGTGCTGGGATTATAGGCGTGAGTCACTGTGCCCGGCACACAAACTTTTATATACTACAGAATGCTATTATACTTGTGAAATTCTCTTGTCTAACCTGAATTTACATTCCATGATGATAACATGGTATACGTATTGTTATGAAAGTGACCGTGTCCATAAATAGGAGAAATCCCATAACTCCTACTACATCGGTTCTACCTTTTGCAACCATTTCCATTTCACTAACTTCTGTCCTGCTGCTATGGAAAAACTATCTGGACTCCTAGAAAATCTCTGCTTGCCAAACAAAGAACACACCAGCTCACCACTCTCTCCTGCCTCATTTTTTCCCCCATATAAGGTCCATGAGGGCCACAGTTTTGTTTGTTTGTTTTGATTTTCTCTGCTCCTAGCATCAAGTACTGTGCCTGGCACACTATACAAGCTTAGTCTTTAATGAACAAATACAAATTAAATCTGTATATGGGCTGAGTGTGGTGGTTCATGCCTGTAATTCCAGCACTTTGGGAGGCCAAGGTGGGCCTATCACTTGAGGCTGCCAATTTTGAGACCAGCCTGGCCAACATGGTGAAATCCCATCTCAAAAAAAGAAAAAAAAAGGCCGGGCACGGTGGCTCACGCTTGTAATCCCAGCACTTTGGGAGGCTGAGGTGAGTGGATCACCTGAGGTCAGGGGTTCAAGACCAGCCTGGCCAACATGGTGAAACCCCGTCTCTACTAAAAATACAAAAAAAAAAAAAAAGCTGGCATGATGGTGGGTGCCTGTAATCCCAGCTACTCGGGAGGCTGAGGCATGAGAATCACTTGAACCCGGGAGGTGGAGGCTGCAATGAGCTGAGTTCGCACCACTGCATTCCAGTCTGGGTGACAGAGCAAGACTCCAGCTCAAAAAAAAAAAAAAAAGAAAAAGAAAAAGAAAAAAAGAAGTTCACTTTGCTGCCAAGATTGCGAGTTTTTGCTATTTCTTTCAATTAGGGGATGTTATACGTGTATGATTGCAACCAGTGACCACTGTATGTTTTCGTTTCCTTTCCTAAGGGAAGTTTCTTTCTTTGTCTTTTCTTTTTTTCCAATTGTGGTTACCATGGTTTTGTTTTTTGTTTTTTTGTTTCGAGATAGAGTCTCGCTCTGTTGCCCAGGCTGGAGTACAGTGGCGCAATCTCAGCTCACTGCAACCTCTGCCTCCTGGGTTCAAGCAATTCTCCTGCCTCAGCCTCCTGAGTAGCTGGGACTACAGGAGCACGCCACCACACCCGGCTAATTTTTGTATTTTTAGTAGAGACGGGGTTTCACCATGTTGGCCAAACTGGTCTTGAACTCCTAACCTCGTGATTCTCCTGCCTCAGCTTCCCAAAAGTGCTGGGATTACAGGCGTGAGCCACTGTGCCCGGCCACCATGTTTTCTTTCTACCATTGCATGTTGACTGAGCTGGAGTCAGTTAAGTGTAATTTGGCAATCATTTGCCATGAGAGGTTGTATTATATCTAGACCTGAAAAGAAACACAAATCATCCATGGGTTTCTGACCCTCAATCGGAATGAATAATGAGACGTTCAGCTATCTCCCTGAGGAGGTGTGTTTTGTCATGTAGGTTAGACAGTTACATTAGCTGGGGTGTGACCATTTTTAAGAAAGTATATAGATGCTAAATGCAGTGTGGAATCCTGGATTGGATCTTGGAACAGAAAAAGATAATTATTGGAAAAAGCAATGAAAGACAAATGAAGTCTGTAATTTGTTTAGTATTCTTAGTTTTAACACATGTTCTATGGTTGTGTAAGATGTTAGCATCAGGGAAAGTTGTGTGAAGGCTATATGGGAACTCTGTACTATCTTTGCAACTTTTCTATAAATTTAACAGTCAACATATAATATAAAAACAAAACAAAACTACAAGGCTGGGCCTGGTGGCTCATGCCTGTAATCCCAGCACACTGGGAGGCCAAGGCAGGAGGATGGCTTGAACCCAGTTCGAGACCAGTCTGAGCAACATAGTGAGATACTGTCTCTACAAAAAATAATACAGCAAAAAAATTAGCCAGGCATGGTGGTGCATGCCTATAGACCCAGCTACTCAGGAGGCTGAGATGGAAGGATCACTTGAGCCCAGGAGGTCAAGGCTGCAGTGAGCCATGATGGTGCCACTGCACTCCAGGCTGGGTGAGAGCAAGACCCTGTTTTCAAAATAAGAAGAAAAAAAGAAAACTACAAAAACAAAAACCAAAATAGTGTATTATAGCAAAAGGTTTGTGTATGGAAACTGGGCTGCCAGGACATAGAATGTCTTTTCTGGCCAGGCGTGGTGGCTCATGCCTGTAATCCCAGCACTTTGGGAGACCGAGGCAGGCGGATCATGAGGTCAAGAGATCGAGACCATCCTGGCCAACATGGTGAAACCCCGTCTCTACTAAAAATGCAAAAATTAGCTGGGCATGGTGACGTGCGCCTGTAGTCTCAGCTACAAGGGGGGCTGAGGCAGGAGAATCGCTTCAACCTGGGAGGCAGAGGCTGCAGTGAGCCAAGATCACGTCACTGCACTCCAGCCTGGTGACAGAGCAAGACTCCGTCTCAAAAAAGAAAAAAAAAAGAATGTCTTTTCTTACTGAGTATTCATTTTTTTTCTCAACAACATTCTATTTTCTACTGGGAAACTGTGCATTCCCTTATTCTCCATCTTTGTGATTTAGAGGGACGCTAATTCCACCTCTGCCTCTACGGATAGCAAGTGACCTAGACTTGACCCGCTGAGCAACATCACATCTTCTTGGTCACAGTTGCAGATTCAGGGATGGACATGTGATTTAATCAGAACAAATGAGGTGCAATTACAAGACTCTTGTGAAACTGTTAAGAAGCCTGCCAGGTTGAGGCTGCAGTGAGCTATGATAGTGCTACTGTACCCTAGCCTGAGCGACACACTAAGACCCTGCTTGAAAAAAAAAAAAAAAAAAAAAAGCCAGAATCTCTCCTTTCCACTGGGGGGTTGATAAGAAGAGTTGTGTTAATCTTATTGTCATCACGAGGTGAGAGGCTGCTGGAAAACGGGACCAAGACAGGAAAGAGCAGAACAAAAGAGCACAGCCAAGGACTGACAGCATTACTGAAACTCCTTTACCCAGCCAGGCCCTGGACTTTTAAAATAAAGTATGTTTGTTCCATGAGGCCATTTAAGTTGGGTTTTCTGAATCTTACAACTTGACAGAATCCAGACTAAGACAAAAATCGCTAACTATAGTGAGGTAATGCAAAACCGTGAATTAGTATGAAACCATCAAAAAATGTATTTGTTAGTGCATATGAAAATCTTTGGAGGCAGGATGCAGTGGCTCATGCCTGTAATCCTAGCACTTTGGGAGGCTGAGGCAGGCGGATCACTTTATGTCGGGAGTGTGAGACATGCCTAGGCAACATGGGGAAACCCCCGTCTCTACTAAAAATACAAAAATTAGCTGGGCATGGTCGCGCACACTGGTAATCCCAACTACTTGGGAGGCTGAGGCGGGAGGATCGTTTGATCCGAGAGGCAGACGTTGCAGTGAGCCAAGATCCCACCACTGCACTCCAGCATGGGCGACAGAGCAAGACTCCATCTCAAAAAAACAAACAACAACAACAACAAAAAAACAAACTTTGGAAAGACTAATCAGTTAACTGGATTGGGATTACAAGAGATTTTCACATTCTGCTCTACACATTTCTGAATTATTTGAATTTTTTAACAGGAGCATATATGATTCATATTACCAGAAATAGCAAACATCAAGCTGAACTGCAGCTAAGGAGTGTCTGTGATAAAGAGAAAACTGTTTGATTATTAAACAAAAGACAATTGAAGCCTCAGTTCTTTTAATTTGCCTTGTTCAATTAGTTACTTAACTTTATGAACTCAAGTCATACACTGAGACCCTAAAGTTGTTTTTGTTTTGAATTAATGCCATATAGCTGAAAGTGACAAACACTTTACTCATGGCAGTATACAGAAAATTTTCAGGGAAGATTAAAAGGCATGAAAACAGCAGGTTGTGGTGGCTCATGCCTGTAATCCCAGCACTTTGGGAGGCCAATGTGGGCGGATCACTTGAGGTCAAGAGTTCGAGACCAGCCTGGCCAACATAGAGAAACCCCGTCTCTACTAAAAGTACAAAAATAAGCCGGCTGTGGTGGCGGGTGCCTGTAATCCCAGCTACTCGGGAGGCTAAGACAGGAGAATCACTTGAACCCTGGAGGCAGAGGTTGCAGTGAGCCTAGATCGCACCACTGCACTCCAGCCTGGGTGACAAGAGTGAGACTCTGTCTCAAAAAAAAAAAAAAAAAAAAGACATGAAAACTTGACTCTTGATAGACAATTCTAGCAATATACAAACTGTTTTTACTTTGTTTCCCTACAGTCTTGAATTTGTTGTCCAACTCATTTTCTGGTTACGAATTTAAAATTACAGCATAATGCCAATGTCTGAGATGTAATCTGTTATTGGTTTAAATTCAGGATTCATAATATAATATGGAGTCTGCTCACATATTCCATGGGCTCATGTAGTGATGTTAATTATGTTTCAGAAAAAAAGCATCATGGTCATCCATTCTCAATAGACACTGTTGAATTACAAAACTAGCCCTAATATGTAGAATGTCAGTCAACAATGAGAATTCCTTTATATCTACACATTATGAGAATATTTAGGTAAGTTACTTAATAAATCCTGGTCCCAACTTAAAAAGTGACTTTTGCTGAGGCGGATGGATCGATTGAGTTCAGGAGTTTGACACCAGCCTGGACAACATAGGGAAACCCTGTCTCTATGAAAAAAAAAAAAAAAGCAAAAACCTAAAAACCACCACCAACTAAAACCTAGTCAGGCATGATGGTGCAGGACTGTGGTCCCAGCTACTCTGGAGAGTGAGGTAGGAGGATTTCTTGGACCGGGGAGGTCAAGGCTATACTGATCTATGTGATTGTGCCACTGCACTCCAGCCTGGGTGACAGAGCAAGACCATCTCAAAAAATATATAGAATAATAACTTTTCCACCCCAGAAAGATACTGGTTCCACAAGTTTATTAAAAAAATAAAATAAAATGGCCGGGTGCGGTAGCTCACGCCTGTAATCTCAGCACTTTGGGAGGCCAAGGCGGGTGGATCACGAGGTCAGGAGATTGAGATCACCCTGGCCAACATGGTGAAACCCTGTCTGTACTAAAAATACAAAAAAAAAAAAAATTAGCTGGGCATGGTGGCCCGTGCCTGTAATCCCAGCTACTCCGGAGGCTGAGGCAGGAGAATCGCTGGAACCCCAAGAAGCAGAGGTTGCAGTGAGCCGAGATCACGCCATTGCACTCCAGACTGGACAACAAGAGTGAAACTCTGTCTCAAAATAAAATTAAAAAAAACAAAAAATAAAAAACAATGTGTGCACAATTCTGTTAATCATTTATAACAAAGGTCATAAACTGGTGACCTGGGGTTGGGATTCAGCTGATATGTGGTTTTGACGTACATTGTTTAAACAGTAACAAAAAATTAGTTTCAAATTGGGAGATTTTGAGTAAAAAAGCCCAAGTTTTGGGGAGTCTTTTGAAAAACTGAAAAATCTGGTGACACTACATTTTTACATTGGGTTTTAATTTTATTTTTGTGAGACAGAGTCTCACTCTGTCACCCAAGTAGGAGTACAGTGGCTTGATCATGGCTTACTGCAGCTTCAACCTCCCAGGCTCAAACAATCTTCCTGCCTCAGTCTCCCAAGTAGCTGGGACCAACGCGTGCACCACAACACCTGGCTAATTTTTGTATTTTTGGTAGAGATGAGGTCTCACTTTGTTGCCCAGGTTGGTCTTGAGCTTCTGGGCTCAAGCAATCTGCCCACCTTGACCTCCCAAAGTGCTGGAATTAACAGGTGTGAGCCACCGCACTTGGTCTACAAGCTCTGACTTGTAAGTAGAAGCTAAATAATGGCAACACGTGGACATAGAGTGTGGAATAATAGACACTGGAGAGTAGGAAGGGTGGGAGGGTGCTGAAGAATACGAAATTACTTAGTGGATACGATCGATGTACATTATTCAGGTGATGCTTATGCTAAAAGCCTAGACTTCACCACTACGTAACATATCCATGTAATAAAATTGCTCCTGTGGCCCTTAAATTTATACAAAAAAAAAAAAAAAAAATTAACAAAGTCATAGCCAAACCCAACTTCACACAGGTTTTTTCCTGCTGTCTTCTTTTATAGCTCTGTGTTTTACATTTAGGTCTATGATCCATTTGATGGTTTCTGTGAAAGGTGTTAGATGTGTCTTGATTCACTTTTTGCATATGGATGTCCAGTAGTTCCAGCAGTATTTGTTGAAAAGACTGTCCTTTCTCCATTGAATTGCCTTTGCTCCTTGATCAAAAATCAATTGATCTTTGACTAAGATCAATTTGTATTTGTGTGAGTCACACAAGTGTGTTTGCGTGGGTCTATTTCTGGTCTCTTTATTTTGTTCCATCAATCTAGTTGTCTGTTCTTTTGCCAATACCACATTGTCTTGGTTACTGTAGCTTTACAATAAATATTGAAGTCTGGTAGTGTCGGTCCCCCAACTCTGTACTCAATCAATACTGTGTTGCCTATTCTGAGTCCTTTACCTTTACAATTAAACTTTAGAATCAATTTGTCTATACCCACAAAATAACTTGCTGGGATTTTGACTGGGACTGAGTTGAGTCTACAAATCCAGTTGAGAAGAATTGACATCTTGACAATATTGAATCTTCCTACCCATGTGCATGGAATACATTAAATTTCTTAAGATTTTCTTTCTTTCACCAGTTCTGTAGTTTTCCTTATATAAGTCTTATACATATTTTCTTAGATTTATCCTTAAGCATTTCTTATTTTTTGGTGCCAAGGTAAATGGGATTAGGTTAATTTCAAATTCCAATTGTTTATTACTGGTATGTAGGAAAGCAATTTATTTTTGTGTATTAGCCTTGTATCCTGCAACCTTGCTGTAATCACTTATTAGTTCCAGAAGTTTTTCCGTTTTCAATTCTCTGATTTTCTGCATAATCATGTCATTTTTGAGGAACAGTTTTACTTCTTCCTTCCCAATTTCTATACTCTTTATTTCCTTGTCTTATAGCGAGCATCTCAGTACAATATTGATAGGAGTGGTGAGAGGACATCCTGACCTTTTTCCTGATCTTAGTGGGAAGAATCTAATTTCTTACCATTAAGTATGATGTTAGTTGTAGAATTTTGTAAATTAAAAAAAAAAATCAAGTTGAGAAAGTTCCCTCCTGTTCCTAGCTTGCTGAGAGTTTTTGTCATGAATGGGTATTGAATTTTGTCAAGTGCTTTTTTGTGGCTAGGCATCATGGCTCACACCCATAACATCAGCACTTTGGGAAGCTGAAGTGGGAGGATCACTTGAGTCCAGGAGTTCAAGACAAACCTGGGTGACATGGCCAAGCCCCATCTCTATAAAAAATACTAAAATTGCCCAGGCGTGGTGATGTGCAACTATAGTCTCAGTTGCTCTGGAGGCTGAGGTGGGAGGATTGCCTTGAGCCCTGGAGGTGGAGATTGCAGTGAGCCAAAATCATGTCACTGCACTCCAGCCTGGGCAACAGAGTGAGACTTTGTCTCAAATTTTCTTTAAAAAAAGCTTTTTTTGGCCAGGCGCGGTGGCTCACGCCTGTAATCCCAGGGCTTTGGGAGGCTGAGGCGGGCGGATCACGAGGTCAGGAGATCGAGACCATCCTGGCTAACACAGTGAAACCCCCTCTCTACTAAAAATACAAAAAAATTAGCCGGGTGTGGTGGCAGGCGCCTGTAGTCCCAGCTACTAGGGAGGCTGAGGCAGGAGAATGGCGTGAACCCGGGAGGTGGAGCTTGCAGTGAGTCAAGACCGTGCCACTGCACTCCAGCCTGGGCGACAGAGCAAGACTCCATCTCAAAAAATAAAAATAAAAAAAAATAAAACATAAAAATAAAAAAAAGCTTTTTCATCATCTATTCATACGATAATGAGATTTTTCTTTTTTCGTCTATTGATGTGATGGATTACTTTGATTTTTGGATGCTAAGCCTTAAATATCTAGAATAAATACCACTTGGTCATGGTATATAATTATTTTTATCTTACTTTATTTTTGAGACAGAGCCTTGCTCTGTCCCCAGGGTGGAGTGCAGTGGCGTGAACACTGCTCATTGCAGCCTTGACCTCCTGGGCTCAAGCTATCCTTCTGCCTCAGCCTCCCATGTGGTCCTATCCAGCTGGGACCACAGGCGTGGACCACCATGCCTAGTTAATTTTTCGATTTTTTTGGTAGAGACAAGGTCTCACCTTGTTGCCCAGGCTGGTCTCCATCTCCTGGGCTCAACTGATTCTCCTACCTTGGCTTCCCAAAGTGCTGGGATTATAGCTGTGAGCCACTGTACCTGGCCAATATAATTCTTTTTATTTATTGCTGGATTCTATTTGGTAACACTTTATTGAAAACTTTTGCATCTATGGTCATGAGATATTCGTAAGTATTTTTCCTTTCTTGTAATGTTTTTGTCTGACTTTGGTATTAGGGTGATGCTGCCATCACAGTATGAGTTAGGAGGTCAGAGTAGATTTTTTATTATAAAATATTTCAAAGAAGAGAAAGTAAATATACGTGTATTCCATGGTGAGGTTTAATAAATTTTAACATTTTCCAAATTTGGTTGACTTGAAATACATATCCACTCACACATCCATGTCCATCTGAAGCTTGTATCTCCCTGAACCCACCCCAAAATAATTACTATATCTAAAGCATGTTACCTTCATTTGTATTTACACTATGACCTTATATTTACCATTTATAGAGAGTACAGCATATTGTTTTGCAGACTTTTAAATTTGACGTAAAGAATATCACATAAGTTTTGCTTTGGCTTTTGTTTGTACACAATTTTAGATTTATTCATGTTGTATCAAATGGCTCTAATTTAATCAACTATCTTGTTATACTGTGCAAATATGCAACTTATTTATCCTTTCTCCTATGGTCATTTAGATTGTTGGCAATCTTTCAACTGTAAAAATTTTTTTCTTTTTTGAGACAGGATCTCCCTGTGTTGCCCAGGCTGGAGTGCAGTGGTGAGATCTTGGCTCACTGCAACCTTCACTTCCTGGGCTCAAGCAATTCTCCTGCCTCAGCCTCCCAAGTAGCTGGGATACAGGCACATGCCACCATGTCTAATTTTTGTATTTTTAGTAGAGACGGGGTTTCACCATGTTGGGCAGGCTGGTCTCGAACTCCTGACCTCATGATCTGCCCGCCTCGGCCTCCCAAAGTGCTGGGATTACAGGCGTGAGCCACCGCGCCCAGCCTCAATTATGGTTTTTAATGAATTTGAACAAATACAAGTATCTGAGAAGAGTTAACCCTAATTAAATAAAGCCGATTTTCTTTTTTTTTTTTTTATTTTGAGACAGAGTCTCGCTCTGTCGCCCAGGCTGGAGTGCAGTGGCGCCATCTTAACTCACTGCAACCTCTGCCTCCCGGGTTCATGCCATTCTCCTGCCTCAGCCTCCCGACTAGCTGGGACTACAGGCGCCCGCCACCATGCCTGGCTATTTTTTTTTTTTTATTTTTAGTAGAGACGGGGTTTCACTGTGTTAGCCAGGATGGGTTAAAGCCAATTTTCAAATGTATTGTCCTACACTACCTTTTGGAGACATTTACTTCTATATACCTACTTATATCTAAGTATATGTTCTGCTTTTAAGAGTACTATAGGCCAGGAACGGTGGCTTAGGCCTGTAATCTCAGCACTTTGGGAGGCCGAGGTGGGCAGATCACGAGGTCAGGAGTTCGAGACCAGCCTTGCCAATATGGTGAAACCCCATCTCTACCAAATATAAAAAATTAGCAGGGTGTGGTGGTGCGTGCCTGTTGTCCCAGTTACTTGGGAGGCTGAGGCAGAAGAATTGCTTGAACCCGGGAGGTGGAGGTTGCAGTGAGGCGAGATCACGCCACTGCACTGCAGCCTGGGCGACAGGGCAAGACTCTGTCTCAAAAAACAAACAAACAAACAAAAAACAGTATTGTATGTGAGCTGGGTGTAGTGTCACACACCTGTAATCCCAGCTACTTGGGAGGCTGAGGCAGGAGTTGGAGACCAGCCTGGGCAACATAGCAGGATCGGTCTCAAAAAAAAGAAAAGTATTGTATGGTATTTTATCAAACTAAGACATGTATTTAACATCTCTGAAATTAAGATGTATCTTATAATCAATGACATGTCACAGCTTAACTGGCAGTATTTTTACTAAGTGGCATATAAAATAATAGTGAATCTCAAAGCATCTTAAATTAGATGATAAATTATGGAAATTATGAGCAAAATAAAAGAGGTAATTCAGGCTGGGTGCACTGCCTCACCCATGTAAGCCCAGCACTTTGGGAGGCTGAGGTGGGTGGATCACCTGAGGTCAGCTGTTCAAAACCAGCCTGGCCAACATGGCGAAACTCCATCTCTACTAAAAATATAAAAATTAGCCAGGCATGGTGGCTTGCACCTGTAATCCCATCTACTCAGGAGGCTAAGGCAGGAGAACTGCTTGAACCCAGGAGGCGGAGGTTGCAGTGAGCCGAGATCACACCACTGCACTCCAGCCTGGGCAACACAGTAAGACTCTGTCACACACACACAAAAAAAGAGGTCATTAGGAAGTTCAGGGCTTATATCAGGTGTACTGATGACTACTATGTATTTTTTTTTTTCAGACTAGTCAAGTGCAGCAGTGAGAAGCGGGGGGAAGACGAGAACAAAGAGTTCGATCTGTAACTGACTGAACAATCAATTAAGATAACTCACTACCTTCCAACCAGGCGATTATGTGTCTTATTTACAGTAAAAACTACAACATATTTCTGTTAACTTAAACCTAAGTATATGGTAGGAATGAATGATACAGAGAAATGGTTGAGTGACAATAGCAGGAGACTTTGGCCTATGTAAAACAATTAATATGGAATTTATAGAACCTAATAATAAATGTACTGGCAAGGGTTAATGAAAATGTTTCTCTTAAGAATCTGAAAATGTTTCAGAAAATATAAATTCATGAACTTACTTCTAAAATGTTTTTAACTTGAAGATGTAATGTTAGTATGTCAGAAGTAAACATGAAACTTTTAACTTCCTCCTCCTTGATATCATGCAAACTATGCTACTGAGACAGGAATTGAGATATCTTCATCAGGCTCTTTATAATTATCAAGAATGGTGGAGGGCCGGGCGCGGTGGCTCACGCCTGTAATCCCAGCACTTTGGGAGGCTGAGGCTGGGCAGATCATGAGGTCAGGAGATTGAGACCATCCTGGCTAACAGGGTGAAACCCTGCCTCTACTAAAAATACAAAAAATTAGCTGGGTGTGGTGGCACATGCCTGTAGTCCCAACTACTCGGGAGGCTGAGGCAGGAGAATTGCTTGAACTTGGGAGGCAGAGGTTGTAGTGAGCTGAGATCGTGCCACTGCACTCCAGCATGGGTGACAGAACAAGACTTCGTCTCAAAAAAAAAAAAAAAAAAAAAAGAATGGTGGAAATACAGAGTTTGCTTCACAGGAGATTCACCAAAACTAATCATGCTTTTTTACTAATCTTGAATATTTTAATTCTTAGGTAGATGAGGCAAAGAGCCTCACCATTTGCTTTTTGCCTAAAAATAAGGTATCTTTTCCTTCATGTTAAACTCATGCTCTTTGCTTTCCTTTCACACAATGTACCCACAAAGGAAATGATTTTTTGAATAGTCCAGAAACAAAAAGGCAAGGTCACTGAACACTTTCATCATTATTTCCCAACTTGATAATACATCTGAATTCTGAACATCTCCACACGGGCCAATATAACTTATTTTTTTTTTTTTTTGAGATGGAGTATCACTCTGTCACCCAGGCTGGAGTGCAGTGGCACTATCTCGGCTCACTGCAACCTCTGCCTCCTGGGTTCAAGTGATTCTTCTGCCTCAGCCTCCCCAGTAGCTGGTATTACAGGCGCGCGCCACCATGCCCAGCTTATTTTTGTGTTTTTAGTGGAGACGAGGCTTTACCATATTGGCCAGGCTGGTCTCAAACTCCGAACCTCAAGTGATCTGCCCACCTGGGCTCCCAAAGTGCTGGGATTACAGGTGTGAGCCATAGTGCCTGGCCTATAACTCATTTTTAACACCACACTTTACCCACAATGAAAATAGATTAACTTCCATCATATTCTCTTAATTATGGCAGTCAGAAGTTGGCTAAGGGGCCAAGCGTGGTGGCTCACACCTGTAATTCCAGCACTTTGGGAGGCCGAGGCTGGAGGACCCCTTAAGCCTAAGAGTTAGAGACCAGCCTGGGTAATACAGGGAGGCCCCTATAAGGAGACCCTCTAACTCTTTGAAAAAAAAAAAAAGTCTGTTAATGTTCAAAGGGAAGGGACGTAACTCCACATCTTGATAAGGGTAGTGGCAAGGTTCGAGAAGGGTATGAGACTTTAAATATTGTTGGGGTCATTTCTGCAAAACACAACTTGCCATAGGTTTCTTTTGTAAAATGGGAGACCAGTGATTACCAAAAGGCAGCAGGGAAAAAGAACTGGCATGATCCCTTGATATGGATATGTTTTTATGTAGGTCAATTTTAATAAAGGATTTACATGGGCACTGCGATCTGAATTTGCATTCCCTTAAAGCTATTTATGCCTGCATATCCCTTAGAAAGTTTAATATTCCCAGGAGTATGTAGACCCTTGTTTGAAGACTCTACTATAGACTACACTTCCATCCTTTAAGCATATGAATTTTTAAGATGTATACTTAATTGTAAGTTTTTCTAAAAAGTTATTCAGCATTTTTATAGAGGTAAAATGTGTATCCTAGAACATTAAAAAACAATCCCTTTCATTTTAAAGAATAATCAATTCCTTTTACTCAGATAAATAAAAATAGAGTAACGGTAACAAACCAAATGGCCAATGCCACAAGAATTTTGATAACTGAATACACTACTTACAGTGTATGCATCTTTCCTGAGGACAAAAATTTTTCTTAAAAAACTCAGGCCAGGTCTCTAGAAGTAGATGTTGGTAAGCGTTAGCAAGAAATTTTACCTTTGTTTTATGTTACACTTACAGTGAAATAAAATGTACGTAGACCATTAGAAGAGTTACAGTTTGAATGTCTTCCAAATATGATATAAATACACTGGCACAAAATCCTAACTTCTGTTTTCGTCTTTACTAATAACCCAATGATCTAAGAGATGCTTCAGTAAATTATCTCCAAATGTCATTTCCTAAAGACAACATTTCTTACCTATAAAGTTCAATAAAGTATTTAAAAAAGTATTCCCTTTGCTTTAATTTCCATTATACATCATGACCTCAACATATCTGGAAAGACATAATGTTGGGAATAAGGACTTTTTCTTTAAAATACTGGGGAAAAATTACTAAGTTATCCCTTTTATATACAGGGTGTAGGTAGAACAATATAGTAGTTACAATCAGAATTTCTACATCCATTTATCACTTAAGTACCTACTATCTTGCAGACACTATTCTAAAAACTAAGGAAATGGGGGTAAATGAGAAAGTAACAGCTACCACTTATTGAGTGCTTACTATGTGCCAGGCTCTGGCTTAAGAGTTTCATACATAAATTCATTTAATCCTCCAACACAACACCTCTATGACACAGGTACTATTAATTTTCTCATCTTACACATGAGAAAATTGAGGCATAGAGAAGTGAACTCATCCAGCTAGTAACTTGTAGAAACAGCATTTCCAAAATCCTGGCTTTCATGGAGCTTTTATTAATCTAAAAGCCTTCCATTCTTATTTTCTAGTCTCTGTGAAATACCTAATGAACAAATTTCTGTGGGTATGGTTCAAATAGGAGGTGTGACCATTTTGTTTTTACACGTTTCTTTCTGGGAATGTTGAAACAAAAGTTTTACTAGCTCTATCTTCGTATTTTGTAACTTCAAAATGCCTAGAGTCTGTGTTACATGTTAAAACACCTGATTTTGGCCGGGCATGGTGGCTCACGCCTGTAAACTCAGCACTGTGGGAGGCTGAGATGGGTGGATCATTTGAGATCATGAGTTCGAGACCAGCCTGGTCAACATGGTGAAACTAAAAATACTAAAAATACTAAAAATACATGTTCTGGGCTGGGCACGGTGGCTCATGCCTGAAATCCCAGCACTTTGGGAAGCCAAGGTAGGGGATCACTTGAGACCAGGAGTTCAATCGAGACCAGCCTGGCCAACACGGTGAAACCCCATCTCTATTCAAAATACAAAAATGAGCCAGGCGCGTGCCTGTATTCCCAGCTACTCAGGAGGTCGAGGCGGGAGACTCGTATGAACCTGGGAGGCGGACGTTGCAGTGAGCCAAGATTGCGCCACTGCACTCCAGCGTGGGCAACAGAGTGAGACCCTATTTCAAAAACAAAACAAAACAAACAAAAAAAACAAAACATGGTCTCTACTAAAAATACAAAAATTAGCCAGGCATGGTGACATGTGCCTGTAGTCCCAGCTACTCAGGAGCCGAAGGTTGCAGTGAGCCAAGATTGCACCACTGCACTCCAGCTTGGGCAACAGACTCCATCTCAAAAAACAAACAAAAAACCACTTGATTTTTAAAAAATAGTTGGGGTAACAATTCTTCCATATTTTTCTCTCCAGAACTATAGGTATATATCCATAGCATCCCTTAATTTGGAAAACCACTTCTCTACTCCAGGTAGGCCCAGTGGTGTTCAAGGTCACAGAATCCTGTCTCATTATGGTGATGTGTCCATGATTCAAGTTAATTAGGTCTCACTGTGGCCTTGGCCACAGTTAATTGGTTCAATAATACAGAAACATGATCTAAGTATGGCAAATTTGTCTTCTCTTGGATTGATGGAGATGAGAGATGTTCTTTTTGCAATGGAAGTGATTTGAGGCTGCTGGTAGCTATCTTCTTTGGCCTCAAGAGAAACTAACTCCATAATGCTAAGAGGTATAGAGAAATTCAGATAGAACACTTTGATTTAGCAATGCATGGTCTATTCTTGCCTTTTCCAGTTAAATGAGTATAAAGTTATGCTTAAATGGGTTTCTGGGGCTTCAAGTTTTAATGCATTTTAACAGAAGCATTAGATAAAATGAGTATGAACAGAACTCTGTTATTCTCATCCTCATTATTTACGAACAAATACAGAGCTGTCTACAGCTCAAAGGATGGTTTACCTATTTCATTTTCAAAAATAATTTGCAAAACATTTACCTATGAACTCTAAGTGACTACAAAGCATTACTGTAGTAAGTCTACTTCTTTATCATACCACAAAACCACAATAGCTAGAAGACAAAATGTTTTATTTTAAAACATTGAAAAAACATTAAAAGACAAATGTCCATTATGTAACCAGGAATGTTAAATATATGGAAACGGTAAATCTCTAAAATGTGGTAGGTACTTCCAGAGCTAAATGTTGCAAGTTATCCTACTTTTTTCTCTAATATCAACAATACCTGATACGATGAAAAATAACAAAAAGACCTTACTAATTATCCAATCAAAGTCATCATCTTTGGGTAAATTTATATCAACACAACTTAAAGTTTTGTCCAAGATGTTCCTGACACATGAAGCTTCCAGTTGAATTTCAGAAATGTTAACAAAAGTATCTTCCTTTTTTGCCTGTGAATGTTTGAGTATTGCTGTATTGTTGGCTTATATCCACTACAGATACTGGTTCTAGGCCAGCCCAAGGATCTTCAAGCATTGAAGGCTTGAAATAATTTTCCAACTCATTAGACATTCTTTTTTCTCTAACACGCCCTGATCCAAATGGTGTAGATGTCCTTGGAGAACCCTTTAGAAAAAAAATCAGTTAAAAAAACACTTAGTAAAGATAATTGGTACTTCTTCCTTTAGCTAAAGGTTAGCGGGAATCACATTGCTGCTTAAAAGTTGTGACTTGAACCTAAATAATGTTCAATTACAAAGTCCATGCTTCCTTTAATCAAGTGTTCCTATTTTTTAAAAAAAGTACTTAAAGCAATTCGTTATTCTCATTTATTTATAATTCCATGACCACTGTCATCTCAAATACTTTTGTGTCTAATGTAGTAACTTTGCAGTAATTAAATACAAGCAGTGATGAAATCAAGTAATTATATTCAATTTTCCCTCGAAATTTTCACTTTTTTCAGGAGAAAACAATACTATAGTTTTAAAGTTTCTAGAACCTTTCTAGCTCATGAACATTTTCTTTACTCCTTAGCTCCAGGCTCAAAAGGGGTAGGGGGTTGGTGTAGAATACAGCAAGTTGGAAAACCACGTAGTTGCAAGTTGTAAACCACAGAAATCCCAGACATGCTAGAGATACTCTCTCTGTCTTTTGTATTTACTCTCACTAAAGGAATGGAAAACTTCCACTACCACCGATTTTCTTTTCAGGGAAGTTGGAGCAGAAGCCAGTGTAGCTCGAAAGAAAGATAAAAAAAAAAAAAAAAAAAAGAAAAAGAACTATTTCTTGAAACAAACTGGCAAGGCCTTTGGCAAACAGGAGGAAATGGAGAATTAGGAAAATCTGTGTACGGGTGGCAGTGTATTGGTTAAAAGCACGAGGGCTCGAAAACAGAACGTACGGCTCTGCCACTCTTTCGGATAATCTTCCGGAAGTCACTCAACTTCTCTAAGCCTCAGTTCGCTCATCTGCAAAATTGGGCTAACAATAGTACCTCAGAGAGGATTAGACAAAATAATCCACGTAAAGGGAATATTAGTACCGTGCCTGCCATAAAGTAAGAGCTCGGCAAACGCTGGCTATTATTATTACCTGGGGGTGGGTCTGCTGCTGCCCTGGGGAGTAGCCGAATTGCTGCTGGGACCCCGCGGGGGACCTGGAGTAGGAGCCAGGGTAGCCGCCAGGGGACGGAGACCCGAACCGGCCCCCCGGGAAGCTGCCGCCGTGTCGCGGAGAGTGACTGCTCCCGTACGGCCTAGACCGGGGCCCGTACGGCGGCGTGTGGTGCGGACTCCCGTACCCGTCTCGAGGGGAGGGCGGCCGTGGTCCGCCCCCGCCCGGGGTTCCCCGGAAGCTGCTTCCGCTACCCCAACCTCCTCCACCCGGACCAGGGTAAGGAGGAGTTGGGGGCCGAAAATTCTGTCGCTGCATATCAGGAGCCAAAGCCGAAAACCTCGCAGCCGCGTTCTCCCACCGGAACTGTATCAACCGGCCCTCCGCAGAGAACTGCTAGTCCTTTACCAAAACAGTCCTCCGACCGCAGCCACCCTACGGCACATCAGTTCCGGCGTCACAAAGGTTCCGCCAGGGGCGGCGGGATTACCTAAATCACTGACTTGGCGAGAGACTCAGTGGATTTAAGTGAAAAGAGGAAGAAAAGGAGACAGGAAAGGACGGACACCCAAGCCCAGCAACAACCTTTCCAGTCTGAGTGCCCTTGGTCTGACCGACAGACTAGAAGCTGGCCCAGCAGGCGACTAGTGCTCAGCCCCGCCCGGCGGGGGCGGGGTCTGCGGCGTCCGTGGGCGCCCCCCAGTGGCGGCGGGTGGCGCCGCACGGAGTTCGCCGCTTGCACCGGGACCGATGCCATCTGAGACGCACGCGATGCTGGCGACGCTGGCGAGGGTGGCAGCTCTGCGCAGAACCTGCCTCTTCTCCGGCCGGGGCGGCGGGAGGGGGCTGTGGACTGGCCGCCCGCAGTCAGGTACCCTCCGAGATTCGGTCTGGGTGGCTAAAGGGATCCCTGCCCCAGCTTGCCTCCTCGGGCGCCCTGAGGAGAGCAATTAGGGTCTGAAGTCTCTGCTGACCCCTTAGCGGTGGCTTTGCTCGCCTCCCTGCAACCCCGTTCCGTGGGCCTGCGGCCGGCCTGCCCCGCTCTGGCCGCCCAGGGTCGCCTCTGTCCCGTGCGTTGTTGTGACCGAGGGCTCCGTGCGCCGTGGGGTCCCGCTCCTGCGCGTCCCGCGGCTCGCGTTTGGGGCCTCTTTACTCCTGTCCTTTCGTCCGCCAAGTTTAAGTAACTTCGAAAATGCACACCAAGCCACATTTCAGAAAGGACTTTAGCCCGCTGCTTTGAATAACTTGACACTTCATGTACAATAAAAGATGCCCTTGTACAGTTACCTGTTGCAGAATTTTATTTAGAGGATGAAATTTAGCTTTACTACAGTGTTATAGAACTTTCTTTACTCCCTCTGAATTTGGGAATGGTAATCCACTATGAATCTTTTTTTTCCTTTTTTCTTTTTTTCTCTTTTTTTTGAGACGGAGTCTCGCTGTCTCGCCCAGGCTGGACTGCAGTGGCGCGATCTCGGCTCACTGCAACCTCCTCCTCCCGTGTTCAGGAGATTTTCCTGCTTCAGCCTTCCGAGTAGCTGGGATTATAGGCATGCGCCACCACGCCCAACTAATTTTTGTATTTTTAGTAGAGACGGGGTTTCGCCATATTGGCCAGGCTGGTCTCGAATTCCTGACCTCAAGTTATCCTCCCGCCTCGGCCTCCCAAAGTGTTGAGATTACAGACGTAATCTCTATGATTATGCGCGCGGCCCACTATGAATCTTGAAATTAGTTGCAGGATGCAGGATTTTTTTTTTTTTTTTTGAGACAGTCTCGCTCTGTCGCCCAGGCTGGAGTGCAGTGGCGCGATCTTGGTTCACCACAACCTCTGCCTCGCGGGTTCAAGCGATTCTCTTGCCTCAGCTTTCTAGAGTAGCCGAGATTACAGGCATGTGCCACATGCCCGGCTAATTTTTTTGTATTTTTAGTAAAGACGGGTTTCACCATGTTGGCCAGGCTGGTCTCAAATTCCTGGGCTCAAGTGATCCGCCTGCCTCTGCCTCCCGAAGTGCTGGGATTTCATGCGTGAGCCACCGCGCCTGGCGTAGGATACAGAATCTTAAAAGAGCTTTAGGACTCATTAAATCATAGCCTAACGGGTAGCCTGGACCTGTGATTTCCATTCACCCTCTTGTAGCTGCTACTCCTCGCTGTCTCTTTGACATGTTCTGTGACATCCCAAGCTGACGAGTGTGGTATCTTCTCAGCTTCTATCCTCCTTGATGAATGGAGACACACACAGACAGTTTTTTTGTTTGTTTATTCTGTGGAAATTCAATTCACTACATTTCGTTTCTTCTGTAGATACAAGTGATAGACTTAATCAAGGTAGCACGTTGCCATTAAGGCTTAGTGATACAATTAAGGTCGGAGGACTCCAGCCTATCCACTTTATTAAATACAGTAGTTCTGTCCTGGCCAAAAATTCACCTTTCTGGACATTGTCTTTAGTGTTTAACTTAATGCTTGGGAATTGCTCATTTGAATATTTATTGAATAAAATGACCTAGGTGGGACGATTGCTTGAGCCCAGGAGTTGAAGACCAGCCTGGGCAACATCGTGAAGCCCCATTTCTACCAAAAATACAAAAAAAATTAGCCGGGCTTGGTGGCGTGCGCCTGTAGTCCCAGTTGCTTGGGAGGCTGAGGTGGGATGGCTTGAGTCCTAGGAGGTTGAAGCTGCAGTGATCCGCTATTGTGCCACTGCACTCCAGCCTGGGTAACAGAGCGAGACCCTATCATGCCCCCCCACCCCACTGGAAAAAAAAAAGGTTCACATACATCACATAGGTAATTTTCACCTTTTAGATCATCAGCCAGTCTACTCAGGGGAGGGGGCAGAAAAGTGAGAGTGGTGGGGACCAAAATTAACTTTATTATTATTATTATGGACATGGGGTGGTCTCACTCTGTCACCGAGGCTGGAGTGCGGTGGTGAGATCACAGATCACTGCATCCTCGACCTCCTGGGCTCAAGTGATCTTCCCACGTCAGTCTCCCAAGTAGCTGGGAGTACAGGCTCATGCTACCATGCCTGGCTAATTTTTTTATTTCTTTATTTTTTGTAGAGACAGGGTCTTGCTGTGTTTCCCAGAACTCCCCACCTCAAGCATTCCTCTCTCCTGCCTTGGCCTCCCAAAACTCTGCAATTAAATGGTGTGGTGAGCCACCATGCCCAACCAACAAATTAATTTAATAGTAAACAGTTTAACTGATGGACGCCTAATGAGTATATAGATCTTTATTCCATCAACCCATTTATCTGTATAACTTCAATCTAACTAAAGTTCACTAAAATTTATTAAAATTCAAAAGCCATGCTCTTTTTAAGCTTCTAGTAGTACATTTTGTAGCAAGATAAAAGTGACCAATAAAAAAGTTTGAGTTGTGTTTTTCTGTCGTATAGCAGTATACTCTCTCTATATATTTTTTATTTATTTAAGTATTGAGACATGTCTTGCTCTTTCATCCAGGCTGGAGTGCAGTGGCGCAATCCCAGTTCACTGCAACCTCTGCCTCTCTGGGCTCAAGCAATCCTTCCACCTCAGCCTCCCAAGTAGCTGAAACCAGAAGTGTGTGCCACCATGCCTGGCTAATTTTTGTATTTTTTGAAGACATGGGGTTTTGCCATGTTGCCCACACTGGTCTTGAACTCCTCAGCTCACAGAATCCAGCCACCTGGGCCTCTCAAAGTGCTGGGATTACAGGCATGAGCCCCCTGTGCCCCAGCCAGTTATGATTTTGTTTTGGCATATATTCATGGGGGTACAAGTGCAGTTTTGCTACATTGATATATTGTATTGGGGTGAAGTCAGGGCCTTCAGTGCATCCATCACTGGCACAAGACACATTGTACCCAGCAAGCAACCTCCTGTAGTCCATCCCCTTCCCTCTACATCCCCAACCCTCCAAGTCTCCATTGCCCATCACTCCACACTCTGCTTCCATATGTACGCATTATTTACCACCAACTTATAAGGGAGAACAGGCAATATTTGTTTTTCTGTGCCTGAGTGATTTCACTTAAGATAATGGCCCCCAGTTCTATCCATGTTGCTGCAAAAGACATAATTTCATTCTTTTTTATGGCTGAATAGTATTCCATTTTGTATATATGCCATATTTTGTTTATTTAGTGCTCCATTGATGGGCACTTAGGTTGATTTCATATCTTTGCTTTTATGAATAGTGCCGTGATAAACATATGAGTGCAGGTGTCTTTTTGATGTAATGATTTCTTTTCCTTTGGGTAGATGCACAGTAGTGGGATTGCTGCATCTTCCGGTAGTTCTATTTTTAGTTCTGTGAGAAATCTCCATACTGTTTTCCATAGAAGGTGCACTGATTTACATTCCCACCAACAGTGTATAAGAAGAGTTCCCTTTTCTCAGCTTCCTCACCAACATCCTGTGATTTTTTTTGTCTTTTTAATAGCCATTCTGTTGTGTGTAAGATGATATCTCATTGTGGTTTTTAATTTGTATTTCTCTGATGATTGGTGATGTTGAACATTTTTTAAAAATTTTACTCATGGCAGTACACAGAAATTTTCAGGGAAGATTAAAAGGCATGAAAACATGACTCTTAATAGACAATTCTAGCAATATACAAACTATTTTTGTTTCCCTAGAGTCTTGAATTTTTTGTTCAACTCATTTTCTGGTTATGAATTTAAAATGATTACAGCATACTGCCAATGTTTGAGAAGAAATCTGTTATTGGATTAAGTTTAGGAATCAGGCTGGGCGTGGTGGCTTATGCCTGTAATCCTACCACTTTGGGAGGCTGAAGTGGGTGGATCACCTGAGGTCAGGAGTGAGCCGAGATTGCCCATTGTACTCCAGCCTGGGCGACAACAGCAAAACTCTGGCTCAAAAATAAATAAATAAATAAATAAATAAATAAATAAATAAATAAATAAATAAATCCAGGATTCATAATATTAATTAATTTATTTAATTTTGTGACAAAGTCTTGTTCTGTCACCCAGGCTGGAGTTCGATGGCAAGATCTCAGCTCACTGCAACCTCCACCTCCTGGGTTCAAGGATTGTTCTGCATCAGCCTCCACAGTAGCTGGGACTACAGGTGTGTGCCACCACGCCTGGCTAATTTTTGTATTTTTAGCAGAGACGGGGGTTTCACCATGTTGGCCAGGCTTGTCTCAAACTCCGGACCTCAGCTGATCCACTCACCTCAGCCTTCCAAAGTGCTGGGATTACAGGCGTGAGCCACTGTGCCCGGCTGATGGTGAACATTTTTGATATGCTTGTTTGTCTTTTGAAAAATGCCTACTCATGTCCTTAGCCCATTTGTTAATGGGATTATTTGTTTTTTGTTGTTGAGTTGTTTGAGTTGCTTACAAATTCTGGATATTAGTCCCCTGTTGGATATGTAGTTTGCAGATATTTTCTTCCATTCCTCAGGTTATCCGTTCACTCTGTTGATCATTTCTTTTGCTATGCAGAAGCTTTTTAGTTTAATGAAGTTCCATTTGCCTATTTTTGTTTTTGTTGCCCGTGCTTTTGAGGTCTCAGTCATGAATTCTTTGCCTAGATCAATGTCTAGAAGAGTTTCCCCTAGGTTTTCTTCAGTATTTTTAGAGTTTCATCCTTACATTCAAGTCTTTAATCCATCTTGAATTTATTTTTTTCTTTCTTTTTTTTTTAAGATGGAGTTTCGCTTTTGTTGTCCAGGCTGGAGTGCAATGGCGCGATCTCGGCTCACTGCAGCCTCCGCCTCCTGGGTTCAAGCGATTCTCCTACCTTATCCTCCCAAGTAGCTGGGATTACAGGCATGCGCCACCATGCCCCGCGAATTTTTTGTGTGTTTAGTAGAGACAGGGTTTCTCCATGTTGGTCAGGCTGGCCTCAAACTCTCGACCTCAGTTGATCCGCCCGCCTAGGCCTCCCAAAGTGCTGGGATTATAGGTGTGAGCCACCGTGTCTGGCCAAATTGATTTTTTTATATGGTGAGATACAGGGATCCAGTTTCATTCTTCTGCATATGGCAATCCAATTTTCCCAGCACCTTTTACTGAAAAGGGTATCCTTTCCCCAGTAAATGTTGTCGACTTTGTCAAAAATCAGTTGGCTTTAAGCATGTGGGTTTATTTCTGGGTTATGTATGCTGTTCCATGGATCTATGTGTCTATTTATTTATTTATTGAGGTAGAGTCTTGCTCTGTTGCCCAGGCTGGAGTGCAGTTGTGCAATCTCAGTTCATTGCAACCTCCGCCCCCCGGGTTCAAGCGATTGTCCTGCCTCAGACTCCTGAGTAGCTAGGATTACAGGCGCACGCCACCACACCTGGCTAATTTTTGTATTTTTAGTAGAGACGGAGTTTCACCATGTTGGTAAAGCTGGTCTTGAACTCCTGACCTCATGATCCGCCTGTCTTGGCCTCCCAAAGTGCTGGGATTACAGGCATGAGGCACCGCACCTGGCCCTATGTGTCTGTTTTTATAGACACTATGAGTATTATGCTGTTTTGGCTACTATAGCCTTGTAGTATATTTTGAAGTCAGAAAATGTGATAACACCAGCTTTGTTCTTTTTACTTGGGATATTTTTGGCTATTCGGGCTCATTTTTAGTTCCATATGAACTTTAGAATTGTTTTTTCTAATTCTGTGAAAAAATGATGTTGATAGAAATTGCATTGAACCTGCAGATTGCTTTGGGCACAATGGTCATTTTAACCACATTAATTCTTTCAGCCTACGTGCATGGGGTGTTTTTCCATTTTTTTGTTTCATCTATAGTTTCTTTCATCAGTGTTTTGTAGTTTTCCTTGTAGATTTCTTTCACCTTCTTGGTTAAATATATTCCTAGGTGTTTTATTTTTTTGTAGCTATCATAAATGGGACTGCCTTCTTGGTTTCGTCCTCGGGTAGAACATTATTGGTGAACAGAAATCCTAGTGATTTCTTTTCCTTTTTTTTTTTTGAGACAGTCTTGCTCTACTACCCATGCTGGAGTACAATGGTGCAATGTAGGCTCACTGCAAAGGCCTCCCAAAGTGCTGGGATTACAGGCATGAGCCACTGTGCCCATCTGATTTATAAATTTTTGACAGATTATGCATGAGAGTGTGCTTCTTGGGCCAGGCGCGGTGGCTCATGGTTGTACTCCCAGCACTTTGGGAGGCTGAGGCAGATGGATCACAAGGTTAGGAGTTCGAGACCAGCCTGGCCAACATAGTGAAACCCCGTCTCTAGTAAAAATACAAAAAAATAGTCAGGCGTGGTGGTGGGCACCTGTAATCCCAGCTACTTGGGAGGCTGAGGCAGGAGAATTGCTTGAACCCAGGAGTGGGAGGCTGCAGTGAGCTGAGATTGTGCCATTGCACTCTAGCCTGGGCGACAGACAGTGCAAGACTCCATCTCAAAAAAAAAAAAAAAAAGTGTGCTTCTTATCACATTTACAGGTAATATATGAAGATTGAGGGAGAGGGAATTCTTTTTTTTTTTTTTTGAGACAGGGTCTGACTCCAGTAGCCCATGTTATAAATAAAGGTTTGGTGCCACAAAAGAAATAGCACTGGAATATAAAATTTTCTTTTTAATTCTCAGCAAGGCAATGTACTTCTATAGAAGAATGCGCCCTTACAGATGGAACAATGGTGAGCACACACCTGGACAAGGGAGGGGAAGGGGTTCTTATCCCTGATGCACGTGGCCCCGCTGCTGTGTCATTCCCCTATTGGCTAGGTTTAGACCACACAGGCTAAACTAATTCCAATTGGCTAATTTAAAGAGAGTGACGGGGTGAGTGGTTTGGCAGGAAAAATGGTTATGGCAGAGCAGGAAATCTGAATGAGTCAGGGTGGAGAATGAGCAGGTAATCGGAATGACTTAGGGTGGAATAGGTAACTGGAATTAGTCATGGTGGAGCAGGTAATCAGAATGAGTCAAGGTGAAGCAGGTAATCGGAATGAGTCAGGGTGGAGCAGGTAATTGGAATGAGTCAGGGTAGAGCAGATAATTGAAAAAGGTTGCTTTACCAGGAAGTTAAGTTTAAAACTAGAAAGCAAAGAATTGAACCTACTGACAAACTGATTCTTTGAAGAGAAATTTAGAACTCATATCTAACATTCTGTCCTCTTGCATTTCCTTACGGCTCTTTTTCTTCAAACTTCTTTAACATGTCTTGGCTTAGTTGTTCTACAGATTTTCCAAAAGAAGAAGCTTCTTTACATAAGGCAGAGAATAGTTAAGGGAGGTTTTAGTAAGTGCTGTTTTTATGAGCCTCTGCACCAACCCATGGATGCATGGTGTGACACAGCACCTGACAAGAGTAAGTACACCCATTATGGCTGCGAGGGAAGTAAGAACTGAGGCTATTATTCTTTTCCACTTACTGAACCACTTTTCTAGCCATCCTGTAAAGGAGTCATTTACCCCTGAGTTGTTGGCTAACTCATTGGACACAGCACTCAGACCTTGCAATGCCTTTGTTATACTTCCATCAGGGACAGTGTTGTTTGGGATGAAGGTACAACATTTGTGTTTTAATCATGATACAAACTCCTCCTCTTTCTGCTAATATCATGTCTAAGGCTATCCTATTTTCCCAAGCCATGTGGCTTGTAGCCCCTAATTACTCAGCTATTCCTTTAACAGCATCTCTAGTATAGTTAATAAATTGCTGTTGGTTGTAATAGATGTAGTTTATCCAATCTACATTTTTATTAATTGTCACCCACCAAAATATTGACTCAAATTCTGTAGCTATTTGATTTTGGGGTTTAAATTGATCTGGTATTCCCTGTGGGACTCCAATTGCATTTAAATAGATGTGAGAGTCGAAAGACCCATAAGAGGCTTCCCTTGCTTTATGACGTCTGGTTTTTCCTTCCTCTGCTTGATGAAAGGCCAGAGTAAAAGGGATAGCCGATTGGACTAGAGCATAAATACTGCTCTAATTATTTGGCAGAGTGTCCAGTAAAGGTCCTCCATAATCCCACCATACATCCGCTTAGGGATGAATAAGGGCAGACTGATAGGTCAGCTCTTGGAAGTGCCACACTTCACTGCATCCTGTTAAGTCTCCAAGGAATGCCAAATTTTTCCCTTGGTCGTTGGAGACATGAGGTAAAATTGATTTTGGAAAATGGAGGCTGGATGGCCCTTGGGGGCTGACCCGCAGCATGCTGGACTTTGGGATATAGCAGAGAGAGAGTGTGGCACAACTTGTTACTCTAGGCTGTAGAATCCTGGAAAAGAGCTACCATGCAGCCCATGCCTGGTTGACTGGATGACCACCCTAGTGGAAAGGGGACAGTCTGGGCCTCTGGCCTGCGGTGCGCACAAGCATAACAATTGCTTTTGTTTAACGTGCAGACGGAATATTTGATCCATTCCAACCAGGCATTTGCATCTTGGTATCTTGTCTTAATTGCCGAAGTTTGTTTTAAGTCTTTAACTTGTATGATAGCTATCTTGGTCTTGTCGTTAGATGGAGGAGTGGCAATTGTTCAGTTGTGAGAGGTTTTGGAAGAAGGCTTAGAGGAAGGTGCAGGCACTGGGGGATCAAATAAACACATTTCAAAGAATCCAATAGGGTCTGTCCCTGAAACCTCAGCCCCCATACCATAAAACTGGCTTAAAGAAGGGAACTGGCTTAGAAAAGGGGAAGAAGTTTGAGGGTTCGAGATAATAACCTGTATTGGAATGCACTGGTTTAGCTGACCCCCAGTTGGGGGTTGGCTGTCCCTCTAGTAAAATGAATGTATGGTTTTAGGAAATTACAAAAACTGGTTGGGGCAGTCCATCCTTGCTCTTTAGTGGTCCACAGAATGTTGGACAAACTACGGCATAAAAGCTCTACACTGGGGGGCAAGACTCCTGGTTGACACTGGGGTCTTTACCAAAATCTCCCTGGATTAAGTGGTCTCAATTCACTAATGTCTAGTCTCAGGAGAGTCAGGAGGGAGAGAGGTACTTTTCTGAAGTAGAGAGCTGTCTTTGACTTGGCAAGTCCCCACAGGGTATAACAAGGCAAGCATCAAATGCAATAGTTTGAAGAGAAATTGACTTGGTTATGTTAATAACTAGATGGTCAGCAATAGAGCGAGGAAAGAAGAAAGAGTAATAGAATAGATGAAAGAGAGTGAAATTTTTCTTTGCTTTAGTTTGGTAGGGTTTTCCCCTGGGACTATGGCCCATGACTCTGGAGGGGGCGGCGCTTTCTTGACTCAGGTGTGATGAGTCTATTCCCTTTCCCACTGTAAGAACAGCAGTCTTGGTGGTTAGCAGCACAAGGTAGGGTCCTTCCCAGGGTGGCTGGAGTTTTCCTTCTTTCCACCCTTTGATGAGACCATGATCTTCAGGCTGTTGCTGGTTTACCGGAAATTCTAGGGGTGGTACCTGTGCTAAAAGACTTTTAGTTTTGAGGGAAAGGAAAGTGGAAGATAAACCAAGTATACAATTTCTAAGAAATTGATCTTTTGTTTTAAATGTGGGGACATCAGCAGTGGACTTTATAGTCCTTGGTGTCTTCTTA
Source organism: Homo sapiens (assembly GCF_000001405.40). Lineage (NCBI taxonomy): Eukaryota > Metazoa > Chordata > Mammalia > Primates > Hominidae > Homo > Homo sapiens. The sequence goes on from NC_000007.14 coordinate 40,144,756, forward strand.
CTGAGAAATTTCCTTTAGCACCTATTTTTATTAGTTTTTAGACCAAAGAAAGCCAAATACCATTTTATATTTGACAATGCTTCCTGTATGATTTTTATACCAGAAAAGCTAAATTTCACCTTTATATTAGTGTGCTATTAGTGATAAACTTAATTTTAATAAAACTTGTAGACACATTTATCCAATTTTTAATGTCTGACCATAAGGTAAGATTTTTATAGACTCTTTTTAACCTTGTATAATTTTTGTTAAAGAGCAGGTTAGTGCTTTAAGAAAAACCTGTTGTGCTTTTATTTTAATGTCCAGTTTACAGAAAAGCTGGATGATACCCCTTTAACTTTAGCCAATATGTTTACAAACAGAATTTTCTTTAAAATTAATGTTTCAAAACTTGCTTAAACCTTTAAAACAAAAAATTTTTTTAACCTTTTAATGTAGGTAAAAATCTACATTCTTATGCCTCATTATAATCCTTTTACCAAAAGTATATTTACTTTCCTTACACACCTTGCACATAAACTGTTTCTTCAATAGTTTTACAATCAAGAGGCCTAATTACTTGTACATTATACAACATTTCTTGCATAAATTCCCTTTTATAACTTTTTTTTTCACGACTTTCACAGACAATTCTTTGACATGCCTCAGCTTTCTCACTTGTTGCAACATCCCTTTCTTTAAACAACCAGTTAATTTATTTTAGGACAAGAATTTACTATATAACATTCGTTTTTACATAAATTCTCCTCCCCACTTTTTTTTTTTTTTCTCAAAGATAATAACCGTTCTTTTCCAAAGTGAACTTCCTTCATGTCTGTGGACTAGTCTAAGGCCACAAGATTAGAAGTTAGGATAATACATGTTACACTGTTAACTTTTAGCAAACTTTACTTTTGTTGAAAACCTTGTGAATTTGGGATTTCAATTATTCTTTGGTATTAATAAGACCCTGTTCAGTCCATATTAACTTAGAATTGATATAGATGGCTCCTTCCTGATTCTGTAAGTACTTCAAGGCTTGGCTGAGTACAAACAGCTGGCACGTTTGAGCAGCCCAATTATTAGGCAATTTTCCTAACTCGCTTCTGTTAGAGTTTCCTTATCCCTTACTGAATACCCATTGTGTCTTTTTCCCTCAATCACCTGGGAGGAATCATCTATCCTCCTGTCCTGAAGGGAGTTCCTCCAAGGTCTGGTCAGACCTTTGTACGGTAATTAAGATTTAGATCCTGTTAGGAAACCTGCTGGGTTAAGAGAATTTTCAGTGGTTAATGTTAAATCATCTTTTTCTAACAGAATAGCCTCATACTTTAAGGTTCTTGAGTCAGTAAGTTACCTTTTTTGCTTTTTTTTTTTTTGACTTAGTATAGTTCTGACCTGTTGAGCTGTGCTCATAATGTTTCCTCTGAAAGTTATTTTTCTACTTTCTTCTGCTAGCAAAGCAGTTGCCGCTACAGATTGAATGCATTTGGGCCATCCGCAGGTTACTGGGTTAAGGATTTTTGATTAGGAAGGCTAATCAGTGGCCTCAGCTTGTCAGTGGCCTCAATGCTTTCAGGCTACGCCCTTGTTTACAGTGACAACTGCTGAGACCAACTCAGTCATGGAGACCCTAACCCAGTGTCGCTAGAGGAAGTAAAGACACACACGCAGAAATATAGAGTGTGGAGTGGGAAATTAGGGGTCTCACAGCCTTCAGCGCTGAGAGCCTTGAACAGAGATTTACCCACATATTTATTGACAGCAAGTCAGTCGTAAGATTTACTAAAAGTATTCCTTATGGGAAACAAAGGGTTGTGCTGGAAATAAAGGTATGGGCTCTGGCTAGTTATCTGCAGCATGAACATGTCCTTAAGGCACAGATCGCTCATGCTATTGTTTGTGGTTTAAGAACGCCTTAAGCGGTTTTCCACCCTGGGTGGGCCAGGTGTTCCTTGCCCTCATTCCGGTAAACCTTCCAGTGTGGGCATCAAGGCCATCACGAGCATGTCACCGTGCTGCAGAGATTTTGTTTATGGCCAGTTTTGGAGCCAGTTTATGGCCAGATTTTGGGGCCTGTTCCCAACAGACAACAAGGTGGTATTGGAGTGTTATAGGGTCACAGAGAAGACCTTCAATTATAGGTTTTAAATTTACCTTGGCTTTTAAAGGAATAGGGTACACTGTTTTCTCTTTACTACTTCTATCTCTCTCCTTCTTTCTTCCTCTCTTTGACTTCCTGTCTCTTTCTGTCTCTTTGATTCCCTCTTTGTCTCTCTGTCTCTTCCTCTTTCTCTCTGCCTCTCTTTCTCTCTCTTTCTTCTCTCTTTCTCCTCACTCTCTCTCTCTCTCCCTCTCTTTCCTCTCTGCTGGTCTTTCCCTGCCTCTGCCAGCCGCTTATGCTGCTGTTCTCCCCTCTCCTTCCCCTTCCGCTAGGGGAGGGACCAGCAGGAGTGGACCTACTCTTTCTTCCCTAGAGAAGAAAGGAAAGGGGAGTTCTGAATATTTTTCTTACTACTGGAGGTTTGTGTGAGGTTCAACCCCCTCCCCATGGGGATTTCTTACCTCTTTTTGAGGTTCAACCCCCCCATCATGGGGATTTCTCACCTCTTTCTGAGGTTCAACCCCCGCCTTCAATGGGGATTTCTCACCTCTTTTTAACCTCCAAGCATCCCGACTAAGGAATACTTCACCACATCCTGTGGCTTTCTTTCCCTAGTCCCGACTAAGGAATGCTTTACTGTCCCTGCGGTTTCTCTCTCCTTGGTATGTCCTAACCAAGGAATACTTTACCACCCCGCAGCTTTTTCCTTAGTCCCGACCACCAAGGAAATACTTTACCCGCTCCTGCGGCTTCTCCTTCCTTGGTCTGTGCACAGAGTTGTCACCACAGTATGTGAGGATTCTTTAAGCTAGGTTGCTGGCCAGTTTCTCTCCGCGTTGCTGAGAGCTCGGGTTATTCCTCCCACTGGGTGGGTCCTGATTTCTCACCCCTGAGGCCGCCACAAGGGGGCGGGGCGGACCTCCTCATGAGAGAGAACCAGAGACCACCCCCAGAGGGGAATGTAATCACAGGAGACCCCCCAAATTGTTATAAAGTTTCTGTGCTGCAAAAGAAATAGCACTCGAATATAAAATTTTCTTTTTAATTCTCAGCAAGGCAATGTACTTCTTTAGAAGGGCATGCCCTTACAGTTGGAGCAATGGTGAGCACACACTTGGACAAGGGAGGGGAAGGGGAGTTTATCCCTGATGCACATGGCCCCTGCTGCTGTGTTGTTCCCCTATTGGCTAGGGTTAGACCGCACAGGCTAAACTAACTCTGATTGGCTAATTTAAAGAGACTGACAGGGTGAGTGGTTTGGCGGGAAAAATGGTTATGAGAGAGCAGGAAATCGGAATGAGTCAGGGTGGAGTAGGTAATCAGGTAATCGGGATGAGTCAGGGTGGAGTAGGTAATCGAAAAAGGTTGCTTTATGAGGAAGTTAAGTTTAAAAGTAGAAGGCAAAGAATTGAACATACTGACATATTGATTCTTTGAAAAGAAATTTAGAACTCCTATCTAACACAGGCAATTATGTTTCCTAAGAAATATGAATGGACTGTCAGTTGTGGAAAGGTAAAACCTGGCCGGGCGCGGTGGCTCATGCTTGTAATCCCAGCACCTTGGGAGGCTGAGGTGGGCGGATCACCTGAGGTCGAGAGTTGGAGACCAGCCTGACCAACATGGAGAAACCTCGTCTCTACTAAAAATACAAAAATAGCCGGGTTTGCTGGCACATGCCTGTAATCCCAGCTACTCAGGCAGCTGAGGCAGGAGAATCACTTGAACCTGGGAGGCAGAGTTTGCAGTGAGCCGAGATGACGCCATTGCACTCCAGCCTGGGCAACAAGAGCAAAACTTCATCTCAAAACAAAACAAAAAACAAACAAAAAAACCAGAATGAAGACCCAAACCCATGATGAGGTTTATGAGCTCCTATACCATCTTGAAGTTACAGAAAGAATGGGGGATTGGATTCTGATGAAAGAGGTTATGGGAACCGGGAGAGAAGAGGAACTCTGTTGGGGGAAATAAAGGATTGCTAGGGAGAATGAATGGATGCGGATGGAGATTAACTGGTAAATAGTTCTCTTTAGAATTTGAATGAGTCTGAGAGACAGGCTTTATCTTCTGAAAGGGCCTGTTCAGTTCTGATTACATTCTTGGTCTTCCAGGGAGGGGAGGAAAAAACAGTTGTTCTTCTTTGGTGGGTGACCCTGGAGTTTTGGCAGATAAAAATCTTAAACTTCTTTAGAAGAGATGGTAGGGGTGGGGAACCTTGGAGAGTCCTTGAGGTTTCTCCTTTAGTTCAGCATGTCAATGTGCCATATTTTGGGGTCTCAGTTTTTGAGTCCCAACACAGTCCATTCTTTGAAAAGTAAAATAAGCATGTAGCTTATTTTACATTTAAAGATTTAGAGATACAACCTTAAATACTGGATTTTTATACATGTAGCTAGGGTCTTCCTGAAACCGCCTTTGCAAAATTATGACTGAGATAGTGAAAGAGATCTAACTTAACTGACTCCATCTTGCTTCTAACCTCCAAGCTGTCCTTGTTCATTCCTGGGTGTAGGCTGAACTAACTTTAGGAGAAACTTAGTTTATAGTTCATAGTTTAAACAAAGACTGTAACAGCCCTTTCCCAAAGCATACCTCCTTCTTGTCTGGGGACTAGATTTCCTTTGTAGGACTAGCATTAGCCATAAGATTAGAAATTATACTTTAGGGCTGGGCGCGGTGGCTCATGCCCGTAATCCCAGCACTTTGGGAGGCAAGTGGATCAATTGAGGCCAGGATTTCGAGACCAACCTGGCCAACATAATGAAACCCTGTCTCTATTAAAAATATAAAAATCGGCCGGGCATGGTAGCTCACGCCTGTAATCTCAGCACTTTGGGAGGCCGAGGCAGGTGGATCACCTGAGGTCAGGAGTTCACGACCAGCCTGGCCATCATGGTGAAACCCCATCTCTACTAAAAATACAAAAAATTAGCCAGGCATGATGGCAGGCGCCTGTAATCCCAGCTGTTCAGGAGGCTGAGGCAGGAGAATTGCTTGAACTTGGGAGTCGGAGGTTGCAGTGAGCTGAGATCGCGCCATCGCACTCCAGCCTGGGCAACAAGAGCAAAATTCTGTCTCAAAACAAACAAAAAATTACAAAAATTAGCAGGGTGTGCTGGTGTGTCCCTGTACTCCCAGCTACTCAGGAGGTTGAGGTGGGAGAATGGCTTGAACCCGAGAGGCGGAGGTTGCAGTGAGCCAAGATCACGCCACTGCACTCCAACCTGGGAACAGAGTGAGACCCTGCCTCAAAAAAATAATTATGGTTTAGGAGTCATGCGGCCGGAGGCTACAAGATTCTGACCCTCCCAGAACTACTCCTAAGATCAGTGCTTGAGATATTTTGCAGACCCTGCACTTGATGGATCAGCTGGCCCCACCTAGATCAATAAACTGGCTCATCTGATCTTGTGGCCCCCGCCCAGGAACTGACTGATCAAGAAGACAGCTCTGACTCCCTGTGACTTCATTCTGAGCAATCAGCACTCCTGGCTCACTGGCTCCCCCAGTCCTCACCAAGTTATCCTTAAAACCTCTGCTCGCTGGGCCGGGCACGGTGGCTCACGCCTGTAATCCCAGCACTTTGGGAGGCTAAGGCAGGCGGATCACTTGAGGCCAGGAGTTTAAGACCAGCCTGGCCAACATAGTGAAACCACATCTCTACTAAAAATACAAAAAACAATAGCTGGGCGAGGTGGTGGGCACCTGTAATCCCAGCTACTCGGGAGGCTGAGGCAGGAGAATCACTTGAACCCAGGTTGGGAACATTGCATTGAGTCGAGATCAGCCATTGCACTCCAGCCTGGGGAACAAGAGCGAAACTACACACAACAAAACAAAACAAAACAAAACAAAACAAACTCTGCTCCCTGAATTCTGGGGAGACTGATTTGAGTAATAATAAAACTCCGGTCTTCCGCTCAGCCAGCTCTGCGTGAATTACTCTTTCTGGATTGCAATTTCCCTGTCTTGATGAATCGGCTCTATCTAGACAGTGGGCAAGGTGAAACCCTTGGGCAGTTACATTCCTAGGCCTTAGCCAGGGAATTACCATGTATATGATGATGAATTCAGGAGAGAAGAGATGAAGAGAAAGGGAGAAAGTTTTATCTTGGCTGGGCACTGTGGTTTACGACTGTAATCCCAGCACTTCGGGAGGCTGAGGCGGGCGGATTGCAAGATCAGGAGATTGAGACCTTGCTGGCCAACATGGTGAAACCCTGTCTCTACTAAAATACACACAAAAAAATTAGCTAGGCGTGGTGGCGTGCACCTGTAGTACCAGCTAATTGGGAGGCTGAGGCAGGAGAATCGCTTGAACCCGGGAGGCGGAGGTTGTAGTGAGCCGAGATTGCGCCACTGCATTCCAGCCAGGTGACAGAGTGAGACTCCGTCTCTAAAAACAAAACAAAACAAAATAAAGAAACAAAGTTTTATCTTGGATTACCTAGAGTTAGAAAAGTTAAGAACTGGAGGTGGCTTCCAGTCGTGTGACCTGAGCACATGAGGCCAGTGGAATGCTGGAGCTGAAAGCATCTGTGTGGCAGCTGGACATGTCCTTTTCACTGGCTTCAGCTGCCTTTTTTAGATGAAGATTGTATTCACAGTGACTGTGAGCTCCTTAGGCACAGAAATTGAATCAGTGTTAAACACTATTGTATATGCCTGGCATTGGCACGAGGATAGTATAGATATTTCCAAGATCTCTCCTCATGGCCATCCTTGGATCCCAGAGCCTGGGACAGTGTTAGGGATCTTGGAAGCACTGCCAACATGTCTGACATTCAAGAAGCCACTAACAGCTCCTAGTTGTAAACCTGCATGAGAACCAGAGGTCTGCACAAGTGACAGAAAGTGACCTCAGAGGTGAGTCTTAGCTTCCTCAAGTCACTATGTAACTGCCCAGTGCATTCATTTTGCCCAGTGGCCCAGATACAGTTTAATTCATGCATAGCCAGCTGTACAAGAGACTGGAGATTTATTACTCCAATCAGTTTCCCTTAAAATTTGGAGACTGAGGTTTTCTAAGGATAACTTGGCAGGTTGGGAGCCAGAGGGTAGGGAGTGCTGATTGGATGGGTCAGAGATGAAGTCACCGGGGGTCAAAGTGGGTTTTTCTAGCTTTCTTTTGTTTCTGGGTGGGATCACAGAACAGGTTGAGCCAGATTATTGGTCTGGGTGGCACCAGCTGGTGCATCAGAACGCAGGGTCTAGGAAATATCCTCAGCACCAGTGTTAGGTTTTACAATAGTGATGTTATCCCTAAGAGCAACTGGGAAGGTTCAGAATCTTGCAGCCTCTGGGTGCATGACTCCTAAACCATAATTTCTAATCTTGTGGATAATTTGTTAGTTTTACAAAGGCAGTCTGGTCCCCAGGCAAGTAAGAGATTTGTTTTGGGAAAGGACTTTTATTGGCTTTGTTTCAAAGTTCAACTTTAAGTTCCACCCAAAGATAGTTCAGCCTATGCCCAGGAATAAACAAGGGCAGCCTGGAGGTTAGAACCAAGATGGAGTTGGTTAGGTCAGATCCCTTTCTCTGTTGTGACTTTCTCACTGTTTTAGTTTTCATCAAGGTGATTTCAACTATTGGAGCCAGCTTTGAGCAAACAGCTGTGGAAGAAGTGAGAGACAAATTGGGGTCACCATACAATCAGCAGAGACCATGGCAAGATATATTTTGTCATTTCAGTGAAAATTTGGCTTAGGTTTATTGTCCGAGATCGGTTGATAACTTATTTGTGGTTGTTCAGGAGTTTTAAGATTACTAGTTTAGAAAAACAAAGAAATTCTAAAGGATTTTGAAGACTTGGCTGGAAAACTCCCGTGGTCAAACACTTTAATTTTATGGAAAATTAAGGTGTTTTTTTTTTTTTGAGATGGAGTCTTGTTGTGTTGGCCAGGCTGGAGTGCAGTGGTGCGATCTTGGCTCACTGCACAAACTCCACCTCCCTGGTTCAAGTGATTCTCCTGCCTCAGCCTCCTGAGTAGCTGGGACTACAAGCGCCCACCACCGTGCCCGGCTAATTTTTGTATTTGTGTTTTTAGTAGAGACAGGGTTTCACCATATTGGCCAGGCTGGTCTCGAACTCCTGACCTTGTGATCTGCCCATCTCGGCCTCCCAAACTGCTGGGATTACAGGCGTGAGCCACTGCGCCCAGCCAATTAATGTTGATTTTAAGGAACAAACAAACAAACAAAAACAAAGCTCAAAAAGATAATTCAGAATTCAAGTAAAAGGAAGGTTCATGATGGACAAGAAGTCCAAACAGATGAAAGAGATGTTAAAAAAAAGAGTTCATTCACTACAATGTTTTAGATTCACACATCTTAGATTATTGTGAAACTCCAGCCATCAAAGGAGATAGCAACATTAGTAGGTGATGATTTGGCATCTTGCAGAGATGAGACTGATGAAAGCAAAAAAGAAGAAACTGAGCCTCAAGTGTAAAGTTTAGAGTCATGTGCAACAGAGTAGGAGAGAAATACTGCTTTCCCTCAAATGAGACTGGAAGAGATTCTGGGGGTGATGTTTAAGGCTATTTTAAGTGGAAGGCCGACATGACCAATTTGATGTTGCGATTCTTTTGAATATCCATGATAATGAAATCACTGTGGGCATGGCATTGACTAAAGCGAGTCTCCACTGAAGACGTATCACACATTTTGGACCTATGACTCTTTTGTACCTATCAACATTTTGGACCTATGGGCACATTTTGGACCTATCAACTCTTACCCCTGGGATACTCAGCCTCTGTGGTCTGCTACCTTATGTTATAATAGTCGATCCAATGTGTGGAACAGGGGCAATACCAATAGAGGGGACTACTTAATGTTTTCACGTTATATTCTGGTGATAATAATCCTCTGGTTGTGAATAGAGCAGCAAACAACATCACATCTTTATTGACCAAGAGCCAAATTAAAGAAGGCTAACCATCCTTGCCCATAGATGCTGTTCAATGGGATAAATGCAATATGCCATTAAGAACTGGCTCTGTGGATATTATTGTGGCAGATTTGCCATTTGGAAAAAAGATGGGATCCAAGAAGAGAAACTGGAACCTTCATCCACCTTGCCTATGGGAGATGAGTTGCGTCTGTGTACACCTACAACAGGCCAAGCTGTACGATGTACTCAGGACGCGAAATGCTTTACCAAAGCATTATCTGGCATGTGATGTGTATGGTGAAAAGTGGATACAGTTCGGGTGAACATTGGGGGTCTTTGTGCTGCAGTTTATATTTTGAAATGTACACCTCAAGCTTTTGTTCATCCTTCAGAACAAGATGGAGAAACAGGAGCTCTGGTAATGCAAAGATTGAAGCTAACTAATAGTACTCGTACTTCCCAACACTGGAAATGTCAGCATGAAGAACTTGCTTTGAGAGCAAAATAGTATTTAAAAAAGTGCAGTGTGCACTCTTTAAACCTGTTCAGAGCTCTTCACTCTAGTTGGCAAAAGATGTGAATGTAATGTAATGTAATGGGATTGAAAAAGTCTTATGAGAAAGCAGAGCTTTTCCTTGGCACTGTTTTGTGTTTTGGGCAATTAGTATTTTGCTTAAAATGCTTTTAAAGATGCCTAGTGAAAAGCCTAGTAAAACGCTCTGAGATTTGGGTGTAGAACGTTTTATTTTCAGGCTTAAAACTTTTTTTTTAATATTATAGTTTTTTGTAGAGATAGGGGTCTCACCATGTTGCCCAGGCTGGTCTTGAACTCCTGGGCTCAAGCAATCCTCCCAAAGTTTTGGGATTACAGGTGTGAGCCACAACACCTGACCTATTTTCAGGCTTTACGGCCTGTTTTCTATTTTGCCAAGCGGAAAGCTACTCTGGCCTAAAGGAAAGGCAGAGAACATAATTACATCTTAGGCCACATTTCATTGCCTGCGTATCTGTGCTATTCAGTTGCTCAAATTCTTTAACTCTAGAAGTGAAGTATTGCATTTTGTGAACAATGTTTGCCCCATAAGATGAAATCTCACAAGTCCTATAGGAAAGTTTACCATCTGCCTTAAAAATTAAAATGCACATCTGTTATTCAGATTAATATGCATCTGTTATTCAGAACTAAAATAGAGGACTAGGATTTATCAAAGGGATTGCAAAAATACTGTTAGTAGTAGCATAGAGCATTACTATTTGTAAACAGCAGAGGCAGGGCGTGGTGGCTCACGCCTGTAATCCCATAACTTTGGGAGGCCGAGGTGGGTGATCACCTGAGGTCAGGAGTTGGAGACCAGCCTCGCCAACATGGGAAACCCCGTCTCTACTAAAAATAAAAAAATTAGCTGGGTGTAGTGGCGCATGCCTGTAATTCCAGCTACTTGGGAGGCTGAGACAGGAGAATCACTTGAACCTGGGAGGCGGAGGTTGCAGTGAGCCAAGATTGCGCCACTGCACTCCAGCCTGGGCAACAGGGCGAGACCCCATCTCAAAAAAAAAAAAAATAGCAGACACATTGGTATTTGAGGTGTGGGACCCACAAAGCAAATTAAAAGAAATGTTTTCTTCCAGTGAAAAAAAAAAAAAGGACAAATGAAGAACTGGGATGATGCATGTGAGCTTATGGTGGCTGTCCTCTGAGCTAAGGGAAAAGGACACTGCTCGTTTTTGTGAGCAACATAGGTATGGTTCCCACAAAAAGATCCTTGTAGCACTGTTGAAGGAGGCCCAACATTAGAAGACAAGATCCTGGATAAGGCAGTGCTTTTAGGAAATATGCTTCCAGTGGCTAGGGGCTATCTTCAAGTGACATTGTATACAGAAGACATCATCAGACAAAAAAACCATCAAGGAACATTTGAGCACCCAAGCCTCTTGGGGAGCCCCATAAATAATTGGTTATTATTGTTAATAATTGGTTATTAATGATGTGGTGGTGTGTGTTTAGAAGTTCTGCTTTAATGCAAGTAAGGGTAACAAGACAAGAAAATTTAAGTATAAATGTAAATGGGACCTTGTCTATTTCTGTGAGGCTGAGGATTTTTACTTAGGATACCTAAGATTTTTTTTTTTTTTTTTTTTGAGATAGAGTCTCCCTCTGTAGCCCAGGCTAGAGTGCAGCGGCACAATCCTGGCTCACTGCAACCTCCACCTCCGGGGTTCAAGCCATTCTCCTGCCTCAGCTTCTGAGTATCTGGGATCACAGGTGTACGCCACCATGCCCGGCTAATTTTTGTGTTTTTAGTAGGGACGGGGTTTCACCATGTTGGCCAGGCTGGTCTCGAACTCCTGACCTGAAGTGATCCACCTGCCTCAGCCTACCAAAGTGTTGGGATTACAGGTGTGAGCCACTGTGCCTGGTCTAGGATACCTAAGATTTTTAGTGCTGACTGGGCGTGGTGGCTCACACCTATAATCCCAGAACTTTGGAAGGCCAAGGTAGGCGGATCACGAGGTCAGGAGATCGAGAGCATCCTGGCTAACACAGTGAAACCCCGTCTCTACTAAAAATACAAAAAATTAGCCCGGCGTGGTGAAGGGCACCTGTAGTCGCAGCTACTCAGGAGGCTGAGGCAGGAGAATGGCGTGAACCCGGGAGGTGGAGCTTGCAGTGAACCGAGATCACGCTACTGCACTCCAGCCTGGGCGACAGAGTGAGACTCTGCCTCAAAGAAATAGAAGATTTTTAGTGCCTTGTCTTAAAAAACTACACTTGGAAGCCCAATATATGAGCAAATGGGCTGTATTCAAAGGAGGAATTGGAGTCCCAGAGCCCTGCTCACTCTGTACTCCTATTTTAACTACCCTCCTACCCCTTCACCACCTCTGAGGTGGTGGCTCCTGGTGGCACCTCTGAGGAATTCCCAAGGCTCTGCAGAAAGGGTTTGAAAGCCACTATTTTAGGTAGATGTCAGGTATTAACCAGTGCTACAAATAGAAATTGTTGGTTAGTTTCACTATGTGTTATTAAGAAGTAAATATTGGCTGGACATGGTGGTTTACTTGAGGTCAGGAGTTCGAGACCAGCCTGGCCAACGTGGTGAAACCCCCGTCTCTACTAAAAATACAGAAATTAGCCGGGCGTGTTGGCACACATCTGTAAACCCAGCTACTCAGAGGCTGAGGTACGAGAATCGCTTGAACTCGGGAGGCAGAGCTTGCAGTGAGCCGAGATGGCACCACTGTACTTCAGCCTGGGTGACAGAGCAAGACTGTCTCAAAAAAAAAAAAAAAAGGTAAATATTTTCATGTTTCTGCATGGTCAGGGCTTTCTGAGCATAGAAAAGTAGAACCTGGGTTAAAAGACAAGCCTTGGAAGTTAAAAGATGACTTAAGGGATATAAAACCCAGAGTGTTGGAGGCATTCCCAAGATCGTAAACCCAGTAACGCTTATCTTACCTTCTCCTGGAGACATTTATTTATGTTCCAAAGGGTAAGATCCCAGGGATCTTCCCCTTTTCTTCCCAAGCAGAATTTGCTTACCATAGGTAGATTGCTTTCTTTCACTTTCTCAGGCGAAGGCGGCAGCTGGGCAGTTATCCTGTACAAACCTACAGATTCAAAATTTTGGGATTCTTCTCCTGTGGTTCAACCCTTACCTATCAATGGGTTTTCATTGCATTGTCTATGGGGTATTAGGTATGGGAAAATGATGTATGTCTTGACTTAAGTAATAATAACTCTGATCTCTGCTCCAGAAACTTTGTGTTTACTTTCAGGTTACAAGAATGAATCAATATAGAGATTAAAAACTTAAATATTTTTAATGTAAAATACTTCTTAGGAGAATATACTTAATAATTTCTCTGTACAGAAATGATTGTATGTATACTTCAGGTTTAAGCTTTACCTTAGTATTCCTAAAACTTTTCAGATTATATCAGTTTTCCTTATAGAGGTGCTTATTGTTAGCTGTTTCATGTTAAAGGCTACTAATAGTGGAAAAGTAAATGCTTCTGTAGGATGTGATTAGCTCACTCGTTGATAGGGTTAGACCTGCACTGAACACAGTAGATTGCTTAACTGTCACTTAAATAATGATCTCATTGATAAAGGGAGAATTAGAAGTGGCTTGTTTTAAAGGGTTTCCGAGAGTCAAATTCTACTGCTTCATTAAAATGTGGTATTTTGGGGCCAGGCACAGTTGCTCACGCCTGTAATGCCAGCACTTTGGGAGGCTGAGGCAGGCAGATCACGAGGTCAAGAGTTCAAGACCAGCCTGGCCAACATGGTGGAATCCCGTCTTTATTAAAAATACAAAAATTAGCCAGGTATGGTTGTGCGTGTCTGTAATCCCAGCTACTCAGGAGGCTGAGGCAGGAGATTGAACCCGGGAGGTGGAGGTTGCAGTGAGCCGAGAGCGTACCACTGCACTCCAGCCTGGGTGACAGAGCAAGACTCTGTATCCAAAAAAAAAAAATGTGATATTTTCATTTCCAATTATGCAAGGTAGTCAAGCACAAGAGAAATGTTTTATACATATTTACTTCTTTGTAGACTAATATTCCTCACCCAAGTGTAACACAGGTATTAATGCATTAAGTTATGCTTATAAAAGTTTTTCACTGAAAATAATAAAATTGCTGACAGATTATTTCTATATGAAGAGACATAGAGTAGGAATATTGTTTTCTAGATACAAGACTAAAAGTTTATTTAAAAATGAGTAAATATGGCTGAGTGTGGTGGCTCACGCCTGTAATCCCAGCACTTTGGGAGGCCGAGGCAGGCAGATCACCTGAGGTCAGAAGTTCAAGACCAGCCTGACCAATGTAGTGAAACCCATCTCTACTAAAAATACAAAAATTAGCCGGGCGTGGTGGCATGTGCCTGTAGGCCGAACTACTCGGGAGGCTGAGACAGGAGAATTGCTTGAACCCGGGGGGCAGAGGTTGCAGTGAGCTGAGATTGTGCCACTTCACTCCAGCCTGGGTAACAGAGTGAGAGTCTGTCTCAAATAAATAAATAAGTAAAATAAATAAATAAAATGAGTAAATAAAATTTTTATGTCCCTAGCATTTACATATTTGTATTTTTTCAATTGTTAAAATGATGGATACATTTTGCAAAAAATGTGAAATATTTAGGAAAACAGAAAGCAAGGAAAAATAGAGATCTCTTTTTAAAATTGTATTTCTTGAGACAGGGTCTGGCTCTATTGCCTAGGATGAAGTGCAGTGGCATGATCACAGCTCATTGCAGCCTTGACCTCACTGGCTCAAGTGATCCTCCTACCTCAGCCTGCTGAGTAGCTGGGATTACAGGCATGTGCCACCAGGCTTGACTAATTTTTTTGTATTTTTTTTATAGAGACAGGGTTTCCTCATATTGCTGAGGCCGGTCTCCAATTCCTGTGCTCAAGTGATCCGCCTGCCTTGGCATCCCAAAGTGCTGGGATTATAGGTGTGAGCCACCACGCCTGGCCAGATAATTTCTTTATGTCCGGTTTTTACACAGATGTGGCAGAGAGACAATTGGAGTAGTATTTTTAGGTTTTGTGGCTGGCATTGGCGAAAAGAGGTCTGGTTTCTGTGACCCTTCTTAGGGAAGAGGGATTCTAGTTTTTTTTAATTGTTGTCGTTGTTTGTTTGTTTTGAGACTGAGTCTCGCTGTGTTGCCAGGCTGGAGTGCAGTGATATGATATCGGCTCACTACAATCTCTGCCTCCTGGGTTCAAGCGATTCCCCTGCCTCAGCCTCCTGAGTAGCTGGGACTACAGGCACGCACCACCACGCCTGGCTAATTTTTCTTATTTTAGTAGAGACGAGGATTCACCATGTTGGCCAGGATGGTCTCGATCTCCTGACCTTGTTATCTGCCCACCTCGGCCTCCCAAAGTGCTGGAATTACAGGTGTGAGCCACCGTGCCTGGCCGGATTCTAGTTTTTATAGCTATCCTCAGAGGAGCATGGGACTGAGAGATAGGAAGGCAGGAGGTCAGAGAAAAACTTTGGCTTCTGAGGCTGCTGTGATGCCTACATTTTGGGTGTGGCTTCTGTGCCTCAACAATGGTAAACACCTACCTTTCTTCTGGGAGGGAGTCTGGAATTGTGCTACATGGTATGCAGAGAGTGCCTATGTAAATAGTCTTCAGTGAAAACCTAGGTTCTGAGTCTCTAATGGGTTTCCCTGGGCAGAAACTTTGTGTGTTTCTATATCTATTTTTTGTTGTTGCTGGAGAAAGAAGCATGCTTGATATGGCCTTCCATGAGAGCAAAAGAACATAAGCAGCCTCTGCATGGCATGAATTTTTTCCATCTCTACCTGTGTCTTTTCCTCTTGTTGGTCCTGTCATATGTCATTTTGCTGTAGTAAACCTTAGCTCTGTATACAACCAGATGGTTAGGTCCTGTGGATCCTCCTAGCAAATCACTGAAAATATGGGTGGTCTTGGGAAACCCTGAAACAATTCCAAAGGCAGAAACCATAAAATAATTTTTTTCTTTTTTTTTGAGATGGAGACCCGCTTTGTCGCCCAGGATGGAGTGCAGTGGTATGATCTCGGCTCACTGCAACCTCTTGCTCCCGGGTTCAAGCGATTCTTCTGCCTCAGCCTCCCAAGTAGCTGGGATTACAGGCATACGCCACCATGCCCGGCTAATTTTTGTGTTTTTAGTAGAGACGGAGTTTCACCATGTTGGTCAGGCTGGTCTCAAGCTCCTGACCTCAGGTGATCCACCCTCCTTGGCTTTCTAAAGTGCTGGGATTACAGGCGTGAGCCACCATGCCCAGATGAAATGATTTTTTTAAAACATGAAATCTTAAAACACCTTTGAAAAGTGAAGAGCAGATAGGGAAAAATTACTTTTACTAAATATGACTGATAAAAGATTAATATTCTTAGTGTATGTATAATTCATATAAACCTATAAGAAAAAGATAAATGTGCATGTAGAAATATGGACCAACATCAAGAATAATTTATAAGAGAAGATATAAAAAGAGCAGATTTAAAAGATGTTCAATTTCAGAAGTCATTAAATAAGTACAAATTAAAATAATAGTGACATGCAAATTTTTAACTGTTAGGTTGCAGCAAACAAACAAAAACTCCACAAACCCAGGAGATTATGTTTAGGGTTATGGAAGATGATAGAGAACATGATTTTCATAGCATACTGATATATACACACACACACATATATATAATATTATATATACCCTTTTTGGTGGACGGTTTGATAATATGTATTAAGAGTATTAAGGAATTCATAACATGAATATGGCTAGGCCACTTTAAAGCCTACCTCTGTCTTTGGAAGCAAGTTCTTTGCTTCCCCTTCTCTATCTCCAAAAACTCTGAAAGCACTAAAGACTAATTTTTACCTTTACTACCTGAAGAGAAGTCTCTGGGAGGATACCTTAGTCCAGCACATAGAAATTTCTAAACTTCTCTCCAGACATTTCTCTTGCTCTTCAGAGTTGCTCACTGGAAGCTGTTAAAAACAAAATCAAATCATAAAACAAATCTCTCACATATGTATCGCCCCCACGTTTCTTCCAAGCTGCCTCTTCCTTTCCCTTCTATTCCTCCGTGTTAAATATCTAAACTATTCCATGGAATGGGCTCTCTCTATATTTTTTTGTGTCAAGAGGCTCTTTGTATTCACACTCTTAACACTGCAACACTCCACTGTCTTCATCCACCCCATGCATATTTTTTTTGCTGTGACAATTATAATTCTCCTTAAGTACCTATGAAGTTGTTTGATCAACCAACCTAGAATGGTCACTACTTTGCCAGTTTTCCCCTGGATGGGATGCATTTTTCTTGTTTGCACTAAAGTCTTCCTTTTGGTCAGTCTTCTCCGTAGGAGAATCACGTCACCAATGTTGAGAAATTCCAGGGATCTTTTGGGTTTGTGAGCATTCTTATATTGAATAGTAATTTGCAGTGATCATTTCCCCTCCAGTTTCTGGTTCAATCCCTTCTAATCCTCTGGACAGCTAACTTCAGGATGGCCCGTTAAAGAAGCCTGAACACCTAAGTTTTTTCCTTTGACTTGTTGACTTTTGGTTGTGCATTCTATAACTGTAGGTTGATTTATAAAATCTATAAATTGGTACCATTTTGTACCCTTCCACATACCAATTTGAGGTGATTTTCTTTTTTATTTTTTTGAGACAGACTCTTGCTCTGTCACCAGGCTGGAGTGCAGTGGTGCGATCTTGGCTCATTGCAACCTCCGCCTCCCGGGTTCAAGCCATTCTCCTGCCTCAGCCTCCCAAGTAGCTGGGATTACAGGCGCCCACCACTATGCCCAGCTAATTTTTTGTATTTTTAGTAGAGACGGGGTTTCACCATGTTGGGCAGGATGGTCTCGATCTCCTGACCTCGTGATCCGCCCGCCTCGGCCTCCCAAAGCTCTGGGATTACAGGCATGAGCTACCGCGCCCGGCCGTGAAGTGATTTTCAAATCCTAAATGATTTGAAAAGGAATTATTTGCATATTTTAAGTTGATATTTTAAAGTTGTCATCGCTTATGTAAATTTTATACTGTAAACCAAGGTGAGAATAAGATCTGGGATATGTTAGGAATCTGCTTTCCTTTGCCTTGTAGGAGAAGGCTTATTGTGAAAGAAGGCTTACTTACAGGTTGATCAATTGTAGGAAAGAATACCTATGGAAGTTGAAGATCTGGAAATTGATTTACTGAAATGATTCATGCATCCCTTAGGCAAGTATTTTCCTTTTTTGTTAGACAGGGTCTTCCTCTGTTGCCCAGGCTGGAGTGCAGTGATGCCATCATAGCTCATTGCAGCCTTGACCTGCTGGGCTCAAGTGATCCTTCCACGTCAGCCTCCTGAGTAGCTGGGACCACAGGCATGCACCATCATTCCCAGCTGACTTTTTTACTTTTTATTTTTATTTGGCAAAGATGGCATCTTGCTATGTTGTGCTGGTTGGTCTCAAACTCCAGGGCTCAAGTGACACTCCCACCTTGGCCTTCCAAATGTTGGGATTACAGATGTGAGTCACCTCGCCCAGCCCTTAGGGAATTCTTCACATATTCCAATTTGAAGATTGCCACTAAAAGGACAGTGAAACAGTCTACCCTGAAATAGACATCCTAGTTGTTGATGGTGGTAACTCATTCAGAACTCATGCTGCCTCTGATGCCTGGCATCTTTATTGGGCAGGACTGGCGGGGTTGTGCTGCAGTACAAATTAGCCCAATCTCAGTTGCTCAATACAATAAAAACATCTTACATGTGTAGCTACACTATTTGAAATTTGTGGGCTCTAAGGAGAGTAGAGGCCTGGAGGATTTCATGGGGTGTTTTTAAAGGTCAGAGTTGGAAATGGCTTTTATTATTTTTGCCTGTGTTTCACTGGCAAGATCGAAGTCATTTGACTCCAACATAATTGCAAGAGAAGCTGGAAAATGTGGAAGAGCAGTGAGATTTGGGATTAGCACTGAGTTGTACTTTGATTGTGACATGCTTTAACCATGATTCAAAAGTTCTTTTTCTGGCCTTTTTGTACTATCTGCAAATTTCTCAAGCTTTTATTAAAAAAGTAGTGTTGGCTGGGCATAGTTGCTCACACCTGTAATCCCAGCACTTTGGGAGGTCGAGGTGGGCAGATTACAAGGTCAGGAGATCAAGACCATCCTGGCTAACACGGTGAAACCCCATCTCTACTACAAATACAAAAAATTAGCCGGGCGTGGTGGCGCGCACCTGTAGTCCCAGCTACTCGGGAGGCTGAGGCAGGAGAAACACTTGAACTGTGGAGGCGGAGGATGCAGTGAGCTGAGATCGCGCCACTGCACTCCAGCCTGGGTGATAGAGCGAGACTCTGTCTCAGAAAAAAAAAAAAAAAGCAGGTTATTATATAATATCTAGCACAGATTAGTTTTTTTGAACAAAAATGGTGCATCTGTGTATGCAGCCACCCACTTGTCTATCTCTGAAAGGATTTATACCCAAAACACTACCAATTATTACCTTTAAGTGACGAAAAAATGAGTGATTTCAATTTTGTCAATTTTCTTTAGCTCTATTTTCTTAATTTTTTGAATTGAATTTTTTTTTTTTTTTTAGACAGAGTCTAGCTCTGTCACCCAGACTGAAGGGCAGTGGCATGATCTCAGCTCACTGCAGTCTCCACGTCCTGGGTTTGAGCAATTCTTCTGCCTCAGTCTCCCAGATAGCTGGGACTGCAGGCATGCACCACCACACCCAGTTAATTTTTGTATTTTAGTAGAGATGGGGTTTCACTAGTTGGCCAGGATGGTCTCGAACTCCTGGCCTCAGGCGATCTGTCCACCTCGGCCCCCCAAAGTCCTGGGATTATAGGCGTGAGCCACCATGCCTGACCCTTGACTTTTTTTTTTTTTTTTGAGACGGAGTCTCGTTCTGTCATGCAGACTGGAGTGCAGTGGCGCAATATTGGCTTGCTTACTGCAACCTTCTCCTCCTGGGTTCAAGCGATTCTCCTGCCTCAGCCTCCCAAGTAGCAGGGACTACAGGCACCTTCCACCATGCCCAGCTAATTTTTTTGTATTTTTAGTAGAGATGAGGTTTCACCATATTGGCCAAGCTGGTCTCAAACTGCTGACCTTGTGATCTGCCTGCCTTGGCCTCCCAAAGTGCTGGGATTACAGGCATGAGCCACTGCGCCCGGCCTGAATTGTTTATGTAAA
This sequence comes from Homo sapiens, assembly GCF_000001405.40. Taxonomy (NCBI): domain Eukaryota; kingdom Metazoa; phylum Chordata; class Mammalia; order Primates; family Hominidae; genus Homo; species Homo sapiens. The sequence goes on from NC_000007.14 coordinate 40,164,445, forward strand.
GAGAAAACATGGAAATTAATTGCAAAAGTTGAGGATTTTTTTTTCTGTTTTTGTTGTGTCTCTGTATTTACTTTATTAATGTAACAGAGGCTTCAGAAAATTAATATTAATTAGTTGAATTGGAAGGTGAATTCCTATTTTGTTTTTTATTATGCATAAACATTTGATGCTGAAAATTCATGTCCCCTCTGCCTCCAGAGATTTCAGAAAAAGAAATCTAATTAAAAATTATCATCTCGATGTGATTCTTTTGTGAGTGATTGTGTTAAAGAGGAATAAAGTGGATGATGATGAGACAATAATTAATCCGTCAATACATACTCATGAATTTCCATGATGAACAGAATTGAAGCCTCCTTGAGTCCATGAAGATCTTTTACTCTCCTTTTCCACGAACCTCATTTCTTATTTCCCATGAACCTAGAAATTGAAAACAATTATTGCCTGCTGACTCCCAAATTATTATTTCCCTGGAATGTCTTCCAGTGGATACTAATTTTCCAGGTACCCTCCACTCCTAAAATTTCCTATCAAACTAGGTTGTTAGGAACAGAGCTTCTTCTGTGACTTCAGACACATGCTGGAAAGGAAACATCATGCTAACTATTATAGATAAAGCTTCAGCAGATTAAGAGAGCATGCTTTGAAGAGAGGCCCATTTTCTGCCTCCTCATGCATAAGGTCTGGTGGTTAAATTCTCTGTAAATCATCAAATTAAAAAATTATTTTGGTGTATATCACAGGTTTCTGTTTCATATTGCTATTTGAGCAGTTTGTTTTGTGACTTGGCCTTTAAGAATTTTTTTTTAATCTCAATAGTTGGCTAGTATGGGTGGGAAGGGATGCCATGATTCCTGTCACACAGATGAACCACTTGTGTGGGCATCTGTCAATTATCCCTGCTCTGGTGTTGCTCAAGTTTATTTGTGTCGTCTAAACCCCAGGGCCAAGTACCAGGGGAGTCCTACCAAGCAGCTTTGGCAAGCATAGAATTGATGGCAGCTTCATTATAATTATACTTCTTTGCATGGTTGACCAGCTGTATCATCATAATAGCTTTCCATACTAGAGGCCAAAAAGACAGAGAGATATACAAGCTGCTCAATATATTTCAACAAATTACATTACAATTTATGCCTTTTCCAACTGTTTCATGCCTTGTAATCATCCCCTACTCCCACCCAGCCCATCAGTTCTTTCAGAAATATGCAAAATTTGACTCTAGATATACTTTTTAAGTATAGCGCATTAAGAAGTGATTTTTTTCCTGTTCCTTAGAATAATCATATGTTTATCTTTTCTTGTTTTCAAACAAGAAGTTATTTGCTGTAATAGATCATGTGACTGTATAATACATATATGATAATGATGATAATCATAACAATTGCAGGCCAGGTGTGGTGGGTGGCTCATGCCTATGACCGCAGAACTTTGGGAGGCCGAGGCTGGTGGATCACTTAAGATCAGGAATTAAAGACCAGCCTGGCCAATATGGTGAAACCCCATCTCTACAAAAAATATATAAAAATTTGCTGGATGTGGTGGCACACGCCTGTAATCCCAGCTACTCAGGAGGCTGAGGCAGGAGAATCACTTGAACCCGGGAGGTGGAGGTTGCAGGGAGCCGAGATTGTGCCTCTGCACTCCAGCCTGGGTGACAGAGCTAGACTCCATCTTTAAAAAAATAAAAATAACAATTGCAGCTTTTAGTGGCATTTACTTTATGCTGGGGGTATACTAAACACTTTATATACAACATTTCATTTAAAACTTGCAAACTCCATGAGACAGGTGCTTCAGATGAGGAAAGGGAAGCTTTGAGAAGTGGAGTTACCTCATGCAATGTCACTGAGCTCTTATATAGTAGAGCAGGGAGTCGAATCCAGGCAGTCTGACTTTTAATGATTTAAAACTCACTCATTCATTTTGACTTAAATATACTCTAGAAGTCCTTTCTGAGTGTCTTATCAGATAATAAAATTCCATTACCTGATATTAAATGAATTCAATTTACAAGTTTTTGTTTCATTAAATGGCCAACTATTTACATGAAATGATATTCAACATCATTAGTCATGAGTGAGATGCAAATTAAAACCCCAACAAGAAACCTTTATACGCCCATTCAAACAGCTAACATTAAAAAATAAACAATTCCATGGCTGGGCATGGTGGCTCCCACCTGTAATCCCAGCATTTTGGGAGGCTGAGGCAGGCAGATCACCTGAGGTCAGGAGTTTGAGAGCAGCCTAGCCTACATGATGAAACCCTGTCTCCACTAAAAATACAAAAATTAGTCAGGCATGGTGGTGGGTGCCTGTAATTCCAGCTACTTGGGAGGCTGAGGCAGAAGAATTGCTTGAACCCAGGAGGTGGAGGTTGCAGTGAGCCGAGATTGCGCCACTGCACTCCAGCCTGGGTGACAGAGTGAGACTCCACCTCAAAAAAAAAAAAAAAAAGAACAATTCCTATCTTTCAAAGATATGGAACATATGGAACTCTTATACAGTGTGGTATAAGCATTTTAGAAATCTGTTTAGACAGTTTCTTAAAAAGCTATACATGCACTTACCATATAACTCAGCCATTCCGCTAAGTATTTACACAAGAGAAATGAAGACATGTTCTCACAAAGATTTGTACACAAATGTTCACAGCATCTTGATTCACTGTAGCCTAAAAACCAATTCAGTGTCCGTCAACAGCTGAATGTATAAACAAATGTGGTATATCCATACAGTAGAGTGTACTCATAAAAATGCAACAATGTGATGAAACTCAGAATCATTATGCTTAAAGAGAGAAGCCAGACACAAAAATACATACTGTTTTTCATTTATATAAAATTCTAGATAATGAAAATTAAATTATAGTGACAGAAAGCAGATCAGTGGATGTCTGAAGCTGGAAATTGAGGAAGAGGTAGTTTGCAAAGGGCAGGTGGAAAGTTTTAGGTGCTAGAAAGTTCTCTTTCTTGATTGTGGAGGTGATTTTGTTACAGGTGGGTCTTTGTTCTTAGAGCTCCCAAGATGGTGGCAGGCTGCTCCTAAGATGGAGTGGGCTGCTCCCAAGATGGCGGCAAGCCTTTTGTTCTCTGACCTGGGGTTCTTGACCTCACGGATTCCAAGGAATGGAACCTAGGGCCATGCAGTGAGTGTTATACCTCTATTATAAGCTGTGGGTCACGGAAGAGAACTGTGGAACCCAGTGACTAATGTTCAGCTTGATTAGGATGAACCTGGGCACTTAGCAATGCAGGAACAATGGTGAGCCTTTAGCCCAGTCGAGAGCGGCAATGGGTGCCTCACTGGATCAGAAACACAGCGGACACCCTGCCAGATCTGGAGGGGTGGAAGTCAGCGGCGGGTCTGCGACAGCAGCAAACAGCAGTGGTGGAGAGTGAGCCAAAGCTCAGTTTGAGCTATAAAAATCACGGACCAGAAGAGTGTGCAGTTGCAAGATTTAATAGAGTGAAAACAGAGCTCTCATACAATGGGAGGGGACCCAAAGGGGGTTGCCCACTCCCGGCTCAAATGCCTGGGGTTTATATCCCAATCATTGTCCCTTCCCCTGTGCTCTCAGGCGATATATGATTTGACTTATTTCTTTACCTCCTGCTTTTAGCCTAATTTGTATTTTAGTGAGCCCTCTTTACTACCTGATTGGTTGGATGTGAGCTGAGTTAGAAGCCCCGTGTTTAAAGGTGGGTGTGGTCACCTTCCCAGCTAGTCTTAGGAATTCTTAGTTGGACTAGGAAATCCAGCTAGTCCTGTCTCTCAGTACCCCCCAACAGGAAAACCCAAGTGCTGTAGGGGAGGTTGGCCAATGACCACTCTAACTGCTTCCTGCTGAATTGGGGCGTAGTAGGGGTCATGCAGTTGAGATTTCCTCAGGAGGGGTGCCTTCGGTGTCATCAACATCATAGCATGTGCTAGCAGGCTGGTCCAGGGGTCCGTGGTAGATCTTAGTCATGAACTGCATCTGGGGCTCTATTTGAAGAACAATTTGTAGTTTTACAGCTTCACAGCTTCTATTCTGGAAGAGATAAACTTAACAAGGAGGTTAAAGATACAGGGATTGAAATGTATGGCCTGCAGTGCAAAGTGCAGGGGATTATTTCTTCAGCACACTTCACAGGCCCTGACTATCTGCTTGACAGTTTTTAAAAGGCCTGGTCCAGTAAATAATGATTTGGCCATCTGATGGGTGCTATCAATGCCTAAGTGAAAGGTTTGGTGAAGGGTTTTAAGTAATTTCCATTGGTTAGCTGCAGGCAAAAGTATTTTTCCTTCTTCGGCGGCTAGCCATCCTGAGGGGAGGAAACTATTTTCTCTTGAGATTCCCCATTCTATTTCTTCTGCCGAGTACTGGGGCTTGGTTTCCTGGAGGGGATTACCCCATACTCTAGGGGTCCTTCTATAAGCATTTCTAATGGATGGTCCCGCCTTGCGGATCTTTTGGCTTCGGTATCTGCTTGGTGGTTCCCTTCTATTTCCCTTTTCTTTCCTTTCTGATGACCCCAGCAGTGTAAGACTACCACCTCTTTAGGTTTCTGTACAGCCAATAATAATCTCCTAATGGCTTCCTGATATTTGATAGGTGTTCCCTCGGAAGTTAGGAATTCCCTTTCTCTCCATATTGCTGTGTGGGCATGGAGGACTAGGTAAGCACACTTAGAGTCTGTATATATATTTACCCTTTTTCCTTCTCCTAATTATAGTGTAAAATGGCCCCTGCTTTTGCTAGGATGTCTCTCCCTAACAAAGTGGGGCTTTCAGGCATAATTAGAAAGCCATGTGAAAAGAGTAAAGTTCCCCAGTCACAACTTAGTGGCTGGGAGAAGTATCTAGTGACTGCCTGTCCTAGGACCCCTAGGATAGTGACAGATCTGGAGGACAGTTGTCCGGGACAGGAGAGTAAGACTGAGAAGAATGTGCCAGTGTCCAGGAGACAGTTAACTTCCTGGCCATTAATGGTCAAGCATACCTGGGGCTCTGTGAGGGTGATGGCATAGGCTGGCACTTGCCCTGGGCACCCTCAGTCCTGCTGCTGGATCATCTGGTTAGTGGCTTCTGACTCAGGACTGTCCCCTAGGGCAGTGGGCCTTCCAGTGATTCCCTTGACATAATAGACATGGACGAAGGGGAGGCTTATTTCTATTCGGACAATCTTTTTTAAAATGTCCTTGTGGACTGCACTGGAAGCAAGCCCTATTAGGCATTTGATTTGCCCAGCCTTTCGCTTTTCCAAAGCCTCCAAAGTCCGTTTGCCTGAGGGCCACAACTAAGTGGTGGCCTTTTTTTTTTTTATCCCATTTGTCCCATTCTGCCTGCTCCTCCTGATCTCTATTATAAAAACTGAGGTTGCCAAGTTCAATAGGGTTTCTAAGTTTTGCTCCGGGCCTAACGTGGACTTCTGAAGTTTTTTCCTAATGTCTGCAACTGACTGAGTGATAAACTTATCCTTTAAGATTAGTTGACCTTCAATAGAGTCAGGTGACAGAGAGCTATGCTTCCTCAATGCCTCCCTTAGTCTCTCCAGAAAGGCAGTCTCTCTTCTTTTCCTTGTGTTATAGTGGACATCATTGAATAATTTATAGGCTTCTTCCTAATTTTCCTTAGTCCTTCTGGCATGCAAGTTAGCAAATGTCTGTGGCACCAATCTCCATGTTCTGATTCTGTGTCCCAATGAGGGTCTACAGTGGGAACTGCCTGCTGGCCTGTGGGGAATAATTCTCTTTCCTCTGTTGTCATCCTATCATTGACCTGACTGAGATACCAGAGATCGCCAGACTCTCGGGCTGCAGTTACGGCGGCACTTCTCTCATTTGGGGTTAGTGTCTGATCTAGCAATAACATTATATCTCTCCATGTCAGATCAAAGGATTGTCCTAACCCTTATAAAACATCAATATAGCCATCAGGGTTATCTGAGAATTTACCTAGGTCTATTTTAATTTGCTTCAAGTCTGACAGGGAGAAAAGTACATACACTCTGACTGGGCTGAATTCTCCAGAATACATCTTAGGGTCATTTTTGCCTTAGGGGGAACATTTTCTATCTGAAAAAAGAACATAGGGATGCCAGTGCCTCTAGTCATTTTCCAATGAGCATTAGTCCTAGAGTGTCCTCTATGGTCCTAATGCTTATTCCTTTCCAGGGTGCATAACCACCCATGGACCTCTGCTTATCGGATTAGTTACGCTCACCGATGTAGCAGTCCTGCACCTGTTTTCCCACCTTTCTTAACCACAAAGAAAGGGGTATGGGTTGCTGGAGTCTAGTGGTCCTTTAACAGCTTGCCCAACATTGCCTTTGCACTCAGAGGTGAGTTCCTTTCCAGGGTGCATAACCACCCATGGACCTCTGCTTATCGGAATAGTTAACGCTTACTGATGTAGCAGTCCTGCACCTCTTTTCCTGCCTCTCTTGACCACAGAGAAAGGGGTTGGGGCTGCTGGATTCTAGTGGTCCTTTACCAGCATACCCGACATTGCCTTTGCGCTCAGGGGTGAGTTCTAGAGTTGGGCTGGGTTCCTGAATATTTCATAACAACCCAGCTGCCCCATCAAGATGCAACAGTTCTTATGCAAATTTATTTCAGAGAGGGTGTAGGTAACCTTTTGGGTTAGGATTGAGATAGAGTTTTTGCCCACTAGGGCCTTTGTCCTTCTTTCCTTTGTAGGAATGTGCCCTAATTATCGACCTTAAACTTTTTCTTGCCCCAGATTAAGTCCTTTTGGGTAAGAAATATGAGAGATGAATCCTGTTTATCCTATGTGCCTTTTTCCTACGAGAAGAAGAGCAAGGAGAAAAAGATGGGTTTGCTTTTTTTGTAAGTACTGTAAGGCTTGCCTGAGTGTAAACAGCTCACATGTTTGAGCAGACCAATTTTCCTAACTCGCTTTTACAAGTGTTTCCCTATCAATTACTGCATACCCATTGTGTTTTTTCCCTCAGTCACCCTGGAGGAACCATCTACCTTCTTGTCCTGAATGGAGTTCCTCCTAGGTCTGGTTGGACCTTTGTATGGTAATTAAGATTTAAATCCCCTGTTAGGAAATCTGCTGGGTTAAGGGAATTTTCAGTGGTTAGTGTTAAATCACCTTTTTCTAACAGAATAGCTCTATACTTTTAGACTTTTGAGTTAGTAAGCTACGTTTTTGCTTTTTTTGAATTAGGATAATTCTGAGCTGGTGAGGTGTGCTCACAATGAGGTTTCCTCTAAACGTTACTTTTCTACTGCTGCTAAGCAAAGCAGTTGCCATTACTGATTGAATGCATTTGGGCCATCCGCAGGTTAGTGGATTAAGAATTTTTGATAGGAAGGCTAGGTATGTGTTGTCAGTGGTCTCAGTGTTTTCAGGCTACGCCCTTGTTTACACTGACAACAAGGTAGTATTGGAGTGTTATAGAGTCACGGAGAAGATCTTCAATTATCAATTGTAGGTTTTAAATTTACCCTGGCTTTTAAAGGAATAGGGTATATACTGTTTTTTCTTTAACTACTTGTGTATCTCTCTTTCTCTCTTTTCCTCTCTCTCTCTTTCCCTTTTCTCTCTTTCCCTCTCTCTCTTTTGGTAGATGGATTTTGGGAACACGGTGGAAGGACGTTAGCTTGTTGCCCCCATTTGCCACTATAGGAATGTGTGCCTCCCTTTAATTTACTCAATTCGCTTTCATCCTGATCTATTATGTTGTCATAGACCCAGTTCCAGTTGTTAAAGTACTGGGTCATCAGTTCTAAGGCCCTGGCCAAGGAGCCGAGGCTTGGAGATTGTATTGCAGTGGGGGAAGCTGGGTAGAAATTGGGGGAGGAGAGCATCTTACACAATGGGAGAGGAATCCTAGCCATTTACAAACTTGGGGTCCTGGCAAGGGTGGTGGGAAACGGGTCCCACATAACTGCCCATGTCAAGAGCTATATATTGGGAGGGGCACCAGGGACAAGACTCCCTGGGTTCATAGCCTAGATGCCTAAGGACACAGCGTAGCGCTTCCTTAGATCCCTTTGGAGATACAAGCTTCTCTAATACTTGGGAGAGGAAGTGAAAGTCTGAAGCATTAGTACCTAGGAGGCAGGGATCAGAGGAAATAGATTCAGAGGTAAGGAGAATTTTGAGGCTACACTTTAAAAAAGTCATGATCAGGACCCAGGACGTATGGGTCAGAAGGAGATGTAGGGGCGCACGCATGGGCAACTGTTGAGTAAAGACTTCTGGCTGCACCATGATCTCGACCGGCCAATGCTGGGAGTTTGGGATGACACCTTTCTGTCTCTAGTCAGCCCTCAGCTTCCCCAGGAAAATTGTGAAAGCAGAAGCTGGTTCCAGGCAGACCATCGCTCCCAACCAGAAGGGTTGGGGGTTGTTAGAAAGCCTTTTCCCAGGAAGCCTCACACCTGAGTGTTAAGTCCAGCAGCCATGCTAATCGTTTTTAACTGGCCAACAGGTGCCTGGTATTTCCTCTGATTCTAAGGAAGGATAGGAGAGAATAGCAAGTGAAAGTGGTCCAATATTACTCACAGCTTTGGAGAATCCCCAGACGAGGCCACCAAATGTTACGGGTGGGTCTTTGTTCTTAGAGCTCCCATGATATGGTGGCAGGCTGCTCCCAAGATGGCGGCAAGTCTTTTATTCTTTGACCTGGGGTTCTTGGCTTCACATATTCCAAGGAATGGAACCTAGGGCCATGCAGTGAGTGTTACACCTCTGTTAGAAGCCGTGGGTCACGGAAGAGAACCGTGGAACCCAGTGACTAGTGTTCAGCTCGATTAGGACAAACCTAGGCACTTAGCTATGCAGGAACAATGGCGAGCCTGTAGCCCAATTGAGAGCAGCAATGGGTGCCTCACTGGATCAGAAACACAGCGGACACCCTGCCAGATCCGGAGGGGTGGAAGTCAGCGGCGGGTCTGCGACAGCAGCAAACAGCAGTGGTGGACAGCAAGCGAAAGCTCAGCTTGAGCCATAACAAACACGGACCAGAAGAGTGTGCAGTTGCAAGATTTAATAGAGTGAAAACAGAGCTCCCATACAATGGGAGGGGACCCAAAGGGGGTTGCCCACTCCCGGCTCAAATGCCTGGGGTTTATATCCCATTGTCCCTTACCCTGTGCTTTCAGGTGATATATGATTTGTCTATTTCTTTACCTCCTGCTTTTAACCTAATTGTATTTTAGTGAGCCCTCTTTACTACCTGATTGGTTGGATGTGAGTTGAGTTAAAAGCCCCGTGTTTAAAGGTGGGTGTGGTCACCTTCCCAGCTAGTCTTAGGAATTCTTAGTTGGACTAGGAAATCCAGCTAGTCCTGTCTCTCAATTTCACAGGTGTATACATCTGTCAAAATTTATTTAATTGTACAATTTATTGTATTTATAGAAATAATATATAGTATATCATATAAATTATATATAATGTATTATATATAGTTATTTGTATAACATAATTTATTTATATAATGTATATCCTGTGTGTGTGTGTGTGTGTGTGTGTGTGTGTGTGTATTTTTCTTAGAAACAGGGTCTTGCTCTGTTGCTCAGGCTAGAATGCAGTGGTGTGATCATGGCTCACTGTATTTTTTTTGTTTTGTTTTTTGAGATGGAGTCTCACTCTGTCCCCCAGGCTGGAGTGCAGTGGCATGATCTTGGCTCACTGCAACCTCTGCTTCCTGGGTTGGAGCAATTCTCCTGCCTCAGCCTTTCAAGTAGCTGGGATTACAGGTGTGCGCCACCATGCCTGGCTAATTTTTGTATTTTTAATAGAGACGGGGTTTTGCCATGTTGGCCAGGCTGGTCTTGAACTCCTGACCTCAGGTGATCCTCTCACCTCGGCCTCCCAGAGTGCTCGGATTACAGGCGTGAGCCAGCACACCTGGCCCATCATGGCTCTCTGTAACCTTGAACTCCTGGGCTCATGTTATTTCCCGATCTCAGCTTCTCAAGTAGGTAGGGCCACAAGCATGCCACCACACCTGGCTAAGAATATTATAATTTATTATATATAGTGTTATTATATGTAAGTCATTCTTCAATAAAGTTAATTAGGTGCTGGATGCAGTGGCTCATGCCTGTAGCCTCAGCTACTTAGCAGGCTCAGGTGAGAGGATTGCTTGAGCCCAGAAGGTCGAGGTTACAGTGAACTATGTATGTTCCTGCCACTGCACCCTAGCCTGGGCAACAAAGCCCAGACCTTGTCTCTCAAAACATAAATAAATGAATAAAGTTGATTATAAAACATCTAAAGTACAGCAGAAAAAACAAAATTTCTGCCATGAACATTTTTATACCTATGTCTTAGCATACTTATAGAATGTTCCTGTGAATTCAATTCTGCCAACAGGAAAACTTAATTAAAGGCTATTAAGATTTTAAAATATTATGGAAAGTGTCAATTGCTCTCCTAAAAGATTGTTACTGATTGATATTCCACAATGTATGAAAGTGTCCATTTCACCCCACTTTTGCGAGTATTGAATAGTTATCTTTTAAATGTTTTCCAATGTGGTGAGAAAAAAAATTTTATTGTGATAATATTCATCTTTTTTATTTTAAGTGGAATTGCTATGAACATCTTTTGCTATGATACTGGAGATTTTTATTTATTTGTGAGTTGGTTGCTCATGTTCTTTTCCCACTTTTCCATTACGCTGTGTTTCTTTCTTACTGATATGTGAGAGTTCTTTATACTTAAAAACCTTTCTTCTTTATTTTTTAGCCTTTCGGGCTGTCATTTATCTTCTAATTGTGTTCATGGTATCTTTCACTGTAGTGCGTTTAAATTTTTTTTTTTTTCGAGACAGAGTCTCACTCTGTCTCCCAGGCTGGAGTGTAGTGGTGCAATCTCGGCTCACTGCAGCCTCTGCCTCCCGGGTTCAAGCGATTCTCCTGCCTCAGCCCCCCTAGTAGCTGGGATTACAGGTATGCACCAACATGCCCAGCTGCTTTTTGTATTTTCAGTAGAGACAGGGTTTCGCCATGCTGGCCAGGCTGGTCTCTGACTCCTGACCTTAAGTGATCCGCCTGCCTCCTCCTCCCAAAGTGCTGGGATTACAGGTGTGAATCACCGCACCTGGACTGTGTTTCTTTTTAAAGACAACTTATTGATTTCATTAACACCCTATTGATTCATTAACATTGAACTCATGATCTGCAGCACTATAACTCATGCCTGAATGAAGCTTATCTAACAATGTATTTTCTCCATAAGGCACATCATGGCCTTCTTATGCTTGGGAACACTAGACAGCACTATGCTTCTGGGCCATAAACAGTGAGATCACCAACAAAAAGCACAAAAATGTTAAAAACGTAACATTAAATATACTGCAAGAGGACACTTGTTTATAGTATGAGAGGTGAAACAAGTATCACCTTGTTCAACCTCAGCTGGGAACATGCACAATGACCTACTCAAATTTTCCTGCATCTGTGCATGTCTGGGAATGACCGTGAAAGCTCCACATGTATTGATTTTGGGGTTACAAATAAATTTTAGTGAGTAGGCTGGGCGTGGTGGCTGGCTCATGCCGGTAATGCCAGCACTGTGGGAGGCTGAGGTGGATGGATCACCTGAGATGAGGCGTTGGAGATCAGCCTGGCCAACATGGCGAAACCCCGTCTCTACTAAAAGTACAAAAAACAGCGGGACATGGTGGCACATGCCTGTAATCTTAGCTACTTGGGAGGCTGAGGCAGGAGAATCACTTGAACCCGGGAGGTGGAGGTTGCAGTGAGCTGAGATCACTCCAGCCTGGGTGACAGAGCAAGACTCCATCTCAAAAGAAAAAAAAAAAAAATTTAGTGAGTAGTCAAATTCCCAAATACAGAATCTGAGTATTAACTGTAATTCCTCTGTGGTGCTGCTGCCATGTGTACAATGAGTCAGTAAAAGCTTCATAGTGGAAATATTTATCAAAACACTGCAGGGGGCTGTATAGCAGGAGATACACAGAATGATACTTCACTCTTGTTCACAAATGTAGTATAATTTATAATTTATCTTTTAATTTTTAAAATCAAAGTTTTAGGTATACTTGGTTTTAAAACTTCAGAAGTTCTGCAGTGTTAATTATGAAGAAGAGTAACCCCTTATGCCTTTCTGCCCCTTCCCTTTGCCCAGAGATAACAAATTTCAATTCTTTTTGCCTTTTTTTTCTGCCAAATTGCTAAATAACCTGATTATAATGTTATTGATTATTTTGTTTTTTTTTTAAGGCACTATCGGTAGAGATAAAGACTAAATTTCAGGCCAGGCACGGTGCCTCATGCCTGTAATCCCAGCACTTTGAGAGGTCGAGGTGGGTGGATCACCTGAGGTCAGGAGTTTGAGACCAGCCTGGCCAACATGGCGAAACCCCGTCTCTACTAAAAATACAAAAATTAACTGGGCCTGGTGGCAGGTGCCTGTAATCCCAGCTACTTGGGAGGCTGAGGCAGGAGAATCACTTGAACCTGGGAAGCGGAGATTGCAGTGAGCCAAGATCGCAAGCCTGGGAGACAGAGTGAGACTCCGTCTCCAAAAAAAAAAAAAAAAAAAGACTAGCTTTCTTTCACTACCATTTGAACAAATATGCATGCCCTTTCCATCCTTCCAAATTATACATTTTGTTAGATCACTATTCAGTATTTAGGTTGTTATTATATTGTTTCATCAAACTAAAATCTGGCCTAAGAAAGCCTCCATACTCACATACTTGAGTTTTTACCTACAACCCACAACCTAATTTAGTAGGTAAGCAAACTGAAAACCTAACTTAGGGGTATGCTTCAATAACAGTTGCTGACTCTCAGCCAGTCCCAGCAGCTGGACCTCAAAGACTTAAGCCACCAGCTATTCAGATCGTGTTCTGATAAGGCACTAGCTGTTTCTATACCTTGCTTCTGCTCCCTGCACATCACTTTCCTTTTTCTATCCATAAGTTCTCTCCCACTGCGCCCACTATACAAGCAGCGCTGGCGGCCCTCTAAATCTGCTGTGACTTGGGGGAGGGTGGGGAGGGGTTGTCCGATTTCACAAATCATTTTTCCTTGCTAAATTAAACTGTTAAATTACGTTTGTTTAAAAAATTTTTTGAAATAGTACAATTATTATTCATACTCTGATTACATTGCTGCTCATGTATACCTTCTTATTTCTCTTTGTTAATATTTGTCCAGTTTCTTTAATTGCCTTCTCAATATCTATCCTCCATTTATCCCATACCGCAATGCAAGTGCAAACCTCTCAGCTATTGTGTTGGTATCTTCCTTGTTGTCATCCTGAGCTTTCACTTCACCCCTCTGCTTTGTTTTATTTTATTCTTTTTGTATTTTATTTTATTTTTGAGATGGAGTCTCCCTGTGTTGCCCAGGCTGGAGTGCAGTGGTGTAATCTCGGCTCACTGCAACCTCTGCCTCCTGGGTTCAAGAGATTATCCTGTCTCAGCCTCCTGAGTAGCTGGGACAACTGGTGCTCCTCGCCACACCCAGCTAAATGTTTGTATTTTTGTAGAGATGGGGTTTCACCATTATTGGCCAGGCTGGTTTCGAATTCCTGACCTTAAGTGATAGGTCCGCCTTGGCCTCACAAAGTGCGGGGATTACAGGCATGGGCCACCTTGCCTACCATTATCTGATTTTTAATAGTTTGTTTGAATCAGGCTCTAAGTGAGGCTCATATACTGCGGTTGGTTGACACTTTTCTTAAGTCTCATTTAATTTGGGGTCTTCTTCTACATCTTGCATTTTCCTTGCCTTTTTATTTTTTAAAGAAATAAACATTTCCATTTCCTACAGTGTTTCAGGCATTCTGGATTTTTCTGCCTGCTTCCATATGGTGTCCTTGAACATAGTCCTCTGTCTCCTATAGCTCCTGTCACTTATTTGTAAGTTGGATCTAGAGTCTTCCTTATATTCAGGTGGGGAGGAATGATTTTCTTATAAAGTAATTTTCTAAATTTCTAGATTACCTTTGAAAGTAATTTTTCCGAGAAAGGATGCATGAGAGGTAGTTTTTGAAAACCTGTGTGACTAAAAATATATTTTTTTCTACCCTCACACTTGACTTGTGCTTTAATTGGGTTTAGAATTTTAGAGAGAAAGAATTTCTCCCCTCAGAATTTTAAGGGTTTTTTTTTTGCTCCAGTTTTTTGTCTTTCAGCATTGTTGAGAAATTCAATGTCCTCCTGATAACCAATACTTTATATCTGACCTGCTTTTTTCTCCCTAGAAATGTTTAAGACCTTTTGTCAGAGAAGTCAGTATTCCAGATTTTCACAATGATGTCTTGGTGTGCTTGCTCTGTGTCTTTTTAAAATCCATTATACTGGGCCAGTAGAGGGACCTTCCAATCTGGAAATTTATGCCTTTCAGTTCTAGGCAATTTTTTCTGAATTATTTCTTTGGTAATATTCTCTTTTCTGTTTTTGCTGTTCACTAAAGAAGCTCATATTATTAGGTTTCCTGGACTGATGTTTTATTTTTCTTACCTTTTCTCCATTTTCCACTTTTATTTTATTTTTTTGTTCTGCTCTGTAGGTGATTTTCTTATCTCGATCTTTCTGCCTTTCTATAATATTTTTCCTTCTATCATATTTTTAAGTGTCAAGGGCCACAACAAGCAGGATTTTGTGAGCTGCAGAAAGAAGTTGGATTTCATTCTAAGTTTAGTAGGAAGCCATAGAGGATTTTGAGCAGGGAAGGATATTATGTTTTACATAAAAAAGGATCATTCTCACTGCTATAACAGGTTATCTCTGCTGTAAGCCATTGTATTAATCTATTGCCATATAACAAACCACTCCAAAACTTAGTGCGTTAAAACAAGACTTTATTTTTTTCTCAAAGTTCTGTGGGTTGATTGGGCAATTCTTTCTTTCTTTTTTTTTTTTAAGACAGTTTTGCTTTTGTTGCCCAGGCTGGAGTGCAATGGCGCCATCTCAGATTACTGCAACATCTGCCTCCTGGGTTCAAGCGATTCTCCTGCCTCAGCCTCCCGAGTAGCTGGGATTACAGGCGTGCGTCACCATACCTGGCTAATTTTGCATTTTTAGTGGAGACAGGGTTGGCCAGGCTGGTCTGGAACTCCTGACCTCAGGTGATCTGCCCGCCTCGGCCTCCCAAAGTGCTGGGATTACAGGCGTGAGCCACCATGCCCGGCCAGTTGGGCAGTTCTTTTGCTGGATTCACCTGGGTTTATTCATGTGTCTGCAAATAGCTAGTGGCTTGGCTCGGCCTGGGTGTTCCAAGATGGCTTCATCCAGATGTATGGGCCTCAGCCGGGACTGCTGCAATGATAGTCTCAGCTGAACTTCTCTCCATGTGTTCTTTCATCTTGTGCTTCTTCACATGAAGATGGAAGTGGTCCAAAAAGTCAAGCCCCAGTGTGTAAGCACTTATCCTGCCTCTGCTGGCATCAACTTTCCTAATATCCTGTTGGCGAAAACAAGGCAGATGTCCAAGCCCAGTGCCAACGTGGGAGGAGAATGTATGAGGTTGTGGATATCTGGAGGTGTGATTTTTGGGGAAATAGCTGTAACAATTTACCACATTAAACATTGTTTTAGCTACTTCCCTTTTTCTGATGCTTTGCCTATCAGTTTACCTTCTGATTATAATTTGGTTTTCCATGTAAGTATGCTGTCAAGAAAATAATGCACCAATCACACGCACTTCAAATATTTGCTATTGCTGTGATTGTGATAGTAATTTTTTTTTTTTTGAGACGGTGTCTTGCTGTGTCGCTCAGGTGGAGTGCAGTGGCTCGATCTCGGCTCGCTACAGCTTCCGCCTCCCGGGTTCAAAGGATCCTCCTGCCTCAGCGAGTAGCTAGAATTACATGCACATCCCACAGTGCCTGGCTATTTTTTGTATTGTTAGTAGAGATGGGATTTACCAAGTTGGCCAGGCTGGTCTCAGGTGCCTGACCTCAAGTGATCCACCCGCCTCCGCCTCCCAAAGTGGTGGGATTACAGGCGTGAGCCACCATACCTGGCCTGTGACAGCAATTTCTTACAAAATAATAAATTGGCTCATTTCAAGGACAGAATGCCTACTGTATGAGCTTCCAGTATTTTTTTTTTTTTCGAGACAGAGCCTTGCTCTGTCGCCCAGGCTGGAGTGCAGCGGCATGATCTCAACTCACTGCAACCTCTGCCTCCTGGGTTCAAGTGATTCTCCTGCCTCAGCCTCCCGATAATTGAGATTACAGGCATGTGCCACCATGCCTGGCTAATTTTTGTATTTTTGGTACAGATGGGGTTTCACCATGTTGGCCAGGCTGGTCTCGAATTCCTGATCTCAGGTGATCCGCCTGCCTCGGCCTCCGAAAGTGCTGGGATACAGGAGTGAGCCACTGTGCCTGGCTGAGCTTCCAGTATTCTTTACTAGAGTCTTGTGGTCTGTGGACTCCCTTGCTAAGAATCACTGTAGTCCTTGTGATCTGTCTCAAGCTTATAATGGTGTATGTGAAAATGTAAGAAAATTACTAATGAATTATCTTGAAATGTTTTCTCTGTTTTGCCAGATATGAACAATATAAAGCCATTGGAAGGGGTAAAAATTCTGGATCTAACAAGGTTTGTATTGGTTTATCTACATTTTGGTGATTGGGTTTTTCCCTTTCCTCAAAAACTTTTAATTTTTTGAATTATAAGAAGAGACTTATATGCTTATGTTGAAATTTTAGAGAAGAAAATAAGAAAAGAAAAATTGCTGTAATATCATCATTCTATGAGACAATTAGTGTAGTATTTATGCCTTTTCCCAATGTATATTTATATATAATCTTAAAAAACAAAAATTGGAACCATATTGAAATTAGTTTTACCCATATTTTAAACACAATGTTATATTTTTAATATTTTCCTATGTTATTCAAAATTCAACAAAAAAGTGAAATAGTAATTAATATATCGATGTCACATAATTACTTAATCATCCTCTAATCTTTCACGATTATAAATTAGGCTTCCTTGTACACAAATGTTTCCCTCAGTTTTGATTTCTTCCTCAGGATAAAATTCTAGAAAAAGAATTATAGGGGCCAGGCGCGGTGGCTCACGCCTGTAATCCCAGCACTTTGGGAGGCTGAGGCGGGCGGATCATGAGGTCAGGAGATCGAGACCATCCTGGCTAACACGGTGAAACCCCGTCTCTACTAAAAATACAAAAAAATTAGCCAGGCGTGGTGGTGGGCACCTGTAGTCCCATCTACTCGGGAGGCTGAGGCAGGTGAATGGCATGAACCCAGGAGGTGGAGCTTGCAGTGAGCTGAGATAGTGCCACTGCACTCCAGCCTGGGTGACAGAGCGAGACTCCGTCTCCAAAAAAAAAAAAAAGAAAAAGAATTATAGGATCAAAGGGGATATATATTTTTAAAGCTCCTATTACATATGGCCAAATTACAGTTTTAACTGTTTTGATTCTTACTAGGATTATATGAGCGTGTCTGTGTTGACGGGTTGTTGGAAAATAATTAATATAAACATTTTCAAGATGGTAATTAATTTATTTATCATTTTTAACATTGTAGAGTCCTGGCGGGACCTTTTGCTACTATGAATTTAGGAGATCTTGGAGCAGAAGTTATAAAAGTGGAGAGACCAGGTAAAGCTATTACTCCCTTTAAAAAATAGAAACAAGCTAATAAATATTTTAAAATAATTCTCTAAATACCCATGTTTAGTGTACCTATAAGTGGGATAAGGAGAGAATTAAAATGAAATGATTGTCTTTTTCTTCTCCATTTCTTGTTTTCCTGTGAACTAACACTAATGATATCTTTTTCACTCCTTATGTGTGCTAAGTGCTAAGGCTCAAGCCAGTTTCTTCTTTGCACCTGAAGGCTTTTGTTAGAAGCTGAGGCTGGGCACAGTGGTTGACGCCTGTAATCCCAGCACTTTGGGAGGCCAAGGAGGGCAGATCACTTGAGGTCAGGACTTCGAGACCAGCCTGGCCAACATGGTGAAACCTCTTCTCTACTAAAAATACAAAAAAAAGTAGACAGGCATGGACCTGTAATTGCAGCTACTTGGGAGGCTGAGGCAGGAGAATCACTTGAACCCGGGAGGTGGAGGTTGCTGTGAGCCAAGGTCATGCCACTGCACTCCAGCCTAGGCAACAGAGCAAGACTCCGTTTCAAAAAAAAAAAAAAAAATGAAAAAAAAGGGACTGAGATGCAGCGTATAACAACTATGATAATGACACCTACAGTGCCGGGGCAAAGTTCTCAATGCTTTGCCTGGGCTTATTTAATCTTTACAACAACCCTATGGGCTGATGCTATTATTCA
Organism: Homo sapiens; assembly: GCF_000001405.40. Classification (NCBI taxonomy): domain Eukaryota; kingdom Metazoa; phylum Chordata; class Mammalia; order Primates; family Hominidae; genus Homo; species Homo sapiens. Next base: position 40,182,714 of record NC_000007.14, read on the forward strand.
TAGTTTATAAAGGAGAAAATGGAGGCACAGAGAAGTAAAGCAACTTATTTAGGGGCACACAGGTAATAAGGAATATCCAGACCCTCAGCCATGATTCTGGCCTTCCTTAGCCCCAGCCTAGCTTTAGCATTGAGACTGAGATTACAATGGGCCTGGCCACCCTCCCTCACCGTGGAATCAAGGGAAGGCCAGGAGAAAGGAGGATAAAAGTGAAGAAATAGGGTACAGAAGAAGGAGAGAAGGAAAAGGAATCACAGTCCCTCAAAAAACAACCTAAGGCTGGGCGTGGTGGCTTACGCCTGTAATCCCAGTACTTTGGGAGGCCAAGGCAGGCGGATCACCTGAATTCGGCAGTTCGAGACCAGCCTGGCCAACAAGGTGAAACCCTGTCTCCACTAAAAATACAAAAATGAGCCAGGCATGGTGGCAGACACCTGTGGTTCCAGCTACTTGGGAGGCTGAGGCAGAAGAATCTCTTAAACTTGGGAGGTGGAGGTTTCAGTGAGCCGAGGTCGTGCCACTGCACTCCAGCCTGGGTGACAGAGTGAGACCCTGTCTCAAAAACAAACAAACAAACAAACAAAAAACCTCAAATACTCCAACCTAAGTCATTCTTTTCTATTCCTTTTTGTTTTTATTTTTTAGAGACAGCATTTCCCTCTGTCATCCAGGCTGGAGTACAGTGGTGTGATCATAGCTCACCATAGCCTCCAACTACTAGGCTCGAGCAGTTCTCCTGCCTCAGCCTCCTGAATAGCTGGGACTACAGGCATGTACCACCATGCCCAGCTATAATAATAAAAATTTTTTTGTGTGTGTAGAGACAGGGTCTTGCTATGTTGCTTGGGCTGGTCTTGAACTCCTGTCTCAGCCTTTCAGAATGTTGGAATTACAGGTGTGAGCTACTACTCCTGGCCATTTTTTTCTATTCCCAATAAAAGAAACATTTCCCCATTTTATAATTTTAAAGGTTTTGAAGCGGGAAACGCCTAAGCTTAGATCAGTTTTTTGCTTTTATGTTTTTCATCTGACATCTTTCCTGTTCTTTCTTCCTCCTTTGTTCACCAAATAGATATATTCTGTGTACACATTTCTCACTTTTGTTTGGTATCATCTTAGCATTTTGGTGTTTAGTTCAAGCTGTTATTGATAAAGTTGCTTAGAAAAGCATCATTGTTGGCCGGGCATGGTGGTTCACGCCTGTAGTCCCAACATTTTGGGAGGACGAGGTGGGCGGATCGTTTGAGCCCAGGAGTTCAAGACCAGCCTGGCCAAGATGGTGAAACCCCCTTCTCTACTAAAAGTACAAAAATTAGTGGGGCATGGTGGCAGATGCCTGTAATCTCAACTACTTGGAAGGCTGAGGCAGGAGAATCTCTTGAACCTGGGAGGCGGAGGTTGCAGTGAGTCGAGACCATGCCATTGCACCCCAGCCTGGGCAACAAGAGCCACACTCCATCTCAAAAAGGAACGTGTCATTGTTTTGTGCCCTTTCTCTCCAATAAGCACTTAAAGGGCACAGTCCATGTTTTTTAATGTCTGCTATATCATCATATAAACAGCTTGTTTTATTTTATTTTTTTTTGAGACAGGTCTCACTCTGTCATCCAGGCTGGAGTGCCATTGTGTGATCATGGCTTACTGCGGCCTTGACCTCCCGGGCTCAAGCAATCCTCCTACCTTAGCTGGAACCATAGTTGTGCGCAACTGTGCCTGGCTAAATTTTTTTTGTTTTGTTTGAGATGGAGTCTCACTCTGTGAGCCACTGCACCCGGCCTTATTAAATTTTTTTTTTTTTTGGTAAAAACAGGGTCTTCCTATGTTGCCCAGGCTGGTCTTGAACTCCTGGGCTCAAACGATCCTTCGACCTCAGCCTCCCAAAGTGCTGACATTATAGGTGTGGGTAAGCCACCACACATGGCCTATGCAGCTTGTTTTAGAAGTTTTCAAAAATTAGCATTATTATTTATGTTTCAAGATCTGATCCTACGGGTCTTAAACAGAATCCCCAAATCAGTGAGACTGGTATAGTGCTGAATAGTGTGTATGTATCTCTAAGACTTACAAGAGAATGATTTATAATTACATCAACTTAGTAATTGACCATAAGTGATAGCCATATAAAGTAGAATATCTTTTTGTTTGTTTCCTTCTTTTTTAAAAAATTTTAAATTTTATTTTGTCTTTACAGAAAGTAGAATGTTTGATCTGGAAGATTCAATTTCTTGTTAAGTAGATATTCTTAAGAGGCCAAAGCAGTTAGCAGAAGATTCTCTGATGAGCATGGGGAATATTGTATATTAGTATATTATATTTTATTACTTTTTATTATCCCTGACAGTCTTAGGCAGTAGAAGTGCCTGGCAAGTCCTGCTCCCAGAGATGATGCTTTGTTTATTCAGCTAATGATGTTCATCGCTTTTAGTCATTGTTGGATACATGCGGAAGAATGTTTATTTTCTAGCTCAACATTTGTTTTTTTTCTTTAAAGCTTCTAATTTCCATATTGCTATCTGATTTCAACACTGCAGCACTACAACCATTGGTTTTCTTGCATTTTCCATTCCTAGATAGAACATTCAATGTATTAATAATTTCTCTTGCTATTTCTGTTGGCCACCAGGGTAACATTTGTATTTCTATTAATTTTATAAATTGTTGTTCCCTATATAGTGAGGCCTATTTCCTCTTTGTACTTTTTAGTTTCCACCATGGAAACTAAACCACAACAGATCTTTCTTTGTCTAGGCCTTTATTATGTCTCATCGCCATACACTTGGTATCGGGCTTTGTTCCTAGCAGGGATTTATTGTCTTCTTTTTTTTGAGACAGACTTTTCGCTCTTCTTGCCCAGGCTGGAGTGCAATGGCACGATCTCGGCTCACTGCAACCTCTACCTCCCAGGTTCAAATGATTCTCCTGCCTCAGCTTCCTGAGTAGTTGGGATTACAGGCATATGCCATCACCCCCGGCTAATTTTTTTATTTTTAGTAGAGACGGGGTTTCACCATGTTGACCAGGCTGGTCTCAAACTCCTGACCTCAGGTGATCCACACACCTCGGCCTCCCAAAGTGCTGGGATTACAGGGGCGAGCCACCACATCTGGCCTATTGTCCTTTTTTTGACCAGTTACTATGACTCCCTGTCTTCACCCTTCTGATTAATACATTTTAATATTCATATTATATATTTAATTGTTTTGGGTTTTTGAGATAGTTATTCAACACAGATATGAGAAAAAGGGATTTTCATTAAAAGCAACTTGGTGGTATTTTCACATTTCAATAGAAAACTAGTTTCATTTTATATCCACTTCTACAGTTCCTCAATTACATAAAATTTGGTTGTTGTTTTCTTTCTTTCTTTCTCTCTTTTTCTTCCTTCCTTCCTTCCTTCCTTCCTTCCTTTCTTTCCTTCTTTCTTTCTCTCTCTCTCCTTCTTTTCCTTCCTTCCTTCTCTTTCTTTTCTCTTTTATTCCTTCCCCTCCCCTCCCCTTCCCTCCTCTCCCCTCCCCTCCCCTCCCTTCTCCCCTTTCCTCCTCTTCTCTTCTTTTTCTTTTCTTTTCACAGGATCTTGCTCTGTCCCCTAGGCTGGAGTGCAGTGGCGCACTCCTGGCTCAGTGCAGCATTGACCTCCTGAGCTCAAGTGATCCTACCACCTCAGCGTCCTAAGTAGCTGGGAATACAGGCGTGTGCTACCACACCTGGCTAATTTTTTCATTGTTTGTAGAGACAGGGTTTCACCATGTTGCCTAGGCTGTTCTCAAACTCCTGGCCTCAAGTGATCCACCCACCTTGGCCTCCCAAAGTGTTGGGATTACCAGCATGAGCCACCGGATCTGGCCTGGTTGTAGTTTTCTGATTTACTATTAGATGAGATTATTTTTATTTGTGTAACCAAAGAGCATATTATATTTATGTATACTCTTCTTTTTGTAGAGTTAGCCAGTCAGTGGGTGTATCTGTGTGCCTGCAGGGCCAGGCAGGGAACCTAAGTGAGGAAAGTGAGCAGGGAAGTGAGCAAGGATGCAGCTGAAATTTCAGCATTGTCTCCACTAGGGGACACGAGGCCAGGGCTGTTGGTCTTTTGTTCACTGCTGTGTCTGCTCTGCACAGAGCAGTGTCTGTGACATAGTTGGTGCTCATTAAATATTTGTTGAATGAATGAGTGTGTCAAAAGGTCATCTAAGAAAGGCAGTGTGAATTTTTAAAGATTTCCAGATTTTGAAATCATGGCAGCTAGTTAAAAATTTTAAGAATTGTGCAGGTCACGTATGTTTATTGCGGCACTGTTCACAATAGCAAAGACTTGGAACCAACCCAAATGTCCAACAATGATAGACTGGATTAAGAAAATGTGGCACATATACACCATGGAATACTATGCAGCCATAAAAAATGATGAGTTCATGTCCTTCGTAGGGACATGGATGAAGCTGGAAACCATCATTCTCAGCAAACTATCACAAGGACAAAAAACCAAACACTGCATGTTCTCACTCATAGGTGGGAATTGAACAATGAGAACACATGGACACAGGAAGGGGAATATCACACACCGGGGCCTGTCGTGGGGTGTGGGGAGTGGGGAGGGATAGCATTAGGAGATATACCTAATGTTAAATGATGAGTTAATGGGTGCAGCACACCAACATGGCTTATGTATACATATGTAACAAACCTGCACGTTGTGCACATGTACCCTAAAACTTAAAGTATAATAATAAAAAAAAAAAGAATTGTGTGGGTCAAATAAAACATGTCTCCCAAGCTGCAGGTTTTTCCAGTTTATGTCCTTTAACCATACATTTCCTGTCATGTGCCATGGACACAGAGCCTTCTGAAACCCCAGTTAGATCAGGAAAGCCTGTAGGCCTCCAGTTTAGACTCCTGACATTATCTCCACCTGAGATATGAGTGCAAATATCTAAAATAAACTACTAGCCTGGTGCAGTGGGATCACTTTGGGAGGCCTAGGCGGCTGGGTCACTTGAAGTCAGGATTGAGGTCAGGAGTTCGGAACTAGCCCGGCCAATATTGTGAAACCCTGTCTCTACTAAAAATAAAAAATTAGTCGGGCATGGTGGTGCACGCCTGTAATCTCAGTTACTATGGAGGCTGATGCAGGAGATGTCATTGGTTTATCTCCAGTTAGAACTAATGCTTCTTGGCTGGGTGCGGTGGCTCATACCTGTAATCCCAGCACTTTGGGAGGCTGAGGCGGGTGGATCATTTGAAGTCAGGAGTTTGAGATGAGCCTGACCAATATGGTGAAACCCTGTCTCTACTAAAAATACAAAAATTAGCCGGGCATGTTGGCGGGTACCTGTAATCCCAGCTAGTTTTAGCAATTGATGGTACAGTGAAATTATAGTTCTAGAAGTTGGTAGTACTATTTTTATTTTTATTTTCAAGGTCACTTAGAAACTGCTTTAAATGGATGGGCGCGGTGGCTCACGCCTGTAATCCCAGCACTTTGGGAAGCTGAAGCGGGTGGATCACCTGAGGTCAGGAGTTTGAGACCAGCCTGGCCAACATGGTGAAATCCTGTCTCTACTAAAAATACAAAAATTAGCCAGGTATGGTGGTGCACACCTGTAATCCCAGCTACTCAGGTGGCTGAGGCAGGAGAATTACCCGAACCCAGGAGGTAGAGGTTGCAGTGAGCAGAGATCGTTCCTCTGCACTCCAGCCTGGGCAACAGAGCAAGACTCCATCTCCAAAAAAAAAAAAAAAAAAAAACAAACCCCAAAGATTAATAGCTCATGTTATTATTTTCAGGAGCTGGTGATGATACACGAACTTGGGGGCCACCTTTTGTTGGGACAGAAAGTACATATTATCTCAGTGTTAACCGAAATAAAAAAGTAAGAATATCATCCCTTTTTTGCTTTTTGTGTGTAATTCTCTTATAATAGCAAAACTGTTGATATCATTGTGGCTTGTTTTTTTCTTCCTTAAAAAAATTAAGATGTAACTAATATTTCAAATAAATTAAAATTCTATTCATTTACCATTCACTAAGTAGAAATAATGGAGCTTTTTACTACTCTTTCTTACCTACTAAGTAACTTAGAACATTTCATAAGAATTTATAATGGAAATAATTTTATGAAATAGAAAAATTATTTGATTCCTTACATTTGTTATTATTAGGGAATAATTGCCTAACACTCGGTATTATACTTTAAAAACATCTCCTATCATCCTTGTTAGCATATTAATATATCCTCATGGTAAATAGAATCAGTAAAGATGATTTAAATATTTCTTCATGCATAAAATAAATTTAAGAGGATGATCTATGATATGAATGGCTTTCTTGTCAGCAATAAGAAGAACTTTCATGGCTGGGCACGGTGGCTCATGCCTTTAATCCCAGCACTTTGGGTGGCTGAGGCGGGCGGATCACGAGGTCAGGAGATCGAGACCATCCTGGCCAATATGGCGATACCCCGTCTCTACTAAAAATACAAACATTAGCTGGGCGTGGTGGCGTGTGCCTGTAATCCCAGCTACTTGGGAGGCTGAGGCATGTGAATCGCCTGAACCCGGGAGGCAGAGGTTGCAGTGAGCCAAGATTGCACCACTGCACTCCAGCCTGGGTGACAGAGCAAGACTCCATCTCAAAAAGTAAAAAAAGAAAAAAAGAAAAACTTTTATGATAGTATTTTAATACACATACTTTTTTTTTTTTTTACTTTTTATTTTAGATTCAGGGGATACATGTGCATGTTTGTTATGTGGGTATATTGCATAGTGGTGGGGATTGGGCTTCTTGTGTTTTGGTCATCGAAATAATATATATATATATATTTTTTAATTTTTAGAGTATTGCTGTTAATATCAAGGATCCAAAAGGGGTGAAAATCATCAAAGAGGTACAGTATGATGTATAGAAAGCATCCTACCACCTAGGTTATAATTAGGGTTTGGAATATCAGAGCAAAAGTGTTTTAAAACTCAATTTTATGGGTGATCTGTACGTTTGCAACAAATACCTTTTAAGTATTTACTTTGATTTGTATACTTCTTTGTAAGTGTGATGTGCTTTAAATTTTTTGTATATTGTGTATCATTATGGTGCTAGCTACTATTGACTGAGCACCAACTCTGCAGCAAATCCTGGGCTTGGGCACTTTGCTCACATTATCTCCTCTAATCCTCAGATTTTACCTTGTAAATGAAGTATTGAAATCTCATTTACATAAAAGGGAATTGAGTTTCCTGGTGCCTAAGTGATGCTCCAAGATTCCCTAGCTAGTATGGGGAAAAGCTGACATTTGGATCTGGGTCACATCACTGGAAAGTCCAAGCTTTCTCTAACCCTTACTCAGATGACCAATATATCCAGACCTGATCTGAGCATCTTTCTTAGAGGAGCTGGAAGGCACAGTGGTTAAATTAAGGGTGGATACCTTTGCATGGGATTTGAATCCTGCCTTCTGTGCTTACTGGCTATATGACCTCAGACAGGTTACATAACTTCTTTGTGTCTCAGTTTCTTCATTAGTAAACTGGAGGTAATAATAGTACCTACTTTCTTTCTTTTTTTAGAAACAGTCTCGCTTTGTTGCCCAGGCTGGAGGGCAGTGGCATGATCTCAGCTCACTGCAACCTCCACCTCCTGGGTTCAAGCAATTCTCTTGCCTCAGCCTCTGGAGTAGCTGGGATTACAGGTGTGCACTAGCACACCTGGCTAATTTTTGTAATTTTAGTAGCAATGGGGTTTCACCATGTTGGCCAGGCTGGTTCGAACTCCTTACTTCAAGTGATCTGCCTACCTTGGCCTCCAAAGTGCTGGGATTTACAGGTGTGAGCCACCGCGCCCAGCCCAATAGTACCTACTCTCTAGGGTTGTTGTTAGAATTGAGTTAGTCTTTGTAAAATGTGTAGACGAGTGCTTGCCACATAGTCAGCACTCATGAGGTATTAGCTATTATTATTCCTATGTTCCTGATGTTGGATTCATCATGTGGGATAAACCTTGTTTGCCATCCTTGTTAAGGTTTAAGTTGAATCTAATGGTTGTATAGTATTCTTCTGTATTCAGGGGATTGGTTCTACTAGAACCTCCACATATACCAAAATCTGTGCATACTCAAGTCCTGCAGTCGGCCCTGTGGAACCTGCTTATACAAAAAATTGCCTGTCAGGGTACATGGGTTTTGCATCCAGTGAATACTGCATTTTCCATCCACGTTTGGTTGAAAAGAATCCACCTAGGGGTGGACTTGCACAGTTCAAACCCCTGTTGTTCAAGGGCCAACTGTACTTAGGGCTATTTGGTTAGAGAACCAAGTCTCAAACTTATTTATTTAGAGACAGAGTCTTGCCGTGTCACCCAGGCTGGAGTGCAGTGGCGCGATCTCGGCTCACTGCAACCTTTGCCTCCTGGTTTCAAGCAATTCTCCTGTCTCAGCCTGCGGAGTAGCTGAGTCCACAGGTATGTGCCACCATGCCCGGCTAATTTTTATATTTTTAGTAGAGATGGGGTTTCACCATATTGGTCAGTCTAGTCTCAAACTCCTAACCTCAGGTGATCCACCCGCCTCGGCCTCTCAAAGTGCTGGGATTACAGGCGTGAGCTACCGCGCCTGGCCTCAAACTTTATTTTTTACCAAAACATTAACTTAGCTTCAATTGCTCTGCTGCTGCTTTATGTTCTCTGTCTCAGTTATTGAAAGATAATCTTTAATTATTAAGATCAGAATCAGGGACCATTCTTTTTAGTTCTGCTGGATCAATGCAGCCAATTTAGAATTTTCGTTAACTAGATATATTTTGAACCCAAAACTTGAAAATCATCCTGATCTTACCACTCTTTCTTCCCATATCTTTCCTGTAGCATAACTTAGGTTTGTTTCTGTTTTTCTTTTGAAACTTGGTTTGATTTTTCTAAATTGTTTTCCTGGCCTCAAGCAATCCGCATGCCTCAGCCACCCAAAATGCTGGGATTACAGGTGGGAACCACCATGGCCAGCCAATTGCTTTTAGATAGTTATTACAATTAATAAGTTATGTATCTTACTATCTAAAGGAAAAATTATTTTTTCTCTAGTCTTTCATATTTCTGGTACAGATTTCTCTTCTGGCCTTAAGAGTAGCAAAAAATGCCAGGCATGGTGGCTCACGCCTGTAATCCCAGCACTTTGGGACGCCGAGGTGGGCGGATCATGAGGTTAGGACTTCGAGACCAGCCTGGCCAACATGGTGAAACCCTGTCTCTACTAGAAATGCAAAAATTAGCTGGGCGTGTTGGTGCGTGCCTGTAGTCCCAGCTACTTGGGAGGCTGAGGCAGGAGAATTGCTTGAACCCGACAGGCGGAGGTTGCAGTGAGCCGATATTGCACCATTGCACTCCAGCCTGGGTGACACAGTGAGATTCCATCTCAAAAAAAAAAAAAAAAAAAAAAGGATTAGCAAAAATAACCCCTCTCCATTTAGGCCTTGGTGGCTATGATTGCTAATACAATGAGTTTAGTTTATAGAAACAGTTCCAAAGTATTACACAAGGCAATCAGCTGGATACATGAGAGCTTCAAAAAGTATGACTCCTTTGTCAGCTAGGCTAACCAAAAACAGGTTGTGTAAAAACTGAAACTCTGCCTAGAAAACCTATATGAAACTTAGTATTATTGTGGCAATATGATTTGATAACTTCTGATCATGTCTTATCCAATATTTCAGACAATTTTCTATGTTAATTAGTTGACAGTTACAATATCATTATTATGGGCATGTGTTATGGTCAGCAGAGCAATGCATGAGTTTTATTTTCCTATAACATTTTGTTATGAAAAATTAAAACATTCAGAAAAGTTGAAAGAATAATGAACTCTCATTTATCCTATGCCTAGATGAAACAAAAATATTAGAATTTTGCTATATAGCATGCAGTTTATTTTCTTTCTTTCTTTTTTTTTTTTTTTTTTGAGGTGGAGTTTTGCTCTTGTCTCCCAGGCTAGGGTACAATGGTGCGATCTCGGCTCACTCCAACCTCTGCCTTCTGGGTTCAAGCAATTCTCCTGTCTCAGCCTCCCGAGTAGCTGGGACTTCAGGTGCCCACCACCATGCCTGGCTAATTTTTGTAATTTTTAGTAGAGACGGGGTTTCACCGTGTAGGTCAGGCTGGTCCTGAACTCCTGACCTCAGGTAATCTACCTGCCTCAGCCTCCCAAAGAGCTGGGATTGCAGGTATGAGCTACTGTGCCTGGCCAGCCTGCAGTTTATTTTCTTTAGTGCTTGTAGTAGTGTTTTTTTTTTTTTTTTTGAGACAGTCTCACTCTGTTGCCCAGGCTGGAGTGCAGTAGTGAGAATTTGGCTCACTGCAGCCTCCACCTTCTGGGCTCAAGCAGTCCTCCTTCTTCAACCTCCTGTGTAGCTGGGACTACAGGCATGTGCCACCATGCCTGGCTAATTTTTAAATTTTTTGTAGAGACGAAGCCTTGGTATGTTGCCCAGGCATGTCTTGAACTCCTGACCTCAAGTGATCTATCCCCCCGACTCAGCCTCACAAAGTGTTGGGATTACAGGTGTGAGCTATTTGGCCTGGCCAATTACTGTGTTTTTTTTTTTTTTTTTTTTTTGAGATGGAGTCTCACTCTGTTGCCCCAGGCTGGAGTGCAGCAGCACGATCTTGGCTCACTGCACCTCCACCTCCTGGGTTCAAGTGATTCTCCTGCCTCAGCCTCCTGAGTAGCTGAGACTACAGGCACGTGCCACCACGTCCAGCTAATTTTTGTAGTTTTTGTAGAGACAGGGTTTCGCCATATTGGCCAGGCTGGTCTCGAACTCCTGACCTTAAGTGATCTGCCTACCTAGGCCCCCCAAAGTGCTGGGATTTACAGGTGTGAGCCACTATGCCCGGCCAATTTATTTAAAAAAGATTTTTTTTTTTTTTGAAGCAGGTTCTCACTCTGTCACCCAGGCTGGAGTGCAGTGGCATGATCTCGGCTCACTGTGACCTCTGTCTCCCAGGTTCAAGTGATTCTTGTGTCTCAGCCTCCCGAGTAGCTGGGATTACAGGCATGTGCCACCACACCTGGCTCATTTTTTTGTAATTTTAGTAGAGACAGGGTTTTACCATGTTGGCCAGGCTGGTCTTGAACTCCTGACCTCAAATGATCTGCCCCCCTCGGCCTCCCAAAGTGCTGGGACTATAGGTGTGAGTCACTGCACCTGGCCCTTTAAAAACATTTTTAAAAGTATGTAGTCACAATTGAAATTTTGGGAAAAAAATTTCCCAATTTTTTGTAAAATTTCTGTAAAATTAAGGTTTACAATGCTGCATTGTCCTCTAATTCCCGTAACAGCGGTCTGGGCATCACAATCTGGATTTTGTTCCTGACAGTTCCTGGTTTACTGGGCTATAGTTTAGTAGCCTGAAGAAAAAAAACTCCAGTGGTTCTTAAATACATTTAAAACTCTTTGGGAAGAATGCATCTGAAAGGTGTGAAAACATTTCAGAATCCTGCTTAAGTGCGTTAAGTGCATGTTATAATGAGGAATATTACATAATAATAGGGATGCTGAGTAGTAGAGATATTGTGTTTAGGTCTGTTTTTGGAGACAAGGTCTAACAGTCTCCCAGGCTGGAGTGCAGTGGCGCCATCACGGCTCATTGCAGCCTCAATTTACCGGCTCAAGTGATCCTCCCACCTGAGCCTCCCGAGCAGCTGGGACCATAGGTATGCACCACCGTGTCTGGCTAATTTTTGTAGAGATGGGATTTTGCCATGTTGCCCAGGCTGGTCTTGAACTCCTGATCTTGAACTCCTGGGCTCAAGCAGTCCACCTGCCTTGGCCTCCCAAAGTGCTGAGATTAGAGGAGTGAACAACCACACCTGGCCTATTTAGTTTTCTTGTAAAGGTTTAAAAAATGTTTTTCATTGATTTAGTGTACTTACATTCTAATTTTTCTACCTAATCTTTTGAGAATCTATTTGGACAGACCATGTAGTCTAGATATTTATTACATTTGAAGGATGCAGAATCCATTCTGCATGTACTTACATGTACTTACAAAAACTTTAATAGCCATTATTTTACTGACAGTAATGCTTTAAGTAGTTGACTAGAACTTCTATGTTTATCTAATTTGCTTCATCAGTCCTGTGATTTTTCTGAGCTATTACAAAGGGAGAATCAATTGTGTAAAGTTAAAATTCTATCATGTGGGGATTTGTTGAGTGGAAGTCTGACTCATGTTCACCTCTTCCATCAGCTTGCAGCTGTTTGTGATGTGTTTGTGGAAAACTATGTCCCTGGCAAACTGTCTGCAATGGGCCTGGGATATGAAGATATAGACGAGATTGCTCCTCACATCATCTATTGTTCCATCACAGGTATTTCAACCCCACACCCTTGTCAGTTAAAAGGTTTTCCAGTTTCTGTGTTTTCTTATTGCTATAAGAAACCTTTTGCTGGCTTTTTTTTTTTTTGGAAGTTATTCTGTTTTCCTTTTTCCAAGGCCGTTTAGGTTGCTGAACTTACTTTTTTCTTTTTTCTTTTTTTTTTTTTTTTTTGAGACAGAGTCTCGCTCTGTTGCCAGGCTGGAGTGTAGTGGCGCGATCTCGGCTTACTGCAACCTCTGACTCCCTGGTTCAAGCGATTCTTCTGCCTTAGCCTCCTGAGTAGCTGGGATTACCAGGCACGCGCCACCACGCCCAGCTAATTTTTGTATTTTTAGTAGAGACGGGGTTTCACCATGTTGGCCAGGATGGTCTCAATCTCCTGACCTCGTGATCTGCTCTCTTCAGTCTCCCAAAGTGCTGGGATTACAGGCGTGAGCCACCACGTCCGGCCTTGGCTGCTGAACATTATTAAGAAACATTAACCTAAATGAATATTTTCATAAATTTATTGGCTATTTGTATTTCTTCTTTGAATTGTCTGCCTATAGTTTTGCTAAGTTTTATGTTGATGTTTTGCAAATGTTTACAAAATACTGTTATTAACTCTTGCATAGGTGAATTTACAGTTGAAAACAATTCTTTTTTTTTTTTTTTTTTTTTTTTGAGACAGAGTCTCACTCTGTCGCCCAGCCTGGAGTTTAGTGGCATGATCTCGGCTCACTGCACCCTCTGCCCCTAGGTTCAAAGGATTCTCCTGCCTCAGCCTCCTGAGTGTCTGGGGTTACAGGTGCCTACCACCATGCCTGGCTGATTTTTGTATTTTTAGTAGAGACAGTGTTTCACCATGTTGGCGAGGCTGGTCTCTAAATCCTGACCTCAAGTGATCCACCCACCTTGGTCTCCCAAAGTGCTGGGATTAGAGGCATGAGCCATCACTCCTGGCCTACAGTTGAAATGTTAATTGGCTTTAAGATAATAACATAGGAACCCAAGGTATCCCTTCAATATATTCAGAAGCACTAAGCCAAAGGAAGGAAAAGAGTGGCATAAAGTCTTCCAATTGTTCAGCCCTTGCCAGTGAACCTCTTATATATGCATGTATGTGTATGTTTAGGCTAAAGGGAAAAAGTCACGGTGTTACTTAGTTTTCTATATAAGTACTTAACTCTTAATTAGGGATGCGATAGAGAAAAGTGACTCATAACATAAAATGTTATATTAATAGTTTGCATCAGAAAAATTCATAATATTTTAAGTTTTTACTCAGTCATCCACCAAATATTTACTGCAAGCCTTTGATCTTCCAGGCAATAGACTCAGATTCTGGAATACAGGAGTGATAAAAATCCATCTGTGCTCTCTAGAGCATTTATATGCTAGGTTAGGGTGATAGATAGTAAATAAATAAGCACTTTTGTTTTTGTTTTTGGTAATTGAGTCTGGTAGTTGGCAAGGGGGTGGGGTGAGGATAAGTTATTTCAAACTGGTAGGTGAGAGAATGCCCTACCCATATGGTGACATTTGAGTAGAGACCTGCATGGGGTAAAGGAGTGAACCACATAGCTACTGGCGAAGAGGGTTTTAGGCAGGACAACACCAAGTGCACTAGCCACCACACCCGGGTAATTTTTTGTGTGTTTTTCATAGAGATGAGGTTTTGCCATGTTGGCCAGGCTGGTCTTGAACTCCTTGCCTTATGTGATTGTGTTATTCTATTCCCAGTTCCACCTGTAATGCAGAGCACATGATAGGGGTTCCACAGCCAACAGCAGTTTCTTTTTTGGAGGCAGTGTATCTCTCTGTTCCTCAGGTTGGAGTGCTTTGGTGCAATCTCAGCTCACTGCAACCTCCACCTCCTAGGTTCAGGTGAGTCTCCTGCCTCAGCCACCCGAGTAGATGGGATTACGGGCATGTACCACCTTGCCTGGCTAATTTTTGTATTTTTAGTAGAGATGGGGTTTCACCATGTTGGCCAGACTGGTCTTGAACTCCTGACCTCAAGTGATCCACCCACATCAGCCTCCCAAAGTGTTGGGATTACACGTGTGAGCCACTGTGCCCGGCCCTGATGATTAACTTTTGTACTGAATGACAGGTTCTGTACTTGGTAGATGATTCTTGGCCACTAGATCTCACTTTTTAAAATGTGCTGTTTTATAGATCCATAATCATATTTTCATTTTTCTGTCTAAACAATATTTATATGTGTGACAGAGTGAGGGAGAGATTTTTTTCCATCAGAATCTTGTAATCTAATGGAAATGTTGAGGTTTAAAATCTTAATATAGGTAAATTATCTTCTGAATTATCATATTACCATAAAAACGCTGCATAGCCAACAAATGCAAAATGCTATATGACAATAAGCATTTATTTCTGTTTCCCATGTCTGTGGTTGGCTGGGATTCAGTTGATACAGACTGGTTAGGTTTGGCTCCAAGTTGTGCATTGGGGGACTGGTATGCTCTGCATGTCTGTTATCCTCCTTGGATCAGTGGCCACCAAATGCATCTCCCCTCATAGGGAAAGGTGGAGTGCAAGAGAACAAGCCCATTTTCACCAGTGTGTTTAAAGCCTGTGCTCCCAATGCATCTGCTAACAAATGGAGTATTTGTCAAAGCAAGTCACATGGCCAAGTCCAATACCAATGGGTGGTGAAATACATTCTGTTTCAGAGGGAGGAACTACAAAGTCACATGGCATAGGGTGTGGGTTTCGAGCAGGATGACAATTGAGAATAATAATACATTTTATCACATCATCGAGTCAAAAAAAATGTTAGTCTACTTGGGAAGCCCACACTTCCTAATGATTCACATTTATAACTAACTGGTTAGGGTCAAAAGTTCTTCTGGGCCTTGACTTAATGATTGGAGAGTCTCTAAGTTTTCTTACAGTTCTCAAATTCTGTATTAAAATTTTAGTGTGGTGAAATGGCATTGGAGATAGATTATATAATTCAGTAGTTCTCAGACAAGGAAGAATGGTTCTATCATGTGCTTTTTAGTGATATTATGGAGGAATGAGAGGGTGATAGGCAGATATGTGTAGTCTGAAAACGTACCTCTCATTATTCTATAATCTCCTAATTCCCACCTCCTGACAGTTATTAGAATAACATCTATATACTCCGTTCTCCTTTATTTCCTGATAATGAAACAGATCCAGACCTAAGGTCACACAGCTATTTAATAGCAGATGGGTTTAAAACTCAGGCTTCTTGTCTTAGTAGTAAGTGCCTCTATGCTTTCCATACTTAGACATATCAATAAGTAATGACAGATTTTGTAATTAGGTGACACTGAACAGTGCTACTTGAGAATAATATATTTTTGCCATTTTCTTTCGCTTGTTAATTTTATTTGCAATAGTGGAAGTCATGAACAAATTTATTAGTCAGGGAGTCTAAATTTCAACAGATTCTTCTGGAAGCCAAAGTCATTCATGAGTTGTGAGTTTGTGTGCATATAAAGCAAGGTTCATCTCTTTTTTTAAAATTTGATTTTCTTGGCTGGGCGTGGTGGCTCATGCCTGTAATCCCAGCACTTTGAGAGGCCGAGGCGGGCGGATCACCTGAGGTCAGGAGTTCGAGACCAGCCTGACCAACATGACAAAACCCCCGTCTCTACTAAAAATACAAAAATTAGCTGGGTATGGTGGTGGGTGACTGTAATCCCAACACTTTGAGAGGCCAAGGCGGGCGGATCACCTGAGGTCAGGAGTTCAAGACCAGCCTGACCAACATGACGAAACCCCGTCTCTACTAAAAATACAAAAATTAGCTGGGTATGGTGGGTGACTATAATCCCAGCTACTTGGAAGGATGAGGCAGGAGAATTGCATGAACCTGGAGGCAGAGGTTGCAGTGAGCCGAAATCATGCCATTGCATTCCAGCCTGGGTGACAGAGTGAGACTCCACCTCAAAAAAAAAAAAAGTTTGATTTTCTTGGTAATCAGTGTGTCTGTGTGTGTGTGTTTTTTTTTTAATAAGACTGATTACATCAGTCTAAAGTTGCACATGTTGTGATTGAGATCCTAGACTTTCCTGATATTTCCCAATGGTATTGCTCTCTTGTCAGTGCTGTCCAAGCCCAAATAGTTTGTTCTCACTCACATGTTGGCCCTATTGCTGATGAGAGTAATCTTAGAATGGCTGGGAGATTGACTTTAATGCACTCTGACAGTTGTGTGGTTGAAATTGCCTCAGTCTATGAAATCTGGTCTGCAGGACAAAAATGCTAGAGTGATCACAAGGGAGGAAGGACCTGATTATTTTTATTAGCATGGTCCTCTTATCATTTCAGAGGAAGCTGAGTATGCACATTAGGGGGCAGTGTTTAAACAGCTATTATTCACTAGGAATTATTTTTGTGAAAAGGGCAGTGTTTCCTGTGTACCACTGGGTAGGAAGATTCTCTGAAGGACATATTTATATTTGTGAAGTGACCACTCTATATTTCTCTATACTTTTAGAAGTACAATGGTATTTCCCCTAACAATTTAATTTTAAGTTGTACCTTCTTTCCCTCGTATCTTCTGAACATGTTATTAATTATAAAAATTTAGCAGTAGGAATCCTCGCCACTACATTTTAAAATGTTATTTCTCCTGTTCTTGTTAATTTCATTACTCTTTCTTTCTGGAAGGATAAACATTTCATTATATTATTGACTAGACTGAGTTTGTAGTGGGAACACTGTACATGTCATTTAATGAAGTTTCTTTTTTTTTTTTTTAAAGGAAGAGGGTTTGAAAAGTGCCTTTTTTATTTTTGTGAATTCCTCAGGGACATTTCCTTAATCTCTATTTATATAGCATTACATAGAGTTAAAATCATACAAAATATATGTGTTTAAAATATGAAGACATACAAGGTAATGAATAGTACAAAATTCAAGAGAATGATTAACCCTGGGGAGTGGGGAGGTAGGATATGGGACAGGGAAGAGAGAACCACAGAATTTCAATTATATTCACAAAATAAACTGACTGGCTGGTACATGAGTATTCGTCATTCTGTATTTTATGATTTAAGTGAGAATAAAAGATTCAGAAATGCCCAAATAGCTCCCCTCCTTATTTCCTTCCTTTCTTCCCTTTCCTACCCCCAAACAACTATTTCTTGATCTTCTGTATATTCCTGGCTGTGTTGAGTGCTCAGGGCAAACAATGTAGACATTGTCCTTGCATTTTTAAGGAGCTGACAGCCTAGGTCAGAGACATTCTATAAACAAGTTAAAACATATAATAAATACAACATGTATTAGCAAACTATACTATTATGAAAGAATGAAATAGTACTGTGGTGGAGATTAACAGAGGAGGGGTTGCATGCTGTAAATGGGCTTGTCAGGGAAGGTTTTTTTTTGAGGGGGGTAACATTTAAGAGACCTGAAGGATGACAAGGAGCCAGCCATGTAATGAGCAAGGGGAGAAGTGATTGAGGCAGAGAGAATACCATGTGCAAAGGCTCCGTGGTAGGAAAGATCTAGACGCCTTTAAGGATCTAAGAGAAAGCCGAAGTGTTTGGAACACTAAAAACTGAGAGCAGTATGCTTGAAAAGATACTGCAGAGGTGTGCAGGGGCCATGACATGCTAGGATGGGTCTGAGCAGTGGAGGGGTAGGATCATAATCTTTAAAAGAAGTAGGATTTTTCAGTAGAATGCAGATTAAAAAAAAAGAGGTAGAATTCAATTCCTGGTTGACTGACTTCATTATAGGCATTGGAGATTGAAATGGGGCTCAGGTTTCACAGAGTAGCTATAAAGATAATTTTTTAAAGATTATTAAAGGCCCTCATAGTGTTTCAGAGTCAATAGCAGAGAATGGTGAGCCCAAATGGATGAGGCAAATTATTTAGCAACTGCATTCTACATTCATATCACAGCAACGGGAATACAAAACAAAACACTGCTGCAGTTGGATTCTTACGGCATGAGTTAGTCTGTGTGTGTGTGTTCTTATTTTCGGCATATTCACCACATAACTATAGCTTTAAAAAAAGATAGAATAATTAGAATAGGATCTGCAAATCCATACTGCAAATTCATAGATGTTTTGAAGGTGAGAAAAGACATTAAGACTAGAGAGAGGGAAAATAAGAAAGGAAGGAAGAGGGAATGAAGGAAAAAGGAAGGAGGGAATGAAGAAAGGAAGAAGAGAAGGAAGAATAAAATAAGAGAGGCAGAGTGGAGTAAAATGGGATAACAATCAGCAAGATTTTTTAAAAATTTCTAAAGACAGTAGTCTAGTTCATCTGGCGATGTTCACACTGCATTAAGTATCATTTTTAGACTGAATAAATAATCAATATGGAGATGATAGTTTAATAGATGATATTAAAGGGAACCCTCATAGTCAAAACAATTGAAAACTACTGGTCTAAATTATGAGTGTCTCTGTTGCACCCTCTTATATCAGGAAATATTTTTTCACCAGAGTTTCAGGATATTGTGGCCATCTGTCCAACTGTATAGACAGTGATCTTTAGTGAAAGTGTGGTTTGACATATTTACCATTTCATATTAAGCTCATTATTTAAAGAAATAATGACACCATCTCTGCAGGGGAAGAGAAACTTAGCATATAAATATAGGGTTTCAAAACACAGCCCTTGGAGCTAAGGACTGAGATTATATTTTGTCTGTAGACATGGACTGATTCCAGAAAATGACTTTATGCCTTTATTTTATTCCCCAACAGTATAACCTTTTATCTTTAAATATTTCTTTTTACCCATACACATATAACAGATGTGTTACATGAGTTGGACTTACTGGAGTACCACCAGATGCTTTCTTCTCTCCCAGCCCACCTCTGCAAACCTGCACTGTCCACTTATTCTCTTTGCTCATAGATGAAATCCCAGGCAAGTCCTATAGATTTTTTTTCTCCTCAGTTATTTCTTTTCTTTTCTTTTGAAACAGGGTCTGGCTCTGTTGCCCAGTCTGTAGTGCAGTGGTGCGATCTCGGCTCACTGCAACCTCTGCTTCCCAGGCTCAAATCATCCTCCTCCTCAGCCTCTCGAGAAGCTGGGACTACAGGTGCATGCCACCACGCCCGGATAGTTTTTGTATTTTTGGTAGAGATGGGGTTTCACCATGTTGCCCAGGCTGGTTTTGAACTCCTGGGCTGAAGTGATCTTCCTGCATCGGCCTCCCAAAGTGTTGGGATTATAGACGTGAGCCACCATGCCTGGCAGTTATTTCGTTTAAAGTATTAAAATGTTCAGTCCAGTCTAATATCAAAACCTCAGACTCTTGTCCAGTTTATGACGTCTCCTTTTCCCCAACTTCAGGCTACTTTCTTGGGAATGTGAAGAGGATGTGTGTGTGTTTGTATTACAGGTGCACATATGTTGCATGTGTGTGTGTTTGTATTATGTATGCACATGCATGCATGTGTCTGCATGTCTATGTGTTTCGGAAGAGCCTAGTCAGTTTCTTCATTATCCATCTTTTCCTATTGTTAGCTGCTATTTGTGGTTTTTTTCAGAATCAGGCCCTCCCAGGGAAGGGAAGCAAGTTAAAGGGTGCAATAAGGGTATGACTTGACTGGTGTAGTTGTAACCTGCAGTGGAGCCTTCTGTGTGCCTGAAGTTCTGTAGGTGGCTCTCTTTATGGGGAGTTTTGTAGTCTCCTCAGAGACCTCAGATTGTAGTTCTCCCACTTCAGTCCCTGTTTTTTGTGGTTGTCTATACACAGAGTCTATCTGTTATGATCACCTTGTCCTATAGGCAGCCCTCATGGGTAGAATTCCTTTTCAGATAAACTCCTTCTGCTTTCCTCATGGTGAACTTGGCCCATGGGGAAAAATCCTCCCTCCTCCTTGGCCATTGGCAGGTGTACAGTTTATTCCGAACTCTTAGCTCTGTTGCTTTTAGCCGATGTAGCCATAACCCCTTGCCTTTGGTATTCTTTCAGACACATGCCACAGGTGCTTAGGTAATTCCAAATTCCCAGAATTCCCAAATTCCCTTAGCTTGTATCAAGGTCTCTGACGCTTTTTTGGAAGTCTCTCTTGTGTGGCTTAAGTTAAGGGGAAAACAGCTTGCTCCTCTCTTATGACAGAATGAGATGCCTAGCATACAATAACAACTCTTTCCAAGGAAATTCAGCTGAAGGTTTTATTTAGCTTTTCACCTTTTCTCACATATCCTCAAATGGATGATAAGCTAATGGCAGCAAAACTGGTTTCATAATCTTTTAGTGTTATCTGTGCTAGTGTTCTGGCACTAGGACATTTTTTGGGGGTTTGAAGCCTCAGATGAAACTGAGAGAAGGAGTCTCTTTGCAACATTCTTTAAAGCAAATTTTGCTGAAGAAATATGTTTTTCAGGTAGTAAGGATTAACATTAAGTCGAGTGAACATGAGATAGCTGTCTTCAAAGTTTCTAACTATGGAAATAGAATATTTATTTAAGCCGGGCACAGTGGCTCATGCCTGTAATCCCAGCACTTTGGGAGGCCGAAGTGGGTAGATCGCTTGAGGTCAGGAGTTTGAGACCTGCCTGGCTAACACGGTGAAACCCCGTCTCTATTAAAAATACAAAAATTAGCTGGGTGTGGTGGTGCACGCCTGTAATCCCAGCTACTTGGGAGACTGAGGCATGAGAATCGGTTGAACCTGGGAGGCGGAAGTTGCAGTGAGCTGAGATCGCACCATTGCACTCCAGCCTGGGCATCAGAGTGAGACTCCATCTCAGAAAAAAAAAAAGAAAGAAAAAAAAGAATATCTATTTAATAAGATAAACATATTTTGGCTAATGTTGTAGATTTTCAACTATTTAAACCCAAGTGAAAAGGTTAACTTTTTCTGTATATATAATTTAAAAATATATTTTCCTGCTATAAAAAATCAATTGAAAGGTGATATTGAATTGTTACTGGGTATAAGAAACATTATGACAGTTTTCCTTGTGAATTTTTTTTTTTTGAGACAAAGTCTCACTTAGTCACCTAGGCTGGAGTGCAGTGGCATGATCATAGCTCACTACAGCTTTGACTTCCCAGGCTCACGTGATCCTCCCGCTTCAGCCTCCCGTGTAGCTGGGATCATAGGCATGCACCACCACAACTGGCTAATTTTTTGATTTTTTTGGTAGAGATGTGGTCTCACTATGTTGCCCAGACTAGTCTCAAACTCCTGGCCTCAAGTGATCCTCCTGCCTTGGTCCCCTGAAGTACTGAGATTACAGGCATGAGCCAGCCACTGTGCCCAGCCTACTTGGGAATTTTTTTTTTTTTTTTGATACGGAGTCTTGCTCTGTCACCCAGGCTGGAGTGCAGTGGCGCGATCTTGGCTCACTGCAGCCTCCACCTCCCGGGTTCACGCCATTCTCCTGCCTCAGCCTCCCGAGTAGCTGGGACTACAGGTGCCCGCCACCATGCCCGACTAATTTTTTCTATTTTTAGTAGAGACAGGGTTTCACTGTGTTAGCCAGGATGGTCTCGATCTCCTGGCCTCGTGATCTGCCCGCCTCGGCCTCCCAAAGTGCTGGGATTACAGGCGTGAGCCACTGCATCCGGCCTGGGAATTCTTTATGAAACTGTGGGATTAAGAAAATCTTGGAGCCAGGCACATTAACTCATGCCTGTAATACCAGCACTTTGGGAGGCCAAGACAAGAGGATTGCGTGAGGGTCAGTAGTTTGAGACCAGCCGGCGTGACATAGTGAGACCTCGTCTCTAGAAAAAATTTGAAAAAAAAAAAATTAGCCAGGCATGATGACACAAGCCTGTAGTTCCAGCTACTCAGGAGGTGGAGGTGGGAGGATCATTTGAGCCCAGGAGTTTGAGGCTGCAGTGAGCTCTGATTGCTGCAGTGAGCTCTGATTGCACCACTGCACTCCAACCTGGGTGACAGAGTGAGAACTTGTCTCTTAAAAATAAAAAGAGAAGGGCCCGGTGCAATGGCTCATGCCTGTAATCCCAGCACTTTGGGAGGCTGAGGCAGGTGGATCATCTGAGGTCAGGAGTTCGAGACCAGCCTGGCCAACATGGCGAAACCCCGTCTCTACTAAAAATACAAAAATTAGCCAGGCGTGGTGGCGTGTGCCTGTACTCCTAGCTACTCGGGGAGGCTGAGGCAGGAGAATCGCTTGAACCCAGGAGGTGGAGGTTGCAGTGAGCCGAGATTGCACCACTGCACTCCAGCCTGGGCGACAGAGCAAGACTCTGTCTCAACAAAACAACAAAACAAAAATAAAAAGGGAAAAGGAAAAAGGAAAATGTATTGGATTGGAACATGGATGAAGTGATTTCCCATTCTGTTAAAAG
This sequence comes from Homo sapiens, assembly GCF_000001405.40. Lineage (NCBI taxonomy): Eukaryota > Metazoa > Chordata > Mammalia > Primates > Hominidae > Homo > Homo sapiens. Next base: position 40,205,350 of record NC_000007.14, read on the forward strand.
TGACAAAATTGGCCGGGCGCGGTGGCTCACGCCTGTAATCCCAGCACGTTGGGAGGCCAAGGTGGGCAGATCATCTGAGGTCAGGAGTTTGAGACCAGCCTGGCCAACATGGTGAAACCCCATCTCTACTAAAAATACAAAATTAACCGGGCATGGTGGTGCATGCCTGTAATGCCAACTCCTTGGGAGGCTGAGGCGGGAGAATCACTTGAACCCTGGAGGCGGAGATTGCAGTGAGCTGAGATCATGCCATTGCACTCCAGCCTGGGTGACAGAGCAAAACTTCATCTCAAAAAAAAAAAAAAAAAAAAAAGAAAAGTGACAAAATTGTTCATCTTAGAAGAGCTCTGCTGGGTGTAATTAGGGATATGCAAGTACCCTCTCATGACACAGCTTTGTACATAAATGTATGTGGTCTACTTCAATTCCCAGATATTTTTATTTTTCTGATACTATTGATTTAAAAAAGAGAAACCCAAAACTTTAACAGGAGATTGAGCTGTTTTTCTACATATTCTAAAATTCCAGAAGCAAAGAGATCGCCTGGGCCTAGAAATACAGTATAAATTTAGTATAGATCATTACCCACTAAGAATCAGTTGATTTCATCTTTGGTCTCTAATTTCTGATATATGGTTAGAATAGTTTCCAATTTAAAGAATCTCTTGGAGACTAGGGACCAGTAAAAGGAAAAAGATGACAATACTAGTTAATGTCACAGCAGTAGTTATTTCAAAACTTTCACAAATTGAATGTTTTATAGATCGTGCCAGATAAACATGCCAGGACTTAGCCACCATCCAAAAACCCTGTCATCAAAACTGAATTGTTTCCCCTTATGGTAATAGGCCTGGGAAATAAATCCATAAATTTAAAGAAGCAATGTTAGATAAGAAAAAAATTTTATACTTAAAAGGATAAAAACATACATGTCAGATAGTGTTTAGATAGCATTCATCTCGCTAATTATTTTTTCCATTCTTTGCATGTTTCTTCAAGCTAGCATTAGTGCAATACCACAACTTTCAGCCTTTTATTTGAACCTCAGTATATTTAATCACAAAGGTTAAAAGTATGTGGAGTAGGTAATAGTTTGAACCTGGAAAGATCAGGGATTTTGATGGAATACCAGATTGTGGAATCAGTGAAATCCAACTTGTAAAGAATATATTATGCACAAAGGTTTTTCAAGTGAAAAATATCAAAGTTTAAGAAATTTGGCAAACGTACAGTTAAGTTTATATGAGGGATTAGTTCCAGGACCTTCTGTGGATGTTCGAATCTCTGATATGATAGGCATAGTGTTTGCATATAACTTATGCACATCCTCCTGTATTCTTTAAATCATCTTTAAATTACTTGTAATACCTAATATAAAGTAAATGCTGTGCAAATAGTTGTTATACCTATTGTTTAGGAAGTAATGACAAGAAAAGAAAATGTACATCTTCAGCACGGATGCAAGTTTTTTCCTAATATTTTCAATTTGTGGATTGGTTGAATCCATGGATGTGGAACCCATGGATACAAAAGGCAGATTGTATTTGATTATAAGAAAGACTAGTCTGGTCAGGCACAGTGGCTCATGGCTGTAATCCCAGCACTTTTGGAGGCTGAGGCAGGAGGATTGCTTGAGCCCAGGGGATAGAGACCAGCCTGGGCAACATAGTGAGACTCTGACTCTATAAAAAATAAAAAAATTAGCCAAGTGTGGTGGTGCGCACCTGTGGTCCCATCTCCTTGGGAGGCTGACATAGAAGATTGCTTGAGCCTGGGAGGTTGAGACTGCAGTGAGCTATGTTGTGCCACTGCACTCCAGCTTGGGTGACAGAGCAAAGATCTGGCTCAAAAAAGAAAAAAGAAAGACTAGTCTAGCAAGCCACCAATTAGGAAATGGGCAAAGGACTTGAATACACATTGCTTCAAAGAAGACATACAAATGGCCAATAAGCACATGAAAAATGCTCCACATCATTAGCCATTAGGGAGATGCACACCAAAACCACAACGAGATACCTACCATCTCGCCCCCATTAAGATGGATACTATCAAAAAACCGGGAAACAACAAGTATTGGTGAGGATACAGAGAAATTGGTACCCTTGTGCACTGTTGGTGGGAATGTAAAATGGTTCAGCCCCTATGGAAAACAGTATGGACATTCCTCAAAAAAATTAAACACGGAAGCTGGGCGTGGTGGTTCACGCCTGTAATCCCAGCACTTTGGGAGGCCAAGGTGGGTGGGTCACTCGATGCCAGAAGTTTGAGATCAGCCTGGACAACATGGTGAAATCCTGTCTCTACCAAAAATACAAAAATTAGCCAGGCGTGGTGGCGGGCACCTGTAATCCCAGCTGCTCTGGAGGCTGAGGCAGGAGGATTGCTTGAAACCCAGAGGCAGAGACTGCAGTGAGCTGAGATTGTGCCAGAGCAAGACTCCATCTCAAAAAAAAAAAATTATACACAGAATTAGCATATGATTCAGCAATTTTATTTCTAGGTATATACCAAAAGAATTGAAAGCAGGACCTCGAAGGATTATTTGTACACGCATTTTCATAGCAGCATTATTCACAGTAGCTAAAACATCAAAGCAACCCAAGTATCCATTGACAGGTGAATAAATAAGCAATAATGATGGAATATTATTCAGCCTTAAAAAGGCGGGGAATTCTGACACATGCTGCAAGGATGAACCTTGAAGACATTTTGTTAAGTGAAATAAGCTAGTCAGAAAAGGTCAAGTACTGTATGATTCTACTTATATGAGATTCCTAGAGCAGTAAAATTCATAGAGACAGGAAGTAAAATGGTAGTTGCTAGAGGTTGGGAGGAAGGAGAGACTCGGGAGTTAGTGTTTAATGGGTATAGGGTTTCAGTTTTCCAAGATGAAGAAGTTCTGGAGATGGATGGTGGTGATAGTTATGCAACTATGTGAATATATTTAATGCCGGTGCACTGTACACTTAAAAATGGTTAAAACTAATTTTTTTGTTATGTATATTTTGCCACAATTTTAAAAAGTAGAGAAAAAAAGGAAAGAATAGTCTAAACTATAAGGTATTCCATGGAAGAAATTCAGATTACTATGTCACAAGTAGTAGAAAATGTTTTAATATGTCTTGGATCATGGTCTACAAATACAAATAAATATTTGACAACTAGGTATTGAATATGTAAAATATTCTCTTGTTCAAGAATAAATTGATTCTTTTTTTTTTTTCTTGCTCTGTTGCCCAGGCTGGAGTGCAGTGGTGCGATCTCGGCTCACTGCAACCTCCGCCTCCCGGGTTCAAGCAATTCTCCTGCCTCAGGCTCCTGAGTAGCTGGGACTACAGGTGCACACCGCCATGTCCGGATAATTTTTTTTATTTTAGTAGAGACGGGGTTTCACCGTGTTGCCCAGGCTGGCCTCGAACTCCTGAGCTCAGGCAATCCGCCCGCCTCAGACTCCCAAAGTGCTAGGATTACAGGCGTGAGCCACTGCACCCGACTGATTCTTACATGTTTAAGTTAAAAGCCCTTTATTTTAAGGATTTTGTTTTTCTTTTCAATCTGCTGCAATTAGTACAGTATAGGATACATACTTGTTATTTGCTTAATAATAAATTTTGACCAATATTTCATGTTTTTATCCTCAAAATTCTATTCCATACACATCTTCAGATTCTTACTGCTATTCACCATATTTTGTTATTCCATTGTAAATTGTCATTCCTAAAATTGTCTAAGAAATACTCAGAGGAATGAGTGATGGGAGTTTCAGTTGGTGCTTTCTGGAGAGAAGACTTGTCTAATAGAATGAATAGTTATAATCAGGAGAGTTCTAGGAGAGTTGCTGATGTTACTTCAAAATAAGAATAAAGGGCCGGATGCGGTGGCGTGACTCATGCCTGTAATCCCAGCACTTTGGGAGGCCGAGGCAGGAGGATCACCTGAGGAGGTCAGGAATTAGAGATCAGCCTGGCCAAATCCCATCTCTACTAAAAATACAAAAAATTAGCCGAGCGTGGTGGCACTTGCCTGTAGTCCCAGACACTCAGAAGGCTAAGGCAGGAGAACTGCTTGAACCGGGAGGTGGAGGTTGCAGGAGCCCAGATCTCGTCATTGCACTCCAGCCTGGGCTGCAGAGCAAGACTACGTCTCAAACAAAACAAAACAAACATGCCGGGCACGGTGGCACATGCCTGTAATCCCAGCACTTTGGGAGGCCAAGGCGGCTGAATCACCTGAGGTCCGGAGTTCGAGACCAGCCTGACCAACATGGTGAAAACCTGTCTCTACTAAATACAAAAAATTATCCAGGTGTGGTGGCGCATGCCTGTAATCTTAGCTATGTGGGATGCTGAGGCAGGATAATTGCTTGAACCCAGGAGGCGGAGGTTACAGTGAGCCGAGATCGTGCCACTGCACTCCAGCCTGGGTGACAGAGTGAGACTCTATCTCAAAACAAAACAAACAAACAAAAGAATAAAGATTTTATAATTATTTTTAAAATTTCAATCCAAGAAATGAAATATTTTGGCCCAAGTTTTTCTAGGAAGGCACATTTCCCCTACATAGTTCATCTAGAAAGTTCCATCATGTTTCTTACAGCTCTCCAAGGAAAGCCAAATAGTAGTGTGGGACAAATCTTCACCTTAGTTAGATGCATCCAGAATCTGACATGTTCTCTTATCATCCTCATACCTTGAATTTTCTATTTTTCTTTTTTTTAAAAAATTTAATTTTATTTATTTACTTTTTGAGACAGAGTCTTGCTCTGTCACCCAGGCTGGAGTGCAGTGGCATGCTCTCAGCTCACTGCAACCTCAGCCTCCCGAGTAGCTGGGATTACAGGCATGTGCCACCACGCCCAGCTATTTTTTTTGTATTTTTAGTAGAGACAGAGTTTCACCATATTGGCCAGGCTGGTCTCAAACTCCTGACCTTGTGATCTGCCCACTTTGGCCTCCCAAAGTGCTGGGATTACAGATGTGAGCCACCACGCCTGGCCTACTTTTCTTTCTTTACCATACCTTGGTTTTTGCCTGCTATACACCCTCAGTTGTGTTTCAAACCCAACATATTGATACAATGATTCCATTAAGCTGTATGTGCATATATATGTGTGTGTGTGTATATATATATGTGTATATATATATATATTTTGAGACAGTCTTGTTATATATAAAGTTTTGGTGCTGTATAAGAAATAGCACTCGAATATAAAATTTTCTTTTCAATTCTCAGCAAGGCAAGTTATTTATATATAGAAGGGTGAGCCCTTACAGATGGAACGATGGTGAGCGCACACCTGGATAAGGAAGGGGAAGGGGTTCTTATTCCTGACGCATGTGGCCCCTGCTACTGTGTCGTTCCCCTATTTGCTAGGGTTAGACCACACAGGCTAAACTAATTCCGTTTGGCTAATTTAAAGAGAATGACAGGGTGAGTGCTTTGGCGGGAGTCAGGGCAAAGCAGGTAGCAGATAATTGGAATGAGTTAGGGTGGAGCAGGTGATTGGAAGGTAGGGTGGAGCAGGTGATCAGAATGAGTCAGGGTGGTGTAGGTAATCCAAAAAGGTTGCTTTACGAGGAAGTTTAAAAGTAGAAGGCAAAGAATTGAACATACTGACATATTAATTCTTTGGAAAGAAATTTAGAACTCGTATCTAACAGTCTGTCACCCAGGCTGGAGGGCAGTGGTGTGATCTCGGCTCACTGTAACCTCCACCTCCTGGGTTCAAGCGATTCTTGTGCCTGTCTCTCGAGTAGCTGGTATTACAGGCACCTGCCACCAGCCGAGCTAATTTTTGTATTTTTAGTAGAGATGGGGTTTCGCCATATTGCCCAGACTGATCTCAAACTCTTTTATTGGTTGGTTGATTGATCTGATTGATTGAGACTGAGTCTTGCTCTGTTGCCCAGGCTGGAGGGCAATGGCACGATCTTGGCTCACTGTGACCTTCACCTCTGGGGTTCAAATGATTCTCCTGCCTCAGCCTCCCTAGTAGCTGGGATTACAGGTGCCCACCATCATGCCTGGCTAATTTTTGTATTTTTTAGTAGAGACAGAGTTTCCCTATGTTGGCCAGGCTGATCTTGAACTCCTGGCCTCAAGTGATCTCCCTGCCTTGGCCTCCAAATTGCTGGGATTACAGGCATGAGCCACCTTGCTGGCCTTAGACTTGAATTATTTATTACATACACGAGGCATGGAGATTATTGAATATAAGCTTTTTGATCCATCATTATTACCACCTTGAGACCTGTAGTATCTAAGACAACAAAAGCTAACGTGGAAGGCACAGAACACTGGACGTGTGGCCCAGACACATCTCAGATGAAGATGGTGGAGAGAAAGCGGGACAAGGCCCAGGTGGAATCTGGGCTTGTGAGTGACATGAGTGGAGCTTAATATGTTTTCTTCTCATGCCCCACCTCTCACACCACCACATTCCCAGCATTTCTTTGGATTCTTTGCAGTTCCCAAATTTACTTATCTAGAGCAGGGGCCTGGAAGAATTATTTCCATTCTTGGGAATGTGGGCACAAGACTCACATTCTTGGCTTTTACATCATAGTGCATTTTCTATCCTAAGTATCCTCAGGGCCTAGATTTTTGAAGCTCAAAAGGGAACAAATAATGTACCTTTTTTCTCTACATCCTTGGTGTTATCCCCACCTTTAGGCCATGGATACCAAATACTCTAGATCTGGGGCCTGCAGACTTTTTCTGTAAAGTGCCAGAGAGTAATTCTGTTTTTTTTTTAAGACAGGATCTCACTCTTTTGTCCAGGCTGGAGTGTAGTGGCATGATCGCGGCTCACTGCAGCCTTGATCCTCTGGGCTCAAGTGATCCTTCCACCTCGGTCTCCCAAGTTTGTCAATTCTAAAGAGCCTGGGCAACATAGTGAGACCCCATATCTAAAAAAAAAAAAGAAATTAGCTGGGAATAGTGGCACATGCCTTTAGTCTTATTTATTTGGGAAGCTGAGGCAAGAGGATTGCTTGTGCCAGGAGTTTGAGGCTGCAGTGAGCTATGATCAAGCCACTGTACTGCAGCCTGGGTGACAGAGCAAGACCCTGTCTCAAAAACCAAAAAAAAGATATATGCCCCAAATAGTATGGCCACATTATATATAAGAGAAAAAATGATAAAACTATAAGGAGGAACATGTAAATTGATGATTATAGTTCAATATTTTTTTTTTGTTTGTTTGAGATGGAGTCTTGCTCTGTCCGCCAGGCTGGAATGCAGTGGCGCGATCTCAGCTCACTGCAACCTCCGCCTCCTGGGTTAAAGCGATTCTCCTGCCTCAGCTTCCCGAGTAGCTGGGACTACAGGTTTGTGCCACCGCATCCAGCTAATTTTTGTATTTTTAGTACAGACAGGGTTTCACCATGTTGGCCAGGATGGTCTAGATCTCTTGACCTCGTGATTCACCCACCTTGGCCTCCCAAAGTGCTGGGATTACAGGTGTGAGCCACTATACTCAGCCTATAGTTGAAGATTTTAATGCGTCTTTCTCAGTGATTGATAAGAAACAAAAATAGTAACTGTGAGGTGATGGTACATTAATTAACTTGATGATGGTAATTATTTCACAATGTATATGAGAACGTCGTATCATATATCATAAATGTAAATAATTTTTGTCAATTATACTTCAACAAAGCCAGAAAAAATTTAAAACTAAATAAAATTTTTGAAGGTTTTCTTTCTATAGGTCAAGATTATTAATTATACTATACAAGTCTTTCATATTTTTAATGTTTTTTTATGTTGTCTTATCAATTATCTTATCAATTACTGAGAAAGACGCGTTAAAATCTTTATTATTCAAATTTGACCAACTTTTCCACTTAATGTCCTTTTCTGTCCCAGGATCCAATCCAGCATGTGGTACTGCATTTAATGATTATACCTCCTTCGATTTCTCCAACATGTAACAGTTTCTCAGTCTTTCCTTGTTTTTTTGACCTTGACAGTTGTCAGAGACTTGTCAGATATTTTGTAGATGTCCTTCAAACTGGGTTTGTCTGATGTTTTCTTAGGAACTGAGTTGATGGCTTTTGGGAAGACTATTACAGAGGTGAAGTACCCTTCTCTTTTCATCATGTCAGGGACTATCTGATGTCACCATGACATCACTGATGACGTTAACTTTGATCTCTTCGTTAGGATGGTATCTGCCAGGTTTCTCCACTATAAATTTACTACCCTTCCTTTTCCATGTGATATTCTTGGAACTCAAGTTCAGCCTCCTCTCTGCTGAAGGGGAATGAAGCTTCACCTCCTGAGGAGGTGTGGAGTATCTCTATTATTTGTAACTGTTCTGAAAGCAACATTTGTTCCTTCTTTCCCAGTTGTTTGTTTATTCAGGTATTTGTTTATGTCAGTATTGACTTATGTATATTTGTTTTATTCTTCAAGTTGTAGTCCAATATTATTGTTTTTTGTTTTGTTGCTAAAATTTCTCAGCTTTGGCAAAGGGTTGCTCTTTCAGGTTGACTTTTGTGTCTTTCTGACATGCCTCTATCCTTTCAAGATTTTCTTTTCTTCTCTCTCCTCCTTTTCTCCTTCCTCCTCCTTGCATCAGCCCTACAACTCAGTGCTTGTTTTGATAAATTATCTCATGGAATCCTCAAGATAGCCTTGCAAGGTAGATAGATATTATTATCTCCATTTTTAGATTTTGAAACTGAAGTCACACAGTGCTTGGCATAGTCAGACCATGAACTCAGCGGTTTGAACCACACTATTATCAACTGCTAAGCTATGTACTCTCTCCTTTTTCTGACAAGTTCGCATTCAAAGAGAGAGGTTAGTTGAGGAGGTTCTTACTGATAGAGTTTAAAATTTTCTTATAACCGTTGCCCTGCCTTCCAGACTCTTCTGTCACTGAGAATTCAACAATGAGCAAAACAAAAAAATTACTGTCCTCAAGGAGTCCTTATTGTAGTTGGATAATGATAGCAATGACTGAATATTTATTAAATGTTAGTCACTGTTCATCACTTTATATGTATTACCTGACATAATATTTATAATATATTACATAATATTTACAGCAGCCCCATGGGGTAGCTTCAATTATCATTTTAAAGTGAGAGAACTGAGGCACAAAGAGGTTATGTCACTTGTCCAGGATTACTCTGCCACTAAACTAAGGGTTGTGATTCGCACCTCTTTGTGTGTCAGAACTTAGGGACTGGGAGCAGAGAGTTGTAGTTGTGGTGATGTTCTTTATGAGTGGTATTGTGGGTCTAAATTGAGATTCAGTGAAAGTAGAAATTATGGGCTGGGCATGGTGGCTCATGCCTGTAATCCGAGCACTTTGGGAGGCTTGGGGGTGGGGGTCATGAGGTCAGGAGTTCGAGACCAGCCTGGACAATATGGTGAAACCCCATCTCTACTAAAAATACAAAAATTATCTGGGTGTGGTGGCATGTGCCTGTAGTCCCAGCTACTCAGGAGGCTGAGCCAGGAGAATCACTTGAACCCGGGAGGCGGAGGTTGCAGTGAGCCGAGACCACGCCACTGCACTCCAGCCTGGGCAACAGAGTGAGACTCTGTCTCAAAAAAAAAAAAAGAAAGAAAGTGTGGATAAAGAGGAAAGAGTATGTGTATATGTATAGAGGAGAGAATGCGTATGTCTACATGAGATCAGTCACATAGGCATTCCCTCTATGGAGAATGAGAGAAATAACTGAGAAAGACTCCCAGAGTTTATAGCATGGCAGATACGTTAGGGTCTATCAAAATTAAAGATGTCTCCCTTTTTCTGGGCCACGTTATACTTTGAACACTTTTTTTTTGTTTGTTTGAGACAAAGTCTCATTCTGTTGCTCAGGATGGAGTGCAGTGGAGCGATTATGACTCACTGCAGCCTTGAGCTCCTGGGCTCAAACGATCTTCCTACCTCGGCCTCCCAAGTAGCTGGGACTACAGGCGCGTGCCACCATGCTCAGATAATTTTTGTATTTTATTTTATTTTTTTGTAGAGACAGGATTTTGCCTTGTTGCCTAGGCTGGTCTTGAACTCCTAGGCTCAAGTGGCCCACCCGCCTTGGCCTCCCAAAGTACTGGGATTAATAGGTGTGAACCACCCACTCTCCTCTTGAACATTTTAATCACAGTAATGCAGAACTTTGAGGATACTAGCAAACAATGGCTAGTGAGTTTCATGTATCATTTACTTCTTATCAAATACAATTAATGTTAAGAGCTTAATATTAAGAGATTAGGCCGGGCATGGTGGCTCATGCCTGTAATCCCAGCACTTTGGGAGGCTGAGGCGGGTGGATCACGAGGTCAGGAGATCGAAACCATCCTGGCTAACACGGTGAAACCCCGTCGCTACTAAAAATACAAAAAATTAGCTGGGCGAGGTGGCGGGCGCCTGTAGTCCCAGCTACTTGGGAGGCTGAGGCAGGAGAATGGTGTGAACCCGGGAGGCGGAGCTTGCAGTGAGCCGAGATCGCGCCACTGCACTCCAGCCTGGGCGACACAGCAAGACTCCGTCTCAAAAAAAAAAAAAATTAAGAGATTAAGCCATTAAGCTAATTAATATTAAGAGATTAAGGTTTGGAACTTCTATGGCATGAATGGTTTGGGATTTCGAAATTGTTTCTCTATTGGTAAGTAGAGGTAGATGAATATATCCTGCAGCCCAGACCTTTTAGTAAATATTTGAGCTATTATTACCTTATATAGAACAGAAATTATTGATATGAAATGCAATTTACTTACAGCTCTCATCCACAGAGAAAGGCTTTTTTTTTTTTTTTTAACTTGTTTTGGGAAATAAAAGGTGCTTTAAAAAGAATTTTCTTCATTTTGTCTTGGGGCAGATTCACAAATAGCTTACAAGAAAGCAAGATGGGGCTGGGCGTGGTAGCTCACGCCTGTAATCCCAGCACTTTGGGAGGCTGAGGCAGGCGGATCACCTGAGGTCAGGAGTTCAAGACCAGCCTGGCCAACATGGTGAAACCCCGTCTCTACAAAAATACAAAAATTAGCTGGCATAATGGCAGGTGCCTGTAATCCTAGCTACTTGGGAGGCTGAGGTGGGAGAATCCCTTGAGCCCGGGAGGAGGAGGTTGTAGTGAGCCAAGATCGTGCCACTACATTCCGGCCTGGGCGAAGAGCAAGACTCCGTCTCAAAAAAAAAAAAAAAAAAAAAAAGAAAGCATGATAGGACAAGGCTGCTTAAGCTTGCTTAAGAAGAGTGTTGGCCGGACGCAGTAGCTCACACATGTAATCTCAGCACTTTCGGAAGCCAAGGTGGGTGGATCACCTGAGGTCAGGAGTTCCAGATCAGCCTGGCCAACATGGTCAAACCCCACCTCTTATAAAAATACAAAAATTAGCCAGGTGTGATGGTGCATGCCTGTAATCCCAGCTACTCACTTTGGGGGCTGAGACAGGAGAATCGCTTGAACCTGGGAGGGGGAGGTTGCAGTGAGCTGAGAGTGCGCCATTGCACTCCAGCCTAGGTGACAGTGAGAAATTCCATCTCGAAAAAAAAAAAAAGAAAAGTGTTGTAATTTATTAATACCCTCTCCATATAAGAAAGAATAAAAATCATTACAGGCAGTCAGGATGTTCAGGGCAAGTGTAAGTATTTTCTTTGTGGTGTTCTTTTTACTCTGTTCATTTGGATGCTGGCATTTCCCCCCCCTCAGTCTTATATTGAATGGCAAATTGTTTATGGAGTCTGTATCTGAATTTAGCAAGAGTTTGCTGCACTGAGGTTTCTAGTCTGTTGTCTTAACTGCCTGATACTGTGATTAAGCTAGGGCCACAGATACCATTTGATGTTTACCCTTCTCCGTTGCCCACCAACCTGTCTTGAATTGATTCCAGAATTATTCTTCTTCTTCTTTTTTTTAAGACAGGGTCTCACTCTGTCACCCAGGCTGGAGTGTCATGGCGCCATCTAAGACTGGCTGCGACCTCTGCCTCCGGGACTCAAGTGATCCTCCCACCTCAGCTTCCCAAGTGGCTCGGACTACAGGCTCGTGCCACTACACCAGGCTAATTTTTGTATTTTTTTGTAGAGAAGGGGTTTTCCCATGTTGCCCAGGATGGTCTTGATCTCCAAACCTCAAGCAATCTGCCGGCTCTGGTCTCCCAAAGTGCTGGGATTACAGGAATGAGCCACCGCGCCTGGCCAACTTCCTGAATTATCGTTGTCTCCACACCTGCTTACAGTGCTGTTCCTCAGGTATCAAAGCATCCCAGCATGTTGTGCCTTTCTCCCCATCCTCCTCTACTTTCTCCTCTGTTGTGTACTGGTAACTCGGAATCTCTGAATGGCTGTAGAAACAGAAAAGTGGATGGGACTGATGGAAAACCCAAATTTGGGTTTCAGAAAGCTATCTGTTGTTTGACATGCAGTCTAGAATTAATGACTATACCAGGTTACCCTTGGAACATCTTGCATTTGTGGGCAGAAACATTTGGCTACTTGCCACGGGGTTATCCTGAAAAAAGATGGGCTTGAAAAACTGTCACTAGTGTCACTTGAATTGGTCATCCATGGTTGGGGAGTTCCATTCCAAGAGGATAATTTACACAATTTAAAATAAAGGGGGCCAGGTGTGGTGGCTCACACCTGTAATCCTAGCGCTTTGGGAGGCCAAAGCAGGTGGAATCCTTGAGGTCAGGAGTTTGAGATCATCCTGGCTAACATGGTGAAACCCTGTCTCTACTAAAAATACAAAAATTATCTGGGCATGGTGGTGTGCACCTGTAATCCCAGTTTTTGGGAGGCTGAGGCAGGAGAATCATTTGAACCTGGGAGGCAGAGGCTGCCGTGAGCTGACACTGTGCCACAGTGCTCCAGCCTGGGTGACAGAGCTAGACTTTGTCTCAAAACAAAACAAAAAAAGTAAGTAGAATAAAGGGAGTGAAAGCAAGAGGTGCTCTTCAAAATTATTATTTGCTCATTGGAGAAATACACGCATGTACTACTTTGTAGTAGTAACATTTTCATTAAACAATAGAAGCCTGGCTCCCACTTCTCCAAATGAAGTGGGGGGAAAAGTGTTGTAACTGGATGTCATGATCAGTCATCTCAATTATAAAAGTTAGGTGACATTGTCTCTTTGGGACGTTGTTGAGCGGTGAAGCCAGCTGGGCTTCTGGGTCGGGTGAGGACTTGGAGAACTTTTCGGTTTAGCTAAAGGATTGTAAATGCACCAATCAGCGCTCTGTGTCTAGCTAAAGGTTTGTAAACACACCAATCAGCACTCAGTAAAAACGCACCAATCAGTGCTCTGTGTCTAGCTAATTGGGTGGGGACCTGAATAACTTTTCTGTCTAGCTAGAGGATTGTAAACACACCAATCAGCGCTCTGTGTCTAGCTAAAGGTTTGTAAATGCACCAATCAGCACTCTGTAAAAACGCACCAATCAGCATTCTGTGTCTAGCCAAAGGTTTGTAAACGCACCAATCAGCACTCTGTAAAAATGGACCAGTCAGCACTGTCTAAAATGGACCAATCAGCACTCTGTAAAATGGACCAATCAGCAGCATGTGGGTGGGGCCAAATAAGGGAATAAAAGCTGGCCACCCGAGCCAGTGGCGGAAATCCGTTGGGGTCCCCTTCCAAGTTGTGCCAGCTACATTCTTTCGCTCCTTGCAATAAGTCTTGCTACTACTCACTCTTTGGGTCCGCACTACCTTTATGAGCTGTAACACTCACCACGAAGGTCTGCAGCTTCACTCCTGAAGCCAGCGAGACCATGAACCCACCTGGAGGAACGAACAACTCTGGACGCGCCACCTTTATGAGCTATAACACTCATGGCCAAGGTCTGCAGCTTCCCTCCTGAAGTCAGCGAGACCAGGATCCCACCAGAAGGAAGAAACTCCAGACATGTCCGAATATCAGAAGGAACAAACTCCAGACACACCATCTTTAAGAACTGTAACACTCACCGCGAGGGTCCGCAGCTTAATTCTTGAAGTCAGTGAGACCAAGAACCCACCAATTCCGGACACATTTAAATACAAATTAGTAAGTAGAATAAAGGGAGTGAAAGCAAGAGGTGCTCTTCAAAATTATTATTTGCTCTTTGGAGAAGAAATACACACATGTACTACTTTGTAGTAATAACATTTTTATTAAACAATAGAAGCCTGGCTCCCACTTTTCCAAATGAAGGGGGGAGAAAGTGTTGTAATTGGATGTCATGATCAGTCATCTCAATTGTAAAAGTTAGGTGACACTGTCTCTTTGGGACGTTGTGACCAGGCCATGTGAATGGAGATTGTTGAAGGATAGGCCTCTCTCCACCAGGTATGCCAATCACGGGGGTAGGGGTGGTGACTCTTCTGTTTGGATGTTTAAAATGTACATTAAACAGACAAAATAAAATACGAATTAAAAAAAACTAAAAAACTTCTTATCACCAAAGGGCAGAAAAAAACCTGTGTAAATAATACCTTAAATTAAAATTAAGAAATTAAAAGGCAACTTGTTAATAAAAAATCTTTTGATCCAACTTTTTTCCTTAGAATTCTAAATCTTATGTTCACTCCCTTATAACAAGTGTCAATTAATTAGAAGCTGGTAAAAATAAGGAAGTTTACCCTAATTGCTGGCTGGTGTTTTTTAGTATAGGAGTATGTGAAGAAATAAAGCTTTTTTCCCAACTCGTTTGAAGGCAGTTTGTACTGTTTTGATTTGAGAATAGGAGACACATGATTTATCATTTAAGAATGTGCTTCTTAATCCTTTGCACCAATGATGCTTTTTGTGGAAATTCTCTACTAAACATGGTATGTGATGTTATCTTCCCTTTAAAGTGTTTTTCCCCACTTTGGCCAGTTTTGATGTTTATCATCTCTCTCTATAAGTGTTTTGATGAGATGTTGAGAGGCGTACTGGTATGGCTGTCTGCTGCCATGCTGACCCAGAAGTAGGAACTACTTTTGCTGCATTCCCTGATATTCCATCTGGCTGTAATGATATTCCCAGAGTGTTCCAGATATTTATATGCATCTGATACAAAGTTATTATGAATTAAAAACATAAACCTGGCTTTGCAACTTGACTATATCAGGAGGAAAGTTGTTATTGGTTCATGACTTTTTGATAAGTCTGTTACCAAGTATTTTTAAGCCATTAGGCCTTCAAGCCAAGTGATAGTCCCTGAGTAACAATGGAGGAAGCACCACTTAATCTAAGTTGCATGTGGAGGTGACAAAATCTGAGAGCTTTTAATGATTCATCCACCCCATTTAACTTAGGGCTACAAGGAAAAGTACTCTTTATGCAGTAGTTTCTCATGTAAAAGTGGGAAATTTTCTCTTCTTGGCACAATTCCACAAATACATAGATATATCCCTTTTCAAGAAAATAATGCCAGCCTCACCTTAAGTTTCTTATTTTAGGATTGCAAATTCTAAATTATTTATTTTTGGAGTAGCCACAGAAAAATTCTGAACCTGGGCTGACTCACCCAACACAAAATGTTTTGACATAATCTTCCTTGTTTGGATTGTTGAAAGAGAATGTAAATTTATCTTACTATTAGCTTAGCTCAAACAATGAGGAAGTTAAGTTAATTGGTATGAAGCCACATTTTCTGTATTGAAGATGCATTCACAGGACAATTTTTGTTTTAGCTTTTTAGAGTCAGTGTCTTTATCATCAGTGGAGATACAAAATATATGAATATGGTTAGATCCCGTCTAATTTGTCATGCACTTAGCAAAAACAACCCGAAAAACAAAAGGCAGTTTTCATTTATATTCATTTGGAAAATACACTTTTAAATTATTATTATCAGAAATCTAATTATAGCCTGTAATCCCAGCACTTTGGGAGGCCGAGGCAGGCAGATCACCTGAGGTTAGGAGTTCAAGACCAGCCTGGCCAACATAGTGAAACCCAGTCTCTACTAAAAATACAAAAATTAGCCGGGCATGGTGGTGCATTCCTGTAATCGCAGCTACTTGGGAGGGTGAGGCACAAGACTCGCTTGAACCTGGGAGGAGGAGGCTTCAGTGAGCCAAGGTCATGCCACTGCACTCCAGCTTGGGTGACAGAGCGAGACCCTGTCTCAAAAAAAAAAAAAAATCTAATTATAAAATAAATCATTTGTTTACATTATCTATTTTTTAATTTAGAAAGCTGTTATTGGTCTTTTTTTTTTTTTTTTGGCAGAGTTTCACTCTGTCGCCCAGGCTGGAGTACAGTGGCATGAACTTGGCTCACTGCAAGCTCCGCCTCCCGGGTTCAAGTGATACTTGTGCCTCAACCTCCCGAGTAGCTGGGATTACAGGCGTGTGCCACCACGCCTGGCTAATTTTTGTATTTTTAGTAGAGATGGGGTTTCACTATGTTGGCCAGGCTGGTCTTGAACTCCTGACCTCAGGTAATCTGCCCTCCTCAGCCTCCCAAAGTGCTGGGATTATAGGCCTGAACCACTGCATTTGACCCCATAATCATTTTTAATTAATAAATGTTAATTGAATGTTCATAGTTTCAGAAGGAACAGTTCTATAAAATTTATAATCTGATGGCAAAAGAAAGGGGCTTCACTGGGACCTCTGTAAGATTTTTGTTTCCTGAACTTGGTGGATGAGTGGATTAATATATGATTCACGCCTGAGATATTTAGAGACTAAGAGAATGTCTGGAGGGCTGTGGTTTGGGATGCCACTGCAGTTCTGCAAATATTTCCTGTGGATTGGGGTAAGAGAGAGAAGAACATTGTGTGCTGGTTTTAGAGCCTGCGCAAGCAGGCAGAAGGAAGCTGGTGGTGTGCTGATGGTGACTGGGGCTGAGGAGGGACTTAGAAGTGACCAGGTGGAAAACAGATAGATTCATCAGTGTAAAAAAGTCTGGTGGTGAGATATCCCCAGTGATGGAGTGGAAGAGATCTTGGAAGAACCTATTACAATGCCCCGTGTTACAATAAGTAGGCTTTAAATCCCCGTCAATCACAGGGAGCAGCAATGCTGGGTCACCAGAGTAATACAATTAAATAAGACCTTCACTACTGCCCATACCTCTTCTCTGTGTTCTCCAGTCCCTCAACCTTATATCCAGCCATGGAGGCATTAGAAGCTAGGTTTTGCAAAATGAGGTGCTACATGGATTTGCTTCTGTCACTATTGAACACTGATGGTTTTTCTTAAGTGCTTCTGATTTTTTTGGAAGTACTGTCTGCACATGGTAGCTACTCAGATATTTCTCAAATCAAAATTAGTGGAATAGACTGGGCGCGGTGTAATCCCAGCACTTTGAGAGGCTGAGATGGGCAGATAACCTGAGGTCAGGAGTTCAAGACCAGCCTGGCTAACATGGCGAAACTCTATCTTTACTAAAAATACAAAAATTAGCTGGGTGTGGTGTGTGTGCCTGTAGTCCCTGCTACTCGAGAGGCTGAGGCAGGAGAATTGCTTGAACTCAGGAGGTGGAGGCTCCTCCATGCCCAGCTAATTTTTGTATTTTTAGTAGAGATGGGGTTTCACTGTGTTGACCAGGATGGTCTCGATCTCTTGACCTTGTGATCCACCTGCCTAAGCCTCCCTAAGTGCTGTGATTACAGGCATAAGCTACCATGCCTGGCCAGCACTTTCTTAATTTTTGGCACAAGCACACATCTTATTTTATTTTATTTTTCATTTCTTTCCTTCCTTCCTTCCTTCCTTCCTTCCTTCCTTCCTTCCTTCCTTCCTTCCTTCCATCCATCCACCCATCCTTCCATTTCTTTCTTTCTTTTTGAGGTAGTCTTTCTCCGTTGCACAGGCTGGAGTGCAGTGGCATGATCTCGGCTCACCGCAACCTCCGCCTCCTGTGTTCAAGCGATTCTCCTGGCTTAGCCTCCCAAGTAGCTGGGGCTACAGGTGCCCACCACCATGCCTGGCTAATTTTTGTATTTTTAATAGAGATGGGGTTTCACCATATTGGTCAGATGGGTCTCGAATTCCTGACCTCAAGTGATCCACCCGCCTTGGCCTCCCAAAGTGCTGGGATTACAGGTGTAAGCCACTGCACCCAGCCTGTTTTTATTTCTTGCCCCAGTTGTGGAATCAACTGTTTATCCAAGAAGCCCTGATTCCATTGAGTGACGAAGGGTATTTAAAACCAAGATCTGAGAACTAGATGTGCTTATAACTGCAAACTTTTTAAACCACCCATTAGATAGTTATTCTATAAATGATCATTTTCACCAGGGCCACCACATGTTTTACATGCCATTACATGCTCTTTCTCCTGATTTCATATTCTTTTCTGCTCTGGGATTTGGAGCCACTGTGTATGTTTGCCTATTTAGGAAGCATTGCTTGCCCTGAAGTCTGCACTTTTGAAAAGACTTTAATTGCTCTCACTTTGGGCAGTTCAAAGGTTACTGGATTTTATTTACTATCTTATTTACTTGAGTTACTTTTATTCTGTTCTTTCATTTATCTCTATTAAATAAAGATGTAGACTGTACTTAATTGTGTTTTCCTCTTGGCGATGAAACAAGGCTAAAAGGTGATTCTTGTTAATTTGTTACTCATTTGGGTTATCCATTTATCTGGATTTGATTTGAGATGTTGTTTAGTCTTGGTTTGTAAAGAGATCTGTACTGAACATTTCTGTGTTCTTTGCCTAAAATGTCCTTTCACAGGCTGACGTAGTGCTGCTATTTGGAGTGTGGGAATCCAGCTATAGGGAATTGGTTTTATGTGAGAGTCTGGCTGAGTTTTTATTTTCTTTTCTACTCAAAGATTATGTTTTATATTCCTGTCATTTGAAATTTGATTTTGCTCCTGACAATGAAAAATATTTAACAATGGTAATTCTCTTCATTCTTTAATGATTCTATGATCCATCTGCCAGAATGTGAGCTGCATTCATTTTGTAAAAAATGTTTGATCTTTGGGACATAGATCTAATTGCTGACATAGTTTCTTTAGATTCCATGAAAATATATTTAAATTCTTAATATGAAGACAAATTTTGCGATTTATTTTCATTTAGTCTGTGTGGTTTATAATAGTTTTTTTTCCCTCCTTATTTGAATAAGTCTTCTAGGATTTAGGATAATCTGTGCGTGTGTGTGTGTGTGTGTGTGTGTGTGTGTGCATGCATGTGTATAAGTGTGTGTATGTGATTGTGAGTTTAGTTAAGGTCACTTTTAGCAAGATGCATTGACATGGTCATCAGAGCCTTTGAAATTGTAGACTCCATTTGAATAATAGTTTTGAAGACTTTTTTTCCTTAAAAAACAGTGTATGTTGTAGGCAAGATAGTATCTTGATTCCTAGCTCCTGTCAATCTTCTGAAAACATTTATTTTGATAGTTTATTTGAAAAACATCATAGGCATGCATGGAATACTGTAAATGGCAAAAATATGCACCAGTCAGGTGAAAAGTGTTTATTAAATTCCCGCTATACTACTGTTTCCTGTGTCCCAGTGTTCCAGCTATTCAGATCAGACCGGACCTCTTTTCATCTGTATGGATGTTGATGTTCCAAGTAGGGAGGAATTGTGACTCTGCCTTTTGTGTTGGCCTGAATTTGGGGAGTGCTCCTCCTGTGGGGCCGCAATCATTCTGAATTGTTCCAGGAAAGCTGTCTATAGGGGCATCCACACTGCATTCCCATGGGAGAAGCCCCAGCTGTGTCTGCAGTGGGGTACCATGAGGGAACAAGACCTTTCGGTATCACAGAGGCTGCCTGCCTGTTGGGGTAGAAGGTGCTGTCTAGTTGAGGAAAATGAAACGTATGCATATGAAACAATTGCCAGACAAAACATACCTTTATATATTAGCGTTCCCAAGTTGGATATAGTAAAACAAAGTGGGAATTCTGTAATAAAGACAGATACCAGTGTAAACATTTTTCTTTTTTTGTTCAGTATGCTTTTGCTGCATCACAGGATACTGCTTAACTTACCAATTTATTTACCTTTGGTGACTAGGGACATATGCTTCTTAGTATTACATTTCAGAAGTTTTAGATGCTGTGTAATTAATCAGCCAGTTTTGCTGCCTTTCTGTGGTAGAGATTGAGGGGTCCAACTTCAAAGGTTATTGATGTAGTAAACCATATTAATCAGATTTTTGGTCTTTGAATAATATATGATTTTTTTTTTTTTTTTTGAGGTGGGGAGTCTTACTCTGTCGCCCAGGCTGTAGTACAGTGGCATGATCTTGGCTCACTGCAACCTCTGCCTGCCGGGTATAAGCGATTCTCCTGCCTCACCCTCCAAGTAGCTGGGATTACAGGTGCATGCCACCACGCTCAGCTAGTTTTTGTATTTTTAGTAGACACGGGGTTTCACCATGTTGGCCAGGCTGGTCTTGAACTCCTGACCTCAATTAATCCGCCTGCCTCAGCCTCCCAAATTGCTGGGATTACAGGTGTGAGCCACTGTGCCTGGCTAAGATCGATGAATTGTTGATACTCATGGAAGTATTTTGTAAAATATTACTCATAGTAATGAGTGTTTACAGTTTAGTAATTATAGAATCATAGAAAGTAGCTGTGTATCTTTGGGTAAGGCACTTAGTCTTTCAGAACCTCAATTTTCTCAATAATAATTAAACTAGGACAATAACATTTACTTTGTATAGTTCTTGTGAGACTTAAATGAGATGACACATATGAAGCACCAACACAGTCCCTAGAACACAGAAGTACTCTGTACATGTTGACTATTATTATTATAACCCTAAATTACTGCTATTAGTTGACCTTATGGAGTCTTTGGGTTATATGTTAATTTAGATTGGCTAGCAGGTATATTGGGAGGTCTCTTGCTGTATTGAAATTTACATAAATCTTATTGGAATCCTGCTGAGGTTGGTTTTGGAATCTTGCATGTAGGAAAGTAACTATCTGTAGGTTGGAGATGCTGTATCTGTACCATAAGGGCAAAAGAGAAAAGGAAATAAAGCAAAATGAGGTAGAACTGTGTGAATCTACATTATTATACACATGGCAGAAGGACAAACTACTAAATTGACAGTATGGTTGTGGCAAAACTTCTTTCCAAGTAATGGGAAGGTTTTTCACCAGGTCAATAGAAAAAATGAAGTGAAATGCTGTAAGACTGTAAAACTTTGGACCATTTGCTGACCACGTCTCATTTAGTTCTCACAAGGGTACTGTCTGCAAAACAAAAAAACACAAAGACCAAAAACGCTAGAGAACTGGCTCTTGGTTTTGTTTCTGAATTAACTCTATAAAAGTAAAAAGTGGCTAAGAAGAATCTTCAGAATAGAAAACTAACTCTTTTTTTTTTTTTTCAGGTGTAGGGTATCCAAAGTGGAAAACTGAAATGAGCATTAGTTCTAGTTTTGTTATTGCTTGGCTTCATGACTTTGGCCAAGTCACTTAACCTATCTGGTCTTCAGTTTTTTTCATCTGTAAAGTAAGAATTTTTGCCCCAGACCCATTTAGCTCTAAAATTCCTTGGTGTACTTTTAGACATACAAAATGAAATTTGCATATCACTTAAAAATTTATTGGCCCAGCGTGGTGGCTCACGCTTGCAGTGAGCTGAGGTCCTGCCATTGCACTCCAGCCTGGGCAACAAAAGCAAAACTTTTGTCTCAAACAAACAAACAAAAAATTTATTAAATAAAAAGTTAATTATTAATAATTAAATAAAAACTAAATAATTTTTTTAACATCTTATTGTGGAAAAATTTAAAGTCACCTAAAGTAGAGAGAATAGTTTAATAGATCTTTTTTTTTTTTTTTTTTTTTGAGACAGAGTCTTGCTCTGTCTCCCAGGCTGGAGTGCAGTGGCGCTGTATCGGCTCACTGCAACCATCACCTCCTGGGTTCAAGTGATTCTCCTGCCTCAGCCTCCCAAGTAGCTGAGACTACAGGCACCCGCCACCACGCCTGGCTAATTTTTTTGTATTTTCAGTAGGGATGGGATTTCACCATGTTGGCCAGGCTGGTCTGGAACTCCTGACCTCAAGTGATCCACCCCCGCTTGGCCTCCCAAAGTGCGGGGATTACAGATGTGAGCCACCACACCTGGCCAGTATAATAGACCTTGAGATCTTAAGATCCCAGCCCAATAATGATAATTCATGGCCAATCTTACTTTGGTGATGGGATCACAACTCACTGCAGCCTCCTTGACCCCTTGGGTTCAAGAAATCCCCTCACTTCAGCCTCCCCAGTAGCTAGGACTACATGTGTGTGCCACCACATCTGGCTAATTTTTAAATTTTTTTGTAGAGATGGGGTCCTGGGCTCAAGAGATCCTCTTGCCTTGGCTTCCCAATGTCAACTTTATTTTATAAAAAAATTTTTAATTGATATATAATAGTTGTATACGTCTCAATTATTTTAAAGCAAACCTCAGATTTCATCATTTCATTTCTAAATATTTCGGGATATATCTAGTAGGAAAGGACTCTTTTTTTAACACATGAACATCCAGGCCAGGTGCTGTGGCTCACGTCTGTAATCTCAGCACTTTCGGAGGCCAATGCCATTATCACACATAAGTAAAAATAATCATAATTCCTTTATTTTATTTATTTGTTATTTATTTATTTATATATTTATTTATTTATTTATTTTTGAGATGGAGTTTCGCTTTTGTTGCCCAGGCTGGAGTGCAATGGCACCATCTCGGCTCACTGCAATCTCCGCCTCCTGGGTTCAAGCGATTCTCCTGCCTCAGCCTCCCAAATAGCTGGGATTACAGGCATGCGCTACCATGCCTGGCTAATTTTGTATTTTTAGTAGAGATGGGGTTTCACCATGTTGGTCAGTCTGTTTTGGAAGTCCTGACCTCAAGTGATCCATCCCGCCTCCACCTCCCAAGGTGCTGGGATTACAGGTGTGAGCCACTGCACCTGGTCTTTCTTTCTTTCCTTTTTTGTCATTATTCCTTAATATCATTAAATATACAGTTGTTTTTCAGATTTTTCCCAATTCTCTCTCTCTTTTGTTTAGTTGGTAATTTGAATTGGGATCCGAATAAAGTAATCATAGTAGTTGAGTTATATATTTCTTAAGACTTTAAATTTATAGTTCCTTCTCAGTCTTTTTTCTTGAAATTTGTTTAAAAAACCAGTTAATTTATTCTGTTGTGTTTTTTGATTTTGCTGAATTCCTGTGATGTTAATTTTTTTTTGTTCTTTATAAACTGATCTATAACTTGTTCAGGTTTGTGTGTGTGTGTGTGTGTTTTTGTTGTTTTGTTTTTTTGGCCAAAAATACTTCATAGAAGGTGGTGTGCAGTTCCACTAAGAGGCATATAATGGCTGGGCATTACTTTCTCTGTGATGTTGGCAGGCATTGATGATGATTTCCCAGATCTGTGAATTTATTAGGAATTACAAAATGTGCTATTCTAGTTCTATCATTCCTTCTTCATATATTAGTTGGGAAACTTTTGTAAGGGGACTCTTTCTCTGATCAGTTATTTGATTACCCTGAGGTATAGGCAGGAGAGATGCACATTCCCTTTATTTACCAATTGCCATAATAATGAATTTTCCCCTAGGCTTTACCAGTGATGGCTATTTTTTTTTTGTAATATCATTATGAACCCACAATATTGAGCATATTTGATGTGCTTCAATTTATTGCAATTATTATCCTTCTTGATGCTCACATTCTCAGGCCAGTAAAGGCCTTTCCGGGTTGGCTTCTGCGTCTTTTTGACATGACCAATAATTTTTGATAGCTTCCTTGATTTCTGGTAAAACAAGATATTCCAGGAACATTTTGTACCTTTCCTGCCCCATCCTGGAATCAGCCATTTCTTCAAGGACTGTTAGTTCCTCTTAGTGGGAAGTGGTATTTACATACTACTGTCTGATAGTAGGAATCTCAGTGATACTGGGTTAGTCTTTGATTCTAGGCCTTTTTAGTGGATGGATAAGAAAATAAATATTAAAAAAGAATATGCGCTGGGTGCGGTGGCTCACGCCTGTAATCCCAGCAGTTTGGGAGGCCAAGGCGGGTGGATCACCTGAGGTCAGGAATTCAAGACCAGCCTGGCCAACATGGTGAAACCCTGTCTCTACTAAAAATACAAACATTAACCGGGCATGGTGGCATGCGCCTATAGTCCCAGCTACTCGGGAGACTGAGGCAGGAGAATGGCTTCAACCCAGCAGGTGGAGGTTGCAGTGAGCCGAGATTGCTTCACTGAACTCCAGTCTGGGCAATAGAGTGAGACCCCGTCTCAAAAAAAAAAAAGTCCTGGTGCGGTGGCTTACACCTGTAATCTCAGCACTTTGGGAGGCTGAGGCAAGTGGATCACGAGGTCAGGAGATATCAAGACCATCCTGGCCAACATGGTGAAACCTCATCTCTACTAAAAATACAAAAATTAGCTGGGCTTGGTGGTTGCGTGCCTGTAGTCCCAGCTACTCGGGAGGCTGAGGCAGGAGAATCACTTGAACCTGGGAGTTGGAAGCTGCAGTGAGCCGAGATCGTGCAACTGCACTCCAGCCTGGTCACAGATCAAGACTCTGTCTCAAAAAAAAAAAAAAAAAAAGCATCAGGAGTTTATACCTCCTATCATTTTAATTCAGAAACATCCTACACTAGAAAATGAGTAGAGAAATAAACAGAATCCAGGTATGTATGTACATTTTGAAGAATTACATTACTTACTATGAAACATTTTATTGCATTTTATTCTCCTTTGAGGTAAACAGTCTATTGTTGGAGTTTCTGTAGTTGCTTAGAATATTAATCTTAACCTTCTAGCTAATAACAATGGTATTACTTTTAAATATACACTGTTTTTGAACTCATTACCAGGATAGGTCTTAGTCCTCTTTGAAACCTGCTTCTTTCTTGTCTCTAGTAACCTATCATTGACCAGGTCTGTATCTTAAAGAGTGCTAGGTTTGAGCTGTCCTTGAACTGACAAACAATGGAGATGAGGATCACAAGTGAAATGGCATGTATAGAGGCCCAGAGGAATTAAAGAGTTTGCATGTCTGAAGAACGGCTATTCTAAGTATGCATGTCACGTGGTGGCCAGAGATAAGATATAGGTAGTGAGTGGGGGCTAGGTCACAAACAATTCAGTATGTCATGCTAAGGAACTGTTATTTTTATCCTACAGGCAATTTCGTAAGAATTTCAATAAGGAAATGTCTTGATTAGAATTACAAATTCGAAAGGCTTTTGTAGCCACATGAAGAATAAACTGAGACAGGGGAAGTGGTAAGCAGGCTATCGCAGGACATGAGAGGCTGGATGGATTTGGGAATTACTTGGCAGGTCAAATAATTAGGAATTAGTGATCTATTGGATATAGGCAGGAAGTAAAAGAATAGAGTCCAGGATGGCCCTTAGGTTTCCTTCAGTTTGAATTAGTGAATGTAGAAGGAGCAGTCTGGGTTGGTGGCATATGAATGTGACTTAAGTGGGATAACTTCTTCTTAGGGGTTGTCAGCTTGCATTCCCTTGGACTTTCTGGTGGAGATGTCCATACATGCATAAATATATATAAACATCTTTTTATTTAAGGACCCAGACTTGGGTTCAAATCTAAGCTCTGTTACTTCCTATTTGTGTGACCTTGAGTAGGTTAGTTAACCTTTCCATGTCTCAGTTATAGTTGTAAAAAGGGGATAATTCATAGAGTTGTTATATGAATTAAACAAATAATTGACAAAAGTCTAACAGAGTGTCTAATACACAATAACTTGATAAATGTTGTCATTGTTATTCTAGATACGGGAATTTCCAGTATCTTGTTTAGAAGGGATGAGATTCATTAGAGAGATGAGAATGAGAAGAGAGAGGACCAAATATGGACTGTTGGGGAATGCCAACAGTTGAACCTCAGAAACTCAGTTGCCAGGAGTCCTCTACCCTCAATAGGTTATTTCAGACATCACTGGAGGGAGCAGAGGTTTATCTCTGTCCTATAGCCGGTTGTAACAAGTGTTGTTTTTATTCCCAGACTTATATATTCACATTCACTCATTTATTAAACATGCTTTTGCTAAGTTACTGGTAGACGTAATTCTAGGTGCTAAAGATATTGCAGAGAACAGTCACCTTGGTCACAGGCCTCAGGGTACTAACATTCTAGAGGAGAGAGATATCCATCAAAAATATAAAAGTATCCACTAGTGATAAGTACTTTAGAGAGAATGAAAATATCATAAAATGCTAGAGAATTCCTAGGAGTCTATGTTAGATTGGGTGGTAGAGAAAGCTTCTCTGAGGAGGATGTAGTAGCAAGCCATGTGAAGATTGGAGAGAAATACATCCTAGGTTGTGCAAAGGCCCCACCTTGGGAATAAGCTGTGGAGAACACTAAAAACAATATCAGGGCCCAAGATAGGGCATTGGGAAAACAGACGAGCTGAGGCCAAAGAGTAGGTAGTAACCAAGCCATGTGGGGCCCTCTAAGCCAGGATAAAGAGTGGAGGTTTATTTTAAGTGACTTGGAAAGCCCTTAAAAAGCTTTAGGCAGGAAAGTAGTGTACTGATTTACCTTTTCAAAAGGTCACTGTATGGTTGAGCGTGGTGGCTTATGCCTGTAATCCTATTACTTTGGGAAGCTGAGGTGGGAGGATTGCTTGAGCCCAGGAGTTGAAGACTAGTCTGGACAACAAAGCAACACCACATCTCTACAAACAATTTTAAAAATTAGCTGGATGTGGTGGTGCATGCCTGTGGTCACAGTTACTTGGGAGGCTGAGGCAGGTGGATTGCTTCAACCCAGGAGTTTGAGGCTTCAGTGAGCTAAGATCACACCACTACCCTCCAGCCTGGGTAATAGAACAAGATCCTGTCTCAATCAATCAATCAGTCAATCACTGTGATCACAAGAGTCAAAAATGAGGTAGGGAGAGCAGAAACAGGTGGCTAATGGAATAGTCTAGATGAGAGATACTTTATTTTGTTCTCTTTTTTCCTTTTATTATCAAGTGAAAGCCTCATCCTGAGTCTCTTGGTTGCTTGGAAGCCTCAAAGCTGTCCTTGAACAGATCCCTGTCGGGAGAGTTGTTTTGATAATTGAGGTTCTCCAGGCCTAGAGCAGTGATGACCTACTGAAGGTCGTTAACCTGACTCTTAACCCAGGGCAACAGGGGTTAATGAGTGGGGTTCTAAGAGTATGAGCATGTATTCAATTACTTTCTTCTGAGGAGAGTTCATAGCTTCTTACCAGTTTGTCAAAGGGACCTGTGACCTCCAAAAGTATAACCATTAACAAGACAGTGTGTTGAGCACTGATGGGAGAGAGGGAAAACACAAAGTCAGACATAATTAAGAAGAAAAATGGGGTAGGCAGGCCAGATCATATGGCACTCAGGGAAAATATTAAGAGATAATAAATCTTTTCCCCTTAGCTTCCTCCCTGTACGTTTTTACCAACGTCTAGAAATTCACGTTTTGCTTTCAGTGTCCATAAATGCCACAAGATGGCGAGGTTGCTCCTTAAAATGAATGTGAATTACCAAGTGGAAGAGAGGGAGAAAGAGAAAGAAAATGTGTGTTGGGTATTCCTCTCTGATTTTCCATAACTTCCCTGATTTTTCTTAGCTCTTTACTTGAATATAAAGTAGAATCGATATGCATACATTTTTCCTCTTTAATTTAGATTTTAATCATAGTTGTTTTTGGAATTGTAAAGCTAAAAATAAAATTTAAAGGAACTATCTGGATCCCAGGCTTAACATTTTTTCTACCTCTTCATTAAATTATTAATGAATAATTTCATTCTGCACATCACCAACAGAGTAATCTTAGTAAAATACCATTTTGATGTTCATTCTCTGCTTTAAAATTTTATTTATTTATTCTCATAAAATTTATTCATAGTACTGGTAGTCAGTATTTAAATAGTTACAAGTATAAGGTGAAAATGTGGAATAATTTTTGACTCCTATTATGGAATATATATGTTTATTATTATTATTATTATTATTTTTGAGATGGAGTCTTGCCCTGTCGCCCAGGCTGGAGTGCAATGGCACGATCTCAGCTCACTGCAAGCTCTGCCTCCCGGGTTCAAGCAATTCTCCTGCCTCAGCCTCCCAAGTAGCTGGGATTACAGGCATGCGCCACCATGCCTGGCTAATTTTTTGTATCTTTAGTAGAGACAGGGTTACACCATGTTGGACAGGCTTGTCTTGAGCTCCTGACCTAGTGATCCACCCACCCCGGCCTCCCAAAGTGCTGGGATTACAGGCGAGAGCCACGTTTATTATTATTATTGTCAGCTTCTTCGCTATTATGAACAAGTGCAAGATTCCACGTACAAAATATCTTAATTTTTATGGTTTATTAAACAACATAATTTAAATGCTTAGATGTCTATTGTCATCATTTGACATACCTCAGGGTAGTTTTCTTTTTGTTATTCTCAACATTTTGTAGAAAAGGTAAGCTAATATATTATTTATACATTGATTAATGCATCTTTAGTAATTATGTATATTTAGCTCTTGATATAAAATTCATTTTGCTTGTGTTATCTAATCAAATTAAATCCTCATAAGAAATCTATGAGATAAATGTGAATATTGCCATTTTACAGATGAAGACATTGAGGCTTAGGAAGATTGAATGAATTGTCAAAGATTTAATAGTTGGCAGAACTATAATTTGAATCCAGATTTTTTTTAATCCTAAAACTCCCCTTTTTCCCTATACTTTACTGCTTCCAATGAGAGCAACTATTCCTTTTCTCTTTAATAGAAATACTTAGAAGTTGTAATTTAAAGTAATTAGGATATTTGTGTCTCTCCCTTGTTCTAAGCTGAACAAAAAGAGAATTTTTCCTGCAGGCCTTTATTTAGAAGAGTCCTTTTAGAGTTGCACTGATGGTGAGGGACCTGGGTTTGTCCCATTTGAGGGATTTGGGCTCCTGGCCAGAAGCACCTGATTTTCCGAACCTAGAGTTAACTGAAACTTAATTTCTTTTGTTGACTTCCTGCTGAGATAACAGGTGGTTCACAGTGCACAGGCCTTCCTGCCGATGGTGGCAGCTTCTTTCTGTTCCTGGAGACTTGTTTTGTGCTGGGGACTACCAGTGGTTTGAAAACCATTGCTTTGAAGGCTGGAATCCCGGGCCAGGGTGCCCTCTACAGCAGCACACTACCTGCCCTGGAACTCATTCTCTAAAACTTGGCGTTATTTCTGCACAGAGAATGTTGGCTTATAGTTTATTTCTCTTTATTTGCTTCATATCCCATTTTTGTTCTTCTAAAGACTGAGAAAGTAATAGTTAAGAATTTATACATTTTGTTATTGATATTGGGAGATAAAACTGTAATTTACCTGAATCAAGACGTTTGGGTTTTTCAGTATGGTTTTATGTGGCCGGGCGTGGTAGCTCATGCCCAATCTCAGCACTTCGGGAGACTGAGGCTGGTGGATCACTTGAGCTCAGAAGTTCAAAACCAGCCTGGGCAACATAGTGAAATCCCATCCCTACCCAAAATGCAAAAATTAGCTGGGTGTAGTGGTGTGTGCCTGTAGTCCCAGCTACTGGGGAGGCTGAGGGGGGAGAATTGCTGGAACACAGTCAGTCGAGGTTGCGGTGAGCCCCGACGGTGCCACTGCGCTCCGGTCTGGGTGACAGAGTGAGACCCAGTTTCAAAAAAAAGAAAAAAGAAAAAAAAAAGAAAAAGATAATGGTTTTATTTTTTCTTCATGTAACAGTTCTAATTGAAAGATAGGCATAGTGGAAATAAAATTGACCATGAATAATTATTGAAGTTGACCGATGGGTTTATTATATATTCTATCTATTTTTATTTGAAATTTTCCAAGATAAAACATAAGCAGAGACATGTTTTAACACCTTTTTTTAATCATCAATAATTATAATCTTGAATTATTTTAATTCCTTCATATTAAGTGATAATTTTATCTGTGGAGTTTGTTTTACATACTCTTATTTGTGACAAAGATCATTTCTGGTGGCGAATGCATCTGGGTAGATTAATTGGTGATTATCACTCACTTTTGTGGTTTTATTTATTTACTTTTTATAGATTGTTTTTGAAAAAAATTTTTGTTATTTTTATTTTTTGAGACAGACTCTCACTCTATTGCCCAGGCTGGAGTGCAGTGGCATGAACTTGGCTCACTGCAACCTCCACCTCCTGGGTTCAAGCGATTCTCCTGTCTTAGCCTCCCAAGTAGCTGGACTACGGGCATGCACCACCACGCCTGGCTAATTTTTGTAATTTCAGTAGAGACGGGGTTTCACCATGTTGGCCAGGCTGGTTTCAAACTCCTGACCTCAAGTGATCTGCCTGCATTGATCTCTCAAAGTGCTGGGATTATAGGCGTGAGCCACCGCATCCAGCCAAAAAATTATTTTTATATAAAATATTTTTGCACTCATTCATTCCTTCAATAAATGTTATTGAACACTGTTCTAGAGGCTGGGGATACAGCAGTGAACCAAACAGAAAAACATTCTGGAGTATACACTTTAGTAGGGAGGAGACAAAATAAATCTAACAAATAATGGTATTGTGTTTCTATTGTGATAAGTGCTGTGGCAACATATATAATGAGGGTGCTCTTTTACAAAAGGTTGAGGGAGAGTCTTCCAGGTGGCTGGAGAAACAAGGCTTGCAGGCAACCCTTTCATGGCCTTCCTAAAGCAGCATATGCAGGGAATATCAGCAAGTAGCTGATGTGTATGGAAAGCTCTTCATTGGGTCACTCTGCTTGATATGAAGGATTTGGAGACAAATTTATGTAGCTTCTGATACAACCTTTATTTATTTTTATTTTTGTTATTATTTTTTGAGGCAGAGTCTTTCTCTGTTGCCCAGGCTGCAGTGCGGTGGTGCAATCTCGGCTCACTGTAACCTCTGCCTCCCGGGTTCAAGCAGTTCTCCTGCCTCAGCCTCCCCAGTAGCTGGGATTACAGGCGCCTACCACCACACCCAGCTAATTTTTGTGTTTTTAGTAGAGACGGGGTTTCACTGTGTTGGCCAGGCTGGTCTTGAACTCTTGACCGCAGGTGATCCTCCCGCCTCCCAAAGTCCTGGGATTATAGGCGTGAGCCACCACGCCTGGCCTGATACAACTTTTATGATGTAGCAATAAGCATCAGGACTGAGGGGAGTAGAAGAAAATCTTTCCTGTGTTCTGTTGATTCTTTCTGATGGCAAAAAAAAAAAAAAAAATTTGACACCTTCTCTACCTTCTCTTTGTAATCTTAAAAATCACTTAGTTGATGTTATTGTTTATTTATGTCCAAATCTTAAAATCATTTAGGTTTTCTTTGTTTACTTGAGAAAATACATAAATAGAACTCAGGGAGATATTGTTCTGCTTAACTTTGTATATTAGCTTAACTTTGTATATTACTGTGTACAAAGCAAGGGTAGCAAATACCTGTTGGAGTCAGGGAAGTACTTGAAACCCGGCTGAGGCATATG
Organism: Homo sapiens; assembly: GCF_000001405.40. Taxonomy (NCBI): domain Eukaryota; kingdom Metazoa; phylum Chordata; class Mammalia; order Primates; family Hominidae; genus Homo; species Homo sapiens. The sequence goes on from NC_000007.14 coordinate 40,236,715, forward strand.
GAAGTAGAGTGGTGGACCCTGTGGCAAATCAGAGGATTTATGCCCTATGTAGAGGGGAGAGGCAATACTCGACTCTAATTGATTATTGCATGTGAGAATGTGGGCCTGGTTTTGAATTATTTCCTTTTTTTTTGTTTTAAAGGGAGTCTCCCTGCATTGTCCAGGCTGGAGTGCAGTGGTGCAATCTCAGCTCAATGCAACCTCCACCTCCTGGTTCAAGTGATTCTTGTGCCTCAGCCTTCCCAGTGGCTGGGATTATAGGCATGCACCACCACACCTGGCTAATTTTTGTATTTTTAGTAGAGATGGGGTTTCACCATGTTGGCCAGGCTTGTCTTGAACTCGTGACCTCAAGTGATCCGCCCACCTCAGCCTCCCAAAGTGCTAGGATTACAGGCGTGAGCCACCGCACCCGGCCTGAGTTTTTTTTTAAGAATAGCCAGGGTAGGCCAGGCGCGGTGGCTCATGCCTGTAATCCTAGCATTTTGGGAGGCTGAGGCAGGTGGATCACTTCACATCAGGAGTTTGAGACCAGCCTGGCCAACATGGCGAAACCTTGTCTTTACTGAAAATACAAAAATTAGCTGGGTGTGATGGTGCACGCCTGTTATCCTAGCTACTCGGGAGGCTGAGGAAGGAGAATCACTTGAACCTGGGAGGTGGAGGTTGCAGTGAGCCGAGATCGAACCACTACACTCCACCCTGCTCGACGGGAACGAGACTCCATCTCAAAAAAAAATGAGTAGCCGGGGTCGAGCACTATAATGAATTCTTACTGCCTTCTTCAAGGAATGGTATAGATCTAATAGTCTCGAAATGCTGCAGGATTTCTGGATACAAATGTTTCTAACACACTATATTGTACAGTGGTTTTAGCACACCCTGTGTGGTGCTGAATATGTTTATTTTTGTTGTTTTAGGGTATGGTCAGACAGGTCCAATTTCTCAGCGAGCTGGTTATGATGCTGTTGCCTCGGCTGTTTCTGGTCTGATGCACATCACAGGGCCTGAGGTAGGTATCCTTCCTTAGAATATTCATAATTTCTTCCCTTACATATTCCAAAAGGATTTTACTCTGCACTAACCCATAGGATTAAATGAGTTGTTAGGTTGGGGCAAAAGTAATTGCTGTTTTTGCCATTGAAATTAATAATTTTAGAAAGAAACCAGGGAAAGTGAATGCTTATGAAAGTAAAACAGGAAGTGTTCATTACAAATGTATTGAGTCTAAACATCAATTTGGCCACATGGAAAAGAGCAATGTTTTTAGCAAGAAGCCATAGATCAGATGGTGAACACACTTTCCACATTTATTATGTTATTCAAGCTTAATATAGGCACCTTTGTGTGATTTAGGAATATTCCCTCTTTGAAATAAAACAGTTGACTAGACTAGACCACGGATGTCCATTTCTACTAGAGTGCCTTCATCTGCCATGTGTACATAGCAGAGGGTCTATTTTTCCTTTTGGAAAAATATAGGTAGTTATGTATTTGAAAATTTGTTGCTTAAAGCCTCCCTCAGGTTTAAATGTATCTAATTTGTCATGTGCCTTAGATTCTGACAGTGAAATAATTATTTGATTTTATAATAATTCCTCTCCATTGATAGTGGTTTGGGAAGTTCCTAACAAGTATTTAGATGGCCAAAATGTGGTTGGTTAGATTAAAAAAAAGGCTCTCGGGGAAAGCAATATGAATGACGTTAAACAAAGTGAAAAAAATTGTGAAAGCCTAGTAAATAAAAATGCTAAAACACACCCATTTCAAAACAAACTAGATTGATGGCCTTAAAAAACTTGTTTCAGTGGGTGTTCATTCTCCAAATCACTTCTTCTAGTTAATTCTTCAGGAAATATTGCTTGCTGTAGTGTTGGAATAAACTGAGACAGAGTGACCTCAAGTCTTTTGCAGTCTTCCTTTTATTTAATTTTACTTATTAATTAATTAATTATTTTCCTTTGCCTCTATTTTCTCATGATGAGATTTACTTTTTATTAATTTCAAAGCAACTGTTGGGGTTTTAATTTCTGGAAATACAAAGTTATTGTACTTTCATCTTCGTTTCATTTTCACAAGTCTTAGAAAAAAATGTGTGTGGCCTTTGCTTTTTTTTTTTTTTTTAAGTCAGAGTCTTGCTCTGTCGCCCAGGCTAGAGTGCAGTGGCGTGATCTCAGCTCACTGCAGCCTCTGCCTCCTAAGTTCAAAGGATTCTCCTGCCTCAGCCTCCCGAGTAGCTGAGATTACAGGTGCCAGCTACCATGACCAGCTAATTTTTGTATTTTTAGTAGAGACATGGTTTCACCGTCTTGACCAGGCTGGTCTTGAACTCCTTACTTTGTGATCCAATCCCAGTGCTAGGATTACAGGCATGAGCCACCACATCTAGCCTGTTTTGTTTTATTTGAGACAGGGTCTCCAGGCTGGAGTGCAGCCTCCGTGGCACACTGCAGCCTCCTGGGCTCAATAGATTCTCCAACCTCAGCCTCCAACATAGCTTGGACTACAGGTGTGTGGCACCAAACCTGACTAATTTTTAAATTTTTTGTAGAGATGGTGTCCCATTATGTTGCTCAGGCTTGTCTTGAACTCCTGGACTCACGACATCTTGGCCTCCTAACGTGATGGGATTACAGGCATGAGCTGCTGTACCCTGCTGGCCTTCCCTTAAAATATTCAAGAGCACCAGTTTTCTTTCCATCCATTGAGAGAATAGAGCATGGACATTTCTCTCATTGCTCAATTCCATAGGCTCTCATGTGGCCAAGACATTCTTTATTGTGAATGGTTTTATTTAAGGGTGTTGAACTCAATTAGGAATATGTGAAAAGATCTGGGATTTAAAAATTTCTATATTCAAATGGTAAAATGAATTAAATGAAAAACTGTTGAGCTGGGGGATTACTGTAGTTCCTTTAGTACATTGCACTGTGGTCTAACAGGGATAATCACACAGTATATGCTCAACCTTATAATTTCTCAGTCAATAACAGCTTTTATCTCTTGTGTTACCCTACTCAGGTGATTTTTGTTCTAGGTGAGCAAATAACATTTATTGAGTGCTTGGTATGTGCCAAACATTGCTTTATATACTTTCCATGTATTACATTAAGTAAGCTTAACTCTCACACTGTATTTCTTTCACATGGACACATCTTTCATTCCTTAATTAAGTTACACATCAACCTAGTAAGTAGTTACCGCATCTGTTTCCTACTGTACGGTGGGAATGGTGGTAGGCGCTGGAGATTAAGCAGGCAACAGGACAGGCACAGTCCTTATCTTCCTATAGCTGTTAAGTAGGGAAAACAAACATTAGCAGAAAATATTTATTACATGCAAATAAAAAGAACTGCGAAGAAGAGTACAGGGTGCTATGAACATATATAAATAACAGTGTGCCTCAGGCCATTATTATGCTTCTAAAGATCTCCATAAAGTGTGGTTTGACAGCTAAAGATAAAAGCTGATTGAAAAGAATCAGGCCAGCTTGGCACAGTGGCTCATGCTTGTAATCCCAGCACTTTG